>NC_000007.14:127506779-128131779 GCF_000001405.40 Homo sapiens
TCTGAGCCCACTTTTACCTCATTTGGATGCACATGAGGCCATTTATTCCTCCAGATACACATTGTATAGTTATTTTCTGCTCTAGTAAATTAATAGCTTAATTAGCACCTTAATTTGATTTTAAAGGCTGAAAAATATAGGTAATAGTGTATTCTTTTTAGAGAAAAATTCTAAATAATCACACTTTGTGTCTAGTTATTAAACATGCAAACTGTAGTTTTTATACAAAAATAGAAAAAACCAATACCTACTAAAAGCTATTTTGGGCAATTAGGAGGAATTCTCTTGTTTACATTAGAGGAGAAATAGTACAAAAGTAACTGAACACATGCCAGAATAATTAGCAGGCTCTTGGCTCATTTAAATTATGCGCACATTGCCATTTTAATGCATTTTTTAAATACCCACTTGCAATTCTATTTTATTTTTGGAAGAAAATTAGTAGCTTTCTACTAGGTATGATTAGTAAAACCAGATTTGTTTCCTGTTTTCCTGGAAAACATAAAACTTCCTGGCTTTATAGACCCATTTTTAATAATAATTAAAAACATAAAATAATAATAATCATACTTTGGATTTATACAACACTTGTGCATGAAAACTGGAGGCACTCTTTTTTGTAAGATAATTTCTCTGTAGGAATATTATGCTGTTTCTTCATGCTCACTATATAATATGTTGATCCTAAGGACCATCTAATATTAATGATAAAAGGATTAAGACTGCAATTTTCTGTTTTTAGGAAAATACCCGAGTGACCTCCTCAAAACAAATTCAGGGCATGAATTTTACACATTTTCTTCTCAATTTAAGGTCTCTGATGATTAGTTACAAAGTAATGATTAGCAAGAAGTGCACCAATTAGCATGTTTTGTATCCTAAGAAATAAAAACAAGAGAGCAAAGACAGAAGATAGGAATTTCTCTTTTCGAAGGCATAAATGCAGAGAATTTAGTCAAAAGGATAGCAGACACACTGATCTAAAAGCCATAATCTAGACTAATAAAATTCTTATCATTAAAATGTTACAACATACACAGCTCAGCTAAGTAGCATACATGCCTCACTCAGACTTCAGAATATGCGGAAAACATACACACGACCTGTCCACAGTTATCCTGTGCCCAATCTGCTCTAGGCACCAATCAGGTGCCATGTGAGGATGCAAAAGTAACTGTGACAAGGCATGAGCCCTTCAGAAGCTTCCAGTCTACTAAGAAAGATGACTGGTGTATACATGGCTATTATATCAAGGTAACTTCAGAAAATCTCTAAGAGAGAATCAAAGTGCTGAGGAAATTCACAGAAGGGAGCTACTAATTTGCAAGGAGGGACCGGGGAAGTCAAACATTGCCCTCAACCAAATGGCCACACAAAGCCATAGGAAGGGCCCTTTAAGGCTAACGTGAACATTTGTCACACTCAATCATTGGGCAGGGACACAGTCCCACTTCATTCATACAAACTCTGCTTGCAGAAACTATACAAAAATAAAATTATAAGGGTATGTCTATCATGGAAATGTCTACAAGCAAAAGATGGTGAGGCAAGTTCAGAAAATATGATAAAGTTATCCAAAAAGACAAAAGCAGAGACCCTGGTGGAGTCATTAACATCACACAGGATATTTTATTTGGGGTTCTTTAGCTCTAGATTCACATCTTAAGTAGGATATTTAGAAGGTGTGATCTGGTCCCACCTAATCTGGACACATAGTGTTAGGGAGCTGCCATCTAATGAAGGAGTCTGCATGTCATATAATATTTCTGTGCTCTCTCTAAGACTGAGAATGAGGAACGACTAGCACATTAAGTTGAGACCAAGTGAAAGGAGGAAACTTCACTGTTAGCTCAAGAACACCGAGGTTTTCTGCCTTCATTCCCCTCTTTGCTTTGAAGGAAAATGCTAACTATAATAGTATCTTCTTTACTTTTGGAGGCTTATTCCTGTTTGGTGATCTACAATCAAGCTACAATTATGGAGAATAGATACATCACTCAGGTTCTTGAAATTATGCGTTCATAGTTTTCAAGATATGTGTGCAATAATATTCATACTATTTTATCATATTTTTGACAACAAAATAACATGTATAAAATATTCTCTTTAAAACTAATAATTTTTGCAAAAATATAAAGATATGATTCTATACAGTATTTTAAAACAGCTCTTCCAGCACATGTAGCTTCTAGTTTGTGGGCTGATTTAATTTGACCTGTGAAAATTAATCAACATTCTAATCTTTGATCCATGCATGTAATTCCATTGATTTCAGTGGAATCTATCTTCAAGGGCTAAGGGTAGAATTGCTCTATAATTATCTTTACCAATACAGTTGCTATATTTATTACAAAAGCCACTCCACTTTCCACACTGGCTTTTTGAAACTCAGAGTACATACATTGTATTCTATCGGATTTGTTTCTCCCATATGCAGAATGTAAAATCCATCATGAAATCTGTAATATAAAATAACCAGAAAAAGAATTTGTCTGAATTGATGACAGTGAATGCTCCTGAATATTTCAGAGGAAGATACAAGTTTATGTTTACTTCTTTATTATGTAACCTGGGATGGAGTCAAAGGCATCGGATTGTTCCCTCTACCAGTCTGTTATTACCATTCAGCATTAATATTGATATGCATTAATATATGTAAACCTTATGTTTTTGTCTTATCCTTCAAGATAATATCTTTAAGCTTTTACAATCTCTTCCTGATCCCTTTCCAAAATTCATTCTATCACATGCCTCAGCAATACCTTCTAGCCATAGTCCAACAATATGACATGGAACTTAGATGCTTAACCACTGAAAAGGGCGCTTCCCTCTTTCAAAACCAGAAGAATTGGGTACTGAAACAACCAGTACCAAGAAAATTAAACCAGTTCACAGAGCTTTCTCATGAGACATCAGTTAAAATACTCAAGCCCATAGCAAAACAAATTGAGTAGGATGTCATAGATTCAAAATGTCACAGAATCTTTTTCATTAGTTTTCTTCAGAAAGGAACTACAAAGTTACAGGTACACATGAAAAAGGGCCCAGGACTATGCCCAGGGTAATCAGGAACATTTTGGATTTCTTTCTGCTGTCAAAACCTGCCATTAGCACTTTGGGAGGCCAAGGCAGGCAGATCACAAGGTCAGGAGTTCGAGACCAGCTTGGCCAATATGGTGACACTCCGTCTCTACTAAAAATACAAAAATTAGCCAGGCATGGTGGCGTGCACCTGTAGTCCCAGCTACTCGGGAGGCTGAGGCAGAGAATTGCTTGAAGCTGGGGGGCAGAGGTTGCAATAAGCCGAGATCGTGCCACTGCACTCCAGCCTGGGTGACAGAGTGGGACTCCATTAAAAAAAAAAACAAAAAAACAAAAAAAACCTGCCATCAGGCACAGTTTATCTGCAAAGTACATAGCTACATTGGAACCAACTAACAGTCTTACTAAACTAGTGTCATCATCAATACAGTCTTCAGGACCCAAAAGATATTAAAATCGGCACATATCACCTAATTTTTTCTATTAAAAATATCTATTTCTTCTAAAAAGATTAGCTCAAAATTGATTATGGACTTCCATGTAAACATAAAACTATAAAACTTTAGAAACACGAACATTGAAGAAAAACTTCAGGTCTAGCGCTAGGCAAAAAGTTCTCAGACTTGACACAAAAAAAGCATGATATATATAAGGAAAATGTGATAAATTGAACTTTATCCAGTTAAGAACTTTTGCTTTCAAAAGATAATGTGAAGAGGATTAAAAGTAGGCTACAGTCTGGGAGAAAATATTCGCAAATCACATACCTGACAAAAGGCTAGTATTTAAAATTGTAAAGAATTCTCCAAATTCTGTTTTTTAAAAATCTGTTAGAAAATGGGCAAAACCCATGAATGGATATTTCAATGAAAAGGACACACAGTGGTAAATAAGAGCATGAAAAAATGTTTGATGTTATTAGCCATCAGGAAAATGCAAATAAGAGCCAACCACAATGTGATATCACTACACACCTAATCAGAATGGCTACAGTGAAAAATGGTGGCAACATCAAATAATGCTAGTGAAAATGCAGGAAAAAAAATCACTCGTACATTGCTGGTGGAAATGTAGAATGGTTTGGTTACTCTGGAAAACAGTTTGGCAGTGTGGGAGGCTGAATCGTTCCCCCGCAAAGATGTCCATGTCCTAATCTCCTATACCTTTGAAAATGTTTCCTTATATGGCCAAAGAGACTTTGTAGATGTAATTAAGTTAAAATCTTGAGATGACAGGATTCTTCTGAATTATCTAGGTAGATATATAGGTGCAATATAATCACAAGAGTCCTTCTAAGAGGAAGGCAGGAGGTCAGAGAGAGGAGGAGACGCTACAAACCTGGCTTTACACATGGAGAAAGGAACCACAAACAGCCTCTAGAAGCTAAAGGAGGCAAGGAATAGATTCTCCCCTGGAGCCTCCAGAAGAAAAATTAGCCCCTGCTGACCCTGTAAGGCTCATTGCAGACTTCTGACCTCTAGACCTTCAAGAGAACAAATTTGTGTTTTCTTTAAGCCATCAAGTTTGCAGCAACAATGGGAAACTAATACAGGCAGGTTCTTATAAAACTAAATATACAACTCCCATACAGCACAGTAAGTGTACTCTTGGGCGTTTATCCCAGAGAAATGAAAAAAACTTATGTTTGCACAAATTGTTACAGCAGCCTTTTTTGTAATAGTCAAAGCTGCAAACAGTCCAGATGTCATTTAACAGGTGGGTTAAACAAACAGTAGTGCATACATATATCATACCTACATACCTTTTATTGCTGAGAATATTACTCAGCTATAAAAAGGAATGAACTATTGATACATGCAGCAATTTGAATGAACCTCAAGAAAATTATGCTGATGAAAAAGGCCAATCCCAAAAGCTTACAGACTGTATAATTCCATTTGTCATTCTTGAAATTACAAAATTATAGAAATGGATAACAGATTAGGAATAGAAGGTATGGCAGGAGGGAGAAAAGTTGGTGTGGTTATAAAAGATCAACATGAAGGATCCTTGCAGTGATGGAATTGTTCAGGATCTTGACTGCAGTGGTGGGTGTGTGAACCAACACGTGATAAAATCATAGAGAACAAAATACACACTTACACAAGTACAAATAAAACTTGAGAAATCTGAAAAAGAAAGGAAGGGCCAAGCACAATGGCTTGCACCTATAACCCCAGTGCTTTGAGATATCAGTGTGGGAGGATCATTTAAGGCCAGGAGTTTGAGACCAGCCTGGACAACATAGTGAGACCCCATCTCTACAAAAAAAAAATTTTTTTTAATTAGCCAGGTGTCATGGTACATGCCTATAGTCCTGGCTACTCAGGATACTGAGGCAGGATACTCAGGATACTGAGGCAAGATTGCTTGAGTCTGGGAGCTTGCGGCTACAGTGACCTGTGATTGCAACACCGCACTCCAGCCAGAGTGACCTAGTAAAACTTTGTCTCTTAAAAAAAAAAAATCAAAAATTAAAATTTAAAAAGGTAGGTTTTATCAATGTCAGTGTCTTGGTTGTGACATTGTACTATAGTTTTGCAGGATGCTACCATTGGAGAAAACTCAATAAAGGGTAAATGGGATTTCTCTATATTATTTCTTACAAATGTATGTGAATTTATAATTATCTCAAAATTTCAATTAAAAGAGACATTTATTAAAAAGGAAGTCCTGTCATTTGCAACAACCTAGATTAACCTGGAAGACATTGTGTTAAGTGAAATAAGCCAGACACAGATATGGCATGATCTCACCTATATGTGGAATCTAAAAAACATGAACTCACAAAAGCAGAGAGTAGAACTTCTTCCAACCAGAAGTTGGAAGAATGTTGGCCAAAATGAAGTAGGAGGTGGGACTCAACTCTAGGCAGGGCTTGGATCAAATTGAGGACTAGCTAAAACAGGGACAGGGTGGAAGCAGCTTACCATAAGACACACGCCTACCACAGTGCCATGTCAGTTTACCATTGCCACGGCAACACCTGGGAGTTACCACCCCTTTCCATGACAATGACCTGACAACCCAGAGGTTACCACCCCTTTCCTAGAAATTTCTGCATAATCTGCCCTTTAATTTACATATTCTAAAAAGCGGGTATAAACGCAGCATGTTCTCATTCGTAAGTGGGAGTTGAACAATGAGAACACATGGACACAGGGAGGGGAACATAACACACCAGGGCCTGTCATTGGGTGGGGGACTAGGGGAGCGATAGCATTAGGAGAAATACCTAATGTAGATGACAGGTTGATGGGTGCAGCAAACCACCATGGCACGTGTATACCTATGTAACAAACCTGAATGTTCTGCACATGTACCCCAGAACTTAAAGTGTAATTAAAAAAAAAAAAAAAGAAAGAAAGAACAAGTAGGGGAATAGGGGAAGGGAGACAAGAAAGGAAAAATGAGCAGTTTATGAGTGTGAGCAACTGGGGCTCAATCCCACTGGGGGCCTCTGGGAGACAGTGAAGAACATGACTCAGAGTTCTCCCACGTGAGGGGTGAGGGTGCTGGATTATTTATTATAATAAAGTTACAGGGAACAGAGAAAAAATTAAAAAATTAAAAATTAAAAGTGGGTATAAATGAGTGCAGAACTGCCTCTGAACTGCTACTCTGGGCACACTGACTGTGGGGTAGCCCTGTTGTGCAAAGAACAGTACCGCTGCTGCTGCCGCCGCCGCCGCCGCCGCACACTGCTGCTTCAATAAAAGTTGCTAGCAGTACCAGCTCATCCTTGAATTCTTTCCTGCACTTTCACCAGACAGTTTCTTATGCTGTCAACAATAGCCACAGGAACAAAGCCTAAAGGAAACTGGACTTAGCCAAAAATAATTCTGTCTGCAAGCTTATCGTCATTCAGTTAAAAGTTTAATATCCGCGGGGCGCGGTGGCTCACTCCTGTAATCCCAGCACTTTGGGAGGCCGAGGCAGGCAGATCACAAGGTCAGGAGTTTGAGACCAGCCTGGCCAACATGGTGAAACCCCGTCTCTACTAAAAATACAAAAGTTAGCCGGGCATAGTGGCATGTGCCTGTAATCCCAGCTACTCGGGAGGCTGAGGCAGGAGAATCGCTTGAACCCAGGAGGCAGAGGTAGAAGTGAGCCAAGATCGCACCATTGCACTCCAGCCTGGGTGACAGAGTGAGACTCCATCTTAGAAAAAAAAAAAGTTTAATATCCAGGTCGCCACTTTGTATAATGGTCTAAAGAACAGCAGCCTAGTGATACATGTAGATCAGCCTCTAACAACATGTGCTTTTGGTCACAGTATCAGGCAGTCACAATGAAAGAAATCAACTGCTTATCCTACTCTTGGTACTCTCAGAGCTGCACAAATCCCACAAAACCACTGGGCCCAAGGACCTGTAACACCTAGGCATGAGGCAAGAAGAATGGAACATATCACAGATCTATTGCATCTCTTAAGTCAGCATAAATTTTCAAAGGACACAATGGAGCCTGATGAAAGGGTAAATATGGCATTCTTAAGAGCCAGTGACTGTCTCCAAAAAAAAATATATTTGCTAACATTTAGCCAATTTATTCTTTACCATTAACTAGCCCCTCCCTGCACAAAACCCTGGTCCATTCCAAGACATTCATTATCAGACAATTTCACCCAACTGCTATCATGCTGCAGTTTGTTGCAAAAAGATGTACTGAAATGGCATCAACTCTCCTCCATTCTCATGATCAGATGAAATTTCCAGAGTGTAAGAAGCTATTCTCTGTATACAGAAAAGCTTTCATTATAATGAACTTGTGTTGACACTTTTTAAGGGGGAGAGGTAGCTGACAAAATTCATACATTAAATCAGAGCCTAAAGTATGGCATGAGAGGAGACTCCCAAACCCTGCTGTGTATTGTATCACAACACTGACATCTGTTGGCTACAAGTGTACTGAATCCTTCTTGTGTCCTGTCCCTTCTTTCTCTGCAGCTTTCATAGCTCCTTCTAAATCAAATCTCCTACTGACCCTAAACCATTTAATGTGTGTTATGTCCTTCATTCCTAAAAGATTACAAACTCATATTCATGGTTTCTCATGTTAGCCTTTCACTCTCTTAGGAAATAAGATTTTATGCCATGTTAATTATTTTCTAAACCAAAATCAAACACCCATATATGCAACAGCCCCATTAACTCAGGCACAAGCTACACAAATGAGAACTGTCATTTTACTGATAGAATTATAAAAGGTAACCTATGAGAAAGATTACACACACATGTTTTTTGAAACATCACATGTTCCCATGTAAATACTTCCTGCCATTCATGCTACTGACTACTTTCTCCTCCTTGGCTCTCCTCTAATTCTCCTATCTTTACCCCATCCTCCACGAAGTGTTCTCCTCTCTGTGATCTTACACTCCTTTTTTTCCTCTGCCTACTAACTCTGGGGATGCTGAAAAACCCCCTGTCCAGCCCTTCAGAGGTTCCCTTCCAACACTTAGTATCTAGAAGACTGCGTCTAAGCATATGGTTTAATTCGCAATATAATCTGAATGCACAAATCAATACCTGCAGTCCTGACCTTCCCTTCTCTCTCCTAGTCAATATCTCCTGATGATTCAATGGCTTAGAATAGGAGGATTGCCTTCACAGTCCCTTCTTTGATGCGATAATTTTATACCCTATCAATATCTATTGCTTCAACGGCTAAAAATTAAGAATTGTCTCCCTACTGAATCATCGCCCCTTTCCAACTCCCCTATTTCATCAAATGCAGCATAACCTTCCCAGCCTTGTCATGGATACTGAGGCTGGCTCCTCTCTTCCCCTGTACCCCTTCCTACAGTAAGAGTTCTAATCTCAAATCCCACTGCTTTTCACCTAGACAGAAATAATGGAGTGCTTATCTTCTTTCAAGAAACCAATCACGATGTACTGATGACTCCCAAATCCCCATCTCCACCCCAGACCTCTCACCTAACCGTCAGACCTACATAATCCAAACAGTTATTGGTCATCCTCTCTTGGATAACTTCAGGATATTTGAAATTCTACATATGCAGAATCAAATTTCTATTCTCCCCTTTCCCCTCCACACCTGCCTCCCTACCCCCCACACCTCCCCCATTCTTTATCTCTGTAAATGGAAGGACCAGTGATTTATTATCCAAGCTGGAAACCTGGGAGTCATCCACAACTCCTGCCTGTCCTTCAGATATCATATCCAATCAATCACAGAAGTTTAATGTGCCTGTTGATTCTGGCTCCTGAGTAACTTTATTTCATTCATGGCTCACCAACCCAACTGTGGCAGAGACTGCTGTCTGACCATCCAAGATTTGTGCTCCTCTTCTGTAGTATGGAATTGTTACATGGAAACCACTAGTGTCTGGGGTGGAGAAGGGAGCATATGAGTAGTTCTTGCTCATGGAGTGTAGCTGATGTTACTTGTACTATTTAGCACTAAAGAAGCAGATGGGCCTTCCTCAGGCTGTTTCTTCATCTACCAGCTGAATGGAGCAGACTCTCAAGTCTCAGAGGACCACAGGGCCATGAAATAGAAGAAGCCTGGGTCTGTGACTGAGTACTTAGAAGGCCATCTATAGGGAATACCCATGTTGGGCTGTGACACAGCATAAAACAAACTTTATCATGTCAAGCCATGGAGAAAGTTGGGCTTACCTGTTACAGTGCCTACAGCACTCTGACACTACCTAGTTCAGGCCACTATCATTCTCCCCCAGACAATTGCAGGTGGTCCCAGTTGATCTCTGTGCCTTTGGTCCTTATCTATGTCCTCCTCTAGACTGTAAATTCTAGGAAGGCAGAGGCTGGATCTGCCTTGTTCACAGTGTACCCCCATCATGCAGCACAGAGGCTAATACGCAATAAAAATAACCAGGATCTTTCTTCCCAATTACTCCCTAGCTCGTACCCTCCACTCTTGGATTTTACTACCTAATGTTTCTCTCCCTATCTCTTACCCCAACAGACACACACACGCACACACATGCACACACACACACATTCATGGCGGGTTGACTCGAGCCCTCCTTCTACTCCCAGTTGCTGGTGATTCCCTCACATCCCGCCCCCTCTCATTCCTTCCTATCAAGGCCCATAAATTTTTCCCTGACTTCATCCAAAACTGATTATTCTAACACTGAGTTATCCCATTGCCTTATGTACCTTGTCCTAGGCTTCTCCTTACATTTAAGATAAGTCCTTTGTGCCTGGTGTGTGTTCTTTCCTCCCTCACTGTATTACACACTCACGGAGGAAAGCATCAAGGTTCACTCTTTACAGAGCTCTTCTGTGAATGCTCAATAAATGTCACCCACTGAATCCAATACTTTGCTTTGTGTACTATTCTATCTGGCATCTTCTGGAGTACCTTTTCTTAAAATACTTCAATGTGAGGGATTTTAGTGGAAATTATACATAAATATAAAATGAAACACAGTATTTACAAAGAAAGGGATCTTTCTATTATCTCCTTTGTGGCTATGTAGTTTTCCACAAAGGTGAAATCGATTGTTAGAGCATGAAATAAGCAATTAGGTATACCGTATAATTATTATTAACAGTTAATAATAATTAATATTAATGACAATTAATAATAGTAATTGAATGTCTATTAAATCAGTGTCTAGCACATAGTAAATACTCAAAAACATCTCATTTAATTCCAACAACAACCCTGTAAAATGGTCTTCCTTCTGGCCTGAATTTTATCTGCCTTTTCCCGGGATTGCTTTCTTGAAAGAGCTGGTCACTGAGGAAGGGGGCTGCACTTGAGACATCTGAAAGGCTCACTGCCTAGGGCTTCCCAAGGTAAGAGTATGCCAGAAAACAGCTGAAGAAGAGGCACCTGGGATCAGCCTCAGAGAAGATGCATCCGTCTTTGTAGGGTAGCTGCTGGGGCAGCAAGGAAATCCTGGTAGTGTGAGACCTATTCCTAATACCGCCATCATCATCACCACTGCCATCCACCCAGTCCCTGTGCTCCACTCGTCACACAACTCTATACACCAGTGTCTGACATTTGGTCTTCCCAATGGTTATGGGTCATCTTAACCAAACAGAAGCTGTGCACCCCACATTCCTGGGATGTCGACACACAGGCCAGCCCAGGACCAAAATGTCTTCAAACTATTCAATTTAGCCCTCCTCAAAGAGATGTAACCTAGCTCTCAAGTAAATTTGTTAAAGCTTTCAGGCATGCCTCACCCTGTTTTTGAAAAATTATTTTTCATTTATGTGCTGTACATTATTACTTTGTGTGCAGGCATTATCTATATTGTACTGCACAAAAATAATTGATTACTCATGAGTGACAGAATAATTGGCACTACCCTGGTTATTCAGCTATTTTTATGCATTATAATTATCAGCTTCACTACACTAGACAGAATTTAATGTTCTTGAAAATTAATATTGTCTAAGGACTTGATACAAAAGAATGTAATGTTCTTAAATTAAAAACTTGTCACACACTGATAGAGTCTCAGATTGTTGGTTATTTATCAACATTTTGTTTTAATCATTTCAAACCCTTTATCAAATCGCAGAGCTTGTAGTCCAAACCAATTCAGTACAACTGAATTCTAGTAAGTTTACAATCTGAATTAGTGTTTGCAATGGTAATATTACATGTTTACAGCTGTACATGTATTGAAGACCTAGAATCTTTTGCCTACTGACCTGCATTATGACTGTGAGTTTCTTGAAACCAAAAAAAAAAAAATGGATGGGGGGGGGTTATTTATATAAGAGCCTAAGTGCCTCATGTGCTAAGGCTGCATGAAATATATTAAATAAGCAGAATAATGTACAACTATAATGCCTAAAAGCTAGAAGAAATTCTATCCTCTGCACTGTGGTCTAGCTGTCATGCAAGAGAGAGACCTTTCCAGGATAAAGGCATGGTATGGAGCTGGACCTGGCTCTTAGTATCATTCTACCCATGGTGGCAGGACCCAAATAGGATATCTGTAACTATGCTTTTGACTGTATAAAGGGAACCCTCCTTTAAAATGCCAAAATGCTAATTACTCATGAAACTTGGTTTTCTTTTCACCACTGTGTATAATTCCTATGTTTATTCCAGTCTCTGTCTTTCCTCTTGTATTGTCTACCTTTGTATTTTCAACAGCACAGGAATGTTTACATGTTTGTCATCGAGTGCCACTCACCAGGATGGGCCCACAGTCCCCCACTCCCTATTGCTCACCCCCTTGTTGCCTCCCAAACCATGTGCACTGCCATCTGCATGACAGGAATGACTATCCATTTCTCTTCTTTTTCATTTTACCTCATCCTTCCCTCCCAATCCCTTCTATCCTTTTTTTTTCTCAGCAGTTGGTCAAAATATAGAACTACAGCACTTCACTAAAGGGCATCCAAATAGGAAGAGAAGAAATCAAACTACCCCTGTTTGCAGATGACATTATTCTATATCTAGAAAACACCATGGTCTAAGCCCAAAAGCTCCTTCAGCTGACAAACAACTTCAGTAAAGGTGCAGGATACAAAAATCTATGTACAAAAATCACTAGCATTCCTGTACACCAACAACAGCCAAGCCGAGAGCCAAATTACAATCCCATTCACAATTGCCACAACCTAGGAATACAGCTAAGCAGGGAGGTGAAAGATCTCTACAAGAAGAGCTACCAAACTTACTGCTCAAAGAAATCAGAGATGACACAAACGCATGGAAAAACACTCCATGCTCATGGATAGAAAGAATCAATATCATTAAAATGGCCATACTGCCCAAAGCAATTTACAGATTCAATGCTATTCCTATCAAACTACCAACGACATTCTTCACAGAACTAGAAAAAAATTATTTTAAAATTTAGATGGAACCAGCTGGGCGTGGTGGCTCACGACTGTAATCCCAGCACTTTGGGAGGCGGAGGCGGGCAGATCAGGAGGTCAGGAGATCGAGACCATCCTGGCTAACACGGTGAAACCCCGTCTCTACTAAAAATACAAAAAATTAGCCAGGAGCGGTGGCGGGCGCCTGTAGTACCAGCTACTCGGGAGGCTGAGGCAGGAGAATGGCATGAACCCAGGAGGCGGAGCTTGCAGTGAGCCGAGATAGCGCCACTGCACTCCGGCCTGGGCAAAAGAGCGAGACTCCATATCAAAAAAAAAAAAAAAAAAAAAAAAAAAAAAAAAATTTTAGATGGAACCAAAAAAGAGCCCAAATATCCAAAGCAATCCTAAGCAAAAAGAACAAAGCTGCAGGAATCATGTTACCTGACTTCAAACTACACTACAGGGCCACAGTCACCAAAGCAGCATGGTACTGCTACAAAAACAGACAAATAGACCAAAAGAACGGAATAGAGAGCCCAGAAATAAGGCCGCACATCTACAGCCATCTGATCTTCAACAAAGCTGACAAAAACAAGCAATGGGGAAAAGACTCCTGTGCTGGGACAACTGACTAGCCATATGCAGAAGATTGAAACTGGACCCCTTCCTTGCACCAGATGCAAAAATCAACTCAAGATGGGTTAATGACTTAAATGTAAAACCCAAAACTATTAAAACTCTGGAAGACAAACTAGGCAATACATCCTGGACTTAGGAACTGGTAATGATTTCTTGACAAAGATGCCAAAAGCAATCACAACAAAAGCAAAAATTGACAAGTAAGATCTAATTAACCTTAAGAGCTTCTGCACAGAAAAAGAAACTATCCTTTGGGTATATACCCAGTAATGGGATTGCTGGGTCATATGGTATTTCTGGTTCTAGATCCTTGAGGAATGGCCACACTGTCTTCCACAATGGTTGAACTAATTTACACTCCCAACAGTGTGAAAGTGTTCCTATTTCTCCACATCCTCTCCAGCATCTATTGTTTCCTGACTTTTTAATGATCGCCATTCTAACTGGCGTGAGATGGTATCTCATTGTGGATTTGATTTGCATTCCTCTAATGACCAGTGATGATGAGCTTTTTTTCATATGTTTGTTGGCCACATAAATGTCTTCTTTTGAGAAGTGTCTGTTCATATCCTTCGCCCACTTTTTGATGGGGTTTTTTTTTCTTGTAAATTTGTTTAAATTCCTTGTAGATTCTGGATATTAGCCCTTCGTCAGATGGATAGATTGCAAACATTTTCTCCCATTCTGTAGGTTGCCTGTTCACTCTGATGATAGTTTCTTTTGCTGTGCAGAAGCTCTTTAGTTTAATTAGATCCCATTTGTCAATTTTGGCTTTTGTTGCCATTGCTTTTGGTGTTTTAGTCATGAAGTCTTTGCCCATGCCTATGTCCTGAATGGTATTGCCTAGGTTTCCTTCTTGGGTTTTTATGGTTTTAGGTCTTACATTTAAGTCATTAATCCATCTTGAGTTAATTTTTGTATAAGGTGTAAGGAAGGGGTCCAGTTTCAGTTTTCTGCATATGGCTAGCCAGTTTTCCCAATACCACTTATTAAATATGGAATCCTTTCCCCATTGCTTGTTTTTGTCAGGTTTGTCAAAGATCAGATGGTGTAGATGTGTGGCATTATTTCTGAGGCCTCTGTTCTGTTCCATTGGTCTATATGTCTGTTTTGGTACCAGTACCATGCTGTTTTGGTTACTGTAGCCTGGTAGCATAGTTTGAAGTCAGGTAGCATGATGCCCCCAGCTTTGCTCTTTTTGCTTAAAATTGTCTTGGCTGTATGAGCTCTTCTTTTATTCCATGTGAAATTTAAAGTAGTTTTTTCTAATTTGGTGAAGAAAATCAATGGTAGCTTGATGGGGATAGCATTGGATCTATAAATTACTTTGGGCAGTATGGCCACTTTCACGATATTAATTCTTCCTATCCATGAGCACAGAATGTTTTTCCATTTGTTTGTGTCCTCTCTTATTTCCTTGAGCAGTGGTGTGTAATTCTCCTTGAAGAGGTCCTTCACATCCCTTGTAAGTTTTATTCCTGGGTATATACCCAAAGGATTTATAAATCATTCTACTATTCTGACACATGCACACATATGTTTATTGCAGCACTATTCACAATAGCAAAGACTTGGAGCCAACCCAAATGCCCATCAATTATACACTGGATAAAGAAAATGTGGCACATATACAGCATGGAATACTATGCAGCCATAAAAAAGAGTGAGTTCATGTCCTTTGCAGGGACATGGATGAAGCTGGAAAGTGTCATTCTCAGCAAACTAACACAGGAACAGGAAACCAAACACCACATGTTCTCACTCGTAAGTAGGAGTTGAACAATGAGAACACATGGACACAGGCAGGGGAACATCACACACCAGGGCCTGTCAGAGGGGTGGGGGGCTAGGGGAGGGATAGCATTAGGAGAAATACCTAATGTAGATGACAGGTTGATGGGTGCAGCAAACCACCATGGCACGTGTATACCTATGTAATAAACCTGCACCTTCTGCACATGTATCCCAGAACTTAAAGTATAATTAAAAAAAAAAAAAAAAAGAAACTATCAACAGAGTAAACAGACAGCCTACAGAATGGGAGAAAATATTCACAAACTATACATCTGACAAAGGTCTAATATCCAGCATCTATAAGGAACTTAAACAAATTTACAAGATAAAAATAAACAACCCCATTAAAAAGTGTGCAAAGAACATGAACAGACACTTTTCAAAAGAACACATTCAACTAAAAAGCATATGAAAAAAATTTCAGTATCACTTGTCATTAGAGAAATGTAAATCAAAACCACAATGAGATACCATCTCATACCAGGCAGAATAACTATTAATAAAAAGTCAAAAAATAACAGATGCTGGCAAGGTTGCAGAGAAAGGGAACACTTACATTCTATTGGTGGAAATGTAAATTAGTTCAACCATTGTGGAAAGCAGTGTTGTGGTTTCTCAAAGAGCTAAAAACGGAGCTACCATTCGACCCAGCAATCCCATTACTGGGTATATACCAAAGGTATATAAGTGATTCTGTCATAAAGACACATCCACGCATATGTTCTTTGCAGCACTATTCACAATAGCAAAGACATGGAATCAACCTAAATGCCCATCAATGGCAGACTGGATAAAGAAAACGTACATATATACTCTGGAATACTACATAGCCATAAAAAATAATGAGATCATGTCCTTTCAGGAACATGGAACATGGAGCTGGAGGCCATCATCCTTAGCAAACTAACACAGGAACAGAAAACCAAATACCACATGCTCTCATTTATAAGTGGGAGCTAAATGATGAAAATACATGGATAAATGAGAGAAACAACAGACACTGGGGCCTACTTGAGGGTGGAGGGTGGGAGGAGGGAGAGGAACAGGAAAAACAACTATTGGTTATGAGGCTTAGTACCTGGGTGACGAGATAATCTGTACCATAAGCCCCTGTGACACAAGTTTACCTATACGACAAACCTGCAAGTGTACCCCTGAACCTAACATAAAAGTTAAAAGAATAATAATAAAGTACTTAATACTTAAGTACTCAGTTATTTAAATTGCCTGTTCCTAATGCAAGAACTAGATTGGTGGACTCTTTCTTTTTTCAATCTTATCTTATTTTAAATGATAATTAGGTTGATTCCATATCTCTGCTATTGTGAGTAGTGCTGCAATGAATATACGAGTTTGTGTGTCTTTTTGGTAGGACAATTTATTTTCCTTTGGGTATATATCCAGTAATGGAATTACTGGGTCAAATGGATGTTCTGTTTCAAGCTCTTTGAGAAATTTCCAAACTGCTTTCTATAGTAGCTGAACTAATTTACATTCCCACCAACAGTGTATAAGCATTCCCTTTTCTCTGCAACCTCATCAACAGCTGTTTTTTTTTTCACTTTTTAATGGCCATTCTGACTTGCCCATCAATGGTGGAGTGGATAAAGAAAATGTGGTCCATATGTACCATGGACTACTACATAGCCATAAAAAAGAATAAAAGCATGTCCTTTGCAGCAACATGGATGCACCTGGAGGCCATTATCCTAAGCCAATTAATACAGAAACAGAAGAACAAATACCACATGTTCTCATTTATAAGTGGGAGCTAAACATTGAGTACACACAGACATAAAGATGGCAACAATACACACTGGGGACTACTGGAGGGGGGAGAGGGGAGGGGGCTGAGTGTTGAAAAACTATCTATTGGGTGCTCTGCTCACTATGAGGGTAACGGGATCATTCATATACCAAACCTCGGCAACAATTTATTCATGTAACAAACCTGCCCATGTACACCCTGAACCAAAAATAAAAGTTGAAAAAATAAAATAAAATAATTTGAAAAAAATGAGTCTTTTGTAGGAAAACATAATAAAATGATAAAGTTACATTTTATTTCTGTGGCTTCTGAATTTCTTTTTTCTTCCCTGTGAATTAGCAAAAGCTCCTTGATAGAAATTATTTCCCACCCCAACATAACGGTTTAATAGAAGTGAATCAAAGAATCAGAACATTTACTATTATTGGCTTTAGAAAAATTACAGTTAAAAAAGACAAAGCTAGGATCAATCATAAATTTGGAGTCAAAATTCTATCTTTTGAACATCAGATTAATAGATTAACATAATTGCAAGTAATTGACTATATTGTTTAATATACATCAGTTTAGTAATCAAAGTGATATCTGCCAGCATGATTAACTCCCATAAATTTGCATAGAGGTGCTGGGCACGGTGGCTCACGCCTGTAATCCCAGCACTTTGGGAGGCCAAGGCAGGAGGATTGCCTGAGGTCAGGAGTTTGAGATCAGCCTGGCCAAGATGGCAAAACCCCGTCTCTACTAAAAATACAAAAATTAGCTGGCGCTGTGGCATGCGCCTGTAATCCCAGCTACTTGAGAGGCTGAGGCAGGAGAATCGCTTGAACCTGGGAGGTGGAGGTTGCAGTGAAAAGAGATCACGCCACTGCACTCCAGCCTGGGCAACAGAATGAGACTCTGTCTCAAAAAAAAAAAAAAAGTGTGAATAGAGAAAATGCTCATTACCTCATATCATATGCAAAAACTAGCTCAAAATGGATTATAGACCTAAATGTAAGAATTAAAACTACAAAACTCTTAGAAGAAAACACAAGAATAAATATTTGTGACTTTAGGTAATATTTTCTTGGACATTACTTTAAAAGTGCAAATGACAAAAGAAAAATATAGATAAATTGGATCTCATCAATATTAAAAACTTTGTGCTTTAAAGGACACTATCAAGAAAGTGAAAAGACAACCCACGGAATGGGAGAAATATTTGCAAATCATGTAACTGGTAAGGCTCTAGTATCCAGAATATATAAAGAACTCTCAGAAGTGAACCCAATTAACAATGGGCAAATGATTTGAATAGATATAGCTCCAAAGATTATATACAAATAGCAATAAGCACAAGAAAATACACTCAACATAAACTGTATTTTCCTAATAAAAGGAAAATACAAATAAAAACGTTTATGAGATACCACTTCACATCCAGTAGGATGGTTACAATAAAAAAGATAGATGATAACAAGTGTTGGCAAGGATACAGAAAAATTGGAACCTTCATACGTTGCTGGTGGGAATGTAAAATGGTGCAGCCACTGTGGAAAACACTTTGAAAGCTCTTCAAAAGCTAAACACAGAGTTACATATTACCCAGCTATTCCAATCCTAGATATATAGATATATATACAAAAAAAATTGAAAACACACATCCACACAAAAACTTGTACATGAATGTTCATAGCAGCACTATTCACAATAGCTAAAAAGTGGAAATAACCCAAAAATGTCCATTGATTGATAAATACATAAATAAAATGTGGTATATTCAATGGAATATTATTCAGCTTTAAAAAGCAAATGATTCGTGCTGCAACATAGGTAAACCTTGAAAATATGCTAAGTGAAAGAAGCCAGACACGAAAGAACCTGCATATTATGTGATTCCATTTACACAAAATGTCCAGAATAGACAAATTCATAGAGACAGAAAGTAGTTGCCAGGGGATAGGGAAGCCGGGTAATGGAAACTGACTGCTAATGGGTGTGGAGTTTCTTTTTGGAGCAATTAAAATACTCTGGAATTAGAAATCAGTGATGGTTGCACAACTCCATGAATATATTAAAAACAACTGGATTGTATACTTTAAAAGTTTGAACATTATAGTATGTCAATATTATCTCAAAAAAGCTGTTATTTCTCTGCAAATGCTTGTCGATAGGAAGAGGATTGTGTTCTAATCAGTGAAGGAGTCTCCAGAAAGAGATGGGAGTGGGGCTCCTAACCCCTGGAGGGGTTAGAATTTCATTCCTCTCAGGGCACCAGGTTCTTGACTCTGGCCTTCCCCTCTCTTTCTCTTTTTAATTCAAAAAATCAGCGCTGTGTTGATGTTACTTTAGGTAAATTAACTTCTTCTGACCTCAGTTTTCTTTTCTGAAGTATTCACCCAGGGGAGTCGTAACCTAGATATTAAGCACACACAATGGACTCAGCAGGGCTACTATTTTAATCTCAGCTCATCCAGCTGGGAGACTCTGGTCATGTTATTTAACCTTGCCAGCCTCACTTATGCTCACTGTAAAGTGACGGATAATTATACCCACCTCACACATTGTAGAGAATGAAACAATCTACAGAGCACTAATTGGGGTCTTGACAGGGGGTGAACACTCTGTAATTATAGCCATTATCTCAGAGGCCCCTTCCAGTTCTAAAATGTTCTGAGACGTCAAATAGAATTATATTTAAGTCATATATATTACAAAAATAGTAATCAACGTAGAATAATAGCTTATGATGACATAATGCAGAACTTAATAAGGAAATGTGGAAGAAGTCTTCTGATCATTTTGCACAAACACTTCCATTACGACAGTGTGTACTCGGTACTTTTTTCCATCTTTTGCCAGTTGCCAGATTTCTCAGATGAGAAAGAATGCCTAATAAGATTTGAGGTGTAGTTCAGTTGTCCCTGAATACACAAACATTTTCTTTCTATAATGCAGCTAAATTCTGGCCACGACTCTCTTATTGCTCCTGTGGGTCACAAAATTGGTGGATGTGCACATGTTAGTCTGTGGCAAGTCACAGCAACAGACACTGTTGTCTCTGCCCTTTATGTTCCGAGTCAGACAGAAGACTCTTTGATGATGGCCTAGCAGGTTTTTTTCCAGCTAATTTTGATGCCTGTGTGCTTGAGATGCTATTTCTTACATCATCAAGCAAACATTACTGGCATAATTTGAAAAATTACAAAATTACAGGGATGTCTCTATTTACTGTTTTGACAGACTGACTTCTCGTTCTCAAGGTGTCTCCCCTTTTCTTCAAGTGGTAATTTACCAAAAAGTTAGTTACCGATCATTAGTTCCCACATGGACCTAGCCCAGTAGTCTAAATTAAGAGTGAAAAAAGAGGAAAATCATGTAACTTACCCCCAGTGCAGCCAATAATTTTTCTCAGAAAATAGAGAAACAGAAATGACTAAAGGAGAAATTACTATTAATTTCATTAATAATAATAATGTCAACAATAACAATTCCTGCAAAAAAAAACCCTTAGACTTAGTCATGAGATAATGAAGCCTCATTTTATTTTTAAGTAAATACATGCCACATGAAGAAACAGCAGCTTGTGGTTAGATCTAGAGCCATTCAAATCTCTCCAAGCCTACAAACATACCATAAAATAAAAAACATTCTGGTATTCATAGGTAAGCACATCTGTAGTGAATTTGCTAACTAGGGAAGACAGAGAACAGTCACAGAGGCAGAGACCCCCTTCTCTGTGACTCACCTTTCCACTGGGGCTCTGAGCAACCCAGGCCGAGGGAGACCACTTTGTTTCTCCCAAGCCCTGGAGCTAAGTTGGGGAGAGGCTTGGAGATGCTGTGAGGGAAAGACACCAGGAAAAGCTGCAGACATTTTTCTAGACCCAGGACTGAGAGCAGGATGCCATTCTTAATCCAAGCACATACCAATCAGCCACTCTTAGGCAGCCCGGCAGCATGGCCACGCAGGCATTTTAGTCTCAAGCACCTACTCTGAACTATGGAAGGGGCCTCAACAGCCAGAACTGTCGAAAGTGCCTCAGCAGTAGGGCTAGAATTGGGCTCTCTCCAGTCACAAGCCTGGGGCAGGAAGAGGCTACTACAGCTGCAGTTTCTCCTTGGCAAAAAACAAGCACAAACTAATCTGAAAGCTAGCAGGATAAAAGAAATAACTAAAATCAGAGCTGAGGTGAATGAAATCGAGACTCGAAAAATCGAGACCCGAAAATCCGTAAAAAGAATAAACAAAACCAAAAGTTGGTTCTACGAAAGTATAAACAGGATTGACAGACCACTAGCTAGATTAACAAAGAAAAAAAGAGAGAAGGTCCAATCAAGCACTATCAGAAATGACAAAAGTGACATTACAACTCATCCCTCAGAAATACAAAAGATCCTCAGAGACTATTATGAACACCTCTATGCACACAAACTAGAAAATCTAGAGAAAATAAATTTCTGAAAACACATAATGTCCCAAGATTGAATAAGGAAGAAATTGAAACACTGAACAAACTAATGTCGAGTTCCAAAATTGAATCAGTATAAAAAACTTACCAATCATAAAAAGCCCTGGACCAGACAGATTCACTGCTGAATTCTACCAGATGTACAAAGAAGAGCTGGTACCAATTCTACTGAAACTATTCCAAAAAAACAAATAGGAGGGACTGCTCCCTAACTCATTCCACAAAGCCAGCATCACCCTGATACCAAAATCTGGCAAAGACACAATGAAAAAAGAAAACTACAGGCCAATATTCCTGATGAACATAGACACAAAAAGCCTCAACAAAATACTGAATTCAAAAACACATCAAAAAGTTAATTCACCATGATCAAGTAGGCTTGTTTCCTGGGATGCAAGGTTAGTTCAACATATGCAAATCAATACATGTGATTGACCACATAAACAGAGTTAAAAACAAAAACCATAAAATCATCTCAATAGATGCAGAAAAAGCTTTTGATAAATCCCACATCCCTTCATGACAAAAACTCTCAAGAAACTAGGCATCAAAGAACATACCTCAAAATAATAAGAGCCATCTATTGACAAACTCACAGCCAACATCACACCAAATTGGCAAAAACTAGAATCATTTCCCATGAGAACTGGAACAAGACAAGGATGCCCACTCTCACCACTTGTATTCAACATAGTAATGGAATTGCTGGCGAGAGCAACTGGGCAAGAGAAAGAAATAAAAGGGATCCAAATAGGAAAATAAAAAGTCAAATTATCTCTCTTCACTGATGATATAATTCTATACTTAGAAAACCCTAAGGACCCTGCCAAAAGGCTATTAGAACTGATCATTTTAGTAAGGTTTCAGGATATAAAATTAATGTACAAAAAACAATAGCATTTCTATACACCAATAATGTTCAAGCCGAGAATCAAATCAAGAATGCAAACCCATTTACAATAGCCACAGTGCAAACCCAATTACAATAGTACCCCTGCTGACACACACACACACACACACACACACACAAATACCTAGGAACACATCTAGCCAAGGAAGTGAAAGAACTCAACAAGGAGAACTACAAAACTCTGCTAAAAGAAATCACAGATGATACAAACAAATGGAAAGACATTCCCTGCTCGTGAATTGGGAGAATCAATATTATTAAAATGGCCAACTGCCCAAAACAATCTACAGATTCAAAGCTATTCCTATGAGACTACCAATGTCAATTTTCACAGAATTGGGAAAAAAAACTATGCTAAAATTTATACAGAACCAAAAGAGCCCAGATAGCCAAAGCAATTTCAAGCAAAAAGAACAAAGCCAGAGGCATCACATTACCTACCTTCAAACTATACTATAAGGCTACAGTAAACAAAACAGCATGGTACTGGTACAAAAACAGACACATAGACCAGTGGAACAGAAGAGAGAATCAAAAAGTAAAGCCATACACCTATAGCCATCTGATCTTTGACAAAGTTGACAAAAATAAGCAATGAGGAAAAGACTGCCTATTGAATAAATGATACTGGGATAACTGGTTAGCCATATGCAGAAGAATGAAACTGGACTTTCACCTCCATCATATAAAAAATTAACTCAAAATGAATTAAAGATTTAAATGTAAGACCTCAAACTATAAGACTCCTAGAAGAAAACCTAGGAAACACCATTCTGGACATTGACTTCGGGAAAGAATTTATGACTAAGTCCTCAAAAGCAATCACAAAAAAATTATGACAAGTGGGACCTAATTAAACTAAAGAGCTTCTGCAGAGCAAAAAAAACTATTAACAGAATAAAAAGACAACCTACAGAATAGGAGAAAATATTTGCAAACTATGCATCTAACAAAGGGCTACTATCCAGAATCCATAAGGAATTTAATTCAACAAGGAAAACACAGAAAACCCTATTTAAAAATGGGCAAAGAATACGAACAGACACTTCTCAAAAGAAGACATACAAGCCAGCAACAAACATGAAAAATGCTCCACATTAGTAATCATCAGAGAAATGCAAATCCAAACCACAATGAGATATCATCTCACACCAGTCAGAGCAGCTATTATTAATGTCAGAAAAACAACAGATGTTGGCAAGGTTGTGGAGAAAAGGGAATGCTTACACACTGTTGATGGGAATGCAAATTAATTAAGTCACCATGGAAAGCAGTTTAGAGATTTCTCAAAGAACTTAAAACAGAAATTCCATTTGCAGCAATCCCATTATTGGGTATATACCCAAAGGAAAACAAATCATTCTACCAAAAGGACACATGTACTTGCATGTTCATCGCAGCACTATTCACAATAGCAAAGACAGGGAATCAACACAGGTGCCCCTCAGTGGTGGATTGGATAAAGAAAATGTAGTATATACACACCATAGAATACTACATAGCCATACAGAAGAATGAAAGTATGTGATTTGCAGCAATATGGATGCAGCTGGAGGCCATTTCCCTAAGCAAATTAACATAGGAATAGAAAACCAAATACCACATGTTCTCACTTATAAATAGGAGTTAAACATTGGGTACTCATGAACATAAAGATGACAACAATATAGACACTGGGGACTACTGGAGCAGGAAGGGAAAGAGGGGGACAAGGGTTGAAAAACTAACTGTTGGGTACCATGTTCAGTACCTGGGTGACAGGATCATTCTTACCCAAAACTTCAGCATCATGCAATATATCCAGGCAACAAACCTGCATATGTACCCCTGAATCTAAAATAAAAGTTGAAAAATACATATATTCCATAGTACCAGTAAATTATGCAGGATTTCTCAAAACAGATAACATGCACAATGACATTTAGAATCATATTACTCTATCTTGATACTGTTTTGCCATCTGCAAGACTCTACAATTAATGCATCCTGCTGTAACTTTACTATTTTGTCAAACTGGAATATTGTATGTAGGTCCAAAGGCTTTGTGTTGTAGACACTTAATGAATAAATTGATTTAGAAAACGGGAACCAAGACAAATTCCAGAAAATTCAGGGCATGTTAAAATATTTGGCATTCAAATAGATGACCTGTTATAAAGCCTACATATTTGTATACTTTTTGAAAGGGACTGGACCCCAGAGCCAGATGAACTAAGTTCTACTAAGCTTTGACACTGGAGAATTTAACTTCTCTGTGACTCAGTTTTTTCATTAGTAAAGTGGGGATAGGAGTAGTACATATCATAGGGTTGTAAGGAGAACTAAAAGTGAGCTAACATGTGTAAAACACTTAGAATGGTGTCTGGCACATAGTAAATACTATATGGGAATCAGCTGTTTTTACTTCTCAGGTACTAGAGGTAGGAGCTCCAGTAAGGTGCCATTTTAGCATGACCAATACAAACAAGTCCCTTGGTTTGGCACTTCAGGATTCCTGAACCCAAAGATCCAACTGGGCTAATGACCTAAGCTAACAGATGAGCCCTTCTATTAGCAACATAATGAGTTTGGAGTTCTCTCCTCCAAATGCCTTCAACCCTAAACATCCAGGTGCCGGAGGAGAGCATGCTCTGGATCAGCAGCTAGTAATTAATGAAGAGACACCATTAGGAGCCCATCTATGGATACCACTTTGCAGAAAAGAGTGATACAGTAGAGTCTACCGATAATAACACTTATAAAACATTTTCGATAATTGAAAAGCACTTCAAGATTCAATAATATTTCAGAACTGTTGTTATGAGCATTAGTTATTGATATGGTTTGGATTTGTGTCCCTGCCCAAATCTCATGACAGATTGTAGACCCCAGTGTTAGAGGAGGGGCCTGGTAGCAGGTGATTGGTTCATGGGGACAGATTTCCCCCTTGCTGTTCTCATGATAGTGAGTGAGTTCTCACGAGATCTGGTTGTTTAAAAGTGTATGGCACCTCCCTCTTCTCTTTCTTCCTCCTGCTCTGGCACATAAGACGTGCCTCCTTCCTCTTTGCCTTCCGTCATAATTGTAAGTTTCCTGAGACCTCCCCTGCCATGCTTCCTGTACAGCCTGTGGAAGAGTGAGCCAATTAAACCTTTTTTCTTTATAAATTACCCAGTCTCAGGTAGTTCTTTATAGCAATGCCAGAACAGACTAATACAGTTATCACCATATTATAGAGATACAGGCATGCATAGAAAGATAACAACTTGGCTGGGTGCCAGGGGCTCATGCCTGTAATCCCAGTGCTTTGGGAGGCCAAGGCAGAAGTATTACTTGAGGCCAGGAGCTCAAGACCAGTCTGAGCAACATAACAAGACCCTGTCTATACAAACATAAAATTTTTTTTTTAAATTAGCTAAGTGTGATGATGCACACCTGTAGTCCTAGCTACTCAGTGGGCTGAGACAGGAGGATCACTTGAGCCCAGGAGTTCAAGGCTGCAGTGAGCTATGAACAACAGAACAAGACTAAGGAAGGAAGGAAGGAAGGAAGGAAGGAAGGAAGGAAGGAAGGAAGGAAAGAGAAGGGGAAAGGGAAGGGGAAGGGAGGGGAGGGGAGGGAAGGGAAAGGAAGGAGGGAGAGAGGGAGGGAGGGAGGGAGGCTTTACTATTTTACATTGCCACTAGCAATATATGAGTGATTCATTTTGTCCATATCCTCACCAGCATTCATCACTGTTATTTTTCATTTTAGCCATTCTGATAGGCATGTAGAGATATCTCATTGTGGTTTTTACTTTGCATACCTCTAATGCCTTGTTATGTTGAACATCTTCTCATGTGCTGATTTGACATCTGTGTAGTTTCTTCAGTGAATACTTTTTCTTGCCTTTTGCCCATTTTCTAATTGAATTATTTGGTTTTTATTGCTATGTTTTGAAAATTCTTTATATATTCTAAATACTGGTCCTTTATCAGATATGTGGTTTGAAAATATTTTCTCCCAGTCTCTAGCTTATCTTTTCATCTCCTTGACATAGACTTTCTCAAAGCAAAAGTTTTTAAGATCCAATTGATCAATTTTCCCTTTTATGAATTATGCTTTTGATGTCAAATTTAGAACCCCACAGTAACAGTCATCACACTAGAAGTAGGGTGAGCTATTCATCCAGGTTTCCCCAGGACTTTCCTGACTTTAGCACTGAAAGTTTCACATTCTGGGAAACCCTTCAGTTCCAGAGAAACCATGATGATCACCCAAACTAGAACCTGCCCCTCTTTTGCACCAAAGCAACAGTGAAGGGGCTAGTTCACTTTTAGGAACAGGAAGACAGCATATACTGTGACTTAGAACCAGTACATGAGATCACTATACATGAGTACATTGTGACGCTGCAAGGTTATGCCATGTGCAATGGTAACTTTGCCATTTCCTCCTTTACTATAATGGGCTTGATGCTCTAGAAAGGTGGGCTGGCAGGGAAACAGAGAGCTTCACTTACATGCTCATCCCTTAGATCCTGCGCCCCCCATTCTGGAGTCTGGACCTGGGACAGCTCTTCTCCCAATTCCCACCCACATCCTCCCCCATGTAGTTCAATCCTTTGAGCCAGGGTCCTCTATCCTGGCTGCACACCAGAATCCCCTAAGCAGCTCTGCAAAAATGCTCATGACTGGGCTTCCTCTCCAACCAATTAAATTTGATTCCCTGGGAGTGGGGCCCAGGCATTTATCAATTGTAAAAAATCCTCAAGTGATTCCAGTGTGTGGCTAGGGTTGAGCCTCCCTGCTCCAGGCTCTAGGAGTGTAAACCGAGGGGGAGCAGGGATGAGATCTGTCTGCTACCACTGTACCCACAGCACCTGGTACAGTGCCCACCTGTAGTAGGCCTCTGATATATATTTGGTAATTTTTTAAATGAGTGAATAATACAGAAATGATCAAAGACTGGGACCAAATACCACTTACTTTGTCTCTGCTGCTTGAAACCGAAGAATCAAATCAGGTGCAAGATAAACTGTAAGATAAGCCTACCTAAAACTAGACTGTCCCCACACCCTTCCTAATCTCCCAGAAAAGCTACTGGAGTTGAAAAGTCAAGAAATTCCTCATTGCATCAATGGGCATTTTTATTCCCATCATGTTACAAATGGATATTTGGCTCTGGGACAGTGAGAGTGCACCTCGTCTCCAGGTGAGTTAGAATCCAGAGCCCCTGGTGGCATCAGCCTCACCAGGGAGCTGGCTAGAAATGCAGATTGTCAGGCCCCATTCCAGACCAACTGAATTAGAATCTATTTTAATAAGAACCCCAGTCATCCACATGCTCACTAAAATTTGGGAAGCACCCATCCAAACCAAATGACTGAGAAGTGATCATGGGAGAGAATCAGGTAGCTGTCCTGGAAGAGCAATGACCCCGCATCCCTCGCCCCAACCAAGCCTGTGAAGGAAAGAGACCCTCAATGAGGTCGGGGAAAGAGAAAGGGGTGGAGCCATACACAGAGGTCAAATCACAGCATTATTGGCCTTCACAAAATCCCGTGAGGCATCTTAGGACTTGAATCCTTAACCTTTCAAGTCTAAGCCTTGAGCTTGGAAGATTCATGAGCAAGCAAATGGATGCAGCAGAGAAGAAGAACCTGCAGATGCCGTGTCATGTGTTTTTAATTTCCTGAAGGATTTGGGTGATGACAGGGCTAAGTATCATCCTGAGATGGACTGGAGAATGTGGCAGTGTCTCTGAATTACCCGGCAGCAGAGGCAAGCTCCCTGGAGTTGCTGTGGGAGGCAGGGTGGGTGGGCCTCCTTGCTCCCTCCCCCACGTGGCCAGAGTTTTGTAATTCCCACATGACGTCCACTGTGCTGGGCAGTCCCCTCACAGCACAAGGCCCCTTAGAAACCTTTGCTTGTCTCTGTCCCGTCCAGCATTTTAGTTAGCATGTCAGCATCCTCACCAGTGTTTACGATTGGGAGCTTATTATTTTCATCACTTACTTCTTTCTAAAAGCAGCCATTGCTGGAGTTTGACGATGAAAAGGGATGGCTGTGGTCATTTTGTACATCAGGGGCACTTATACCTGCAAGGAAATAATTTATTTTTTGCAAATTCTAGATACCTGATTGTACTCCTTTATGCAATTTTCTCTAGATTCTAGTATTATCTATGCATCCCTTCCTGCAGAGACAATAGCTTATGCCCACCACAAGTTTATAGAGAACAGCCCCCAAACTAGGGTAAACATTGAGGAAAGAGCTAAAACCTCAACAAACTTCATCCTAAGTCCCTCTCTGCCCTCAATCCTAACCTGAGTGTGGTGGCAGAGACACAGAAGCACCAGAATGGGCTCTCTCAGGTAGAAACTGTGCTGAAACAATTATGCTTTGCTCTTGATGAAATTGGTTAAACTATTTGCTGCTTTACAACATCATATACGGAAAACATTTTTCTTGCCTAGACATGGCTTGAGGCGGTTTTTGCATTCTGCATCAGGAGGAAATTGATTAATGTGAATGTTTTAGCTGTGGTTGTTGTTTGTGTATAAACTTTTGTTGAAACAAGTAGGACAGAATAAATGACCTTTATGTAGACACCTATTAAGGCACTAAAAGGCTTGGCTACATTCATCTGAGACGCGTACACATAACGAGTAGAACAATAAGGGGATCAGCAGCTGCAAGGAGTTGAATTGAATTCTTCAACAATAGAAAAGTTTTTCAGACCCAAATACCAGCAATCAAAGAGAATTTTTGCAGATAATCCAAGAGAAAGAAAATAAAAAAAAAAATGCTAGCCAACTTTGCACCAGTTAGCATAAGGTTGCCATCTGAAACATGTCAGCTTAAGAGCAGACCATACCTCCATTCTTTTGCCCAACTGCAGTATTCAGAACTGTTTCCCCAAATAATCCCAGATGGCACACCACAAAATTTCAATTCATTTTAAAAGCTTTCTTTGCTGTTATTATGTGATTGAAAGTGCAAAAGCAAGTTGCCATTCTCATGGCACTATTTGCATTGACTATTATCCCCTAAAATCCCCTTTAAACAGCTACATTGTCAGCCCATAGGCCTCATTTAGAACTACAAAAAAGCCCAGATTAATTCGATCAAAGAAAGAGCCAAGTACAAAATGCACTTTTCAAACTGTATCAGAGTGGGTTCGCTTTACAGATCGCTTTGGGGCAAGAACCGCAGGGGAAAGAAAGTCCTGAAATAAAGCTTGGTTACGAAGCGAAATAACTAGGTTTGGCTCCCTGATTTATTTGAGCATCTCAAGGCGAAATCTCCAATTAAGAATTCTTCGAGGGAAATGTATTTAAATATAAATGCTGAAACAGATCCCCACAAATTGCAGCATCCCATTTGCTTTCAGCCATTGGCTTTCAGCCACCATTCTCAGGGGCAGCTTGAAGCCCTGCCTGGGTAACCTGGTTAGTAGGAGGCATTTCTGAAATCTCACACTCTGAATCAAGCCAAAGTACTTTACACTTGTAAAAATGTCTATCTGACTTTTCTCAGCCCATCCCAGAGGAAATGTTTTACGTTACCACAAGAAAATAAATTGCTGGAAAACAATGATGACACCATTTCTTTCAGCAAAACAAAACATGCTAGGATTCAGGTCGAATTCCGCGATGATCCGCCTGCTGCAAGCCCAGGTTCTTACAGGAACGCTGACCGGGCTGTCTGCTGGTCGCGTGGTGTGCTGTTTGTTTTAGTCTCACCTGGGGGTCTGAAGGTGGGGGAGAAGGTTGGGGTGAGCCAAGCTGGAGTTTGGATTTCTTAGGGACTCTCCATTAGTTTCCTAGGCAGGGTTTGCAGCGTCTGTCACCACTGAAGATGGTGCAGCGGCGCGCTGCAGCCGGCATGCTGCACCGAAGCTGTACCCTTCAACGGCTACTTTTGTGTGCTGAGAACATTTTACTGAGGAGGGAACGGCTGCACAAAGGTAGGGCTACAGGGCATGTGCAGCAAGATGTGCAACTGCCTCTTCAGGGACTGAGCAGGACCCAGAAAGCACTGAAAATAGGCAGCTCCAGCAAATATGAAAGTCATCTGCAGGAATGAGCAACCAGGGATGATTTTTGCCAGTTTTTTGGGCTCAATCTTTTGCACCAGAAGAAATGAACTCAAAATCCTGGGCTGTCTGCTGCTCCCCAAACCCACTCTGGAAACAAAAGACCATGATGCTGCTCTAATCATCACACAAAATGTTTAGAAAGGGTGCTATTACAAGGGGCTCCAATCTGAATACCCTGATCCAAACTTCTTGGTCACATGCTTAGCTAGAAATTGACAGAGCTAATAAGATATTCAAATTGCACATAGGTGTTCACCACCCCCAGCCACCAAATCCTTCTAACCATCTTGAGAATTATCTAGAGAAAACAAATATGGATGCAAAACTCTGCAAACTGAAAATGTTACCCCACCTCCACCCCTGGAGTCAGGAAGGCAGGGAAAGAAGTCAGTGGTGAGCACATACACAGGAAAGAGAATATGGAATTGAATTGTTTTCAGTGATGGAAAATATTCAGTTTTCCCCAAATCTTCTAAATTATTTGCAGTCCTGATAGTCCTAACTATTAATTACAGCAATACAGTACAAAGAAAAAGAGTTCTGGTTTTTTGAGAGCTGTATAAACTTTCTGAAATTCTGCAAACCTAAACCTGTCAAGGAAAGGTAGAAAGGCAACCACATGTGTTGATTCCTTAGGAGACAAACTATGTCACTGTGAGAAAATACACTCCAAGGAATTTATTTCTAGTGAGTTTCAATAGAGTGTTAACTGGTAGGAATGAGAATGTTTGCTGTGACTTTTTAAGTCTCACTGGAGCCCTAGATGAAAATACAATGACTTCCTTTTGATGATAAATATTTGTTTGATGATGAGTCAAGAATATTCTAAGCAAAATGAGAAAGGAAGATCAGCGCCTTCCTCATTACCACCAACGCAGGCTTCAGAGACCAAGGTGATTCCACCAGCACTCAGAAGAACATTGTTTAAGACAAATCTAAGCGGGTTTTTTTTTCCCCCCATGGGAATGCGAGAATAAGAGAAAGGATGCCATGGTATATTGTAAAAGTCTTCTTAGGAGCTCTGAATTCTAGTCCTGGCTCTGCCTCTAAGTAACAGAATGACCTTGAACTAGTCACTTTATCTCTCTAGTCCTTACTTTCCTCATCTATAAAATGAGAAAGCTAAACTAGATGATTTCCAAGGGCAGCCCCAAACATAACGTCAAAGAATGATGAGGGCATTCCTCTGGAGAGTGCATATAATTGTAATATAATGGTTCTAGAATATGCTTCTTGTTTTGTGTGCTTTCTACATAACAGAAGCACCTTCCTGGCACAGTATGGAGATTTGAAGGTTTTCTCTTAGCCTCTTAGAGGCTCCAGTCCTCTCTATGCTACACAAATGAATTAACTTGAATGTGGTCAATTTAAAATCTTCAGCCATGTTAGTCACGACTAACTGAACCAACTGACCCAAAATCCAAATCCTCCTTAGGAAATCCTGCATTACCTATCAAGGCCACCAGCCTCCAACTGTTAGTCCTCTGGAAACAGCCTTTATGTCTTCTTCTGTCAAATGGGAAAACAGGATGCCATTAAAAAAAATTATTTGACAAATACATCTCTTGGACATTTTGTATTTATAAAGAAGTCTTTAGTTATAAATACTTCCATTACCAGTATCAGTATCCATGAACTTATTCAAGAAATATTTATTTATTTATTCATTTATTTATTTTTGAGATGGAGTTTCACTCTTGTCACCCAGGCTGGAGTGCAATGGTGCAGTCTTGGCTCACTGTGACCTCCGCCTCCTGGGTTCAAGCTATCCTCTTGTCTCAGGCTCCCGAGTAGCTGGGATTACAGGTGCGTGCCACCATGCCTGGCTAATTTTTGTATTTTTAGTAGAGATGGAGTTTCACCATGTCGGCCAGGCTGGTCTCGAACTCCTGATGTCAGGTGATTCACCCACCCTGGCCTCCCAAAGTGCTGGGTGGCGTAAGTTACCACGCCCTGCCAATAAATATTTATTATTGAGTGCCTAGTTTGTGCCAAGCACTCTTCTTATATTTATAGGTAAGTAAATACAAGAGCAAAAAAGAATGACAAGTTCTCTGCTATCACGGAGCTCACGCTGTAATGGGGGCGAGGCAAAGAAAATAAACAAGCAAAGATAAAATTAGAGATAGGGAGATGTGATAGATACCGGATGGACTCTTTGAGATGACCTTTAGGCTAAGCTACGCATCACAAGAACCAGTCATGCACACATCGGGGAGAAGAGCATTCTGGGCAGAGGGAACAGCTAGTGCAAATGATATAAGATTTAAAAGGAAATTATTTGGGCAGATAGTGAGGGTATAGGAGTCCTCGGTAAGGTTTTCCTTTTAACAAAAAGCAGCCCCAAAATCACTGTCTTTTCTAACAAAGAGCAGCCTGTAAAATTGAACTGCAGACATAGACAAGCAAGCTGGAAGCCTGCATGGATGAATGCCGGCATTTGTGCCAACAGGAAAAGGCCACCTGGGACTAGGCATCTTCAAAATGGCAGCTCCATGTTCCCTTCTCTTTGCCAGCCACATGTACAGTAAGGAGCAGATAAGATGGCACTGACCAAGTGGAAAGTCCATTTGCATAATAAGATTAGGGTGGGATGGCCAGCCTTCCTTCATGCTATGTAAACATCACACCTGGTCCAACCAATCTGTGGGCCCGACATAAATCAGACACCGTCTCCTCAAGCCTGCCTATAAAATCTGGTGCGCAACTGCCTCGGGCCAGATTTCCCTTTCGGGCACTCCTCTCTCTTGCAAGAGAGAGAGCTGTTCTCCCTTCTCTTTCTTTGCCTATTAAACCTCTGCTCCTAAATTCACTCCTTCTGTGTGTCCGTGTCCTTAATCTTCTTGGCACAAGATGACAAACTCCGGGTATTTACGTATTTACCCCAGACAATGACGCCACTTCACAAAGTCCTAAAACAAACAAACAAACAAACAAACAAACAAAAAGACAGAAATCCAGTGTGGCTAGAGAGGAAAGCAGGAATCAGACCCTGTCCATCACTCAATTTTCTGCTAACTACAGGACGGAGTATATTAGAGAGTTTTAAGCAGGACAGTGACATAATCTACTTCAGTTGTTTTTTATTTGTTTGTTTGTTTGTTTGTTTTTGAGACAGAGTCTGGCTCTGTCGCCCAGGCTGGAGTGCAGTGGCGCCATCTCGGCTCACTGCAAGCTCCGCCTCCCAGGTTCACGCCATTCTCCTGCCTCAGCCTCCCGAGTAGCTGGGACTACAGGCGCCCGCCACCACACCCGGCTAATTTTTTTTTTTTGTATTTTTAGTGGAAACAGGGTTTCACCGTGTTAGCCAGGATGGTCACGATCTCCTGACCTCGTGATCCACCCACCTCAGCCTCCCAAAGTGCTGGGATTACAGGCAGAAGCCACCGCGCCCGGCCTACTTCACATTTTTAGAACATTACTCCTGCTGCTATGTGAAGAATGGATTCTAGGCAGAGCAAGTGTAGAGGGAAGGAGAAGTATTGGGAAGTTACTGCAATAGTACAAGTAAAGGAATGTGGCTTTGTCTGGGAAGCAGTCATAAAGATGGAGAAAAGCAAACGGAGTCAAGATATATCTTGGAAGAGTTGTTACTGGAGTAATGGGGGTAAGTGAGTGGGGGGAGGGAGGATACCAAGGGAAAGGGAAGAACAAGTGTTAACTTGTAGATGTTGGAATTGAGCAACTCAATGGGGAAGAAGCAAGCCTGATGCAATGGGAGGAATAATGAGTTCCATTATGGCCATGTTAAGTTTGAGATGTCCTATTAAATGTCCATGGAGAGAGATTAAGTAGGCAGTTGGACACATGAGTTTGGAGTTTCAGGGACAAGTCAGGGTTGCAGATGAGATTTGTGCATCATTAGGATAGGGTGAATGATTCTCACAGTCAATTCTAATTAAGACACTTCATCTTGAAGATAAATGCCACAGAAACCCTCTGATCCAATTCACCTAGGACCTGTAGTTGATTGATAAGCCAGACATCTCTTCTGTGCTACTTCAGGGCTGTCAGTCTCACTTGAATCCAGGGAGTTTGGTCACTTGCTTTGTACCCAGCTGCCAACCCAACAGCACTTACCTTTGTGCCCTTATCCCACATCTGTCACATCCAACATCCAAGTTTTCCAGGGATCCTCCCTATTAATATACCAAAGACCTCCTGCTAAGGTAGCCCTGCTCAGCCCCCACCTAGTTACATTTGGGAAGTACAAGGAAATTCATGCCCTGTGGTGTGCATCTTTGAGGTATGATGGCAGCTGACAAATAAATTCTTCTCCCTTCTACCTCCATATGTACTGCCCTGAAAAAAAAAAAATGATCCCACAAGATTGAGAAGTCTGTCATTCTCAAATACAAGTGGTGACCAGTTGAATAATAACATATTTGTCTTTTCTCATTCTCTTCTCCCTCCTCACTCCCACTTTTCCCTCACCCTTCTCCCCGCGATTGCATTCAAAAGGCAGCAATCCACTCAGGGGTGCAAGCTGCTCTGCCACCTTATCACTTAGCAGATCTGCTGGTGCTGGAAATATCTGGTATCTGTGGTGGATAAGAATAATTCATGAAGCATCTGGAAATCCTCAATAGGAGGGTTAGCTAGGGTTCTAAAGCAAGGCTACAGCTTCTGTGGCCAAGAGCTATTTTCCATTTGTAAAACAGCCGCTGGTATACCACTGAGACCTAGTAGAGACTGAGCACGTGACCTTGGGGCACCAAATGACTATGCAACTGAAATTGCCCATCAAGCCAGATATGAGCAGACTCACAGAATCATGAGTTCAGGCAAGCACAGCAGCAATTCACTGTACGATGAAAATGGTATATTCAGGATTGGACCTGAGCAAGTCCAGAAGTAATGAATAAATCACATGAATAGGTAACCCAGATTCCCATTCACCTAACTCCATTGCACTAACACCTCTTCCTCAACTCACTCTCACAGCCTTGTAAAGGATTTCTTAATACCAATTAACAGAGGAAGGAAAGAGCCATGATTCATATAATAGATGGGTCAATACAATACATTGGTGGTAAAATAAAATAAACTATGCTGCAGCCGCATTATCCAGGAGCAGGCCTAAAGGACAGTGACAAGGAAAATTCTACCTGTAGGCATAGCTGTAAGCAGTATACTTGATGATTCACTCTATATGGAATGGTCTGAAGTAAAGATATATATTGATTCCTAGGAAGTGGCAAAAAAAAAAATGGTTTAATTATTTGGTCAGGGTCCTGAAAAAAACAAGATTAGAAAGTTGGAAATAAGGAGGTCTGGGGAAGAGGCATGTGGCTGGACATATGGATATAGGTACTAAGTGCCTAGATCTTTGTGTCCCACCAGAGAGCATCCCTCCTAGACAAGGCTCTCACCATCTGGATGAACAGGGTGACTTGTCTTATGAACATTTTTGGTCACCACAGTGCTGGTGCAATAGACCCATGCCATTTGGCTCATACATAGCCTCCATCCATGTTGCCATGCCAAGGATGCACCCAATAGCATAAATTGCTCCTCACTAAGGTCAGCATAGCTAATACCACTGCTGAGTGTCCAACCTTCCAATAGCAGAGACTGACCCTGAGATATTGATATGGCACCACTCCTCAAGGAATTATACTTACATCACCTTCTGCCTCAGATAGAGGCTGGGCGCGGTGGCTCACACCTGTAATCCCAGCACTTTGGGAGGCTGAGGTGGGAGGATCATGAGGTCAAGAGATCGAGACCATCCTGGCCAACATGGTGAAACCCCATCTCTATTAAAAGTATAAAAATTAGCTGGGCATGGTGGCAGGTGCCTGTAGTCCCAGGTACTCAGGAGGCTGAGGCAGGAGAATCGCTTGAATCCGGGAGGTGGAGGCTGCAGTGAGCCGAGATCACACCATTGCACTCCAGCCTGGACGACAGAGCAAGACGCCGTCTCAAAAAAAAAAAAAGAGATCTTTTCAGGTTTGATACCTGCTTTAGATTGGGTTTGCCTTTCCTCTACATAATGCCTCCACCATCCAAGCCATCCAAGGTTTACATGTGCCTATTCTGTTGACATTGTATCACACATAATATTGCCTGGTGCAAGGGACCCATTTTACATCAAAGGAAGGTGACAATGGACATTTGACCATGAGCTCCACTGTCTTACCACACACTTCATCGCCCTGAAACATCCAGGCTAATAAGACAGTGTAATAACCTGTTAGGACTCATCTAATGTGCTAGAATAACACTCTGCAAACTTACTGTGCTTTGTGATCTAGGCATTGAACCAGCAAGCATAGTACATGGTTCTGTGTCTCCAATAACTAGAATATCCAAGTCCAAGAACCAGTGGGTAGAAGAAGGATTAACCCTTTTCATCATAATTCCCAGTGATTCACATAATGTTTGCTTCCCATTCCCTAAGCTTTAGGCTCTGCTTGCACTAGGGGGCCTCGTCCTGGGTGGGGATACTTCCATCAGGGAACAGAGTAAGATTTCTACTGCCTTGAAGCCTCAACTCCTCCTTGCTCATTTTCATCTCTTCCAGTAGATCAACAGGCAGATGCATGAGTTTATTTCTAATTATCATGAAAAGCTAGGTGATGCTACACAATGGGATCAAGAAGGAGTATGTCAGAAACCCCAGGGGACTCACTGGGGCATTTTCTGGTGCTTCCATGTCCAGTGATATCAGTAAATAGACCATTGAACAACCAGTGCCTGACCAAGCTAAGGCAACTAAGGATGAAGCCCCTCAAGGATGGTCTGGGTCACTCCACCAGCAAAGAAACTCAGACTGGTCAAAGTATTAGCCAAGGAAGAGGGAAATCTGGAATAAGTGGTAGAGGAGAGAGATGATGGGGCTGTAGTTCATTTTGCTCTCTCACTAAAAATCTTTTCAGAAACTGCAGCTGGCCACACTTTTGAAGATGACTCTGAATTATTGACCTTGTACCTCATTTCTCAGGGAAGACATAAAGACATCTTCACATCACAAAAATAAAGGCCACATATTATAGTGTGAAAGCCAGATATAATGGGGGGGGGGCAGAGCTGATTTGAGTGATGCAAGGGGAGAATTTTATCAGTATCTCTTATGTGCCAGTTCAGATCTTGGCCTTCCCTCACCCCTGGGCCTTTGGCCGCTTGTTTCAGACATAGCTGCAACTGTAATGACCTCTGTGTGGCCTCTGACCGACTTCAGTCAAAGAAAACCTGGTAATATCTTGCCCCATGCCTGTGCTGCACACTCCTACCACTTGCCTCAGTGCATTCCTATTGACACCAAGATATGATACAAACAGACCCACTTAGTGCCCATTAGAGCCAGCTGCATGACTTTCAGGTCCTAGTACAAACTAAAAATGTGAAGTCATTTGTTCAAAAAGCAGGAAAAAGTTTTTGCCTTTCTTCCACAGTGTCTCTCTTGACCTCTCGTGGTCTATTTTATTTTCTATTTAGTGTTGCACTCTCTGGAGCACAGGATGAGTGCAAACACTCCCAGGAGTCAAGGAACCCTCCCCATGACTGAGCATACACAACACAGCCCTCCCAATGCTGGAGTCCTCATCCCCACAGAGGAAGAGGGCTGACGCAGTAGGAGTAAGGGAGCAGGCTGCTGAGAACACACCCTCCTGAAAGGCAGGGAGAAGCGGGGGAGACAGGAATACCTGTGAGCCCAGGCTCCAACCCACCAGCGCATACTTTCTTCTCCCTCAGACTTCACTTACAAAACACAAATTCAGAGATAAAATTATTAAGAATTTCAAAACAGTGACTGCAAAGCATTAAACCCCAAGAGTGGGACCTCTTCTGATCCCAGGGCCCCATATGACTGCACAGGCCAGCACCCATGAAGCTGGCACTGGTCCTCATGCATGCCCAACTGTGAGTGTAAGGGAATTAATGCCCCATGGAGCAAACTTTTAACCAACGGGAGATGGATGTCTGCAAGTAAATGCTTCTTTGTTCTTACTGTATGTACCATCCTAAGAAGCACTCATTTACGTAGCCTCTTGGAAACTGTATTAGTCCATTTTCACACTGCTGTAAAGAACTTCCTTTAGACTCAGTAATTTATAAAGGAAAGAGGTTTAATTGACTTAAATTTCCACATAGATGAAAAGGCCTCAGGAAACTTACAATCATGGTGGAAGGGGAAGCAGGCACCTTCTTCACAGGGCAGCAGGAAGGACAGCAACAAAGGAGGAACTTCCAAACACTTATAAAACCATCAGATCTTGTAAGAACTCACTATCACAAGAACAGTATGGGGAAAACTGCCTCCATGATCCAATTACCTCCCACCAGTTCCCTCTCTCTACACCTGGAGATTACAATTTGGATTACAATTCAAGATGAGATTTGGGTGGGGACACAGAGCCAAACCATCTCATTCTGCCCCTGTCCCCTCCCAAATCTCACCTCCATTTCACATTTCAAAAATCAATCATGCCTTCCCAACAGTCCTCCAAAGTTATAACTCATTCCAGCATTAACCCAAAACTCCAAGTCCAAAGTCTCATCTGAGACAAGGCAAGTCCCTTCGACCTATGAGCCTGTAAAATCAAAAGCAAGTTAGTTACTTCCAAGATACAATGGGGGTACAGGAATTGGATAAATGCTCCCATTCTAAGTGGGAGAAATTGGCCAAAACAAAGGGGCTACAGGCCCCATGCGAGTACAAAATCAGTGGGGCAGTCATTAAATCTTAAAGCTCCAAAATAATCTCCTTTGACTCCATATCTCACATCCAGGACATGCTGATTCAAAGGGTGGATTCCCACAGCCTTGGACAGCTCCACCCCTGTTGCTTCCTGTGACTTTTCAGGGTTCAGCTCCTGCAGCTGTTCTCACAGGATGGCATCGAGTGCCTGCAGCTTTTCCAGGTGCATGGTGCAAGCTGTCCATGGATCTACCATTCTGGGATCTGAGGATGGTGGCCCTCTTCTCACAGCTCCACTAGGCAGTGCCCCAGTGGGGACTCAGTGTGGGGCTTCAAACCCACATTTTCCTTCAACAATGCCCTAGCAGAGGTTCTTCATGATGGCTCTGCCCCTGAAGCAGACTTCCTGGACATCCAGGCATTTCCATACATCCTCTGAAATCTAGGTAGAGATTTCCAATCCTCAATTCTTGACTTCTGTGCACCTGTAGGCCCAATGCCACATGGAAGCCACCATGGCTTGGGGCTTGCACCTTCTGATGCAATGGCCTGAGCTGTATCTTGGCCCCTTTTAACCACATCTGGAGCTGGAGCATCTGGAACACAGGGCACCAAGTACTGAAGATACACACAGTGGCAGGGCCCTGGGCCTAGCCCATGAAACCATTTTTTCCTCCTAGGCCTCTGGGTCTGTGATGGGAGGGGCTGCTGCCAAGATTTTTGACATGCCCTGGAGAAATTTTCCCCATTATCTTGGTTATTAACATTTGTTTCCTTCTTACTTATACAAATTTACGCAGCCAGCTTGAATTTCTCCCCAGAAAATGGGTTTTTCTTTTCTATTGTATCATCAGGCTGAAAATTTTCCAAACTTTTATGCTCTGCTTCCCTTTTAAATATAAGCTCCAGTTTCAGATCATCTCTCTCAAGTTCAAAGTTCCACAGATCTCTAGGGCAAGGGCAAAATGCCACCAGTCTCTTTGTGAAAGCATAGCAAGACTGACCTTTGCTCTAGCTCCCAAGAAGTTCCTCATCTCCATCTGAGACCATCTCAGCCTGGACTTCATTGTCCATATACTATCAGCATTTTGGTCAAAATGATCAACAAGTCTCTAGGAAGCTCCAAACTCTCCCACATTTTCCCGTCTTCTTCTAAGCCCTCCAAGCTGTTCCAGCATCTGCCTGTTACCCAGTCCAAAGTCTCTTCCACATTTTCAAGTATCTTTATAGCAGTACCCCACTCTCTGACATACCAATTTACTGTATTAGTCTGTTTTCACACTGCTATAAAGAACTTCCCTGAGACTGGGTGATTTATAAAGGAAAGAGGTTTAATTGACTCACAATTCCACATGGCTGGGGAGGCCTCAGGAAACTTACAATCATGGCAGAAGGGGAAGCAGGCACCTTCTTCACAAGGGGGCAGGAGAGACAGCAATGAAGGAGGAACTTCCAAACACTTATAAAACCATCAGATCTCATGAGAACTCACTGTTATGAGAACAGTATGGGGAAAACCACCCTCATGATCCCATCACCTCCCACCAGGTTCCTCCCTCTACACCTGGGGATTATAATTCAGATTACATTCAAGATGAGATTTGGCTGGGGAGACAGAGCCAAACCACATCAGAAACAGTTGTACAAGATCAGTAAATCAGTCATGTGAATCTAAGTGCAGTCCAGAGCAATTCAGCATTCTCATGTTAGCTCTCCCTCCCCTTTTCTTCATTCTGTTTAAATAGCATTCCTCATTAAAGTAATAGCACATAAGCCATTTTCATATGCTCTGCATTTTTATTATAGTAACCCAGGCTAAGCAATCAGTTAACTGAAAAAGTAAGGAAGCAAAGAACACACCAGGCATATTTTAATTTAAACATTTTATTTTAACTTAGAATGTTAATTTAAAATGTTTAAGTATGCACTCATTTGCCAACTTTCCAAAGGGGTTTTTTTAAAGATTGGATCCACTGATTAAAGTTCTATATTGTCTTTATTGACTAAATCATATCATTCTGCCCCTGGCCCCTCCCAAATCTCATCTCCATTTCACATTTCAAAAATCAATCATGCCTTCTCAACAGTCCACCAAAGTTTTAACTCATTCCAGCATTAACACATCATTTACAATTTATAGACTTAATTTATTTAAAGTAAAACAATAAATTAAAGTCTCTTTTTAAAGCAACTTGAGTGTATAATTGCTTTAGATATAGATATATAGATATATCTAGATAGATAGATAGATATTTATTCTGATATTTAACAGTGGCCCTACCAATCTCACTTGGTAGCTTTATTTTAATGAATACCTACATTAAGTTGTTACAAAGTATTTGATTTAGTTTTCATAGAAACAAATATTTTTTCAACTAAATTCTCATAGATGAATGTAGTATTTAGTTAAATTACACAATGACAATCAGAAATACAATACACATAATCAGTGTAAGAACAAATACAATTGCTTCCTATTAACATTCAGCTCTGCTGATAAAAACCAAAGGCTATGGTGTCCTAGATCAGTAGTTCCCCAAGTATGTCCCCAGACCAGCAGCATCAAAGTCCTGAGAACTTATCAGAAATGTCAAGTTCTCAGGCCCCACTCCAGACTCACAGAATCAGAAAATCTCGAGGTAATTCTGATGCACATGTAAATCGAGATCCACTGTCCTAGAGAACAGTTTAATAGCTGGGAGTATGCATGTGATGGCCATGATTAGCACACTTTACTAAGGAGATGGAGAGTCTGTTAATTTAACTAGTTTATTGAAGATCAGTTAAAAAAAAAAAAACCACTGTGTTTTAGTTAGCATTAGTTTTGGTTCCATATAATTAAAAAAACTACAGTAGCTTATATGAATATAGTTAACACTGCTGAACTGTATACTTAAAATGGTTAAGATGGTAAATTTTATATTATTTTTACTACAAAAAATAAATTTAATAAAATTAAAAATTTTAATTAAAAAACAGTGGCTGAAACAAATTAGAAATTTATTTATCTTACATCAAAGAAATCCACAAGTAGACAGTCCATGACTTGTAAGGCACTCCACTAAGTGACCAAGGACCCAGGAACCTTCCAGCTGACTCTCCACCATCCCTCATATGGGGCCCTCATCCTCATGGTCCAAAACAGCTACTAGAGCTTCAGCCACTGCATCTACATCCCAGGCAAGAGAAGAGAGCAAAAGAAAAAACAGAGGTACCCCCTCCCTTAAAAAGAGGCTTCACAGAAATCCCATACAACACTTTGTTGCAATATCTCATTGTCTAGTAGTCACTTGGTAATGCAAAGGAGCATGGCAAATGCCTTCTGGCTTGAGGCAGCAGTATGCCCACTTAAATCCTGAGATGCTATTGCTAAGGGAGAAGAGGTGAATAAATACTGGGAAATAATTAGCAGACTCTATCACATATTGTAATTGTAAAATTATACTGGCTGTTACCCAATCCTAAAATGAAGAACTCTCTCGTGTAAACATTTCTAGACATTGCTGTAGGAAAAATACACACAGATTCAGCTTTTTTAAAAATTCATTAGTTTTTTTAAATGAAAGTGGGAAGAAAAATACCCTTTGCTGAGACCTGTTACATGCTGATCATTGTGCTTTGCATCTGTCCATCACTGATTGTCCATCACCAGGTTTGATGGGAAGTCTATCTTACTTTCTGTGATAAGTAGGATGGGCTAGATTTGATGCAGTAAAAAGAAAACTCACTGGTTACTTGTTAGGAGAGAGATAAGAAGGAAGGGGAATCTTCCCCAGGGTCCCTGTCTTAGTTTAGGCTGCAATAACAGAATACCATAGCCTAGGTGGCTTAAACAACAAACAAGTATTGCTCACAATTCTGGAAGCTAGAAGACCAAGATCAAGGTGCCAGCAGATCTAATGTCTGGTGAGGGCTCTCTTCCTGGTTTAGAGATGGCTGACTTCTTGTTGTATCCCCACACAGCAGGGAAAAAGGTGGGGGGGTTGAAGAAGCCAGATGTCTTGTGACTCTTCTTATAAGGGCACTACTCCCATTCATGAAGGCTCCACCCTCATGACCTAATTACCTCCTAAAGGCTCTACCTCCTCATACCATCATATTGAGTGTTAGGATTTCAACGTATGAATTTAAGGTGGGGAAACACAAACATTCAGTCCATAACAGTTCCTATAAGTCAAAGCAAAAGATATAACCATGCCTAACTTCAGGCAGGTGACCAAGTGCCCAAGGAGAACTGGAAACATTGATGACTAGTAGCCCAGGCTCATTGAGGCCAGAAACAATGTCTTATTAACTTGGTATCTGTCATCTATCCCACATCCTCACAGATCTGAGGGTTCCAGTAAATGTTGAATTGTTTGCTCAATGGAAGTTTAAAAATCCCCTCAAATTATCTTATCAAATCAATCATCTTTCTAGGACCACCCTCCAACCCCACCAAAATTAGCTTATGCAACATTTATTTCTAGAATTCATCCAGGCAGTGAAAAAATTAAAACTTGCTGAAAATTAGATTCTGCCCAACTCCATCACCTGCTACCATCCGGGGGAAGGACTTTCCAAAACAGACCAAGCACCAGCCCTCTAGTGGAAGAAACACTTATTTTGGCTTTTGTGCTGCAGTCCAATTTGATGTGTCAAAATTCTGTCTTTCATCTGCCCTTCTACAAAACAAAACAGTAATAACAAATGTTGTTATGGGAATTAAATTTTTCAGATGATTAGGTTATATAGCAGGATAATCACTTTTGCTTTAATGAAGAATAAAGTATATGACACTGCTGGCATTGTTATTAGAGATTGTCAAATAAATAATTTAAGATGCACTGTTTATGTAAGTCCCTAATTACTTCTGGGATTTGTACAGTAAGGTAGAGTTAATGGTCTTCTCTGTCATTTCCCTTCTAATTGCATAAAATAAATAAGGCGCTCTGTTAAAGAAAAATGGGTAACTAAATCATGATGAGTCAAAACCCACCTAATTAAGACATGAATGCCAGAATTGAGCCCAAAGCTGCTCATGGGCACACTTCAAATCATTACTGGATACCTCAGAAACAAACTGTGCTTAATATACCAGGGGAAATAGCCAGTGTTATCCATCTGACTATCTTCATCAGTACATTCCTGAGCCTCTAATGTCAGAACCTCAACATATTTAGCAATGAAATGCTGGAATTAGATAACTTTACACCATATATGGAAATAAATTGTATTATGTGGGTTTCCATCCAGTTACAGGAAAAAGGGGTCTTGATCCAGACTCTAAGAGAGGGTTCTTGGATCTCACACAGGAAGAAATTCAAGGCGAGTTTCAGAGCACAGTGAAAGAAGCAAATTTATTAGAAACTACTCCATTGCAGAGTAGGGCATCTCCAGAAAGCAGGCCAAGGAACACATCATCTCTGTTTTAAGTTTTTCTTATATGGGGGTCTTGTCTATGTACAGACTAAACTAAGCTGTGACTACATGCAGGTGAGCAGAGAGCATAACAAAATGTATTATTACACTGATTTAAAGAAAACTATCTTTGACATTTCACTGGGTGAGTACATCAAAGCATAAATATAATTATCTTGAAAGCATATATTGTTATGGGTATTAGGACATCTGGACTTTCTGTTGTAGGAATGTGTCCTTGTAGGTTTTCTCAACTATAAACATCTTAGGACCATTGGTGATGACTGGCAAGGAATGTGTCTTGCTAGTTTCAAGATGACCCTGAACTTAAAATCTTGTCACTCTGGCTCTCCTAGGCTCTTGCTTCCCTAATGATCCCACCACTCAACTCTCCAGCTCAATTCTGGATCCATAAACACTCTAAAAAAGAACAACTGGGCTGGGCGCGGTGGCTCATGCCTGTAATCCCAGCACTTTGGGAGGCCAAGGCGGGTGGATCACGAGGTCAGGAGATCAAGATCATCCTGGCTAACACGGTGAAACCCCATCTCTACTAAAAATACAAAAAATTAGCCGGGTGTGGTGGCGGGCGCCTGTAGTCCCAGCTACTCGGGGGGCTGAGGCAGGAGAATGGTGTGAACCCAGGAGGCGGAGCTTGCAGTGACCCGAGATCATACCACTGCACTCCATCCAGCCTGGGTGACAGAGCAAGACTCCATCTCAAAAAAACAGAAAAAAGAAAAACTCGTCCTTGGAGCATTGTAGGCTTTTTATCTTTCTTATGATTTCCTGAATGTGTTTGCTGGTCTGGACTCTGATGCAAGAGGGTGGAGAGAGAAATGTGGTGGCCTTGAGGCACAGGACTCAGGATAATGGATCAGATAAGATGTTCTAGGTTCATCCACCTGCTGGTATGTACCAAAAGCAAGGCTAGGAATGTGTCATTACAGACAGGACGGGCAGAACCTAGCTGCACGGTTGAGGAGGGGACAGGAAAAGACTGCTTTTTCATCAGAGGACTTCAAAGGGCTCAGCCTGGCCTGAGGGTGAAACAAGGTGGCCAAAAAGAGTGGCTCCTACTTCAGGTCTGAGAATCAAAAAGGAGAGTGATGAAAGGATCTGGAAGGAGCTGTGAAATGTGTTACACTTTGACCTCAATTTCCTCAACTGTGTATATTTTGTGTCCTAAAATCCCCTTGTATCATATCGAAAGTCTATACAGAAAACTAGATCAACCATTGTGGAAGACAGTGTGGCGATTCCTCAAGGACCTAGAACTAGAAATACCATTTGACCTAGCTATCCCATTACTGGGCATATACCCAAAGGATTATAAATCATGCTGCTATAAAGACACATGCACACGTATGTTTATTGTGGCACTATTCACAATAACAAAGACTTGGAACCAACCCAAATGTCCATCAATGATAGACTGGATTAAGAAAATGTGGCACATACACACCATGGAATACTATGCAGCCATAAAAAAGGATGAGTTCATGTCCTTTTTAGGGACATGGATGAAGCTGGAAACCATCATTCTCAGCAAACTATCGCAAGGACAGAAAACCAAACACCACAGGTTCTCACTCATAGGTAGGAATTGAACAATGAGAACATTTGGACACATGGTGGGGAACGTCACACACTGGGGCCTGCTGTGGGATGGCGGGAGGGGGGAGGGATAGCATTAGGAGATATACCTAATGTAAATGACGAGTTAACGGGTGCAGCACACCAACATGGCACATGTATACATATGTAACAAACCTGCACGTTGTGCACAGGTACCCTAGAACTTGAAGTATAATGATAAAAATTAAAAAAAAGAAAGTTTGTACAGATAAGCTTTGATAGTCTATTAATTGGGTAATTCCTGCACTGCCACCAACCATAATTCTTTGTGTGGTTTGGGGGTTTTGTTCTTTTTTACTTTCTCCAAAACTGCCCAATATCCATCTTTTTAATCTTAATTAAAAACTGTGCATGAATTCATTCTGAAAGAGGGGAGTCTATAATTCCAGCCAAGGGAAGAGTAAAATTGGTAAATGGCTTGGAACACACTGAGTCTGAAGTGCCTGGCACTCCTAGATGGAGACATTGCATTGACTCCATGAAAATGAAGCTTAAAAGATCTGAACTGGAGCAGAGATTTGGGAGTCATGTGGTGGATGGCAATTAAAGCAAGGACAATGGACGCTTACCCAAGAGAGCTGTCAAAAGAAGACCAAAGACAGAACTCAGGCAAACACACGTTTCTTAGCAAGGTCGAGGAAGAAGAGGCAATTAAGTCATACACATAAGAGGAGAAGTTACAGGAGAAAGAAGAAAAAGGTATTGCTGCCTATAAGAAAAGTTTCCAGAAGGACTTGTTAATAGTGTCAGAGGCCATGGGGATCCAATGGGTCAAGAATCTGAAGGAGAGGTGCTTCTGTGTGGAGGTGCAGGAGAGGTAACTCTAGAGAAGAAAAAGTGGACACAAACCATGGAACCATGAGGCAGTCTTTGCTGGAGGAATCTATACCTTTTAGTTCCTTCAGATAACAGCACAAGGGTTTCACAAAGAAATTCCCCTTGGGAGAGCCTTCACTGTAGGAAGTGGAAGGAAGGAAGGAGTAACCTATTTTATTACCTATACTAATTACTCATTGATTTTTGGACCATATCAGCACCCACAAGTATGAGGCACAAGCTCTAGGCCTTAGATCTTCCAGGGAATGGGAATGCCCATAACCCCTGGCTCTCAAAAGGACATATATAGCTAAGTACCCCATACCCTTCCAGCATTGTCCTCATCAAATGTATTAGTTTCCCAGGGCTGCCACAACAAAGTACCAGAAATAGGTGTCTTAAAACAACAGAAATTCATTCTCACAAAATTCTGGAGGTTAGAAATCCAAGATCAAGAAGTTGGCAGAGCCATGCTCCCTCTAAAGGCATAGGGAGGCTTCTTCCTAGCACTGGTAGCTCCCAGCTATCCTTGATGTTCCTTGACTCATAGCTGCATAACTCTAACCTCTGCATCACTCCAACGTCTACCTCTGTCTTCACATGGCTTTCTTCCCTGTCAATGTCCATGTCCTCTCCTCTTATAAGGACAGCAGTCATTGGATTAAGGTCCATTCTGATCCAGTATGACCTCATCTTAACTAATTATATCTGCAAGACCCTAATTCCAAAAAAGGTCACATTCTGAGGTCTTGGTAGACACGAATGTTGGGGGACACGATTCAACCTACTAGACTGAATGTGTAAGCACCTCCTGGGAAAACCAGTCACAGCTTGAAGAGTAGGACTGGCTGCCAAGTCATCTCCTTCCACCTCTTCAATCCCTCTTTTTTCTCATCAATGCCCCCTGTTAGGCCAGGGAATAGTTCCAGAAGCATCTTGTTCGGCCTGGCTGCCTGTCTTTAACAGTGTGTCATGGGAAGTGTGCTACCCATTGTGCTCAGAATCACAGTCCTGGGACTCAGGGCCCCAGAATTCACTCCTGATTGACTCAGTTGCTCTGGCTTGTATAGCCTTAGCTCCTGCTCATTTTCAGACTAACTCTCATATTTGACAGTAGTGTGGGTACACCTTCAGTTCCTAACATTTGGCTGTGTGTTCTGGATGCAAAACTTACCTCGACTTTCTGAGATGATGTCTTCATGGATCAATCATTCCCTAACAGCTATGTGGACGTGGGCCAGGTTGACTGCAGGCTCACTCATTGCCATTCAGTGTCCTTAAGGGCTTCACTCACTCTAGAACCAGAATGTGCACTTCTGCTCCATCACTTCCATCTTTCTAGCCACCCACCCAGGACTTTAAAACTCTATTCTTTCTGGACAGATAAATATAATCTCTCCAGAAAGCACTGACGATACAAGTGATGTCTGATTATCACCCGTCAAGAAAGTTATATTGAATGACACTCATCTTTTAAACAGTCCAGCCAGGGCAGAGATGAATGCTACGATATGGGTGAGGACATTCTTTTTGTTGAGGACAAGGGAGTTAATGAAGTTCTTATTTTATATTTTAGAATAATTTTAGATTTACAGGAAAAACTCAAAGACAATGCACACAGTGCCCATATACCCAAGCCCAGCTTTCCTCATGATGAACGTCTTACAATAGTATAGCACATTGTCACAACTAATGTTGATAACATTATTATTAATTGAAGTCCATACTTTACTCATATAAATATCCAGCCCTGAAATATCATTAGTTTTTACCCAATGTCCTTTTTCTGTCCTCTGATACTATAATACGTTTAGTCATCACGTCTCCTTGGGCCTCTCTTAGCTGGAACAGTTGGGACACTATCTTTTACAATGTCTCTGCCATCTCAGACTCAACCTCCATGCATCTCCACACCACCTAGACCCCAGGAACCCATGAGCACAGGGAGGAAGGTCATAGAGGAAAATAAGTCACTCAGGGTGATGCATGGAGCCTGATCCAAACTACAGTTTCTAAAGGCCTCCTAGAACTAGTGAAATAAATTTTACAATGGTGTTAAGAGTCGTATCTTGTCCTGTAAGAAATAGTACTTTGGTTTCTACAGCACAAGATGAGAAACAGGAAACATATCAAGAAAAAGCCACACGGCTGGGAAGGAGACATCAGAATATGTGTTAATGAGGAACTGCTCTATCAAAGGGGACAGAGAGAAGGCAGACAGTTGGAGGGCCCTGGGTGCAGGCCAGCCAGGGAACAAGGACAGACACTACTAGCTCTCCACTGTGGAGATTAGGAACACAGTTAGCTTTGAGCATTCCCCGCCCCAAGATTCCTCACCCTCCAAACAGATGCGTAAACTGTGTGGCAAGCTCACGGGGCCTGGCATCCCAAGGGCATTTGCTCCCCAGGTCCAGAGATGCCTCTCATGTGGGAACGCCCTTAAGAGTAAGGGGCATGAATCCTATTCCATTCTCTATTTTCATCAGCACATTCTCCATTTTCTCTGCATAAGGAATAGAACTGCCAACTCTCTCCTTGTCTGGGGTCAGAGTCAGTTTCACATAGTAAACATTCTGCTGATTGTAGTAGGGGTGTAGGAGAGGGAAAGAAATACATGGGAAAAAAAGGGACCACTCTGAGATCTGAAGAAAGAACCCAAGGAGCAAAAAACTAATCGGAGACACTTTTCTAATCTCTCCTTCATGTCCTCTAATTACTTATCACTATTTTTGTCTCCCTGATCCTTTTGGTATTTTTTAGTAATTTCATGGAGATATAATTCACATACAAAACAATTCACCCATTTAAAGTGTACAATTAAATTAAAAACCATTTAATTGTAGATATTTAGGGTTCCTATTACATCTACAAAGTTGTGCAATCATCACCACTGATATGGTTTGACTGTGTCCCCACCCAAATCTCATCTTGAATTGTAGCTCCCATATTTCCCATGTGTCATGGGAGGAATTCAGTGGGAGGTAACTGAATCATGGGGACGGGTCTTTCCCATGCTGTTCTCATGATAGTGAATAAGTTTCTTGAGATCTGATGATTTTATAAAGGGGAGTTTCCCTCCACATGCTCTCTGGCCTGCCACCATGTAAGATGTGCTTTTGCTCCTCCTTTGCCTTCCACCATGATTGTGAGGCCTCCCCAGCCATGTAGAACTGTGAGTCCATTAAACCTCTTTTTCTTTATAAATTACCCAGTCTTGGGTATGTCTTTATTAGCAACGTGAGAACAGACTAACAACAACCACCATCTAATATCAGAACTTTGTCATCACCCCCAAAATAAACCCTGTACCCATTAGCAGTTATTCCCAATTCTCCCTTCCCCAATTCCCAGGCCCTAGTATCCATTAATCTGCTTTCTATCTCTATGGTTTTGCCTATTCTGGACATTTCATACAAATTGAATCATATAATATGTGGCCTTTAATGACTGACTTTTTTCACTTAGTATAGTGTTTTCAACTTTCATCCATGTTGTACCATGTATCAATACTTTATTACTTTTTATGGTTGAATAATATTTTATTGTATGGATATACCACATTTTGCTTATCCATTGATCAGTTGATGGGCATTTGGGTTGTTTCTACTTTTTGGATTTTATGAATAATTCTACTATGAACATTCATGTACAAGTTTTTGTGTGGACATACATTTTCAATTCTCTTGGATATATACCTAGGAGTAGAATTGCTGGGTCACATAGTAACTCTATATTTAACTTTTTGAGGAACTGCCAAACTGTTTTCCAAAGTAGCTGCACCAGTTCTTTCACAAGAGCAAGAAATAAATTTTTCTGCTGTTTAATTCACTATTCTTTGGGGTTTTGCTGTTGTATAGTTGCTGTATGTACAACTGAACCTAATTATAACTAGCACACTTAAGTATTCAGTGCCCTTAAGTATTCAGTGCTTTGTAAATGAGTACATATGCTTTAATCACTAGAGTGTGTCTCATCTGCCCAATAAGACTGGAAGCAATTTGAGGACAGGGATTACATTTTTATCTTTCCACATCTTCCACAGAGCCCAGTATGGTGCCATGCCCCAAACAGAATTAATTTCAATGCTTCTGGATAGATGCACGGATGTGGGGGCTCAAAATAAATCAAAAAGACATACAGAAAAGAGAATTGCTAGCCTTCTCTCTCTTTGAATAGTGAGAATTTCCTTTCTCCACCATCAGTCACTGAGCTTAATTATAGGACACTGTAAATAAACTTGCTGTTGAAATTTATTTGGAGAGACACTAGGTGTTGCTGGTTACCCATGAAAAGGATATTGTTAGGATTTATTCAGCAGTACCTGAAGCAAATTAGGAAGAATTTTGGCTTTCCATTGTGCTTTTGCCAAAGTTCTTTCCAGATAGAAAGTGCACAAAATATATATTGGGGTAGTTAAACTAATGGCCCGCTATAGATGTCCATGTCCTAATCCCAAGAACCTATGACTATGTTAGGTTACTGGGCAAAGGGGAATTAAAGTTGCTAATTGGCTGATTTTAAAATAGGGAGATTATGCTGGATGATCTGGGTGAGCCTAATTGATATGGTTTGGCTATGTCCCCACCCAAATCTCAGCATGAATTGTAGCTCCCATAATTCCCACGTATGTCATGGGAGAGACCCAATGGGAAGTAATTGAATCATGGGGGAAAGTCTTTCCAATACTGTTCTCGTGATAGTGAGTAAGTCTCATGAGATCTGATGGTTTTATGAATGGAAGTTTCACTGCACAAGCCCTCTTGTCTGCTGCCAAGTAAGAGGTACCTTTGCTTCTCCTTTGCCTTTCTCCATGATTGTGAGGCCTCCCCAGCCATGTAGAACTGTGAGTCCATTAAACCTCTTTCCTTTATAAATTGCCCAGTCTCAAGTATGTCTTTATTAGGAGCATGCAAACAGACTAATACACTAATGTAATCACAAGGGTCCTTAAGACTGGAAGAGAGAGGCAGAATAGAGGGGAAGATGTGACTACAGAAGAAAGGCACAGAGCAATGTCACATGGCTGGCTTTGAAGATGGAGAAAGGGAACCATGAGGAAAGAAATGCAGGTGGTCTCTGGATGCTGGAAAAGGCAAGGGGCCTCCAGAATGGAATACAGCCCTGTCAACACCTTGATTTTAGCCCAATCAGACCCCTTTCGTGCTTCTTTCCTCCAGAACTGTAAGATAATAAATTTATCTTGTTTTAAAACCACTGTTTGTGATAATTTGTTATGGCAGCAATAGAAAATTAATACATATACTAATAAAGTTTTTCCCATTTCATTTTGAAAGTGTGAAACCTACTTCTTAGAGAGACGGTGAGATGGGGGAGTCAGGGGTGGAGGTGGGGGTTAGGTGACAGTTCACCGACATAGTTAATTGTATTATGTTATCTAATGTGTATTATATCAGGCATTAATAATAATTGCATTTTATGATATTCTACACTTTCCCAAGGACTTTCAACATATTGTTTCATTCAATCACGACAATAACTTTGAGAAGCTGCGTAGACACATTGCTTCCCATTTTGACAGGCAGAAAACAATGAGTCACAAAGAAGGTCCCTGAGACAGGTGATGACAGAATCAGCACCTTGTTTTTATCTCTTTCAGGACTTGTCTTAGCCTTTTATATCTTACTCTTTCAAAGAACTTGGGTCCCAGAGCACAAGAAACAAAAAAACCACCTTCCTGAGGATACCTGTATATTTGTAGGTATTCTGCCACCATCTCTGGCACTTAGGGAAAGAGTTCCAAGACATCAAATTAACATGAAGTATTAACCATCTGGCTTCTAGACAATGGCCTGGAATCAGGTAGAAAGGCAGGGCTTACATATTCCAGACAGATTTGCACCACACGTGCTTCCCAGGGCAGAAGGGAACTGTCAGACCCAAAGACTCTCTCCTGCAGGGATTCACTCCTCACTCTCCCACTCCTTCCACCCAGCCTCCACCTTCTTCTGAACTCTGGTCCCAGCCCTGTAGGCAGGAGCTTCACCATTTGACTGACATCAAGAATCTCTGGCTTGAAGTCAGGAAGGGTAATTCCAGCACTTTGGGAGGCAGAGGCAGGTGGGTCACCCGAGATCAGGAATTTGAGACCAGCATGGCCAACATGGCGAAACCCCGTCTCTACTAAAAATACAAAAATTAGCCAGGCATGGCGACGGTCACCTGTAATACCAGCTACTTGGGAGGCTGAAGCAAGAGAATCACTTGAACCCAGGAGGTGGAGGTTGCAGAGCAAGACTCTGTCTCAAAAAAAAAAAAGCAGCATGTCTGGCTTAAACTCATCCCTGTAGTCCATCCTACTCTGGACCCCTGAAATAGAAAATACACCCTGTTTGTGGCCCCTCAAAGCCTAATTCCCATACAAGTCAAACAGACACATTCTATAATATAATTTATCTCACCTGCCTTCTCAGTCCTCAATCCCCTACCTTCCCCCTTCCACCTTCCACTTTCCCTCTTTCCTTTCTTCTGTCAATAAATATTGAGGAGCATATTTATTTTATGCACTGTACGTGAATTAGGGATGTTGTGGTAAGGAACAGGCCCACTCCCTGGCCTCTGGGCCATACAGCTATTGAATGCACATATATATAAAACAATACTTTCTAAAAAGGGAGAAGCACCGGGCACTGGCACTCACTTGGCAGGGAGGCTGGCTCCCACTTCCTTAACAACATTGGATTTGGTTATTTTGAGCTCAGTGATGCCATTCCAGAGAGGCAGTGGTTAAAGGACCCAGTCTCCAAAGCCAGACTTCCTGGGCCCAAATCCTGAATCTATCACTTGCTAGCTATGTGATCCTGGGCAAGTTATTTAACTTCTCTTTGCCTCAGTTTCTTCATATGTAAATGGGGATGATGATAATAACACTCAACACTTTAGATGTTTTTGATGATTTAGTTAATACATGTAAATGCAGTACCTGACATATATTGGATTGAAAATCATATGAAATTGCTGTTGTCAGTAATTGACAGCGACATCAGCAACTCCATGTTTTAATATTAGCAAACACTATATAAATGTTCATCACTGGCTTTTCAGCAGGGTGGTGAGGGAGCGAGCAGACGCAAGGGGCAAAGGAATGAGTAGCTAGTGAGGCCATAAGAAGCAGGAAGAAGAAGGCCTCTTCCCTCTCTTTAATCAGTAAAGCCATTAAATCAGGCCAGAATGAAAGGGACACAGACAAGTGGAAAATGAACACGTGTTACAAGATAATCTCAGGTAAAAAGCAAAACACCAGTTATAATGCATAATGCTACAATTAGCATCAAGAAAAATATTCTATGGACAGACATCAGAAGGGAACATCGAAGTGAAAACAGTCACTGAATTAGATGCCAGGAATATGGGGAAATGTTTAAAAGCTTTTTACAATACTGTTGTAAAGTGGCTTAAATAGCTTTTTTTTTTTAAGTAAAGAAGTGTGTTCATGAAAAGAATGCAAGCATAGGCTGAGGAATTGGAGTCTGTTGATGCTCTGTGTGGGCAAGAACCAGTTGCTCTTTATTCTGAAGTTAGAAAGCCTGAGTGCAAATCTCCACTCTACGGCTGCATATCTGTGTGGCCTTTGGCAAGTAACTTACCTCTCTGTGCTTCAGCTTCCTCTTCTTGAAGATAAGAATAGTGTATTAGTCAGGATTCTCCAGTGGGACAGAACTAATAGGATGTATGTATATATGAAAGGGAGTTTATTAAGGAGAACTGGCTCATACAGTCACAAGGTGAAGTCCCATGATAGGCCACCTGCAAGCTGAGGAAGAAAGAAGCCAATACTGACTCAGTCTGAGTCCAAAAGCCTCAATAGGAAGGGGAGCTGACAGTACAGCCTTCAGTCTGTGGCCGAAGGCCCAAGAGCCCCCGGTAAACCACTAGCATAAGTCCTACAGTCCAAAGGCTGAAGAATCTCGAGTCTGATGTCCAGGGGCAGGAGAAACAGATGGAGGCATCCAGCATGGGAGAAAAATGAAAGCCAGAAGGCTCAGCAAGCCAGCTTAACCCACCTTCTTGCACCTGCTTTGTTCTAGCCATACTGGCAGCTGATTGGATGGCGCCCACCCACACGGAGGGTGGGTCTTCCTCTCCCAGTCCACCGACTCAAATGTTAACCTCCTCTGGCAACATCCTCACACCCAGAAACAATACTTTACCAGCTATCTAGGCATCCTTCGATCCAATCAAGTTGACACCTAATATTCACCATCACAAATAGAAACTACCACCACTAAAGGCTCTCATAAATACTAACTGAAGTAATAAATGTAAAACACTTAGAGCAGTGCCTGACATATAGCATGAGCTTTTAGTGTTATCATTCCCAGCAACTAGCAAAAGAGCAATGTCTTGGAACACATCACAGGGCTTATAATCCAATGAGAGAGACAAACATATGACAGTAATAGTAACACCTAACACTAAGTGCTTACTATGTGTGACACACTTATTAAGTTATTCATAGGAATTCACTCATTTAATTCTTCTCTTTTCTTTTTTAAGAGGGATAGGGTCTCACTCTGTTGCCCTGGCCGGAGTGAAGTAGCACAATCATAGCTCACTATAGCCTCAAACTCCTGGGCTCAAGTGATCCTCCCACCTCAGCCTCCCAAGCAGCTGGGACTACAGGTGTGCACCACCATGCCCAGATCATATTTAAATTTTTTGTAGAAACAGGGTCTCACTCTGTTACCCAGGCCAATCTCAAACTCCTGGCCTCAAGTCATCCTCCCACCTTGGCCTCCCAAACTGCTAGGATTACAGGCATGAGCCACTGCACCCAGCCTTACTAATTTAATTCTTGCAACAACTCTAAGAGCTAAGTGTTATTATTACTGTCATACTATTGATGATACTGTTGAGGCACAGAGAGGTGAACTAGCCCAAAGTCACACAGCTAGTAAGTGACGAATCTTTTGCTATTATAGTGTAGAAAGGGTCTTAGTGAGGTAATTAACAGATGCACTGAGACTAGCCTATCCTCATCCACGGATACTGTATTTGCAAATTCTCCTACTTGCTAACATGTATTTGTAACCCCCAAGTCCATACTCCCAATGCTGTCAAGGTCATTCACAAACACGCATAAAGTGGCAATAAAAATGTGAGTCACCCCATGTGCATGTTCCCAATGAGACTGAACGAGGTGACATTTTGCCTTTTTATTTCCATTCTCACTCTATAAACAAGTGTCCTTTCCAAGGTCCATTTAGTGCCACATTTTTTTGTATCCTTATGCTTTTATTTGGTGATTTCACTGTTTATAATGGCCCCCAACTTAGTGCTGAAGCACTGTCTAGTGTTCCTAAGCATGAGAAAACTGTGATGTGCCCTGTGGAGCAAAACAGGTGTTTGCATAAGCTTCATTCAGGTGTGACTCATAGTGCTGTTGGCTATGGGTTCAATGTTAATGAATCGACAACATATTAAAAAAGAAATACACACAGAACAAGATTATGCCTTTAAACAGAAACACACATAGAACAGATTATGCTTTAATCAGTTGATGACAATGCGTTGACCAGAAGCTTACAGGAACCTAACTCTATATTACCTCTAGGAACCATGGCTCAGTATTCGCTAATGCAGTGCTCATGGCAACTTTCTAGAATGTAACTACTGTGGATAATGAGAATCAACTATACTTAGGAGGTCACTTCCTCCAGACTCAAGGGTCAGGAGGGTTCTAAGAGACCTGAGGTAGGAGTGAGCCAGAAGTGACAGATGGGGGAAAGAGTGTCCCAGGTAGAAGATACAGCAAGAGCAAAGCCCTGGAGGTCTCAGCCAGAGCAGAGACTTTGAGGGGCTGAGCAGCAGTGTGATTGGCAGGGAGTTGGAGGAGGAGAGGCCGGAGGACTAAACTAAGGGCCAACCACACAAGAACCCATAAATCCTATTGAAGGTGTGGGATTCACAAATTTAAGCAGCTGAGCTCCACAAAGTCTATACCGTTCACATTAAAGTTCACTGGTGGCCAAATCTGATGGTGGGTTCTCTGTTTCCACAACCCCTGACCCCTCGGCAGGTAGCTTTTCACACGGCAACCCCTGCTTCTTGATGTGCTTTCTTGTTTGGGCTTTGGTGACTCCATGCTCACCTGGTTTAATCCCTACTTAATGGGCTTCCCCCCCATATCTCCTATGCCAGCTCCTCCTTCCCTGCCCACCTCTAAAAGCTGATATGCCTCAAGCTCTGTCCTCTGATCTCCTTAGTGGCTTTCATTCAGGCCTACAGCTTTACTATCAGGTATATGCCAATGGCTCCAGCATAAGTCAGGATCCTAGCAAGAAGTGTATGGAACCCTCCCTGGGTCATGAGACAAGTTTAATAAAAGGCAGGATTTAGGGAAACCACAAAGGACAGTTCAGCCCTACTGGGCTAATAACAGTGAGATACATTATCACCCCTAGGCTTGATGGGGAATGGAGGGAGTAGTTCCTGAAACTTGGAGACAGGAGCTGTGATCTTCAGTTGAACGACACAGTCAGCCCTAAGTGATACTACATAAACAGAGGGCTAGAGGAATAAATAGCCCGACCTCACTCTCCTTGCTCCCTTCCCCCAGATCTTCTTCCAGGGCTCTTTATTGGCCAAACACAATGGGAAGCCACAGGACAAGATAGGCTGTTGAGTCAATACAGGTCAGATTATTAGAGTTCAGTGCAGGGTAAAAAAAGAGTGGAGAGTGGTTCTGAAGGGCAAATTGAAGACACACAGCACAACTCCCAAATCTGTCTCTGGTCTTGACCTGTCCCCTGAGGTCAAACTCCTACAACCAACCTTTAACCCAACTCCCCAACTTGGCCTATCTAAGAACATCTCGAACTTAACTTCTGACAACTCAAAACTCTTGGTTTGCTGCCCCCTACATTCACCTCCATCCTCAAACCTACTTTTTTTCCTTGGTTTTCTCCATCTCTGTAAATAGTACCACCATCACCTACTTACTCAGGCCAAAACCTTGGGAGTCATTATTGTTTTCTCTCTCTCTCCCTCACAGTTGACATCCAAACATTCAGTCAATCATACAGGCTCCCTCCAAAATACATCCCAAGTCTCATGACTTCCATTGCTAAAACCCCATTTCAAACCATCATCAACTCCTCCCATGACTGCTACAATAGTGTCTTGATTGGCCACCCTTCTTCCACTGTTGGACTCCTTCCACTTAATCCTCCAAATAGTAGCCAGAGAGTACTTCTCAAAGGATAAACCAGAATACAGCCTCCTCTGTTTTAAATGGCTTCATACAGTAATTTGAATAAAATCCAAACTCCTTACCATGACCCCAAGGCCTCCATGATCTGACACAGTCTACTTGTATGACTCATCTCTTATTCCCTTCCTCCTCTTTCCTTCCACTATGGCCAGTCTGGTCCAATTTTGTGTCTCTCAAAAAATTTGGCCAGGCACAGTGGCTCACGCTTGTAATCCTGGCACTTTGGGAGGCCGAGGTGGATGGATACCTTGAGCTCAGGAGCTCCAGACCAGCCTGGGCAACATGGTGAAACCCCATCTCTACAAAAAATACAAAAATTAGCCTGGTGTGGTGGCACATACCTGTAATCCAAGCTACTCAGGAGGCTGAGGTTAGAGGATTTCTTGAGCCCAGGAGGTCCAGGCTGCAGTGAGCCATGTTCACACCACTGCACTCCAGTCTGGGTGACAAGGCAAGATCTGTCTCAACAACAACAAAAAAATCAAGTCTGTTCTAATATCAAGGGTTTTGTACCTACTTTTTCTTCTGCCTGGAAATCTTTCCTTCCTGAAAAATCTTCAAAGGGCTGCTTCCTTCTCATCAAATATTTACATTTTAATTCAGTTGTCATGTTCTCAAAAATACCTTCCATTTTACTTAAAAATAATCCATCCAGAATCAGGGAGGGGTAAGAGATGCAGGTGTAAATGAAACAACATGCGGCCCTGATATAATAATGGTCAATGATGGATGATGGATATGAGGCTGTTCATTATTCTGTTCTCTTTATTTTAAATACATTTGAAGTTTTCTGTATAAAAAGGCTTCTAAGGGATCCATCCCCTCCCTGCACTCAGGCTCTCTCTTTGCTCTTCTTACTTTCTGCTGCTTCACCTGCTCATGCCCGTTGGGCATGTGGTACTGTTTCCTCTGCTTTGATTCTCTGCTCACTCTCCAGAACAGCTTAATTCCTACTCATCCCTCAGGTCTCAGATTATACATGCCTTCCCTAGGGAAACCTTCCCTGACTCATTTATGTTCCAAATTGCCTTGTTCACAAGTGAGAGCTCAAACTGGTTCAGGTAACTGTAAAGTCCAGAGTTAGCTTCTGGCTTGATCCAGGCCTCAAGAAGTGTTACCAGGACTACTCATCTCTCCATCTCTTGGCCCCATTTCCTCCATGTTGGCTCCATCCTCAGAGAAGCTCACCCTCCATAGTGGTAAGATGACTTCCATGTCTCCAGCTTTCTCCTTCACATTCAAATCTAACATGAAGAATGGATTTATTTCTCCAAAAGTGTTCCAAAAAAAGCGCCATAGCTTATTCTTACTAGCTTGGGTGACTTGACTCTGGGCATAGTCCTGTTTTAGAACCAACCATTGGTGCTGTGGAAAAGCAATGATCTGATTGACCAAACAGGACTGGGTCTTCCCTGACGCTGACAGATAGATTATGTGTGGGGTGAGGTTGCCAAACCCCAACTGGAATTACAGGAAGTCTGAGGATAAATCCTGGAGAGGCAAACAACAAATGTCCACAAGGAATTTCTTTTTTTTTTTTGAGATGGAGTCTCGCTCTGTCACCCAGGCTGGAGGAAATTTCTTAACTAAATGTTTGCATAACAACTTGTCCTCTTTAATAGCACTATGATAATTATACACTTATGTATAATTTGTTTAATATATGTGCCTCCCATAACACTGTACGGTCAACTTGAGAGAGACTCTGTCTCCTTTTTTCACTGCTATATGCCCAGTGTCCAGCACCGTTTTGGCACAGGGTAGATAGTATTTTTTTCAATAACTATGGTACTAACACACACACACACACACACACACACACACACGCACACACACACACACACGGCAGGACACAAAGCAGTAAAAAATAAAAAATTTTTTCAAAAAACAATTTATCCTTAACCAAGTGAAGAAAAAACCCAATCCTCCCATTTATCCCTAATTTATCCCTTACTAAACGTTCTTTTTTATTTTCTTCACAGCAAGTATCACTGTCTGAAGTTACATCTCACATATTTATCTATACATTTATGGTCTGTTTCCCTGCCCGTCCCACGACCATCCCTTGCGATAGATTAACTCCATGACAGCCAGTGTCTTTGCCTTATTTACCACTCGACGTGTCACGAAGGTCCAGCACAGCGGCTTCAGAGTGAATGTTTAATAAATATTTGACCAATGAAGGAACAAAGGCTGGGAATGGTAGCTCATGCCTGTAATCCTAGCACTTTGGAAGGCCAAGACAGAAGGATCACTTGAGGCCTGTTCCTGTTCCAGGCAGGAGTTTGAAACCAGCCTGAGCAACATAGTGAGACCATGTCTTTACAAAAAACTTAAAAATTAGCCAGGTGTGATGATTTTGCCTGACGTCCCAGCTACTTGGGAGGCTGAGATGGGAGGATTGCTTGAGCCCAGGAAATTGAGGCTTCGGTGAGCCGTGATTGTGCCATTGCACTCCAGCCTGGTTGACAGAGCAAGACTCTATCTCAAAAAAACCCTAGAAGAAAACCTAGGCATTACCATTCAGGACATAGGCATGGGCAAGGACTTCATGTCTAAAACACCAAAAGCAATGGCAACAAAAGCCAAAATTGACAAATGGGATCTAATTAAACTAAAGAGATTCTGCACAGCAAAAGAAACTACCATCAGAGTGAACAGGTAACCTACAAAATGGGAGAAAATTTTCGCAACCTACTCATCTGACAAAGGGCTAATATCCAGAATCTACAATGAACTCAAACAAATTTACAAGAAAAAAACAAACAACCCCATCAAAAAGTGGGTGAAGGACATGAGCAGACACTTCTCAAAAGAAGACATTTATGCAGCCAAAAAACACATGAAAAAATGCTCACCATCACTGGCCGTCAGAGAAATGCAAATCAAAACCACAATGAGATACCATCTCACACCAGTTAGAATGGCAATCATTAAAAAGTCAGGAAACAACAGGTGCTGGAGAGGATGTGGAGAAATAGGAACACTTTTATACTGTTGGTGGGACTGTAAACTAGTTCAACCATTGTGGAAGTCAGTGTGGCGATTCCTCAGGGATCTAGAACTAGAAATACCATTTGACCCAGCCATCCCATTACTGGGTGTATACCCAAAGGACTATAAATCATGCTGCTATAAAGACACATGCACACGTATGTTTATTGCGGCACTATTCACAATAGCAAAGACTTGGAACCAACCCAAATGTCCAACAATGATAGACTGGATTAAGAAAATGTGGCACACGTACACCATGGAATACTATGCAGCCATAAAAAATGATGAGTTCATGTCCTTTGTAGGGACATGGATGAAATTGGAAATCATCATTCTCAGTAAACTATCACAGGAACAAAAAACCAAACACCACATATTCTCACTCATAGGTGAGAATTGAACAATGAGAACACATGGACACAGGAAGGGAAACATCACACTCTGGGGACTGTTGTGGGGTGGGGGGAGGGGGGAGGGATAGCATTAGGAGATATATCTAATGCTAAATGACGAGTCAATGGGTGCAGCACACCAGCATGGCACATGTATACATATGTAACTAACCTGCACATTGTGCACATGTACCCTAAAACTTAAAGTATAATAATAATAAAACAAACAAACAAAAAACAAATTACACTTAAAGAAGTTATTCAAAATTCAAAGTGAATAAAACACCTTTTTTCTTTCAAAAAAAGAAAAAAGAAAAGAATAAATGAAGGCTCCAAAATTTCCATTCATGGCCATGAGATCTCTTCTGAGTTCAAATCTATCCTTGAGCATTATTTCTAGACAACTTCACCTGGATCCCCACAGTGGTCTTAAATTCAGTGTACTCAAACTCGATACATCCAAAATTGATCTCAATATGGCCAAAATCTTCCCCCAAAATGTGTCCTTTTTCCTCTGTCCCTTATTTTAGTCGAAATAAAATTTGATAGGGCTGAAATGCATTTCTCCCTGGACTTCTTTAATATCCTTCTTCTGATTTTCTCTTCCTTTTCTGGTTGGGCCTTGTTGTTTCTTGTCTGTCTCTGTGTGCTCTTCTCACTGCCTACTTTTTAAATTTTAATGAGACATTTAACACTAATAAAAGATTGAAAAAGCTCCATCCCAGAGTTCTTGCAATAGAAGAAAAGAAATACAAATATGGAATGAGGGGTGGTAAGGAAAAACCCTGTGAACATGAACTGGAATTAGAGATATTGGTAAAAATTCATGATTTCTAAAATGTGTATGTGTATGTGTATATGTAGAGTTACATGTGTACATATGTATTATATACTTATATACAATACACACAGACATTTCCTACCTCTGTCTGCTATAGGAACGTAGGAACAAGACACCCCAGTAGCCATGAGCTCACATAACCATCCAGATATTGGTCTCTAATACTAGTCACCACTAAAAGGAACCAGAAATCTGTGGTCAAGGAGCTGATTCCAGGGCTGGGACACAGAAGGTGTAAGATGAGCCAGAAACACGTTTTTGTTTGTTTGAGATTTTTTTTTTTTTTTTTTTGATGGAGTTTTGCCCAGGCTGGAGTACAATGGCATGATCTCGGCTCACTGCAACCTCTGCCTCCCGGGTTCAAGAAATTATCCTGCCTCAGCATCCTGAGTAGCTGGGATTACAGGTACCCGCCACCACGCCTGGCTAATTTTTTATATTTTTTAGTAGAGATGGGGTTTCACCATATTGGCCAGGCTGGTCTCGAACTCCTGACCTCAGGTGATCCATCTGTCTCTCTCTCCCCAAGTGCTGGGATTACAGGAGTGAGCCACCACACCTGGCCCCAGAAACATGTTTTTATGCAAGAAAGTAAGACAGTACTCCAAAAAATAACGGAGGTATATCACAAGAACACAAGAGTTTGAAGGGACTCTTGTTCTCCAAATCCAATTCGAAAGGGAATTTTGAGCACAAAATAATTACGTAAAATAACGAACTGCAAACCATTGAGAAACTATTAGTCCATACTTATGATAAATGAATGGATGGATGGATGGATGGATGGATGGATGGATAGATGGATGGATGGATGGATAGATGGTAGAGAGCGCAGAGTTCTTGCTTAGAGGATGTCAAGGACTAAAAGGTCAATGCAGTGCAATGCTAAAGATGAAAAATCATCATTTTGCAACCATCATAGCAAAGATTGGATTATCATCAGTAGATGCTAAATTTGGCGGGGGGAACTTTGATGAGGAGCAGAATATTTGCATGGACTTCAGTGTCTCCCCACAGATTACTTATTAGTAGCAAAACAGAATATATTAACTACAGTGAAGAAATCAGACATCTTGTTCAACTGATCAAAATTAATATCACCAATGAGGAGCAGATGAATATACTTTGCCTCTGGATGTGATACCTTAAGAAGATCACAACGTCTCTGGCAGGGAATACATAACCTGAATCTAATCATGAGGAAACATCTGACAAACTCAAAATCAAGAACCTTCTATTAAAAGGGAGTGGGAAGCTGTATTATTTTTAAAATGTCAATATCATAAAAGACAGTGAAAAAGTGAGAAACTATTCCACATTAAATGCAACTAAAGAGACATGACAACTAAAAGCAATATGTAATCCTAGACAGGATTCTGTACTAGAGAGGGAAATAATCCTGCAAAGGACATTATTGGGTTAATTAACAAATTAGAATGCAGATAGTAGATTAGATCATATGAATAAGAGAGGATACCACCCCTCATATTGTCTTATGCCCAATTTCTGCCTCCAAAGAAATAAGTAAAAACTAAAAGGCAGAAATGGAATCCACAGGCAGATAGCCCAGCACCGTGTCCTGGGCCTGGTAGTTAAAAAATCAACCCCTGACCTAACTTCTTGTGTTATCTATAGATTTCAGACATTGTATGGAAAAGCATCGTGAAAATCCCTGTCCTGTTCTGGTCTGTTCTGATTACCGGTGCATGCAGCCCCCAGTCACGTACCCCCTGCTTGCTCAATCCATCACAGCCCTTTACGCAGACCCCCTCATAAGCCCTTAAAAGGGACAGGAATTGCTCACTCGGGGAGCTCAGTTTTTGGAGACGTGAGTCTGCCGATGCTCCCAGCTGAATAAAGCCCTTTCCTTCTACAACTTGGTGTCTGAGGGGTTCTTGTCAGCGGCTCGTCCTGCTACAATACCATTGTAAATATTAAATTTACTGCAGTTGATAACTACACTGTGGTTATGTAAGAGAATATCCTTGTTCTCAGGAAATACTCACTGAAGATTTAAAGGGCAGAGAGCCATGACATATATAATTTACTATCAAATGGTTCAGAAAAATATACACATGTGCACAGAGGGAGCAAATGATAAAGCAAATGGAACAAAATTTTAACAATAGATGAATCTGAGTAAAGAATATGTGAGTGTTCTTTGCAGTATTTTGAAACTTTGCAGTCAATGTGAAATTACTTCCAAAAAGTTTTTCTCGAAGGGGGCAGGTGCCACTCTTGGCCCTCTTGTCTCCAGATGCTACACATTCCTCAAGTAATCTCACCCACATTAATGCCTACATCACACACTACGACAATCTTTATCTCTACTCCAACCTGTGCTCTTGAATTCCCAAACTCTATTTTCAACTCACTTCTAGACATCTCCACCCAAATGTGCCCTGGGTGAAACATACCCACATCCTAAAGGCATCTTCTTTCTTCTATGAAATGGGCACCATTCTCCTCCCAGCTGCTTGGGTTCCTCAAAGAGAGCTGCACTCCCTTTGCCACAATCTGGGGAACAGGAAGACACTGGAGCCACACCAGAAAAATGGAAGCCTCACTTGTGACCCACTCTCTCCCACTCGAATCAGTTCTTGATTCTAATCTCCAATGTAGCTTCAATTACCTCGGGAATCCTAGTTGCAAGAGCAACTGACATTGTTTTTGATGTGCTAGTCTCTGCAATCCAGGAAAACAGAACCACAAGGACACTGGAACAAATGGAAGAGCTAATCTACTCCATCTGCTACATTCCCCCCTGCCCATTGTCACCACCTCTGCCTGTCCATGTGGCTAATGCCAGTTGGGCCTAGTCTTACAAAACTTGCAAAGTGAAGTGTCACTGTCACTTGAGTTTCTTGATTCCTTGCTGACTGAATTTCATGTCCTGTCCCTTCTTTCTATTCCTCCATTATAGCATTTGCCACATTGAATTGTCATCCTTACTCTTTGAGACTATATCCTGGGCTAAACATTGACAGGATGCATTTCTAGTGACTAGAATAGTGCCTGGGATAGAATAGGATGAATAAGCAGTAACACAGTCATGTGCCACATAAGGAAATTTCAGTCAACCACAGACCACTTATACAACAGTGGTCCCATAAGATTACAATGGAGCTGAAAAACTCCTGTTGCCCAGTGATGTCACTGCCATTGCAATGCCAAACCACCATGTATGTTCGTGGTGATGCTGGTATAAACAAACTCACTGTGCTGCCAGTCATATAAAAGTACAGCACACACAATTATGTACAGTACATAGCACTGGATAACAATAATAAATGACTATGTTACTGGTTTATGTATTTATTATGCTACACTTTTTATCATTATTTTAGAGTATACCCCTTCTACTTATATTTTTTTAAGTTAACTGTAAAACAGCCACCAGCAGTTCTTTAAGTAGTATTCCAGAAGAAGGCATTGTTATCATAGATGACAGCTCCATGCGTGTTATTGCTCCAAAGACCTTCTAGTGGGAAAAGATGCAGAGATGGGAGACAGTGATCTTGACGATCCTGACCCTGTATAGGCCTAGGCTAATGTGTGTGTTTGTGTCTTTTTTTTTTTTTTAAGACACAGTCTCACTCTGTCACCCAGGCTGGAATACAGTGGCGCGATCTCAGCTCACTGCAACCTCCGCCTCCCAGGTTCAGGCTATTCTCCTGGCTCAGCCTCCCGAGTAGCTGGGATTACAAGCACCCATCACCATGCCTGGCTAATTTTTGTATTGTTAGCAGAGACAGGGTTTCACCATGTTGCCAGGCTGGTCTCAAACACCTGACCTCAAGTGATCTGCCTGCTTCAGCCTCCCAAAGTGCTGAGACTACAGGCATAAGCCACAGCACCCGACCTGTGTCTTAGTTTTAAACAAGAACATTTAAAAACTAAAAACAATAAATAATTTTTAACATAGAAAAAAGCTCTTAGAATAAGGATATAAAGAAATAAAAGGCCAGGTGTAGCGGTACACACCTGTAGTCCTAGCTACTTGGAAGGATTGCTTGAGCCCAGGAATTTGAGTCCAGCCTGTGCAACATAGCAAGACCCTGTCTCTAAAAATAAATAAAATGTTTTTGTACACCTCTACAATGGGTTTGTGTTTTAAGCTAAGTATTATTATAAAAGAGTCAAAAAGTTTTTAAAATGTAAAAGTTCATAAAGTAAAAAAGTTACAGTAAACTAAGGTTAATTTATTATTAAAGAAAGAATAGGCTAGGCACGGTGGCTCATGCCTGTAATCCCAGCATTTTGGGAGGCTGAGGCGAGCAGATCACTTGAGGTCAGGAGTTCAAGACCAGCCTGGTCAACATGATGAAATCCCGTCTCTACTAAAAATACAAAAATTAGCCGGACATGGTGACACACATCTGTAATCCCAGCTACTCAGGAAGCTGAGGTGGGAGAATCACTTGAACCCAGGAGGCAGAGGTTGCAGTGAGCTGAGATCATGCCACTGCACTCCAACCTGGGCCACAAAGGGAGACACCATCTCAAAAAATATATATAATAATAATTTTTATAAATTAAGAGTAGCCTAAGTATACAGTGTTTATAAAGTCTACAGTAGTGTACAATAATTCCTAGGCCTTCATATTCACTCACTCACTCACTCACTCACTCACCCAGAGCAACTTCCAGTCCCATAAGCTCCATTCATGGTGAGTGCCCAATACACATGTACCATTTTTATCTTAAAAAATTTATTTTTTTACTGTACCTTTTTAAAGTTTCTTAAGTTTAGATATACAATACTTAGAATTGTGTTACAATTGCCTATAGTATCCAGTACAGTAACATGCCATGTAGGCTTACAGCCTAGGAGCACCAGGTTGTCCATATAGTCTAGGTGTGCAGTAGCCTATACCATCTAGGCTGTGTAAGTACACTCTATGATGTTCACACAATGACAAAATTGCCTAACAACACCTTTCTCAGAACACATTCCAGTCATTCAGCAACACATGACTATATAACCTAAATGTTCCAGGCTCCACCTATAGGGTTAAAATTTTGGCCCATAAACACTAGCCCTCACAGGTGGGAGTTCCTGGGTAGGTTACCCTTAGTTGGCCAAATCAATAGCATCATCCTTCTGGTGTCTCCCCTTTCTCTTCTGTTTTTTTTTTTTGAGACGGAGTCTCGTTCTGTCACCCAGGCTGGAGTGCAGTGGCACGATCTTGGCTCACACCGCTTCCCCAGTTCAAGTGATTCTCCTGCCTCAGCCACCCAAGTAGCTGAAACTACAGGTGCATGCCACCGCGCCCAGCTAAATTTTGTAGTTTTAGTAGAGACGAGGTTTCACCATGTTGGCCAGGCTGGTCTCAAATGCCTGGCCTCAGGTGATCCACCCGGCTCTACCTCCCTAAGTGCTGGTATTACAGGCGTGAGCCACCATGCCTGGCCTCTCTTCTTGTATCTCTTTAACAGTCCCAGGAGCTGTGGCAGGGGAGGAAAGGGAAGGCTGGCACATCAATGGAGCTGCTGCCTTGCTGTCCCCCTCCCTCTGTGCCTACTGCTACTCTGCTCACCCAGGCTGACAGTGCCCAAACCCCCAGTGAACCTGGCATCCTACTGTGCTAGCCATCCAGCCATGACCCATCACTCTGGACAAGAGTTTCTACTCTACTCCTAAGCCAGACTGGTGATAGAGCCAATTTGTCCTGTGTGGGTCTTGGTTTCCTGTTTTATTAAGAGAGGGGCATGACCGAACATGCTGTAATATCCCTTTCAGATCTAACATCCCGTGATTCCACAAATGTTATTCTCCCTCAATATCCAATCTATTAATACAATGGGCTTGCACAGTCTGGGCCTTTGGTCCATGCTTTTCTGCTGCGGTGGATGCACTTCCCTATCTAAGCCATATTATGCAGGTCAGATCATCACTCACAGACAGGTTCATATCCTGAAGCCTTTCTTCATTGCACTGGATCACTCCCTGCCTCCTCACCCTCATACGATCCATTGATCAACCACTCTCAGCATACAGAGGCCTCCTGGGATTGCAGTCTAGATGCACATACTGTGACCCTTGATAGACTGTAAACAACTTCAGGGAAGGAATTATGATTTATATTGGAGAAGCAAAAGGGCTGAAATGGAGGGAGGAGGAGAGACGGGTACAGCAGCATCACTCATACTGGGTTAGCGAATCTCCTCTGGCTGGGAAATCAGGCTCTGATTCTCTGGGCCTGTTGGCCAAGTCAGCCACCACAACTTGAAAGATACATCCAGATACAGCCAGAGTCATCCTCAGGGCTGAATGAGCAGGGGCTGCTGACTTGAGTGATTTAGGCCCCAGGTGTCTCAAAAGTATGGTTCACTAACCACTGGAAATACCATGTCCATCTGTACCCAGAGGACTCACTGACCACCAACCATTTACAAATACTAACCAAGACACTAGAAGCGCTCCCAGAAAGTGTTCTGGTAAGACTTAGAAGAGAAAGAGCACACCACGGTTGACTCTTACCTCATGCCAGGCAAGCATATCTCGCCTAGTCCCTCTCCAGAAGTTGGGTGCTGGTCTGAAGGAGCAAATGTCAGCTCACAGAAAAATACCAACTTTTTTTGTCTGTGACTGAGCCTGGGCATCAGAGAGAGAACAAAATTCCATTTATCAAGAGTTTGTCACAGCCATAGAAAGACAAAAAAGGACAATCCATAATCCCCTTGAGATCAAGTAATGAAGGCGCTTATTCTACACAGCCCTCAAGTCCAGGGGCCTCTGATATACAGGTTCCCCATCAGGGAAGCTTATTGTTGGAGTCTTCATCAAGGGTAAGACCTGAGAGGCCAGGCACAGTGGCTCACACTTGTAATGGCAACACTTTGGGAGGCCAAGGTGGGAAGACTGCTTGAGCCCGGGAGTTCTAGACCAGCCTGGGCAACATAGCAGGATGCCATCTGTAAAAAGTAAAATTAGCCAGGCAAGGGCCAGGTGTGGTGGCTCATACCTGTAATCTCAGCACTCTGGGAGGCTGAGGCAGGCGGATCACTTGAGGTCAGGAGTTCGACACCAGTCTGGCCAACGTGGCAAAACCCTGTCTCTACTAAAAATACAAAAATTAGCCTGGTGTGGTGGCGCACACCTGTAACCCAGTTACTCAGGAGACTAAGGCAGAAGAACTGCTTGAACTTGGCAGGCAGAGGTTGCAGTGAGCCGAGATAGCACCACTGCACTCCAGCCTAGGGGACAGAGGGAGACTCCGTCTCAAAAAAAAAAAAAAAAATTTAGCCACCCTTGGTGGTGCACACCTGAAGTCCCAGTTGCCTAGGAGGCTGAGGCAGGGGGATCACACGAACCCAAGAGTTCAAGGCTGCAGTGAGCTATGGTCATGCCACCGCATTCCAGCCTAGGCAACAGAGCAAGACCCTGCCTCAGGAAAAAAAAAAAAAAAATCATCCTCTAGGTATGGGGGTAAAAAATAAAAATTTAAAAAATAATAAGACCTGAGACCCAAAGTTTGGCTATATGCCTGAGCCTAGAGTCCTTGCCACATCTTATTTTCTCCTTTGCTCAGCGATCTTCCAATTAGCTCTGAAGAGAATTCCTTGATGGGACCAGGACTAGCTCCCCAAGTCCTCTAACAACGAAAGGAAACTATTTTACTTAACATCAATTATAGACATATTCCCAGAGTCAATTCTAGTCACATTCACTAATATGGCTAAAGAAAAAACGAGCAGGAAAGCAGACCGGTGGGAGAAAGCAATACTAACAAAAATTAAATCGCTCATTCTGAAGGTACAAGATTAGTATTTTTCAGTCTCTTCTTGATTCATTCAGCTGTTTATTGAACACTTACTATGTGCCAGGATATGAAAAGTCCTGAGAGCACAAAGATGAATGGGGCATGGGAGTGACCTTCAGGGATTTATAGGGCAGTCCAGGAGACAGAGAAGTAACTTGAATAATGAAAGTACAAGAAATCACTTCTGTGTCTAAGCACTGAGCAAAGTACTGGAGAACCTCAGAGGATGAAGTCCCTGGGTATCAGAAAAGTCAGGATGGAGGAAGTGACATTTCAGTTGAGTCTTCAAGGATAAGGTCTGGGATACTACAGAGGTTTGGGATAGGGGTGGGGAAGGACTTTGAAGGCAGAGAGCAGTGTGCCTGAGGATTCTAGATGTGAAAAATTTAAACTTGCCAAGTAATACAATGCAGGCACTCAAAAACACCAAACCAAAGAAGCCTGGCCTCCAGACTTATCTCAAATCTCATCTCAGCTGGCTCAGCCTCCATTTTGGACAGCTATTCCAGTGGAGTGGAGTAAACGTGATACCAGGGCAGAATGCCCCCAAGGGGCCTGTGAAATTGCCTAGACTGAGGCTTCCCTCATGCTCAAAAGCCTGGTAGCTGTTGAACTAAGGGAAAGACAATGGACTCTAATCTAAATACTACCCCTTCATATATTTTGACTGTGGACAGCACAGCCTCAGTTAATATAAAATGTATGGGCCAGGTGTGGTGGTTCACGCCTGTAATCCCTACATTTTGGGAGGCCAAGGCAGGCAGATCATTTGGGGTCAGGAGTTCAAGAACAGCCAGGCCAACATGGTGAAACCCTGTCTCTACTAAAAATACAAAAATTAGCCAAGTGTGGTGGTGCATGCCTGTAATCCCAGCTACTCGGGAGGCTGAGGCAGGAGAATCATTTGAACATGGGAGGCGGAGGTTGCAGTGAGCTAAGAGCTGAGATTGCATGGGCAACAGAGGGAGACTCAAAAAAAAAAGTATGAAATGTATGTGTAAACCTACATTTAAAAACTTATTCATGTAAAGTGGTATCAGGATTCAGATTCCTTCTGTGAGATATGGAAGGAGATCATGGCAATAGATGAAGTTATACTGAACCAGAGATGCTTTCCTTGCTAAAGTCAAGGGACGGGGCATTTCTTCTTAGGAGGGTCATTTTCTCCAGGCATCCTTTGCTTTTATGGGCTCCCTGCAGTGTGAGTCTGTCAGCACCTTCAATATTTAGGTTATCCAGGAGATCTGGGTCCCAGGAAAAACAGTCTGTCACTACTCAAACTCTCATAAAACTGACTTGTAACAAGAGTCCATTTCATAAATTTCAGTGTGTAACAGCTCTGCTGCTAGGAAAGCACGTTTCCGAGAAATTAGGAGGCAGTCATTTGGCACTGAAGAGAGGACCACCTGAACAAGGACCCCTTCTTCCTTAGCCCGTGCCAGCAACTGAGCCCCCTAAATTTCTTAGTGAGCAACACTTCTTCAGTGTTCCACGTTGCCCTCTGCTGGGAGACAGCACAGACATCAGAAAGGGCCTGAGCCTTTTGGTCCATATAAACATGTCTGATTCCTGATTCTGCCATGACTAGCTCTGGCCCTTGGCCAGTTCATCCCATCTTGCCAAGTCTCCACTCACTCATCTGCAAAACAGATATGCTTCTGATTGTTGTGTGATTTAAACAAGGTAGGGGAAATGTTAGTAGTCTCCCTCATAGCAGACACTTGGATAAAAGACAGTCGTCATTTTTCCTTTTGTTTACAGCCATACTTGTGACAAAGAAACACTAGATTTAAATCCAGAAGGCCTCAGTCCGATTTCTAATTCTGCTACTTAACATTCCTGGTGGAGATAAAGAGTGTTTTAGCACCTACCTTGTTTCAGATACTACGCTGGCTATTTATATAATTAGGGGGTTTTTTGCTCCAAAAACCATCCATCTGAGGTCACCAGACTGCCTGGGGGAAAAGGGGGATGAGGGGGGAGAGGAGAGTAAAGTGACTCATTCATTAGGATTCTATTTCCAATTCCCAAAACTGTTTCCCCAGTTTTTCCAGAGGTGATAGTTGGAACATACTATTAACACCAGCTAGTACCCAGTACTCTTTTATTGTGTTAGAATTACCCAAGTTCTAAAGCTAGCAATCATCTGGAAACTGGGGACAGAGCAGCTTTAGGGCTCTTATGAAGAACCACTGTTGCCTGCTCAACCCTATAGCGTAGCAACTTTGCTTGGCTGCAATTGATAGCTGGAGACGTTCTCTCCATTTGAGCCAGTCCAGTCCAGCCTAGAGAGCAGTCTCCCCATCCCTAGAAATCTAGGGAGAGGCTCTGACCCTCCCAAGGGCTGAGGAGGCAGGAGCATACCCAGATTAAGCAGGCTTTGTGGCTAATCAGACCTGACACAAACATTTACTAGTTACATGATCTTCCACAAATTTAACATCTGTTAAGATGGGGGTAATAGCCCCTGGGAGGAGTAAATGATAAAAATGGGTGTAAATGGCTCAACATGACACCAGGACATTCTACAAGAATGAGCAAAAATGATCCTTAGTAGTAGTAGCTTCACAAAACAAGGTTGAGAGCTTGAATTCTAGGTAACAGACAGGGATTTAACAACAGCCAGGGCATGATACAAGGACAGGTTTATTCCCCAGATGGGAGGTGCCCAAGAAGGGGTCAGAATGCCTTCCCTCCACATTCTCCGTCCATCTCTTCTTCATAGCAATCCTCCTCTAACTTGCGTGGTAATGGTTAATCACGTAAGGCTCAGCCTCATTACCTTACTAACACATCTCATATACCGTCTGATATTCTGGGACCAGGGCCGAAGGAAAATGTGTTTTTCTCTAATTCTGATCTCAATTCTTTCACCCTCATTCTCCCTTTCCTTCCTTACAGTATCTGTCACAGGCAAACCAGCCAAATAACTGGAAAACTTGTTTCAGGGAAGGGTGTGGGAGATAAGGAATTTTGAATTTAGCATGTCTGCATTGATTTTGTCTGTTTCTAGACTGTGTCAAGGGTAGGAAGGGAGTAAGTCTTTTAGTTTCAGTTGGGAGTCTTCACAGCTTTATGTATCTCCCAATTTTTAAAATTATTAATCAGAAATTGACTTGCTTCTTTTCCTATTTGGTATCTTCTCAAAAGTCAAAAGCACAGGGATTATTAGTCCTAGGAAAGCAACTGTGACTATGGATCTTTCTACTCTGTCCACAGCTACCTAGAAATAACAATTACAAGACATCCTACATTTAGAGAGAACAAGGTAAGAAAATTAAGCAAGTTTATTACTATTTTTTAGTTTGGCTTGATGTCCTGAGACACTTTTTCGGGATACTATGAATCCTGATTTTAAGGATAATAAAGCATTCATAAACAGATTACTTATAGAGGTTGAAGTGTAATTATGGAAGTTTTAAGCCTGCCCACTAAACCCATAAGAAAGCATTTTCCAGCATAGGTGGCCACACACAAACATATACACACACAATTCCAGGCTAAGAAATGTGTTATAACTAAGGTGGTTAAAGCACCGAGGTATTCCTCCCTGGATTCAAGCTCATGGATTAACATATGAAAACATTATTTCCATCCTTTTCATTCACCATTTACATTCACAATCTATTTTTGTCTAGATATATAGATACTATTAAGGAACCACACAGGTCAAGTCACTCAGGTTTAATGATTCCATCATTTGGACACATAAACTTCTGTTCCATTTAAGTCTGCTCACTGTAGATAATCCAGGTCACCCAGCCTCCCATTAAGATTTAATCAAAGTTTTCTGCACCCCAAACCCTCACAAAACAGACCTCTATGATGAAATCACAGAAAGATACATATTAGTCCAGTTAGTGGCCAAACATTGGTCTTTAGAGTCCAAAGACCTCTATAACCAGTAACAGTAGTTGGGAGAAAAGAAGGAATAAAGAAACTGAGTTTTCTGAGAACCCCCTTTCCAGACTGCCTGAATAAGTTGCCTTTTCTTAAAAGAGCAGGATTAATCTACTTATGCCAAGACCCACTGGGCAGAAAGCACCCCAACCCAGGTTTAGCTGATCTTTACCACTTCCCTGTGAGAGCTACAGCAATCTTTTGGAATTTTCTGCAGCAAATTTTCCCCTTTTGCTGTCCCTACAAAGGCAGAAAAGCTAGGGGCCAATCTCTGAGCTAATTCCTTGAATCCAGGCAGGATGAGCATTCACCATTTGGACCCCTCTCTGTAAGAAGCTAGGACTTTATTTCTTAATGAAAGTTCAACACTGAGGAAAAGATAGCAAAGTCGTTGACTCACAATCTCAGGCCAACCTCAGGCAGATAGGTTAAGGCAAGGATAGGCAAGAAAGGTCTATTTTAACCCTATCCAGGCAAAAAGCAGGTTACTTTGGAAATCCCTAAGATCAAGCTGGTGCTCAGGGCCCTCTCTAGGATGGTCATAAGCGGTGTGATTGCATAGGTCATCCCCAGGCACTAATTAGACTAAGCTTCCCAGTTCCTTCCAGAATAAACTCACTATTCCTTAGCCCTTGGGACTAGTGGATGATATGTCACTATTTCAAACTTCCTGGTCCCTTTCCAGCCTGGTTTTATGTCCCCAGAGAATTGGGGTAGCAATGGACCAGACTCAGACTGTGATGAGAGGGAGAAAATAGCTAGGTTTTGTGCATTTCAGAGATTAACTGAACTCCCTTTGGAGTCACATTTACTCCTAGCTTTGTGCCAGGAGCATATTATTAAAACAAAACATCTTATTTTAAAACAGCCTTACCACTGTTCCAACTTCTGCACTTCTCAGTCCTAACCTCATCTTCTCCTCACATGCACACCATCAGAAGATACTGCCCCAGGACTTTCAGTATCTCTAGGGCCTAAGGATAAAGCAGCATTAATGGCATTTGGCAGAAAATCCCTTCCCACATTGAAGACTCCTCCCAGCTCAACACAGTGAAGAAATAAATGACAATGTAAGAGAAGAGGCAGCAGAAACCAGAGCCTGCCCTTTCCCACATAAAAGAGGCACAGAAATTCCAGGAATTCATGAAAATGGCATCATCTCTTGCCAGAAGGCCACCAGCTGGCACTGGTTGGGAGTCGCATTATCACTTGTTTCTCCTCTGGACTGAAGTGCAAGATAGTCAGTATGGCTGTGAGAGTCTGCTGGCGGCCCAGGGAGTCAGGTAAGGTCAGGAAGCGGTAGATGATGTTTTTGAGGTACTCCAGATTGGCTCCCTCCCTGCTCTGGTCCCTGATGTTCTTTTCGATGTGGCTCTGCAGGGCTGCAACCTCCTCACGATGCCGTTCGCCCTCCTCCAGCAGCCGATCCTGCAGCTGATGCACCTCGACCTCCAGCCTGTGCTTCTGCTTCCTCAGTGATGTGATCTCCACCTCCTTGCGGGCCAGTTGCTCAGCGTACAGAAAGAAAGTGGGCTCATTGGCCGCTGCAAGTTGTAATGCTTGGGTCAGGCTATCAGAGGATGATGTGTCAGCTGGGTCCCCAGGACCGCCACCACCCACAGGACTTCTGCGTCCTGGCAGCCCAGAGGCCAAGGCCACAGAACGCAGTTGCTCCAGTTCCAAGTCCTTCTCGGTGAGCACAGCTAGGGCACGATCCCGCTGCTTGTGCAGCTCCTCCTCCAGTTTCAGTGTGCGGTCCCTGAAGTCCAGCTGGCACCGCTCCAGCTCCTGCCGGTGGAGCTGCTGCAGCCGGGCCAGCTCCTGCTTCCAGTCATCAGCCTCCTGCTGGTGTTGGTGCTCCAGCTCCTCGCAGGAGAGCCGCAGGGAAATATACTTCTCCTTCAGCTCTGCAAGCTGTTCCTGGGCTGCCTCCAGCTCCTTTCCCAGGTTACCATCTTTGGTATTCTTGCTTTTGAGGACAACCTGGGCTCTCATCTTGTACCTCTCAAACTCTTCCTTCAGCTGTTTCAGCTCCTGTTGGTAATAGAGTGCAGTAGCCTTCTCCCCATCAGCAGCCTCCGAGCTGGGCATTATCTCCAGGTCACAGAGCTTCTCCACATCCAGGGTCACCTGGCTTTTCCTGGCCGCAACCTGCAGCAGCCTCTTCAGCTTCTCCATCTTATCTTTCAGGACATTGACATCCAGACTGGACTCCTCTCCATGGCTGTCTAAAGGGGACCTGCTGGAGGCTGCTAGAGCCAGTGTCTTGTTCTCCAGGTCCAGCTGCAGAATGCGCTCCTTCAGCTTCTGAATGGCCAGCTGGTCCTTCTGCTTGGCTTTCTCGTAGGTGCCTAGCAGCTCAGACACCTCGGATATTTGATTCTCCAGGGCTGCCACCCTCTGTTCTTCTACCTGAGATTGCTGACGGAGTTGATCCTCTGCAAGAGCTGTCTGCAAAACAAGGGAACAGACAAAAATGCATCCACAAAAGCCCCACAGCAAACTCTGAGAAAGCAGGAGAGGGGAGCAAAAGGGTCACAGGTTTGGGATGGCCTGGCAAGAATGCTAACTAGGGATTTTTCGGTTGATTCAGGAGCTAACAAAAGTTCCTATTACCTGCTTGGATTCTGCAAGACACATATTATACTGAACAATATGAAGCACCTTGGTACATCTGCTATTGTTCTGCTTTCCACCTAACCACATATAATGTGTGTTACTGTTGTTTCTCAGGTGCTTCCTCAAATCCTATTAAGAAATCATACAGCATTCTTTTCCTTATCCAATATTCCTGGAAGTTCAAAACTGCGCTGGATCTCCCTCTCCACATTGAAAGGAGGCACCCTTTCAATACCTGTTCTGGAAAATAGCACTTCTCCAGAACAGGCACATCTTGAGTAAAGGCAATGACAAGAGGTTACTTCTGAGAAAATCCCCTTTGCCTTCGGCCACTCTTCCTAGAGGCACATACCAACAGAAGACACGCTACCTTTTACTATACAGCTGCCACTATACTGCTTCATAGAGCACAGCTGGTAAGATGCCAATGCCCAGAAGTGCAGAGCTGTCTGGCTTCAACCCAGCCTACACTGAGAAGCTCCACATCCTCCTGGAAGCACATATGTCAACACCGCATAGAACAGGACTTCCCAGGTTCACTAGTGGAACTTCTCAGGTGGCATCAAAAATGACAGTATAGACACTTAGCTCTAACTAGCAAAGGAGGAAAAAAACCCTAATATTTCTCACTTCAGGTCAATGGCTGATGTTTGAAAGAGATATGGATAATTACCTTTCTCATTTCCTGCTGTAACTGAGCCTGGAAATGGCTCTTAAGGCGGGCAGCCTCTTCCTGAAGTTCTTGCAGCCGGGGATCTGGCTGATTCTTCTCATCTCGAATGGCCTGCAGTTCACTTTTCAGCTCCTCCACCTCACGGGTCAGCTGCTTGGTCTGCAGTTCAAATCCTTCCATCTGTTCAGCTGCATATGCTCGTCCTGCCAAGGCTTCTCGGGTCTCTTCTAACCTAAGCTCCAAGTCCTGGCGCTGGGTCCTCTCCTCCTGCAGCAGCTTCTGGAGCTCACGCAGCATCAAGGCATGGTCACTCTGCTCTTGGGCCCGATCATGCTGCTGCGTGATAAGCCGGGCTTTGGTTTCTGCTATTTGCTCCTGCAGCCCCTTCAATTCTCCCTCCAGGCGGGCCCTCTCCTCCTCCGCCTTGTTACTGGCATCCTCTAAGTCCTGTTTCATCTTTTTCTTGTCAGCCAAGTAAGAAGCCTCCATGCGGGACTTCTCCTGAGTGACTGTAGCCAAAGAACTGGTCAAAGTAGCCAACTGAGTCTTCAGCTGGTGCAGTCTTTTGTCCACCTCCCCACCTGCAAATGGCCCATCCCCACTGCTACTGCTAACGCCACTCTCGGACCAACTGGCCTCTTCGGACTTTGGAGGTGGTGGTCCACGGGCCGGTCTGTCATCTTCTACCCCAAACTCACCCTTGGTGCTGGTGAGACTGGCCGCAGTATCCAAGCTAGTGGCGGTCCCAGTGCTATCCTCGCTGTGAGTGGAGCACCGGTCATCCACAGAGTCAGGAAAGGTGAGGCCTGGAAGCTGGACACCTGCGAGGCCCACATCTGCCTCGTGGGATACCGACAGCACCTTGATGCTGGCCTCTAATGCCTCTTTCTCCTTCAGCAGGCTTTTATAGGCACGGACCACATCCTTGAGCCGTGCCTGGTACTGGAGAAGCTGCTTCTTCTGGGTCTCTATAGTCTCCAGCAAGTCCTTCTTGCTCGGGCCGCCCCCGAAATTCATCCCAAACTTCTCCATGGAGGGTCTGAACGGATTGCCCCACGTCAGCTTTCCAGCAGAACGGGAGAGGGCCGTGAAGACGCAGGCGGGGGCTTAAAGAAACAGCGAGCGGGCTGTCCGGCGGCGGGCCGCACACCTACTCCACCTAGTTATCCCGGACCTAATGCGGAACGGCCGGACGGACTGGCGAAAGCGGCCGCCCGGTCCCAGGCCCGGAGGGCTGGGGCGGATTCTACCCCGGAGGCGGGGCGACACTGGCACCAGAGGTGCGCACTGCCAGGGCTCGTTAGCGCTGGCCCAGAAGCCGCTCCGCACTCTCCGCTCGTCTGGGCCACAGCAGCCCGGGCCGGCCCCCTCGGCCCACGTCGGCCAGAGGGTTACGCTGAGCTCGGTCCCATCACGACATCCTAACTAAAGCTGCCTGCCGACAACGGCGCTTCCGTGTCCGCTGGAAGTGACGTCAGCGAGGCGCCGCAGGCTCCGCCCCCAGTGGGCCCAAGGTAGGCGGGGCCAAGTCGGCCGGTGGGTGGGCGCGGCCTGTTGAGAACGCAGTGGGGCCGCGAGCGGCAAAAAACAGGCTTGGGAAAGGCGAAGCCAGCAAAGTCGAAGACACCAGAGTGGCACCGGTTTTGTGAGAGCGCCCAAGCTTGACCTCGGGCTACGCTCAGCGAGCGACAGAGCAACGTCGCACTGCATTCTTACCAAACACCCAGGTGAACGACGCATCCAACGATTTGGGAGCTCAGGACCCATGGTCCCTAAAAGGCAACAATTAAGACTCCCATTTAGACCACGAAAACTGCAGTCCTCTATAGCACAGTGCTTGGTACCTAGTAGGCATACAGCCTAATAGTACCCTTCCTTAGTTCTGCTGAGTTGATTCCACAAATATTTACGGAGGGCACTCTATAGCCATGTCTATCCTGAGTGCCAGCTATATACCAGGAGCTCACAAGAGTTTTGCTATTTAGTCTTTACAGTAATTCTTGTAAGCACTATACTCATTAGCACTATTTTACAGATATGAAAACATGAGGCAGAAAGGTTATACGTAACATGCCCAAGGTCACACAGCTAGTAAGTTTAGGAGTTCTAATCAGTCTGATTCTCAACGTATCACGTGCTGTGCCAGATGGTAACACCATTAAGAGACACGACCTTGCCCTCAGGGAGCTCGCAATCTAGTGAGGAACCAGACATACAAATATGTCCTGCTATCACACCAGTATGTCTGGGTATATTCAAAGTGGTATGAAAGTTAAGAGGAAAGAGGCCTGTCTAGGTGAGGCATGGAAGGCTCTTGGGAATAATACTTTGGGATTTGAAGGATGAGTCGTGATTGTCCACCTAACCAGAGATCAGGGAAACTAGCATTCCAGGCAGGTGGAAAAAAATGCAAAGACCTGTAGGGTATCGGAGTTTGACTCACCCAGAAAGCATTCAGTAGCTTAGGGTATGTGAAGGAGGTGACAACAGAGGGGCTGGCACAATAGGTAGGGACCCAACTTATGGCATTTAAATTTTATCTTGGGTTATAGTAAGGCCCTAATGGATTTTAATCTGAAAAGTGGGATGTCATCAAGACTTGTATGACATGTTGGAGGGAACAAGGGGCAGGAAACCTGTGAGGAGACTTTCAGTCATGGGGAACAGAAGGTAGTGACAACAGAGATGGAAGCAAAGAGGCTGATAAAAGAGCTAAATGTAGAATTGACCTAACTTGGTGAACACTAGTTCTGTTATTATATTGGAACTCTCTAAAATGTACTCTTCAGCCTCGTAAAAGCCTTCTTAGGGATGCAAGTCTATGACTGAAGAGAAAAGGAAAGTCATTCACTCACTCATACCTGTTTCCCAAAGTCTGTCCTTGTTACAGACTTTGCAGATCAGGATGGGGCAGGCCCTGGAGGTCTGTTCAGACCCCGTTTCTCAGTGGCCCAAATAACATCAAGCTGTATTATACATAACATTCAGTCACATTATCAAATCATTTTAAGATTCACCATAACCCCTTAAGTTAGAACAAGTCTCATTTTATAGATGATGAAATAACGGAAGAGTTATGAGGAGTGCTGAAGCCAAATCCTCAAGAAATGGCAGAATTAAGATTTGAACTAAAGCCTGAAATCACGTGCTGGCAAGTGGTGGGTGCTCAGTAAATATCTGCTGAAAAAGCAAATGAATGAGTGAAGGTTTTTTTATTCCCAGCTCAGTTTACCTCGAGTCCATAAACAATTGATCCTAGAAGCCCACTGGGAATCCAGAGTAGACATAACACCTACCCTCGCTCCATTGAGAATCTATCAGTCCAGTTCAACTGAACAAGCATTTGTTAGGCCTAATAATGCCTGGCAATGAGCCAGTCTCCACCGCAGAAGAATTTCATTCCTATTTTGCTATTCTCCTCTCAGATGTTAAAATGAGGCAGGGAAATGACATGTGAAGCTCTTTGGGTCTACGGAGTCAAGATCTTCACAAAATCCTGAATGGATGTGCAAGAATAAGCCAGGTCCACAAGTCTGTGGCAAAGTGAGGAACTTCGGCAAAGCGGCCAGCGCCTGGACTGAGAGGCGGGGCCCGCAGGGCGATCCAAACGAAGGTGGACTTCTCCAACAGCCCAGGAGTGGGTCTGTGACCCCGCCGCCCAAGGCCGGGAATCTTACACTGGTTCTGCGGATTGGGAATTAGGAAGTAGGCGTTTTGAGGAACCATGGAAGCTAGCTAGCACTCGGGCACCTTCCCCTACCTCCCGCGCACTCTTCACACGACCACCTACTACGCGCAAGTCCCTCGGTGGAAGATGAGGCAGTAAAGGGAGGACCAAGACCCCTAATCGCAGCTTCCACTCCCCAAAGGAGAGTGGTGCACACGTTCAGTGCTACTGGTTCCCAAGGGCTAAAACCGGAGCCCCTAGGGGCCTGGACGCAACAAACCAAAGCCCAGCGGCCGGCCACTGAAAATGGGGGCAGGGGCCGCTGCGGAGCGATGAATCCTTTCCTCAGCCGCGCTCGGGCTGCCGGTTCGGCGGCCACAGGCCTGGCAGGCGCGTTAGAGACCTAGACCCGTTCCCAAGTAAGGGCCGCACGGGACCCAGGCCAGCAGCGGCAACTCGCGGAGCTTCAGCTCCCCTAGGAGCCAGAGCCGGGGGAGGCGGGGCCGAGAGCCGGGGGCGGGGCCCGGACGGGGGCGGGCCCGCGGTGACGTCGGGAGGGCAGCGACGCGCGGAGGCGGCGGCGGAGCCTCCTCCTGCTGCTGCTGCGCCCCATCCCCCCGCGGCCGGCCAGTTCCAGCCCGCACCCCGCGTCGGTGCCCGCGCCCCTCCCCGGGCCCCGCCATGGGCCTCACCGTGTCCGCGCTCTTTTCGCGGATCTTCGGGAAGAAGCAGATGCGGATTCTCATGGGTGAGGCAGATCGAGCGCGCGGCCCGGACCGGGGCGCCGGCCCCGGCGCAGCCCTTCCGCCCCCGCGTCCCTCCAGCCCCGCTCACCTGGGTCTCTGGCCCCGAGTCACCCACCTCATAACGCCCCGGGGCCTCTGCTCTCGGGCGGGTCCCGGTCTGCATCGCCGACCCCGGGGCCTGACACCCGGAGCTGCGGGCCTGGGTGGGGTGAAGCTCCCTCCGCCCCAGCCCGGCTGGTAAGAAGGGAGGATTCCGCCCTTGGAGACGACTTTTAAAACGAGCGCGGCCTACCTCCCGTGCCCCTTGCCTCCCAGTCCTCTCCCGCTCCGCGCCCTCTTTGGAGTTGGCTCACGCCACCCGACTGCCCTCCAGGCCTCAAAGGTAGATAACGACGCGCACCTGGAGGCGCTCCCGCTCTCCGCCCCAGTCACCATCAGCTGTTGTGGCCTCTCCCTTTCCCTGGTCTCTAGGGGGCTCCCTCGCTCCCATCTCCATCCCTGTGCCCCTTTCCGTTGCAGTTGGCTTGGATGCGGCTGGCAAGACCACAATCCTGTACAAACTGAAGTTGGGGGAGATTGTCACCACCATCCCAACCATAGGTGAGCCCGGGGACGAAGCAGGGAGCGGGAGCGCCGCGGCGGGCCCTCGCGGGGTCTGCTCCCAGTTCTGCCACTTTTCTGGAGCTGACCCTGACACCAGATACAGCTATTTGAGAAGTGGGTCAGGGTATCTCTACGTGGATACCGGAGGCAGGGTGGATGTGACCTAGCCCCGCCCTGTTGACCGCCAGTTCTGGGGTTCTGTTCCCCTGGGCCTTGATCATTGCCTTCTGGTTTTGTGTCCCTGCTGAAATCTAAGTAGTTTTAGTGAGTTCCTTTCTTTCAGGAGTTTTCTCATCTTTTTTTTCCAATTATCTGCAGGCTTCAATGTAGAAACAGTGGAATATAAGAACATCTGTTTCACAGTCTGGGACGTGGGAGGCCAGGACAAGATTCGGCCTCTGTGGCGGCACTACTTCCAGAACACTCAGGTGGAGTGTTGGGAGGGGACTTTCTAACCCCACGGGAAAAGGTGTTAGGGCTGGGAGAACAGAATTGTTGGCCTAGGCTGGGCCCCCAGGCCAAGGAAAAAACCCTTCCCCACTTCTACCCCTTCTGTTTGGCTATCCCCTACTCACTCTTCAGAACTCACCTTAGTCTTCCCCAGCTTGGACTTCTCTTTAGAAGCAGGATTCTGGGACCAGGCTGCCTGATTTAGCCCTCATAACATGTCTTTATTTCCTTGCACATCTTTGGATAAACTACTTCCTCTTTGCAGTGGGGTCTCTAGTTTGTGCCATGACTCCTGTAGAGCTTCTATAGAGTTCTGTAAACTTCTGTAGAGTTTACTAGATGAGAAGGATTGACACAATTACAAATGGGAAGAAAACAGAAAGGGCCACACTACGGTATGTCCCAGGCAGAAGTGATTGCTTCTCCTTTCTTCCTTCCTTCCTGCCCAGGGCCTCATCTTTGTGGTGGACAGTAATGACCGGGAGCGGGTCCAAGAATCTGCTGATGAACTCCAGAAGATGGTGAGTACCCAGAGCCCTGGGAACTGAGCCCTCAGCTTGGGGACAGAGTGATCTCTGTAGTGGTATAGAAGTCAGGGAGCCCCCAACAGGCATTGAAGACCAGGAATATAAGTTTTTCTTTGTGGACAGACACATTGTGTATCTCACCCTGTTTTGGATGGGAGTGACTTTTTCACTTTTTCTGTGCATTGTCTTGTCTTTTTTTTTTTTTGAAATGGGAGTTTTGCTGTTGTTGCCCAGGCTGGAGTGCAATGGTGCAATCTCGGCTCACTGCAACCTCCGTCTCCCGGGTTCAAGCAATTCTCCTGCCTCAGCCTCCCAAGTAGCTGGGATTACAGGCGCCCGCTGCCATGCCCAGTTAATTTTTGTATTTTTAGTAGAGACGGGGTTTCACCATGTTGGCCAGGCTGGTCTTGAACCCCCAACCTCAGGTGATCCACCCGTCTTGGTCTCCCAAAGTGCTGGGATTACAGGAGTGAGCCACTGCGCCCGGCCGCATTCTCATGTCTTTACATCTGAGTCTGAGAAGTTGTGGGAGAGATGGGACTTATATGTGGCAAAGAGAAACATTTTACATTCCTGCCTTTTCCATTTGGAAATGTTGTCATTTTGCCTAGGCAAGTACTCAAATTAGGAAAAGGTCTTTCTTTTCTGGACTTATGGGCTCAGGTCACCTCAAGCTCATTTACAACTATGTCTTGTCTTCAACGGCAGACTGCACAATACTTTTTTTTTCCAATCAAGATGCTAGGAGGTAGAAAGGGAATTCCCCAACACAGTAGAGGAGACGCAGCCTGGGTCCCACCTTCTCTTCTCCTCTCTCAGCTGCAGGAGGACGAGCTGCGGGATGCAGTGCTGCTGGTATTTGCCAACAAGCAGGACATGCCCAACGCCATGCCCGTGAGCGAGCTGACTGACAAGCTGGGGCTACAGCACTTACGCAGCCGCACGGTAGGGGTCCTGCCCACCTGGTGCTGAATCCTGCCTCTTGAGGGAAGCTGCAGGCTGGGACAGAGATATAAAGGCATTCCTTTTGTTCCTGGTTGCTGACCTCTTTCTTTCCTTTTCCCCACAGTGGTATGTCCAGGCCACCTGTGCCACCCAAGGCACAGGTCTGTACGATGGTCTGGACTGGCTGTCCCACGAGCTGTCAAAGCGCTAACCAGCCAGGGGCAGGCCCCTGATGCCCGGAAGCTCCTGCGTGCATCCCCGGGATGACCAGACTCCCGGACTCCTCAGGCAGTGCCCTTTCCTCCCACTTTTCCTCCCCCATAGCCACAGGCCTCTGCTCCTGCTCCTGCCTGCATGTTCTCTCTGTTGTTGGAGCCTGGAGCCTTGCTCTCTGGGCACAGAGGGGTCCACTCTCCTGCCTGCTGGGACCTATGGAAGGGGCTTCCTGGCCAAGGCCCCCTCTTCCAGAGGAGGAGCAGGGATCTGGGTTTCCTTTTTTTTTTCTGTTTTGGGTGTACTCTAGGGGCCAGGTTGGGAGGGGGAAGGTGAGGGCTTCGGGTGGTGCTATAATGTGGCACTGGATCTTGAGTAATAAATTTGCTGTGGTTTGTACACGGTGTTGTCTGTAGCCTGCAAAGGAGAGGCTAGGTTACTGGGTACCAAGAGACAACGTGGGAGAGGATCAAAGCAGCTAAGGCTGCAGGGCAACCCCACCCACACATACCCTCAGCTCAGCTTCTCCCTCCTTATTCTTGGGCTGGAAATACTGTAGGGTTTACAGTGGTGCAAATCTCATTCCTTCCCAGCTCCAAGGAGCCTTTGCTGAAGATTACAGGATCTCCCTTCATAGTTCCATGAACCACGTAATTGTTTCCCATCATTCTCGTAGCTACTTAGAGCCGTTCTTAATGTTTGCCTTACACATTAAAATTAGAGGGGGAGAGAATGTGCGTTAATAATACGAATCCTGAGGTACATTTCAGAAAATGTGATTCATCAGGACTAGTCTGATGCCCAACAATATGCATCTTTAAAATTACCCAGAGGAGGCCGGGCGCAGTGGCTCACGCTTGTAATCCCAGCACTCTGGGAGGCTGAGGCAGGCGGATCACGAGGTCAGAAGATCGAGACCACGGTGAAACCCCATCTCTACTAGAAAAAAAAAAATACAAAAAATTATCCAGGCGTGGTGGCAGGCACCTGTAGCCCCAGCTACTCAGGAGGCTGAGGCAGGAGAATGGTGTGAACCTGGGAGGCGGAGCTTGCAGTGAGCTGAGATCGTGCCACTGCACTCCAGCCTGGGTGACAGGGTGAGACTCCGTCTCAAAATAAATAAATAAATTAAATAAATAAATAAAATTACCCAGGGAATTCTGCCACTAATAGTCTATTACCCTTATTTTATAAAACATCGGTGGGGTCTGGGGCTTGTAGTTCCTTGCTGCACACCACTGAGACTCTTGCTACTTGGGAAGACCCCTCCTATGGGGAATAGGAAAGCAGGTATAAGGAACCACGGGTGGCTGGGCACTGTGGCTCATGCCTGTAATCCTAGCACTTTGGGAGGCTGAGGTAGGAGGATTGCTTGAGCCCAGAAGTTAAAGACCAGCCTGGGCAACATGGCAAGACCCCATCTCTACAAAAAACAAAAATAAAAAATTACCTGGGCATGGAGATGGACACCTGTGGTCCCAGCACCTCAGGAGGCTGAGGCGGGAGGATCGCTTGAGCTTGGGAGATCAAGGCTGCAGTCAACTGAGATGCACTCCAACCTGGCTAGCAGAGCAAGACCCTGACTCAGAAAAAGGAACCAGGGGTGTGGCTTATTCCCCAAGTGTGATCGACTGCCCATTTTCCCTTGGATCCTAGCCAGGCTTAGGCAGAACTCATCATCACTTGTTTTTGCCTTTGTTTTTCTTTCATGTCACTTTTCCAGGTTCTGAGCTGGGTTTTCTCCTCAAGCTTTGCAGGAAGTGAGTCCAAGAGACTATAACTCAGAGATTCTTTGGAGGGGAAAGATACCCTTGCAGGAGCTCTATCTGCCCAGCCAGATGTCCTACCCACTGGCAGAGCAGCTGGGGTTGAGGAGGGGTGCTTGGTGCTCTCTCCACCTAGGCCCTTCTCCTTACCCAGGTCCTGAGCCAGCCTTCCTGATGAATATGAGTAATTTGATGTCAACTGATTAACTAGGGTTTCCTCATACTCCCTGCAAAATAGCATCTGGAACATTTTGACCTCATCCTCCTAAGGGCCATAAAAGCTGATAGATTTTTCTTGGTTATCTTGAACTTAACAAAATACTTGAGTTGCAAGGGAGCCAGGCAGAACTCACTTCCTTGGGAGAAAGGAGGTTGCTTTCTATCCTGTTACCAGAATGAGAAACGGAGGTAAAGAAAGGAAAAAACTTGCCTAAATTCACAGGTTGAAGTTCCGGATCCTGGTCTCAGCTCAGCCTACTTTGGTGCCCAAAGGGGAATAGGAAGGCAAACACCGGAGGCTCTGCACCCGCCTCCTCTAGGCCATGGATTAATGCTGCTGCGCCAGGGCCCTTTCCCCACTGTGGTGTGATAAGAGGCTGCCCTCACAGTCACAATGCTCCCGGGTCACAGAGGTGCTGGGCCCCAGGCCAGCCTCTGCCTGGGAAGTTCTCTCTGGGAACATCTGGTGGGTACTACAGGCCCTATTCCAGGCCCTATGGCCTGTGGAACCTCACCACGGGGGGGAGGGCTGGGCCAGACGGAGACATCACCTGTGGTGTCAGCCCCATGGATGAGACAGAGTGGATACACAGACATCCCAAGGCTGAGGACCTAAGGGTTGGGCTCATCAGCTGGGCAGGAACCTACCTCACCTTTGAGGCATGCAAGAATACAGTCACTGCAACTGCGAAGAGTTTGGGCAGGAGACAGGTGACAAAGCAAACCCATGCTGGCACCAGTTTTCTGAGTGGCCAAGCTGTGTGTGTGTGTGTGCGCGCGCGCGTGTGTGTGCGTGAGTGTATGTGTGTGTGTGTGTGTATGTACTTGCCTGTATATGAAAGTATACTGGAACCGGTTTTCTGAGTGGCCAAGCTGTGTGTGTGTGTGTGTGTGTGTGTGTGTGTGTGTGTACTTGCCTGTATATGAAAGTATACTGGAACCAGTTTTCTGAGTGGCCAAGCTGTGTGTGTGTGTGTGTGTGTGTGTGTGTGTGCGCACTTGCCTGTATATGAAAGCAGGGTGTACTCTCAACCTAATCACTTTCCTAGGTTCTGCCAGTGCCAGGCCTGAGACTTTTCTACTCTAGGCTTTTGTTCACAGACCCTATTGCCCCATCTCCCACCTCTCAATTTATTCCGCAAGGTGAAGCCTCAGCCTTGCCCTTGCTGCCTTGTCCTGCTCTAACTGTCCCTATTCCCCATCCCAGCACAGGGTGGTTGTGTCAGAAAGAAGAGAAGTGGAGAGCACAGGGTGGTTGTGTCAGAAAGAGGAGAAGTGGAGAGCCCAGGTGGGAAAGCAGAATTGTGGGCATCCAGGGGAAGTTGGACCAGTGGAGTTATTGCAAAGCCTATGTTTCTGTTCTGGTTGTGGTTTGAGAATGGGGAACTCCAGAAGCCCTAGCAGTGTCGGTCTTCATTCTAGAGAGGAATGTAGGCACCTCTGGGATGGGTGCCAGACTGAGGCAGGGGCAAAGTTCTTCCTCTTATAACAAGGTTGATCACAGCTGAACCAGGCAGTTGCATCTGAACTGTTCATGCTCCCATCTTCATCCCTGGAGCCAGGGCCTGCCTATAAGAGCTTTTGCTTCTGTCTTGCCATGCTGGAAGGCAACCTTTGGGGATGGAGGTATTGGCTAAGTGTGCTCTCTGCGGACAACAGTGAGGAAGAAAAAAGTAAGACTTACACCAAAGCGTTTCTTTAAAAATTAGGTATTGAAGAGTGGGATTAAGAAAGGAGGGAGGGTTTACCTTCTGTTAGCTGAAGGAGGTAGACATCTAGAACTTCTCTTTGGATAGTGCCATCTGGCTGCAGGGGTGGAAGGGCCCAGAGATCTCTTGATGAGGGGATAGTGGGAAAGTGGAAGAGCTGACAGCAAGGAGATACCAGGGCTGATGTGGAAGAGGAGGTGGCTGGTGCTGATGAAGGTGCCAGGGTGATACCAGCCATGACAGTTGCAGGGCTCCTTGGTCTGGTAACTTCGTGATACTGATTTCCCTCTTCTCCCTCCTGATGCCTCCAGACCTGGGAGATCTTGGTGAGCAATGAGCATGAGACACAGGCCGTGGTGCGACTAAAGAGCGTGCAGGGCCTCTACCTGCTGTGTGAGTGTGATGGCACCGTGTGTTATGGCCGCCCAAGGACCAGCCACCATGGGTGCTTTCTACTGCGTTTCCACCGGAACAGCAAGTGGACCCTCCAGTGCCTAATCTCTGGTCGTTATTTGGAGTCCAATGGCAAGGACGTGTTTTGCACTTCCCACGTCCTCTCAGCTTACCACATGTGGACCCCCCGACCAGCCCTCCATGTCCACGTGATCCTCTACAGCCCCATCCACCGCTGCTATGCCCGGGCTGACCCCACTATGGGCCGCATCTGGGTGGACGCAGCAGTTCCCTGCCTGGAGGAGTGTGGCTTCCTGTTGCATTTCCGAGATGGATGCTACCACCTGGAGACCTCTACACACCACTTCTTGTCCCATGTAGACCGGCTGTTCTCCCAACCCTCATCACAGACAGCTTTTCACATGCAAGTGCGGCCTGGAGGGCTTGTGGCACTGTGTGATGGAGAAGGAGGCATGTTATATCCACAGGGCACGCATCTGCTCTTGGGCATGGGCTGCAACCCCATGAGGGGTGAGGAGTGGTTCATCCTACAGCACTGCCCAACCTGGGTCAGCCTCAGGTCAAAGACTGGGCGGTTCATCTCAGTCATCTACGGCAAGTGCTGGACCCAACACAGATGGAGGGAGAGAGGGCTGGCTGTTAAAAAGAGGAAAATGTGTTTGGGATCAGCACAGATTTTTGAGTCTGCTAATAAGGAAGATCCTGGGGACCCAAGGGGATCTTTTGTGCCATCGAGAAGGACAGAAAAGCATGGGTATGGGATTTAGGGGAAAGTTGCCTAGGTCTTCTCCAGACCTACCATGGTCCAACAGAAAGTGATGAAGTTTGAGGAGGGAGGGACAGAAGCCCCGGTCATAAAACATGGAGGAGGGGCCGAGACTGAGGGGAGGCTTTTACTGACATGCGCTTCCTCTGCAGATGGTGAGGTGCGTGCTGCTTCTGAGCGCTTAAACCGAATGTCCTTGTTCCAGTTTGAATGTGACAGTGAGAGCCCCACTGTGCAGCTTCGTTCAGCCAATGGCTACTACCTATCCCAGGTGAGACCTTGGCTTCCTGAGCAAGAGAAACCTTAAGCTCTGAGCTCTCCCTCCCTAGACTTCCTTCTCCTTTTTCAAGGCAAATGATGAGAGGATGATGTGGGCTGTGGAGGCACTTGTTGATAAACATTCATTTTCACCCAATGGGGGCTCCTTTAAAAAAAAAAAACAAAAATCAACTTTATTAAGGTATAATTTGAAAGTTTGTAAATTATATAATACACATATGTATAAATTATGTATATTATTTACAAATAAGTATATTATGTATGTTTTATAAATAAAATGCACCTATTAAGTATAAAATTCAGTAAGTTTTGACAAATGTATCCATCCATGCAACCATGCCGTAAGCATATCACAAGTGAGAAAATATTTCCAACACCACAAACTTTCCTCCTGCTTCTTTGCAGTCAGTTTCCCTCCACCCTTGCCTCCCTCTCCCAGCTACCACTGATCTGTGTTCTGTCTCCGTGAATTAGATTTGCCTACCTACTTTAGCGTTTCTGATCAATGGAAACATACAGTATGTATGGTACATACATTTCTTGTGCTTGGCACAATGTTTTTAAGGTTCGTTCACATAATGTTCGTGTGTCAGTAGTTCATTCCTTTTTATTGCCGAGTGGTATTCTATAATGCTGCTCATAAACATGATTTGTTTATCTATTCACTTGTTGATGAACACTTGGCTTGTTTCTAGTCTGGGCTATTATGAATAAAGTTGCTATAAGCATTCATGTACAAGTCTTTTTGTGAACATACATTTTCATTTATCTTGGGTAAATATGTAGGAGTGGAATTACTAGGTTGTATAATAGATATGTGCTTAACTTTGGAAGAAAGTGTCAGTTTTCTAAAGTGATTATACTATTTTACATTCTTGTCAATAACGTATGAGGGTTCTAAGAATTCCATATCCTCACCAATAGTAAAGCTGGCTTTTGGATTGTCTTTTTTATTTTAGCCACTCTAGTGGGTGTGTAATTTATGGATTTAATTCACATTTACCTTATAATTAGTAAGGTTTAGAATTTTTTTTTTTTTTTTGAGATGAAGTCTTGCTCTGTTGCCTGGGCTGGAGGGCAGTGGCTCAGTCTCGGCTCACCACAACCTCCGCTTCCTGGGTTCAAGAGATTCTCCTACCTCAACCTCCCAAGTAGCTGGGACTACAGGCATGCGCCACCATGCCCAGCTAATTTTTTGTATTTTTAGTAGAGATGGGGTTTCACTACATTGGCCAGGCTGGTCTCGAACTCCTGACCCCATGATCTGCCCGTGTCAGCCTCCCAAAGTGCTGGGATTACAGGCATGAGCCACCGTGCCCGTTTTCATGTGCTCATTGGACATTTGTATATCTTCTCTGTGACATATCTATTCAGATGCTTTGCCATTTGTTACTGGGTTGTTTGTCTTATTAATGCGTTGTAAGTGGTCTTCATGTGTTCTAAATCCAAGTCCTTTGCCAAATATATGTATTGCAAAAGTTTTCTCCAAACCTGGGGCTTACCTTTTTATTTGTTTAATGGATCTTTTGAGAAGCAAGTTTTTAATTTCAGTGAAGTTCAGTTTATCAATTTTTTTAAATGGTTACTGCTTTTCTTGTCCCAAGAAATCATTGCCTACCCCAAAGTTGCAAAGAACTTCTCTTATGTTTTCTTCTAGATGTTTCATAGTTTAACTTTCACTTTTATGCCTATGATCTACTTTAAAATGATTTTGGAGTCAAGACTGAGGTTTATTTCTCTCCCTATGATATCCTGGCGTAGTTTTTATGCTGTGCTCTGGGATACAGCACAGACTGGGGGAAGGGGAAGAGCTGAGGCCACAGCACATCTTCCAAAAAGGTTCTGAAAGCATCAACTCTGGGAGCATGAAAAAGGCTGATGAGTGGGATGTGGGAAGAGGGTCTAGGAATAAAACTGATGGGAAGAAAGCTGAGATTGTCAGTCCTTACTCCTCATCTCTGTTTCTGACATTCTTTCCAGAGGCGCCACAGGGCAGTAATGGCTGATGGGCACCCCCTGGAGTCTGACACGTTCTTCCGAATGCACTGGAACTGTGGCAGGATCATCCTGCAGTCCTGCAGGGGGCGCTTCCTGGGCATTGCACCCAACAGCCTGCTGATGGCCAATGTCATCCTTCCAGGTGAGTGGAGCAGCCTTCCTGCCAGATGATTCCAAGTCAGGGAGAACTTTAGAGGGAGGTGGAATATGATTGTTAAAAAGAGCACTGAAGGCCGGGCGTGGTGGCTCATGCCTGTAATCCCAGCACTTTGGGAGGCTGAGGTGGGTGGATCACGAGGTTAGGAGTTTGAGACCAGCCTGACCACGTGAAACCCCATCTCTACTAAAGATACAAAAATTAACCAGACATGGTGGTGCGGGCCTGTAATCCCAGCTACTTAGGAGGCTAAGGCAGGAGAATTGCTTGAACCTGGGACTTGGAGGTTGCAGTGAGCCAAGATCGTGCCACTGCATTGCAGCCTGGGCGACAGAGCGAGACTCTATCTCCAAAAAAAAAAAAAAAAGTACTGGAGTTGGGGTCGGAAGATTTGGGTCTGTACTTGTTCAGTCACTGAATTTTTGTCATCACTTGAGCAAAGCACCTCCTTGAGCCTCAGTTTTGTCGTCTATAAAAATGAACATTTCATTGTCTACAACTCTGCAGCCTCACAGAGTTGTCATGAGGATTAAACACATCAACACATCTCAAAGGAAGGAAGAATATTAAAGCTTCTTGGGTTTCGCATGTGCTAGGTACTCTCACAAACATTTCACAAGCACCTAGCATAAGACCTGACACATAGTAGGTGTTCATTCACTGTTAAAATATTGACCACACCCTTCTGCAATTAGCGTCCCCCCTCCTGCTTCCACTTGGGAAAACACCTAAAGGCAGCCCATCCAGATAACTCCTTCCTATTTCCTTCAGGCCCAAATGAGGAATTTGGGATTTTATTTGCCAATCGCTCCTTCCTTGTATTGCGAGGTCGTTATGGCTATGTGGGCTCCTCATCGGGCCATGACCTCATACAGTGCAACCAGGATCAGCCCGACCGCATTCATCTACTACCCTGCCGACCGGGTATCTACCACTTCCAGGGTGAGTGGCTCCTCTTCCCTGCCCAAGGGTTCACAGTCTAGTCCCTGCCTTAGCCCCAGCTCAGACTTCAGGGCCTGCCACTCAGGGCTTGCTCATTATAAAAGGAAAAACAGGCCAGGCGCAGTGGCTCATGCCTGTAATCCCAGCACTTTGGGAGGCTGAGGCGGGCAGATCACGAGGTCAGGAGATGGAGACCATCCTGGCTAACACGGTGAAACCCCGTCTCTACTAAAAATACAAAAAATTAGCCGGGCGTGGTGGCGGGTGCCTGTAGTCTCAGCTACTTGGGAGGCTGAGGCAGGAGAATGGCGTGAACCCAGGAGGCGGAGCTTGCAGTGAGCCAAGATCACGCCACAGCACTCCAGCCTGGGCGACACACCGAGACTCCGTTTCCAAAAAAAAAAAAAAGGAAAAACAGGACCTCTGTTGTTTTCACACTTCAAAGCCCCAGGGTGGGTTGGCAGAACAGAAAACAGTGGAATCCCTATTGGCGCTCCTGCATTTCCATAGAAGGACCCGCCAATGCAGGCAGGATGGGGCAGCTAGGGGAGGGTGGCATGCCTCCACAGAGTCCCTCCAAGGCCAGATCGCTGGAGGACTCCCCTGTGAATGGCCCACCAACCTGAGCTCTTCCTTCTCCAGCACAGGGGGGATCCTTCTGGTCAATAACATCCTTTGGCACCTTTCGCCCTTGGGGCAAGTTTGCCCTCAACTTCTGTATCGAGCTTCAGGGGAGCAACTTACTCACTGTACTGGCCCCCAATGGCTTCTACATGCGAGCCGACCAAAGTGGCACCCTGTTGGCAGACAGTGAAGACATTACCAGAGAGTGTATCTGGGAATTTTAGGTAAGGGAGAGGAACAGGTAAGGGGCTAGGGGAGCAGAAGCCATGGGGCAAGAGGAGAAGGGAGGTGGGTGGGGAGGCATGTGATGGGAAGACCAAAATGCACTCCCAGGCTGACTTCTGTCCCATAATTTGATCAACTCCAGACATTTATTCCTAATCTGTGCCATTTCTTTAGAGCTTACAAACCTGGGCTTGCTAGAAAGGGGAGACAGTTTCCCACTGCTATGCCACACTGACAGGTGGGCTTGGAAGCACGCTTGGAGGGGACAGGGTGAGGTGTTCTTGTACATTTCTATCTCCATTAAGATGCAGAATTTCACTCTATTTTTAGGGAAAACGGATGACTTTGATCATGTGTGTAGGTGAAAAAAAAGATGTGCTTTCTATCCTTTGCACCTTCTATCCCTACCTCTTGGACCCCTGGGTCTCTTGAATATTTTCCTCAGCCCCAACCCTTCTCCTGACCTCTAATGTCATGTCTCTCCAACCTCCTGATAGACAGTTGACTTGACTTCGTCCTGCCAGTTCCTAAAAATCAACATAGCTGATATCAGCCTGCTCATCTTCCCTTCCTAAGGTGATCCTGTTTTCCTGCCTTCCCCAGGGCCATCTTGGGCATTCCCTCCTCCCAAATGCTCAGGCTCAAGAGCTCAGCATGATCTCTCCACCCTTTCTTTCACTTCCTTCATCAAACCCTGCAAATACTTGGCTACTTCTTTAACAATGCCTCTTGTGTGCTTGCTCCTTCTTAATTACCATTGCCACCACTTGGCTCCAGGCTTTTCTCCAGAAGCACTGCTTCTAGGGCTCCCCGAAAGCATTTCCTGCTGCCAGATCTGTCCATCCAATCTCATCTCCGACATCCAATCTCATCTCCACAGTTTGCTTTTATAACGTGGCGCTTCCCTTCCATCATTCCCTGTTCACACTCTTCAGGGCACCTTGTTGCTCTTTGTCCTGTCCCTTCCTAATGGACCTCACTTTCCTGACTTATTGTGCAAAGTGCTTTGTTTTTTACATCACACAGACCTGGAATCAAGAGCTATTAAGCTTCTTCCTTTAAGTTAACTTCACATGTGTCTAGGGTGGATCCCTCATCAAGAATAGGATAAATCACTATATTCTTTTTCTCCCACAGGATCTGACCCAGTATTCTAAAAGCCAGAGATCAGCAAATGACTGACTTGATTGCTGACCATTTATATTTCCTCTTTCCTCTCCAGGTCAATGGGATGTCACCTACCAAAATCCAAATCCTCCAGGAAAAACTACTACACTAAATGGACCAGGAACCTCAGAGTCAAGATCCAAGAGAAGAACATCTGTTACAACTTTTCCTACCCAGTTTAGCAAAACACCTGTTTTATGCAACAATACATCACAACAGGCCACCCCCAAGATCCTTGTGTGCATCTGACTCAATATAGAATAGGGGTCTGGATGAGGGTTGAAACAGACACCCCAGGCTGCTCTAAGTTCTATACAGGAGAGACCAAATGGCAAGCAGTTCTTCCACTGATCTTCCCCGTCCCCATCCAGAACTGCTAGACTTTTTCCAGTGAACCCATGAGCAGCCAGCATTGCCCTGAAGGGTTTAGAATCCAGTTATGACTTTAAATATCTTTTTGGTTTAGAAAAAAGGAAAGATTGTTAATCTCGTGAGCACAGGATAATGGTAATAACACCTTATGCCTGTATAGGCCACTTTACCTCCTCCTACCACGATTTATTTAACTTCCCCACCCATCATTACCTTTTTTCCAGTGAAGTGGGTACTTCCTCCACCACTTCTTACCTTTTTTTTTTTTTTTTTTTTTGACAGAGTCTTGCTCAGTCACCCAGGCTGAAGTGCAGTGGCAGTGGTGTGATCTTGGCCCACTGCAACCTCCGCCTCCCGGGTTCAAGCAATTCTCCTGCCTCAGTCTCCCAAGTAGCTGGGATTACAGGCGCCCGCCACCACCCCAGCTACTTTTTTTTTTTTTGTATTTTTAGTAGAGACGGGGTTTCATCATGTTGGCCAGCCTGGTCTCGAACTCCTGAACTCAGGTGATCCACCCGCCTCGGCCTCCCAAAGTGCTGGGATTACAGGTGTGAGCCACCGTGACCGGCAGACTTCTTACCTTTCACAGACAGCAAAAGTGATTTGCCCAAGATCTCATGACTAATCACAACACAGCTAGGCTTCTGACTCAAATCCAACTCTAATGTCCACCATTCTTTCAGTCAAAGCAGGATTTCCAAAATGTCTGTCATTCTTACACTGTTTTTGTGATTTTGGCCTTTATCTACCTACCATCTGCCCTATTAATGTTTTTATTGACATAGACTCTTAAATACATTTATTTAGAAAGGAATATTTTTTCACTATCATAAAATGGAAAACCAGTATCACTTACCATAAGTGGAAAATGACTATAAAAATAAATACAGGTATACCTCAGAGATATTGTGGGTTCAGTTCCAGACCACTGTGATAAAGCAAATATGGCAATAAAATAAGTCACACAAATTTTTTGGTTTCCCCAGACATATAAAAATTATGCTTACAGTATACTATGAAGTATGCAATAGCATTATGTCTTAAAAACAATGTACATACCTTAATTTTAAAATACTTTATTGCTAAAAAATGCTAATGATCGGCCGGGGGCAGTGGCTCACACCTGTAATCCTAGCGTTGGGCATTAGGGAGGCCTAGGCAGGCAGATCACTTAAGGTCAGGAGTTTAAAACCAGCCTGGCCAGCATGTTTGAAACCCCATCTCTACTAAAAATACAAAAAATTAGCCGGGTGTGGTGGCAGATGCCTGTAATCCCAGCTACTCGGGAGGCTGAGGTAAGAGACTCACTTGAACCCAGGAGGCGGAGGTTCCAGTGAGCTGAGATGGCGCCACTGCACTCCAACCTGGGCAAAAGAGCAAGACTCCATCTCAAAAATATACATATATATGCTAATGATCATTTGAACCTTCAGTGAGTCATAATCTTTTTGCCAGTGGAGGATCTTGCCTCAATGTTGATGGCTGCTAACTGATCAAGGTGATAGTTGCTGAAGGTTGGGGTAGCTGTGGCGATTTCTTAAAATACGACAATAAAGTTTGCTGCACTGATTGATTCTTTCTTTCACAGATGATTTCTCTGTGGTGTGTGATGCTGTTTGATAGCTTTTGACCCACAGCAGAACTTCTTAAAAAGTTGGAATCAATTCTCTCAAACCCTGTTGCTATTTTATCAATTAAGTTTATGTAATGTTCTAAATCTTCCATTGTCATTTCAGAAATGTTCACAGCATTTTCAGTAGGAGTAGATTCCATCTCAAGAAACCACTTTCTGGCCCGGCGCGGTGGCTCAGGCCTGTAATCCTAGCACTTTAGGAGGCCAAGGCGGGCGGATCATGAGATCAGGAGATCAAGACCATCCTGGCTAACACAGTGAAACCCTGTCTCTACTAAAAATACAAAAAATTAGCCAGGCATGGTGGTGGGCGCTTGTAGTCCCAGCTACTCGGGAGGCTGAGGCAGGAGAATGGCGTGAACCCGGGAGGCAGAGCTTGCAGTGAGCCAAGATCACACCACTGCACTCCAGCCTGGGCAACAGAGCAAGACTCTGTCTAAAAAAGAAAACAAAAACAAAAAACAAAAAACAAAAAAAAAACACTTTATTTGCTCTTCCATAAGAAACAACTCTTCACCAGTTCAAGTTTTATCACAAGATTATAGTAATTCAGTCTCATCTTCAGGCTCCACTTCTAATTCTAGTTCTCTTGCTATTTCACCACATCTACAGTGGTTTCCTCCAATGAAGTGTTAAATTCTTCAAACTCATCCATGAGAGTTGGAATAAACTTCTTCCAAACTCCTGTTACTATTAATATTTTGACCTTCTCCCATGAATCATGAATGTTCTTAATGGGCATCTAGAGTGGTGAATTCATTTCAGAAGGTTTTCAATTTACTTTGCTTGGATCCATCAGAGGAATCACTAATGTAAGACAGGTATAGCCTTATAAAATGTATTTCTTAAATACTAAGACTTGAAAGTCAAAATTACTCCTTGATCTGCAGGCTGCAGAATGGATGTTAGGTTAGCAGGCATGAAAACAACATGAATCTCCTTACACATCACCATCAGAGCTCTTGGGTTACCTCTCAATTAAGGCATTGTCAATGAGCAGTAATATTTTAAAATCAATATTTTTTTCTGAGCAGTAGGTCTCAATAGTGGGCTTAAAATATTCCATAAACCACGCCATGAACAGATGTGCTGTCATCCAAGATTTGTTGTTCCATTTACAGAGCACAGGCAGAGTAGATTTAGCATTATTCTTCAGGGCCCTAGGATTTTCAGAATGATAAATGAGCACTGGCTTCCACTTAAAGTCACCAGATGCAGTAGCTCCTCACAAGAGAGTCAATGACTGTCTGTTGAAACTTTGAAATCAGGCATTGACTTCTCCTGTGTAGTTATAAAAGTCTAGATGGAATCCTCTAATAGAAGCCTGTTTTATCTATATTGAAATCTGTTGTTTCGTATAGCCACCTTCATCGGTGATCTTAGCTGGATCTTCTAGATCTTGCTGCAGCTTCTATAATACATCAGCACTTGCTGCTTCACTTTGCACTTTTATGTTATGGAGATGGCTTCTTCCCTTAAGCCTCATGAACAAACCTCTGTTAGCTTCAAACTTTTCTTCTGCAGCTTCCTCATTTCTCTCAGCTTCATAGAATTGAAGAGAGTTAGGGCCTTGCTCTGGATTAGGCTTTGGCTTAAGAGAGTGTTATGGCTGGTTTGATCTATCCAGGCAACTAAAACTTTCTCCTGTCAGCAATAACACTATTTTACTTTCTTATCATTTGTAGGTTCACTGGAGTAGCCCTTTTAATTTCCTTCAAGAACTTTTCTTTTGCATTCACAATTTGCTAATAACTGTTTGGCAAAAGAGGCCTCACTTTCCACCTATCTCAGCTCTCAACAGGTCTTCCTTACTAAGCTTCATCATTTCTAGCTTTTGCTTTAAAGTGAGAGATGTGTGACTGTCCTTTCTTGAACACTAAGAGGGAATTGTAGGGTTATTCATTGGCCTAATTTCAATATTGTTGTCTTAGGGATTAGGGAGGCCTGAGGAGAGGGAGAGAGAAGTGGGAAAGGCCAGTCCGTGGAGCAGTCAGAACACACATCACATTTATCAATTAAGTTCACCATTTTATTTTATTTTATTTTAGACAAAGTCTCGCTCTGTCACCCAGACTGGAGTATAGTGGTGCAATCTCAGCTCACTGCAACCTCCGCCTCCCGGGTTCAATGGATTCTCCTGCCTCAGCATCCCAAGTAGCTGGGATTATAGGCAAGTGCCGCCACACCCAGGTAATTTTTGTATTTTTAGTAGAGACAGAGTTTCACCATGTTGGTCAGGTTGGTCTCAAACTCCGGACCTCAAGTGATCTACCTGCCTCGGCCTCCCAAAATGCTAGGATTACAGGCGTGAACCACCAAGCCCAGCCAAGTTTACCATTTTATATGGGTGTGAGTTGCAGCGCCCCAAAACAATTACAATAGTAACATCAAAGACCATTAATCACAGGTTACCATAACAGATAACAATGAAAAAGTTTGAAATACTGCAAGAATTACCAAATTACCAAAATGTGACACAGAGACAGAAAGTGAGCACGTGCTCTTAGAAAAGTGGTACCAACAGACTTGCCACAAACCTTCAATTTGTTTAAAAAAAAAAGCAGTATCTGTGAAATGCACTAAAGCAAAGTCAAAGTGCACTAAAATGAGGTGCACCTGGATAATGAAAATAAAGTGATGATATAAAATCCTAGTTAAACTTTTCTTCCCTGCCCAAGGCTCAGAGCCTGAGGTTCCTTTTCCCTTTACTAATAAAGGAGATGAACAACTTTTTTTTTTTTTTTTTTTTTTTTTTTTAGACAGAGTCTTGCTCTACTGCCCAGGCTGGAGTGCTGTGGCATGATCTGGGCTCACTACAACCTTCACCTCCCAGATTCAAGCAATTCTTCTGTCTCAGCCTCCCGAGTAGCTGGGACCACAGGCTCCTGCCACCACGCCCGGCTAATTTTTGTATTTTTAGTAGACACAGGGTTTCGCCATGTTGGCCTGGCTGGTCTCAAATTCCTGACCTCAAGTGATTGGCCGCCTCAGCCTCCCAAAGTGTTGGGATTACAGGTATGAGCCACCGCACCCGGCCAACAACTATTAAAGTGGCACCAAAGACTAGGACCAAAATGAAACTTTCTCCTTGATACAATCAGAATTGAAAGGGAGTTGAAAAGGGAATAATTTTCTCACTTCTGACTCAATATTATTTGAATCAACATACACACGCTTCCTAAAACATTCTTAAATACCAACAGTGCTGCCTATTCCCCACTTTGGAAAATTTGCCCCATACCATAATGAATGTCTGATTTTTAAATCTGTTGACAAGAGAAGGCTGAAACTGGAACATAAGAGAGATTCAGTTTGGATAGAGGAAAATGACTTTATTTTTTGTAAGTATATCACCCCTCAGGAGATATAAAATAATTTTTAAAAAATTTCAGTCCAGTAATAGGTGAGGTAAGTGAAAAGTGAGAACACTGGAGGTGAGGGCATCTCCTTTCCTAGAAAGCATTAAGAATAGGCCACTTGCTGGGTGCAGTGGCTCACGCCTGTATTCCTCGGGAGGCCGAGGCAGGAGGATCACTAGAGCCCAGGAATTTGAGACCAGCCTGGGCAACACAGTGAGACTTTGTCTCTACTAAAAATACAAAACAATTAGCTGGGCATGGTGGTGTGCACCTGTACTCCCAGCTACTTGGGAGGCTGAAGCAGAAGGATTGCTTGAGCCTGGAGGTCGAGGCTGCAGTGAGCTGAGGTTGCACCACTGCACTCCAGCCTGGGCAACAGAGAAATAACGTGTTTCAAAAAAAAAAAAGATATTGCTCTATTAACCTTGAAATTTTATATCCACATATGTGCAGTGGGATATGCTCTTCAGAGAGATAGGACCTTGGAGGTCATTTAATGCCGAATCTCTCCCTCAGTATTCTAATCCCCCAGCTACCTGCAGGGGATGCATTTAAGACTTCCAGCAGATACCTGAAACCACAGATAGTACAATATCATACATATACTCTTTTTTCCTATGCATACACACCTAGGGTAAAGTTTAATTTATAAATTAGGCACAGTGAGAAGTAAACAATACTAATAGTAAAATAGAATGATTATTACAAATGCCGCTATCGCTACTCTTGCACTTTGGGGCCATTATTAAGTAAAATAAGGGTTACTTGAACACAAGCACTGCAATGCCAAGACAGTTATCTGATAATCAAGACTACTACTGACTAGTGAGCAGGTAGCATAGACAATATGGAGATGCAAGATTTCTCAAGCTACTCAGCATGCAATTTAAAATCAATGAGTTGCTTATTTCTGGAATTTTCCATTTAATATCTTCAGGTTGCAGTTAATCACAAGTAACTGAAACCCAAAAAGCAAAACCATGGACAAAGCGGGGAATACTGCACACACTCAGGTGCATGGGCATGCATGTGTGTACGCACATGCATGCACACATGTACACACACACAGACACACACACAGACACACACACACACAATCTTATGCCCTGTTCCCCACATGGCCAACTGTCACGGGATCCTTGAGGGGTTGCTTTTCCAGCCGGAAACTTCTGTGGCTAGTGGTGCCTTTGCCTGAGTTTTGCTCAGGCTGCTGGGCTCATTCCACACACTCGGCCTAGCAGCCTGCACTCAGCTCGTGCTACTGTCCTGGATCACCTGCCAAGAGTGAGCCAGGAGTGGAGCAGTGAGGGGTGTGTGAACAAGCGGGGGGTCTAGCCACTGTGCACAGCCAGGCATGCCGGCTGTGGGGGGCAGGCAGCTCCAGGTGCTGGTACAGATGCCGGCTCTGTGCAAGGCTTCAGCAGGACCACAAGAAGCTTCCACTGCAGGTGCTGGGGAATGAAGTGGTGCCTGGAAATTTGGAGATGCCAGGAACCACAGGGCCCCAAAGAGGGTATCACAGCCCTGGCTCGGGGAACCCCTATGTCTGGGGTCCCTGAACGGCCACAGCTCTTCTCTCTTTCTCATCACCCACAACATGGTGAGTGTGTGTGTGCGAGTGTTTCAGTTCTGTTGGTGTTACAGCTCTTTCAGTCCCACCATTTGGTGGATCTGGAGTTTTTGTCCCATGTCCAGGAAGAATGAGGTATGTGGACAACTGCAGGGTGAGCAAGGCAGAGAGGAGCTTCATTGAGCAACAGAACAGCTCTCAGAAGACCGGAAGTAGGTAGGTCCTTTCTGCCGGCAGGTCATTTCAACTAGTCGAGGACACCTGAGGTGGGTAGCTCCTTCCCTTAGCTGGTAGTCCCAATGTCTGTGTGACTCTGGCTGAGTCCTGGGGTTTTTATGGGCTCAGAAGGGAGGAGTGTGTGCTAACTGGTCCATAAGTGGCCATGGGTAGGTCTGGAAAAAGCACCATCCGATTGGCCAAAGGGTCAACAATGAAGTCCTCACTCTGGGCCTCCTACTTCACCCAGAACTGGCAGCCTGGCCCCCAGGCTTCAGGCCATTCTTGGCTTAAAGGTGGGGTTTCTCTGCAGAATTGCCCCTTTCCGCCCAGGAACCTGTCTGCCTCCCACTATCAACATGCTATCCATGGCACCCAGGCTGTTTGTGCTGAGGGGTGCCTGCAGACCCACACTAAGATGCCCTCAGTCCCCTCCCTCTGGCCTTTCTCCTGCACTTGTTGGCACCCAAAGTCTGGAGGGGGCCAAGGTGGTAGGGGGGCTGGTGTGTCAGTGCCACCCAGAGCATGCACACACCCAGCCAGGTCATGACAGTGCCCAGGTGCAGCCACAACTTTATTCCACAACCGAGTGGACTCTGGGGGCAAGGAGAAGCCAGGGAGTGGGAGCAGGCACTTCTAAGCCTGTGGGGCAGGGGCTTCCTGTGCCCCTGAGAGTGCAGGGATGCCTGGGTCTGGAGCCACAGCTAGGCAGCTGCAGCTGTGTCCAGGAGCACCGCGCTCCCACCCTGCCAACTCTGTTGGGGGCGTGGCTCCTGCCTGTTCCGGGTTCCCGCTGTCCTTGCAGAGCACACAACCCCAGCCATGCCTCCCCATCTGCAGCCAGCATCTTCACAGCAGCAGCTCAAGATGGGTTGCCACTACCACCACAACCATGAGGCCTCAGCTGAGACAGCTCCTTTCTGTTCTGCCTAGCAGGACCTCCAGCTTGAAAGTATAGAAGGCAAGGCAGGGGCAAGATGTGCTCTATTACCCTTGAAATTTCATTCTAGAGCTGTGCAGTCCCATAGAACTTTCTGCAATGACTGAAATGCTCGATAGTCCTTACAAGCCACATGTAACTACTGAGCATTTGAAATGTGGCTAATGTGAGTGAAGAACTGCATTCTTCTTTTTTTTTTAATGTGAATTACATTTAAATAGTCACATGTGGTTGGTGGCTACTTATTTAACAGCACAGTTCAGCACAGCACAGTATTTGATAATGAAGAGGCCTCTTGAATGACGTCTTCTGGATCAGTACCTATCCCAGATAGGAGTAAACAATGCCCCCACCTCCCCGCCCGCCGACCAGCATTGCACCATCATTATCCATCGCCTGACTTTCAAAAGGGAAAGAATTTGGAAGGATGAGCCTATCCTCCTTGCTGAATATCCGATTCTTCACCGCCTTTCCCCCATATTCCTCCCTTTCTCCACATCCTGAGACTTCTCAGGAAGGGCCTAGACCTTTATTTGAAGGGACAGAATTGAGAAGGTTTGGAACTTACTGCCAAAAGGACCAAGCAAACATGCCCCTGGAGCATGTATAAATAAAGCACATATAAATGGAAAGCAGAATATGAAAAATGGCATTTCACTCTGTTTGCTGCTATGACAAAAATACATATGCAAATACAAAATACATATGCAAATACAAAATACATATGACAAAATACATATGACAAAAATACATAATTTTCTTAGATTAAGAAGTTACAGTAAATTTTCTTAGATGTGGATATATTATTGTGATTATGTAAGACAAGTTTCTTGTTTTTTGGGGATGCATGCTGGAAGATTTAGGAATAAAATGCCATGATATAATGTCAGTGTGTGTGTGTGTGTGTGTGTGTGCGCGCACGCATGCACGCATACATAATACACATATAGATGCATACATAGAGTAGGTAAATTGATGCATTGACAAATACATTGTTTAGATACATGTATTGCCTACATACATGCATAGATTAGATGGTAGATACATAGATGTAAATAAATGATAGGGCAAATTGTCTATAATTGTTGAATATTAGAGTGGGCATAGGGGTGCTCATAGGGAAAACATGATGGACAACAGAACTACTGCTAATAAAAACAGCTTTTATTACTGCTGAGTGGAGGCCTCTTAAGGCTAGTGTGAGAAGTGGGTGGGTGTTGCTTTACCAGCCCCTCCAATCAGGTGATGCGCCAGAGAGGCATCGAGGCAGGGCCAGGCAACGTCCACACAGGAGGGAGCAATCACAGGAAGGAGGAAGGAGCCACAGTCTGTATGGGCAGGACGGTAAGGACAATGGGCAGGATGGTATTAGATCTTCTCTATGCCATCTCCTTCCCACTCCTGCCTCATTCCAAGCCATACAGTAGTGGGCAGCCAGGCCAGAGCAGGGCCTGAGAGCCACTAAGACTGGCCAGGTGACAGTGGGAGGAAGGGCAAGGAAGGCAAAGCAGTCCTGAGTCCAGGGAATTCGGCTGTGGGGGCAAGTGGCCTGTGGGGACAAATAGAGAGAGCTTGGGGTTATTGCTCCCACCCCACCTCTCAAAGTCACTATGGGAGAGAGGCTGAGACATCAGTTTCCCACCCTGCATATACACACTTGAATCCCAGTCTCACATCCTTTACCTGCTATGGCTGTCAGTGATACCATAGACTCAGGGGTTACTAGTCTCCGTAATTTTGTGGACCATGCAAAGAATGAGGAAAGCTGTATTGAGATTCCTTTGATGACCCCCAATGGAGATCCATGCCCTCCTGGAGGTTGAGTCAGTCGACCCTCCCTACATCCTGCAGGACTGAGGCCTGGCCTGAATTCTTACCCCAGCAGGGCTTGAGACAGGCTTTAGGTGGGGTGTCACTCAGACACCTTTCTGGTGCTGTTGCCCAGCACAGCTGATAGCAGGAGGGACCCAGTGGTTCCAGGGCAGGCAGGGCTGCTGTGGGCACACTGCCAGGGGACTGCTAAAAAAAAAAAGCAAGAGAAGAACCTTAGCTTCCAGTGATGCCTCCTGTAGAGAACGCCGGGACCCCAGAGCTGCCTGCCACCCAAGTAGTATCCTGCACAACTCCAGAGGGCACCATTCACATAGTAGACTTTGGGTTAGTACTTTCTTGACATGAACACTGTGGGGCCCTGGAGAGCCGGAGATCCTGGCTCAGGCCAGAAATGGAAGAGCCCATGAGCCCTTCAGTCTTCCCAGGGCACAGACTCCCCTCTCCTCCCGAGTACCTGTGCAGAGATGATTCCTGGGGCAACCCTTGGTACAGTCAGCCCCTGGGAAGCACCTATAAAATGAGAGTGAATCCACTCAGAAGGAGGAATTGGGGTTAGGGACGGGAGGAGTGTGGTGAGAGGCAGGAAGGTTGGATACAAAGAGGTTCTAGGAAAGTCAGCCACTTCTTGCAGGGGTGTGAAGAGATGGATATTTTAACCCAAAACTGTCCTCTTCCCCAAGACAGGTCCTTGGGAAACTGGAGAAGAATGATTAAATTCCAGTGATGGTACTGGGGACAGTGCAGCCTTAAGATCCGGGACTGTGTGTGCCCAGCATCTAGCACAGGGTCTGGCACTGGGGAGATGCTGAGTAAATATTGGATGGATGGGTGGATGGATGCACAGATTAATGGAAAGATGGATGGATGGATGGATGCATGGGTGCATGGGTGGCTGGATGGATGCATGGGCGGATGCATGGGTGGATGGATGGATGAATGCATGAGCAGATGCATGGATGGATGCATGAATGAATGGGTGGATGGATGGATGGATGGATGGATGGATGGATGGATGGATGGATAAATGGATAGGTAGATAGGTGGGTGAGCAGATGGGTGGGTGACTGGCTGGCTGGATGGATGGATAGATGGGTGGATGGATAAATGGATGGATGGAGAGATGGATGCATGGATAGATGGGTGGATAAATGGGTAGCTGGGTGGATGGGTGGGTGTGGTGGGTGGATGATGCCTGGATGAATGGATGGATGGATAGATGAATGGATGAATGGATGGATGGATACATGGGTGGATGGATAAATGGATGGATGAATGGAGGATGGATGGATTGATGCATGGATAGATGGGTGGATAAATGGGTAGCTGGGTGGATGGGTGGGTGTGGTGGGTGGATGATGAATGGATGAATGGATGGATGGATAGATGAATGGATGAATGGATGGATGGATACATGGGTGGATGGATAAATGGATGGACGAATGGAGGATGGATGGATGGATGGATGGATGGATGGATGGATGGATGGATAGATGACTGAGCGGGCAGATGGATGATGGTGCAGAGAAATCACCTGGCAGCTGCATTTCCCACTTGAGCTTCTCTTGCCGACGCCATTTGGCTCTTCTGTTGGAAAACCAGACCTGAGCGAGGACAGGGACAATGCAGCTGGCTGTACTTTATGCTGCCTGTCACCTGCTGATCTCACCACATGTTCCTAGCCTGAACTCAGAATGTTGACCCTTCCTTGGGCCTGACATCCTCCCTCCCTGCTCTAGCTTTTGCTCTCTGGCCCCTTCCTCAACTCAAAGGTTTGGGTTGGGGAAGAGAGGAGAGCAGTCAGCAGAAGGTGAACAAGGAGGATCTCATCTCTGATTGTTGCTCCAAACAAATTTGCTTCCAATTTCTCACCTCCCCTCTCCACCTCATTGGAACCCAAAGCCCTGGCCGGCCCAGACTCTTCCTCCTTGTGGTTTGTACAGTGTTGCAGAGCTCACTCACCCTCACCGTGTCCTCAGGCAGAGAGGTGGCAGTAGCCAGCTTTCCACGGGCCACTGAATCAGGATACTGCCCACGCTGGAACTCTGCGGAGATCGAGTCTCACAAAGTAAGGGCACCGGGAGAGGAGCAAGGCATGGGTCTCCCCTTAGGCAACACTCCCCACCTGCTACAACCCCAAACTACCTTCCTCCTCAAGGCAGGGCCACTCACACCTGCACCTCTCAGCCTTTGCCCACAGGCCTCAGGGCCACTGTCCCTGTGTCACACTGAGGACTCTCTGACCCTCCATCTGTCCCAGCCCAGCACCTTTCTCCAGTGCCTCTGCTTGGCTTGGGGAGAAGATAGTCCGATTCCGGTGGCCGGTCCCTGGGTGGGTACCCCGGGGAGTCTCAGAGCCACTATGGGGAGTGAGGACAGCTGGAGCCAAAACAGCTGAAAAGGAAGATAACAGTTTGTGGTGGTTTGTGATGGTGATTCCTCTGGTCAGATGGGGTCCCTGAGTCTCTGGGGCTGCAGCCGGGAGACACCATGGGTAGAAGAGCAGAGCCAAGCTGGTGGGGCATTCATAGTTATTAGAGGTCACTGCAGGGTCACTTGGTGGAAAGGGTGCTCAATACCATGGTGGGGTGCATGCTTAATGTGCAAGAGTTTGGAGGGACAAGCAGTAGGCTTGGTCCAGGGGTGTGTTATCCCAAAGAACATGAATGATGCTCTAAGAAGCTATGCATGGGGCAGAGGGAGGGTATGAGATGCAGTCCTGCCTCTTCTTCAATAGATCCTGTGAACCCAGGGGCTAGGGGACCTGTGTTCTGTTCCAGGGCCTGCCATCAACTAGGTGGTGACCTTGGGTAAGTCACTTCACTTTTCTGGACCTCAATTTTCTTCTGCTGGGAGAGAATGAGACTCCCTGCCCAGTCCTCCTTATTGGGTTGTTGTGAGGGTGATCCAAGAAAGAACGAGAAAGGGCTTTGAGAACTATAAAATGCTAGAGATTTGGCTGTGATTAGCCCTGGGGACAACTCCAAGACCCACCTGGTGACCTGAGCCGTGTGCACGGTAGTCCCTGGTCCTCCTGTAATGCCCGCAGGACTCGGTTGATGGAGGAGACCTGGGAGTGTCAGGGTGTTGAGTGGAGAGATGGTGCTCAGACTCAGGGCTATACCCTGAGGATGTTGCCCTTAATATCCTTTTTCCCATCTGTCTCCACCTACACATTGTTCCCAAGGGCAGCCTCCTCTCTCTCTCTCTATGCTTTCTCCTTCCCAATCCTCTTATTACCACCACTTTTCAAAAGAAAAACTTATGGGTCAGAATTGCCCAGGAGCCCTGTCACCAGCTTGGGATGCCCACATTGCCAAATAAGAAAGGTTCTTTGTCTCCCCCAGAAAGCCTCTTTTCCAGCCCCAGTGTGGGGAGGGAAGGGTACTTACACTGGGAGTCTTGTCCTGGGTGCAAAGCCCTTCAGCACAAAGCTGGCGTTGGATTTCCCAGGCAAAGAGGGCTGGACACTCACCCTTCAGCTGGGCAATTCGAGCCACCACAGGGGGTGTAGCCAGCCGTGGCTTGCTTCCCCCAATGCCCTTTGGCTCCAAGACACCTGTGCGGTAGTAACGCCCTAGGATCTTGCTCACACAGCCATTAGATACCTGAGTCAGGTGAGAAGCAGGGACAGGTGAGGCATGATGGGCAGAAGGAAGGAGAGTGTCCCTGGGACAGGAGGAGGCTATAAGACAAAGCCAAGACTTACTGGACCAGGCCATGAAGTCGGGAGTCCAGCCTCACCTTTGAGGGCCTGAGGCTCCCCTTTTCAACCTCCGAGAGGATCTCCCAGGAAGTGACCCAAGTCCCAGAAGCCCTCAGAGCCTGCAACAGCCCCAGGCTCTTGCCTTCAGAGGAGCCCTTTCTCCCTGCTTCCTGTCCCCATCACTGGGTAAAGGTGCTGGCCCATTACCTTAAGGATCCGTGAGATGTCACAGGGCCGCATTCCACTGACTGCTAGCCGCACAATCTGCTGCCGGGTATCCAGAGGCAGGGGCCGGCCATTCACAAAGAGCCCCCCAAGCTGGTTCATGCTGCTGATCCCTGGGCGTGAGACAGAGGTATCCACACACCACCTCTCCCACTGCCCTGCCCGCCTGTGGAGAGGGTCACTCAGGCCCCTCCAGCCTGGCTTCCCACCACCGAGTGCATCCTCTCCTGGGAGACTGCATCCTTGCTGCCCCCAGGCTGTCAACGCAAGCTGCTTTCTTTGAGAGCTGGCTCACGGGTGAGTCTTTGTTCCTTGCCCATACCCGCCAACTCTCCTGATCTAAGGGAAGCAGGACAGGGCAGGAAGGGAGGGACTGGAAAAAGCTTCCCCAGAACATTGGCCAATAGCAGATGAAACAGTTGATGGAAGCAAAGCCCTGAGGTCTTCCCCTGTCTCTGTTGTCCTCCCTGTCTTCCCACTTCCCCCAGGCTCCTCACCGTCCTGATGCATGCTCCAGGCTGACCCTCCTCAGAAGGATGAGACTCCAGCTGGGAAGGCTGGGAAGGGAAGTTCCTTCTAGGAGCTCCTTTTCCAGCTTGGGGGCTGGCTCTGCAATAATGGGGGGTTATTTGGGTGAGGTCTTTTGCTTGAAATGGTCCTGGGAGGTAGTGTTTTGTGATAGAGGGTCAGGTTCCTAAAATTTGCCAGTGGGTTGGCTAAAATCAGAAAATTCTAATTCCTTTTATTTAAACCTTTGTGTGATAAAAACTAAAACACTGCAGGTTGGCTGAGGACTGGATCTTTCTTGAAGTCCTGATAAGGGGCTGGGAGGATTGAGAGGGTTCTCCTTTCCTACACATTCATTAGAAAAGTTTGGGGAGGTAGAAAGGGATAATGCTTTCAAATGCTCAAGCTTTCCCCTTTCCAAATGGACAGCTGTTGTCTCCAGCTGCTCCTAAGCCTTCTCAGCCCTGGAAGACACACCCGAGCCAGAGATTCTGGGGTCCTCAAGTTCAGGGGTCCACCTTCACTATTAGGCAGTCCTCGGTTGGGCTCTCCAAACTGCCACCCAAATGCTGCACTTCAGAAAGGCTTGCTCCTGTTTTTTTATACTCTCCAGGAAGCTCTAGGGAAACTGGGACTCAGCTCTAACCCACCAGGCATTGAGGCTCTGGTCCTACACACTGGGCATAGAGATGAACACGCCTGAAGAGCCGGCTTCTCCTAGGAGACGCATCTCTTAGCATCTCTAACCTGCTGAGATTGTTCATTCTGTTCATTCTCTGAAGAGTTCTAGATCTCACAGTGAAGCTTCAATTTCAGAGACGATGTTTCTGGTATCAGACACTCATTCATTCAACTAACATTTATCAAAGGCATATTGAAGGGAATGAGAAGCAGGAGAAGACTGTCCGCTGAGCAACATAGAAACCGTCATGAGCCCAAGCGAGTCTCTGAGCAGCAAGGGACACAGGTCCCACAGGCCACCATACCTCTTCTACTTTCATTAGTAATCAATGGGAGTTGAAGATGCCTCCTTTCATGCCTGGAACCCTGGTAGTGCTGGAGATCACCCCAAGGAACAGCTTATGCACAGAACTTTCTTATAATAAGCGTGCCATCTGGGCTTAGTTAATTCATCTGCAGTTGTATGCTGAATAAGATATTAAGCATGAGCACATTGCTGGTTGTTCAGGATGAAGGCAGTAAACAGAAAAGGGTAAAGTCTTTGCTCTCCAACACATTACAGAGCAACTGGAGAAAAGAGACTAGCACCAGTGAAACAAAGAATTACAAAGAGTTTGGAATCCAGAGTCTACTTATTAAGTTCAGTCGCTAAATTGGCTTTTACTCACTTGTTTCTAGGTAGGTAGAGGCACAGACCCCTTCAAATTCTCATCTTTCCAAAAAGTCGGGAAAGAAGGCAGAGGTTTTCCAAAGAGAAAACTGAGGCACAGATTGGCATTGCCACAAGTCAGGGGCTGTCCAGAGAGTAAAATTCAAGGTTTAGAAGCCAGTTCCTCATCAGAAGCTACAATTTCTGGCTCCTAATCCTGGGCTCTCTTTCTCTGCTCCCACCCCTGTTTCATGTTTGTGTAATTGCCACAAAAACAATGGAGAGAGGAGAATCAAGCAGGGACTGTAAAGGGCTGTGCCAAGACAGGGTGAAGGAGCTCAAAATATCAGCCAAACCCTAAATCCTTGATGGGACTCAGTTCTCCTAAGTGACCAGAATTCAAAAGAGCAGTAGGGATGCAGGTTCAGTATCCAAACCTAAATAATCTCCAAACCTAAATCATTATGCCCCAACTCACAAACAGAAACCCCATTCCCAATAGCCACAACACACATTCCCAACATTCATATTAACATGTCTGAAAAAATAACTGGTGCTTGCAAGATGGAAAAACAGGAAAGGGGGTGGAAGGGGCAGGAGGGTTGTAGCTGCAAAGGCAGAGTGGGAGAGAAGTTGGGTTTGGCCACACAGAGGCATGGAGACAGCATGAGAGGCAGGGCAGACAATGAGCCTGCAGGTGAGCTACCTGTGTGGAGGAAATGAGGTGGGAGCTTCAGTGGGAGGTCTCAGCTTCTGAGACCCCTGCAGGCTCCAGGGGTGGTGATGATCTGGTCTTGGTAACAGCCTCCACTCTGCTCCTGCTTCAGTCCTGCCAGGGGGTCCAGAGCTATAGAGAGCCCGTGCTCAAGAGCAGAGGGCAGCCTTCTGGGAGTAGCCAGTGATGTCACAGGCCATGAGCAGAGGAGAGAGGAGGAGGGAGGTGTGCATGGGCTGACTGACACCAGCCCTGAGGCAGGGCAAACCACAGCCAATGACCCACTGTGTCCTTCCATGGGGAATCCTCAGAGCCCACTTTGTGTCCACCTACCACCCGGAAGCAGGGACAGAGCCATTCTCAGACAGGCAAAAGTGTACCCACACAAGCACCAGTACTCCTGAAGGGCATGCTGAGCATGGAAGATGGGGAACTTCAGGTTGTGTTCTTAAGGCTTTGAATACACAGAAGCAAAAAGATGCCTTCCCGAACCACCAACACAGCTTCCCAGCCAGAATGCACATACATGGGCTTTGGGGTCAACTCCTGAGTCGTGTGTGTTGCTATAAAAGATAAATGAGTATACAGACTGTTGCCTAAATACTGACTGAGTTGGCTCCTAGCACTCTGAGATAATGAGAGTGAATGGAGAAGAGTGTGAAGAGTGTGTGTCACCTAGCACCAGCTGTCCCCAGAGAGTGTCCTAACCAATTCTCCAATTGACTCCTTGACTGAGGTGACACCAAGGGTGAATTCTTGCCTGGAAATGGAAGGATCCTGGACTTCAGAACACTGACAATGGTAGTGGTGGTGGAAATGAGCCTCAGGATAGTCAGAGATGCATGTGGGTGTTTATAAGGAGGCTTGCAGCAGGATTTTCCTTCTTCCATCTTTAGATGTTAGCAGGCTCCATTCTGTTAGGGATTTGATGCTTTTAGACTCTAAGTTAGTAATGGCACTGCTGTTTCCACAAAAGACACCACAGGTTATCTGGGTCATTGGCGAGGTCAGAGGTATCAGTAGCTGGGCAGGTGGTGCCTGTGGAGTGGGATGCTGAAAGTGAAACACAGCCTCTAGTGCATGTAAATTTTGTTGCCAGTCATCAGGGTCTTGGGCAGATGGTCTTTGGGTCCATTCCACACCTCAGAGTCTGTGAAACCATTGCAAAAGTTAGACTGGAAGTAAGCAGGGTGTAGGGCAATAAGACTAGTCCCAGAAATCAGAGAATGGAAGACGTATGTCATTGGTAAATGTTTTGAGGTTTTGGGGGTGAAAGTGGTTGTTGTGCATTCAGCTTGATCCTAGGGTTGGGAACTCTTGCTCTCAAAGGCCAAATATCACATAAGTGAGTTTTCCACTTTACCCTGATACATACTCTCTTCCTCTTCCACCCTCCTCCAGCATCCTCAGACTGGTCTTGGGGTACAGGGGAGACTGCAGAGGGTGATTTCAGGACCTCGGGCAGGATAGCATTTGCCCAAGTGTCCTTACAGCCCATTCCATCCCCGGGGCAGCTGGGGACTGCTGGTCACTCTACTTAGCCATGCTTGGGTGGGAGGAGGTCCCCAGTAAGGCCTGTGGTAGCCCTGCTCCTAGTCCCCCATTCCTGCCTCATCCCTCCCCGCTAGATCTGCCCCTGCGTCTAGGGGCTCAAGGCTTATGTCCTGACCAGCTATTCCTATAGACAGCTGCATGAGGGTGGAGATAGGGGTATCAGGGGGAGCAGGGACAAGCCCTAGCAGATGGTGGTGGCAGCGATTTACCCCATAAACTACCCTCTCCCTCCGCCTTTATGACGCGCTCTTGGGTCTGAACAAACAGAGGCTTTCGACCCAGAGGTGATGGGGGAGGGAAAAGTGGTAAAGGGCCCTGGCAGGGGGGCCTAGAGAGCCCAAAGGCTCTGCCACTCAGCCCTCTGCCCAGCGCGCTAGACTGTTTGAGGAGCAAATATCTGCCTTCACTGTCTGACTCTCTCAGCCACCCCCACCGGGTTTGGGGCTAATTGTCCCTCATTAGCTGGGCCCAGGCCCCGGGCTGCCGCCAGCCCCCGCCATCTGCTCACAATTATACATTAACTCAAAGGTCTTGCCACCCGCCAACAAGCTGTGCGCCCCTCTCCGGGGCCAGCCATGGCCATTCCAGCCTGTCCCTCGCCCTGATGTAGAGCCCTGATCTCCGGCTTCTTCTGCCCTTAGGAGTCCCTGGTAGAAAGGCCCGTGTCTGTAGGGAAGTCTTGTCCTCAGGAAAGGCGGCTGGAGTTCCCCTGCCTTCCTCAAGGGACCAGAGGGCGAGCCAAGCCCGTGCGTAAAGCTGGAGAGGACTGGGCGCGGCCAGCGCAGAGACCCGCTGGCGTTGGTCTGACACCTCGTCTTGGGCTCTTGACACCTGCTGTGGGAGGTAACACCAGCTCTAGGCTGTTTCCACCCCTCCCTATGGTGCATTTTCGTAGGCTGTGGGGTCCTGGGCCCCTTCTTCTCTTTCTCCGGAAAGCCCCATCTCCTGCCAGCCCTCAGCTTTCCAGAGCGCACGCGCCACCTGTCCAAAACCGTTCTCTGGCGGCCTGTGCCTCCCACTTTAAAGTCAAAGTGATTTCCTTGCTACAAAAACACGGAGGCTATTCGAGTTCCCTGAAAATTCTGAACTTGAGACCCTCACGCCAAAGTTGCGCTACCCCCGCAAAGCTTTATGCAGTTACCCTACTCTCCCAGCCCAGCCCCTGCTCTGACACCAAAACCCCCTCCCTGCAAATCCCTGCAGTCTCCTGCTCAGCTTCTGGGACGCTGGCACCCGGATCCCTCCCTCTGAACGCCCCAGGGAGGGAGGAAGGCGCACACCCTCCCAACTGTGACTTTGAACTGGGGGCACGGAAGAGCCCTCCCTTTTCCCCTCTTTTTCACCATGAGCTTCTAACCTCTGAGCTCAACCTTGCCTCATATTTCTCTCAGGGGTAGGGTAGATGAGGCGGGATGTTGAGTCTGCACTTCCCCAGACTAACTCCCAACAGAGCTGGGTTGTTCAGGGGCTAGAGCCTAGGGCCTAAGGCGACCAGGAGGAAGCCTGTGGGGGATGTGAAAGGCAAGCCTCTGCCAGCCCTTGGAGAGTTCCTCCTCGGGTCTGCCTGTGCACCAAACCTGCCACTGTGGGGAAGGTGCTGCTTCAGGGCTGCGGTGTTCACACCCACGCTGATAACTGGAAACTGGAAACCTGAAGTTCGTCTTTTCCATGAGATCTGCCAGCTCTGCGCTCCCAGAAGCTTTCCTCACCCCACTGGGCCCCACTTCGCATGGGGTGGAAGATCTGGGGAGGCAGCTGCAGTTTGTTTTTCTTTCATTTTCTTTCTTTCTTCTTTTTCTTTTCTTTTCTTTTCTTTTTTTTTTTTTTTTAAAGACCTCTATGGTTTGACTCCGGGATGTTTGTTTTTAAGTAAACATTATTTCAATGAATCTTATTTTTTAGGACAGTTTTAGATTTACAGAGACACTTCAAACATAGTACAGACAGTTCCCATATGACCCACACTGCATTCCCTTCATTATTAATGTCTTACATTGGTATGGTACATTTATTATAACTAATAATGGTAAATATGTTATTATTACCTAAAGCCCATACTATCTTCAGATTTTCTCAGTTTTACCTGAATGGTCTTTTTCTATTGCAGGATCCCATCCAGGAGCCCACTTTCCATTAACCATCATGTCTGTGGCTCCTCTTGGCTGTGACAGTTTCTCAGACTTTGCTTGTTTTTGATGACTTGGACAGTTTTGAGAAGTTAGGTATTTTGTGGAATGTCCCTCAACGGGGATATATGCTTTTCTCATGATTAGGCTGGGGTTATGGATTTGGAAGAAGAAGACTAAAGAGGTAAAGTACCATTTTCATCACATCATACCTGGGCTTTGGGGTCAACTCCTGAGTCGTCAAATCATGTTAAGGGTATATACTGTCAACATGGTGTATCTATCACTGTTGATGGTGACCTTGAGCACCTGGCTAAGGTAGTGTTTTTCAGATCTGTCCACTAACATTACAATGCCTCCCTTTCCTAATGGTACTTTTCTGAAGGAAGTCATTGTGCACAACTTAATGAGTGAGGAGTTATGCTCCACTTACTTGAGAGTGGAGTGTCTGCATAAATCATTTGGATTTTTTCCGCTGGAGCAATCTCTTTTTTTTTCTCCCATTTATTTATATCAATATGGACTTATTTTATTCTAAAGAAATGTGTTTTATTTTGGGGTGTTATAATACAATACATTATTTTGTTGATCAAATTATTCCACCTTTGACAATTGGGAACCCTTTCAGTTGACTCCTGTGTCCTTTGGCATGCCCCCATTATTGTAGGGTTTGGATTTTTTTGTTTCTTGAGTTTGGGGTCTTTTGGGGATTTTTTTTTGTACTTCTTTACTTTCTGCAACTGCAAGATGCTCCAGGTTATCTTGTATATTCCCTGACCCAGTCCTAGAATCAACCATTTCTCCAAGGAGCCCTGGTTCCTTCTATTGAAGAATGGTATGAGAAACCAAGATCTGGACCCTAGATATGCTTGTTGCTACTGGGATTTTAGTGCTTCTCTGTTCTCTCAGTTGACCGAGCAAAGAAATATATGTGTGTATACTGACCCATGTATATACACGTATCTTTAATATTTCTATATGTAACCACTTGTATCTAAATTAAACTATTCATGAGTTCATACTGATGTCTCCAACTCTAATCCATTATTACATGGATCATTCCGGTTTCCACCCTGCTTATCTTTAAGCTCTCACTCCAACAGTGAGACACCTGGCTCCCATAATCCACCATCTATTACTTAAGTGCCCAATTCCAGCATCTATTATTGCGGCATCTGAATTGTTAACACAAACCATACAGAAAAATGAAACAACTTTATCAACTGGAGTACAATGCTTTTGTACAATTTATTTTACCTTAAATTTACAGACTCTGTTCATTCCCAAAGTTACTTAAATCAGTAAATTTACCCCCACTCCCTTCAATTAGGTGGTTTCATATACCTGTAATACAGTTAGATTATTTTGTCACATTCTGCATTCTATTTTAGGATCCCCTCACCTTCGACATGACTTTTAAAAATTTGCATACATTAAGGTAAACCCTTTGTGCTGTAAAGTTCTATAGTTTTTGACAAATGCATAATGTTATGTATCCACTGCTACAGTATCGTAACAGAATAGTTTCACCATTGTAAGAAACCCTGATGCTTCACCTGGTAACCATTGATCTTTTTACCATTGCTGATTTTTTTGTTTTTTGGGGGTTTTTTTTGCCTTTTCCAGGATGTCATATAATGGAATTAGAGAGCATATAGCATTTCCAGACTGGCTTCTTTCACTTAGCAATATGTGTTTAAGTTTTATCCATGTCTACTCATGGCTTGAGAGCTCATTTCTTTTTAGTACTGAGTAATGTTTTATTGTATGGACGTACCACAGTTTATCCACTCACCTATTGAAGGACGCCTTGGTTGCTTCCAAGTTCTGGCAATTATAAATAAGGCTACTATAAACATTTATGTGCAAGTGTGCAAGTTTTTGTGTGAACATAAATTTTCAACCCATTCAATTAAATACAAAGGAGCACAATGGGTTGTATGGTAAGACTATGTTTAGCTTTGTTAAAAAAAAAAAAAAAACTGCCAAACTGTTTTGCAAAGTGACTGCATCATTTTGCATTCTTAGCAACATGGATGATAGTTCCTGTCACTTTGCATCCTTGCCAGCAATTGGTTTTGCCAGTTTTTTGTATTTCAGCTATCCTAAAAGATATAATGGAATTTCATTGTTGTTTTAATTTGTAATTCTCTAACAAAAAATGATTTTGGGCATCTTTCCGTATGCTTATTTGCCATTTGTACACATTCTCTGCTGAAGTTTCAGTTCAGACATTTAACCCATTTTTGTTTGTTTGTTTTTAAGAGATGGAGTCTTACTATGTTGTCCAGGTTGGATTCAAACTTCTGGGCTCAAGTGATCCTCCCACCTCAGCCTCGCAGGTAGCTGGGATTACAAGCATACATACTCCACTGTGCCCAGCTTTGCCCACTTTTTTTTTTTTTTTTTAGATGGAGTCTCACTCTGTCGCCCAGGCTGGAGTGCAGTGGTGCGATCTTCGCTCACTGCAAGCTCCACCTCCTGGGTTCACGCCATTCTTTTGCCTCAGTCTCCCGAGTAGCTGGGACTACAGGTGTCCACCACCACGCCCAGCTAATTTTTTGTATTTTTAGTACAAACCGGGTTTCACCATGTTAGCCAGAACGGTCTCGATCTCCTGACATCGTGATCCGCCTGCCTTGGCCTCCCAAAGTGCTGGGATTACAGGCATGAGCCACCACGCCCTGCCTGCTCACTTTTTAATTGGATTTTTTTTATTGTTGAGTTTTAAGAGTTCTTTGTATATTTTGGATACAAGTCCTTTATCAGATATATGTTTTGCAAATATTTTCTCCAAGTCTGTGGTTTGTCTTTTGATTTTCTTAACAATGTTTTTTGCAGAGCAGAAAATTTTAATTTTAATAAAATCCAGTTTATCAATTATTTCCATGATCATGCTTTCGGTTTACATCTAAAAACTCATCACCAAATCTGAGGTCATCTATATTTTCTTCTGTGTTCCCTTCTAGAAGTTTTAAAGTTTTGCAGTTTACATCTAGATTTATAAACCATTTTGAGTTAATTTTATGAAATGTGTAAGATCTGCGTCTAAGTTCATTTTTTAGCATATTTCCAATTGTTGAACATTTGTTGAAAAGACCACCCTTTCTCCATTGAATTGCCTTTGCACCTTTATCAAAGATTAACTGGCTGTATTTGTGTGGATCAATTTCTGGTCTCTCTATTCTGTTCCTTTGATCTATGTGTCTGTTCTTTCACCAACACCATACTGTCTTGATTACATAGCTTTATAGTAAGTCCTGAAATTGGGTAAAGTGAGTCCTCTAACTTTATTCTTCTTCCACATTGTATTGGAATCTGTGTCCTTGCCTTTTCATATAAACTTTAGAATCAATTTGTCAAGATCTATAAATTAGTTTGCTGGGATTTTGATAGAGATTTCATTGAGTCTATAGATCAAGTTGGGAGGAATTGACATTTTAATAATATTGAGTTTTCCAATCCATGAACATGAACTATCTCTTCATTTATTTAGATCTTCTTTTATTTCATCAGAGTTTTATAGTTTTCCCCATAAAGATCCTGTATATATTTTGTTAGATTTATATCTAAGTATTTTACTTTTTTGGTGCTTCATTTTGGTAAATGCTATCATTTAAAAAATTCTAATTCCACTTGTTTATTGCTGGTATAAAGGAAAGCAACTGGCTTTTATGAATTATCCTTGTATCCTGAGAAGTACTATTAATTAATTCCTGGAGGTTTTTGTTTGGTTGGTTGGTTCTTTGGAATTTTACATATAAACAATCATGTCTTCTGTCAACAAAGACAGTTGTATTTCTTCCTTCCCAATCTATGTATCTTTCATTTCCCTTTCTTGTCTTATTGCACCAGCTGGGACTTCCAGTATGATGTTGAATAGGAGTGGTGAGAGAGAACATCTTTTCCTTGTTCTCAATCTTGGGTAAATGTCCAGTTACTCACCATCAAGTATGATGCTAGCTTTAGTTTAGTTTTTTTTTTATCTTCTGGAAATTTTATTCTGCTCATTGCTTATTTCAAACTTATAATTGTGCTATAATGCATTTTATTCTTTATTCTTTCTCTTATTTACTTTATTTTTATTTTGCCTATTTCTGTTTTTTATTTTTCAATTATTCATCTTTTTTGGTTTTTTATTTTTTTTTATTTCTTTTTTATTTTTTGTAGAGATGGGGGTCTCACTATATTGATCAGGCTTGCCTCGAACTGCTGGCCTCAAGTGATCTTCCTGCATCAACCTCCCAAAGTGTTGAGATTACAGGCCTAAGCCACTACACCCTGCTTATAATGCACTTTAATATAATAGCTGGAAGAGCTAGTACCCTTTTCATTACTCTTTATTCAGAACTTTTCTTATTCGTCCGCTCAAGTTTATTTTTCAGTTGAGCAATAGTATCATTTTGTCAAATTAAAAATTTTGAGCCAGGTGCAGTGACTCACACCTGTAATCCTAGCAATTTGGGAGGCCAAGGTAGGTGGATCACTTGAGCCCAGGAGTTAAAGACCAGCCTGGGCAACATGGCAAACCCCATCTCTACAAAAAAAGAAAAAAAAATAGCCGGGCGTGGTGGAGCCTGCCTGTAGTCCCAGCTACTCAGGAGGCTGAGGTGGGAAGATCACTTGAGCCCCAGAGGTTGAGGCTGCAGTGAGCCATCATCATGCCACTGCACTCCAGCCTGGGCAACAGGATGAGACTCTGTCTCAAAAAAAAAAAAAAAAAAAAAAAAAAAAAATTGGATGTATAATATTAATTTAGAGAGAAATGTTGTCTTCACAATATCAAGTCTTCCTGTCCAAGGCAATATGTATTTTTTAATAGACTTTACTTTTTAGAGCAGTTTTAGGTTCACAACAAAATTAAACACAAGGTGCAGAGATTTCCCATATACCTTTGTCCCACACATGCATAGCTCCCCCTGTTATCGATATCCCCAACCAGGGTAGAGTGGTACATTTGTTATAACTGATGAACCTAAGCTGTGCAATTTTTGTAGATTTCTTTATCAAATTGAGGAAGTTCTCCTCCATTCCTGGTTTGCTGAGCATTTTTATCGTGAGTGGGTATTGGATTTTGTTAAATGCTTTTTTTAAGTCAGCTGATATGATTACATGATTTTTTTCTTCTTTAGCTTGTTGATGTGGTGAATTACACTGAATGGTTTTTAATGTGGAACTAGCTTTGCAAACCTGAAATAAATCCCACTTGGTCATGGTGTATAATTCTTTTTATACAGTGTTGGATTTGATACGCTAATATTTTGTTGAGAATTTTTGCATCTAGGTTCATGAGCAATGTTGGTCTATGTTTTCCTTTCTTGCAATGTCTTTATCTCTTGGTATAAGGGTGACATTGGCCTCATAAAACAAGTTAGGAAGTGTTTCCTCAGCTAGCCAGCTTTGAGGGTGAGGATTTATCAAGCAGACGTAACTCAGGCTGAGAGACACATGAAGTTCATCTCCTATAACAGCATCTAGGACAGTATGGCTCAGTAATTAACAGTGGGAATTGTAGAGGCATCAAACCTCAGTTCCTATCCCAGGCCTGTCATGCCATCTGCATGATCTTGGATCAGTTAACTGTTAATTCAACAAATAATTATTGAACATGTGCCAGGCACTGGGATAACTGCAGTGAATAAAAAGGGCAGAATTCTCTGCCCTCTTGGAGCCTGCATCCTTTTTTAAGCTTACATTTTAAAACCTTCTGTGCTTCATTTTTCTGCATGTATAAAATAAAAATATCAATAGTAGCTACATCATAGGATTGTTGTGACTATTATATAAATTAACAAATGTAGAACATTCTATATAAGTGTTTTATATTATTACTATTAACACTACTATTGTGCACTAACAGTTAATATTATTATCTATTGACTGAGTTCAGTAGTTATAGTCTAGGAGATTCCCAGGCCATCCTCCCTGCTGTAACTCTGTGCTCCCATTATTTCTGTCTCTCTGCTTCTTCAGTTGGCCTTTTTTATCTTTGGGATCACTAGCCTATTATATGAAACTCCTTCTCTGGCCTAGATTTATCTTGCCTAGGAGATAGTTGGGTGGCTATCTTTCTGCTGCTTTTGAAAACTACCAAAACTTTGCCAGGCGTGGTGGCTCATTCCCATAATCCCAGCATTTGAAGAGGCTGTGGCAGAAGGATTGTTTGAGGGCAGGAGTTTGAGACCAGCCTGGACAACATAGTTTTTTGGTAGAGATCCCCATCTCAAAAGAGAGAGAGAGAGAAAGAGAAAGAGAGAAAGGAAAGGAAAGGAAAGGAAAGGAAAGGAAAGGAAGAAAAAGAAAGAAGAAAGAAAGAAAGAGAGAGAGAGAGAGAGAGAAAGAAAGAAAGAAAGAAAGAAAGAAAGAAAGAAAGAAAGAAAGAAAGAAAGAAAGAAAGGAAGAAAAGAAAAGAAGGAAAAAGAAACACAACAAAAAACCCCTGATAATTGTAATACCAGCAGCCTGGCAGACCGGCTGCATTGGCATCACCCTGGACTAATTAGAAATGCCATAAAAGCTTGACCCATCCCCAGATCAGGAAGACAGATTTAAGCATTAGCCTCCTGTCTCCTTGCCAGTCTACTTGCAGTAAAGCTTTCTTAAAAATGGCTGGGTGCAGTGGCTCATGCCTGCAATCCCAGCACTTTAGGAGGCTGAAGCCAGAGGATCACTTGAGCCCAGGAGTACAAGACCAGCCTGGGCAACAACATAGTGGAGGCTGAGGAGGTAGGATTCCTTGGGCCTGGGAAGTCGAGGCTACAGTGAGCAATGCTTGCACCACTGAACTCTAGCCTGGATGACAGAGTGAGATCCTGTCTCTAAAAAAATAAAAAGAAAAGAAAAATACCCAAACTTTTGCATTTTTTAAAGGGAGGGGGATAGGGAGCGTAAGCCACTAATAGTCCAGGTCTTTGCCTGTGCACTTTCTGAAGGTTGTGGAGTCTTGGCCTGGCCTAGGTTAGAGTGGCAGGGGGCGCTGTATTTTCTCTAGCCATCACTGAAAATCAGGCTGTGTCAAGCCCCACATAGGAAAACTCTGCATTCCAGCTTGGGTAACTTTCCACTGCTTAGCAAGACCCAGAGGAAACGGGAAAGAAAATTTACTCCCTAAGGATAAGGATCCTACCTCTCTGCCAGGAATCCAGAGCTCTTCAGCTTTGCTGTGCCCACAAAGGCCCCCAAAGCAACACCTGCTCAGCCCAACAAAAGCATTACACTAACCAGAGAACAAGCTATGTAAAGATAGGTGATTATAAATTAAGTCTTATCACTATTTTCAGCTTGGCATCATTGAATGCAATAACCACACTTGAAAGGAACCATTGTCCCAGGTTTCATTATCAGTCTAGCTGGCATCTCCTCCACTGCTAATCCTCGCTCATCCAATTCCTCTTCACTGATCCTCAGGTCCACTTCTTGGTTCTGGATCAAAACAGCTCTTACTCTCTGAAGTCTCCACTACCTGAAATAAATGATGTTAGCCCTCCCTGGCCTGCTCCACATTTCTCTTTTTTTTCTGGAAGACAGCCCAACACTAATGTTTACAGGAAACTTTTTACTCTCTGATTTTATTGTCTCCGCACTCTCCAGCATTTAGACCTTTCATGGCAACCCTTTCTTTACCTCCTATGCTGGTTTCTCTTCAGCATTCTATTTTTATAATTGAATACATAATTATAATTGTCTCAACCAGTGCTTGGAAAGAAAGCTCTGTAGAGCTGCTTGACCTTACCTGGATAAGTCACCTGGGGTCCTGGCAGATACCCACCAGGTCAGCACCAGGGCTCCCCCTGCAGCCTACCCAGTGCTCTGCATTTGCAGGGACACAGCCTGAGAGTAATTGTCAGCAACCCAGGCTCCCTTCATTGCCACTTCTCCCGGAGAGCCTCAGCAGTGTGACAGGAAGGGGAAACAGCACTAGAAGGGCAAGAGGATGTGCAGACTTGGGAAAGGGATGGCTGCAGCGAGTGCTCTGAAATCCCAGTTCCCCTCCGGCACTGGATCTCCGGACACCCCCACCCTGCACTGTGTGCCTGACTTTCTTTACGGATGGAACTGAAAAGATAGGCTCTGGAACCCAACATGGTTAGATTCTCTGGGTGTTGGAGGAAGCTGGGTCTGAGAATGGAATGCTTCTTCTCTTGAAAAAATGAGGAATTTATTTTAAAACAACTGATGAAAAGATCAATCAAATTATCTAACATGATTGTCCAAAGGTGCTAATCTTTTTTTTTTTTTTTTTTTTTTTTTTGAGATGGAACTCTCTCTGTCCCCTGGAGTGCACTGGTGAAATCTCAGCTCACTGCAACCTCCGCCTCCCAGGTTCAAGCAATTCTCCTGCCTCAGCCTCCTGAGTAGGTGGGACTATAGGCATGCACCACCACACCTGGCTAATTGTTTTGTATTTTTAGTAGAGACGGGGTTTCACCATGTTGGCCAGGCTGGTCTTGAACTCCTGACCTCAAGTGATTCACCCGCCTCAGCCTCCCAAAGTGCTGGGATTACAGGCATGAGCCACCGTGCCCGGCCCAAAGTTGCTAATCTTAGTAACTCGGAATAACAATTATATTGGATCAGTAGCAAAGAATGCTAATTTTCACTTGAGCCCAGGAGTTTGAGACCAGCCTTAGCAACCTAGGCAGACCCATCTGTACACACACACACACACAAAAAGCCAAGAAAAAAAAGAAACAACAACAACAACAAAAAACTAAAAACAAAAAATAGGCTGAGAGTGTTGGTACTACACACCTGTAGTACAAGCTACTTGGGAGGCTGAGGTAGGAGAATCACCAGAGCCCGGGAGGTCAAAGCTGCAGTGAGCTGGGATGGCATCACTGCGCTCCAGCCTGGGTGACAGAATGAGACCCTGTGTCAAAATAATAACAATAATAATAACAATAATTTTATTTCTGGAATTTTCTTGTCTTTTTTTTTTTTTTTTTTGAGGCAGAGTCTTGCTCTGTCACCCAGGCTGGAGTGCAATGGTGCGATCTCGGCTCACTGCAACCTCCGCCTCCTGGGCTCAAGCGACTCTCCTGCCTCAGCCTCCCGAGTAGCTGGGATTACAGGCGCCCACCACCATGCCCGGCTATGCCCGGCTAATTTTTATATTTTTAGTAGTGATAGGGTTTCACCATGTTGGCCAGGCTGGTCTTGAACTCCTGACCTCTTGATCCGCCCACCTCGGCCTCCCAAAGTGCTGGGACTACAGGCGTGAGCCACCATGCCCGGCCCCTCTCTTCTTTTTAATTGTGGTAAAATATACATAACATAAAACTTGCCTCTTTAACCATTTTTTACATGTACAATTCATTGCTTTAAGTGCATTCACAATGTTGTACAACCATCACCACCATCCATCTCTAGAAGTTTTTCATCATTCCAAGCAGACACTCTGTACCCATTGAATAGTAACTCCCCAACCCTTCCTCCACTCAGCCCTTTGTAAACTCTATTCTACTCTCTGTCTATGTGAATTTGCCTATTCTAGGTACCACATATGCATGAACCATACAATATTTGTCCTTTTGTGTGAGGCTTATTTCACTTCACGTGATGTCCGTGAGAATAGATTTCTTATGCATGCTTTCTCTTCCCTCCTCCTTATCGCCCTTGCCTCAGTTAAAAATGAAAGCTTGGCCAGGCACAGTGGCTCATGCCTGTAATCCCAACACTTTGGGAGGCCGAGGTGGGCAGATCACGAGGTCAAGAGATCAAGACCATCCTGGCCAACATGGTGAAACCCCGTCTCTACTAAAAATACAAAACTTAGCAGGGCATGATGGCACATGCCTGTAGTCCCAGCTACTTGGGAGGCTGAGGCAGAAGAATCGCTTGAACCTAGGAGGTGGAGGTTGCGGTGAGCCGAAATCACGCCACTGCACTCCAGCCTGGCGAAAGAGCAAGACTCCATCTCAAAAAAACAAAAACAAAAACAAAATGGAAGATACTTTTGGAGCTATTGGTAGAGCCTTGGGCAATAATGAAGATGTCAGTCTATGAAGATGAACGGTAAAGATAAAACAAGTGTGCAAAGTTGTCAGTCTATGAAGAACAGACTCCCTTAGAGTTTACGTATCTTTTTTTTTTTTTTTTTTTTGAGACAGAGTCTCGCTCTGTTGCCCAGACTGGAGTGCAGTGATGCAGTCTCGGCTCACTGCAAGCTCCGCCTCCTGGGTTCACGCCATTCTCCCGCCTCAGCCTCTTGAGTAGCTGGGATTACAGGCGCCCACCACCATGCCCGGCTATGCCCGGCTAATTTTTATATTTTTAGTAGTGATGGGATTTTCACTGTGTTAGCCAGGATGGTCTCGATCTCCTGACCTCTTGATCTGCCTGCTTCGGCCTCCCAAAGTGCTGGGATTACAGGTGTGAGCCACTGCGCCCGGTCTTTTTTTTTTTTTTTAACTTTGAGGCAGGGTCTTGCTTTGTTACACAGGCTGGAGTGCAATGGCATGATCTTGGCTGACTGCAGCCTTAATCTTCTGGACTCAAGCGATCCTCCTGCTTTACCCTACTTAGCTGGGACTACAGGCATGCATCACCACACCAGGCTAATATTTTGATTTTTAGTAAAGATGAGGTCTCACTATGTTGCACAGGTTGGTCTCAAACTTCTGAACTCAAGCGATTCTCCCACCTCAGCCTCCTGAAGTGCTGGGATTACAGGCACGAGTCATCACATCCAGCCAGAGTTTACATATCTTGAGTTCTGGCAGAGCCCCACATGAGAGAGAAGACATGGCAAGAGAAATTTATCAACCCACAGAAATACCAAACAACTCAAACAAGAAATGGCAGCTTGCCTCTCTCCCCATGTTTCTTCTGGCCAAAACTGGGCTGGAGTTGCCCCAAGCATCACAGAGGAGAATTCCCACAAGGGAGAGCCCAAGCCATCCTGAGATGGGGCTGGTTGGGATTCCAAAGAAAGAAGCACTAAATGCCAGGATGATGAGTCCAACGCAGCTATTAGGGGGAACTTATATACAGAGTGGCCTGCAGCAATGCTTGCGGTGGACAGTGAGAGAAAAGGGAAGGTCTACCTAGGTATGTCCACAGCGAGGGTGTCAGGGTATGGAGTCTATATGAGGAATTTGGCTCAGGGCTGGGGCCGGTTTCTTTCAGTGTTTTGGGCAACAACCTAGATACCTTTATTAGTACCTGGGAATGTTCAAGGCCCCAGGCTGGGTTCAAGCCTGCTGGGGAAAACCTGTAGCTCGCTGGATCACAGAGTAGTCAAGGCACTCTGTGATTTTTGGTCTGGACACAGAAAGAAAGTGGGGGTAACTAGGGGACCCAGCAACTCAGATGCTTGGATTTCTCTGAACTGAAGAGTGAGACTCCCTGAGCTCTGATCTGGTTAGCGAGGCAATAGTTAGCGGCAAAATAGAGGAATTAAGGTCCCAGAGTGAGTCCTGCCTCCTAGTTCTTTCTCTCCCAATCCAGTCTCATTTTTTAGAAGACATTACAGCTGTAATCTTAAAAATTCATGGAGTAGGAGACAAAGGGAGAAAGTTTGAAGTAGGAAGAAGGAGCATGTGGGAGGGGAAGGGAGAAAAAGAAAGCACAGGAAACTCCCTTTTCTGGACTTCTGGCTTCTTCTGTCCTGCCTATCCAGAGAGAGTGGGAAGACACCATTGTCAAGTGTGTGGAGGGAAGGACATTGCCCAGAGAAACTGAGAGTTAGGCCAAACTCCGCTGCTTCTTTTTGCTGTGAAACCTTAGCTTTCCATGAATAAACTAACCCTAGTTCATCCTTTTCTTTTCATCAAAGGGAATTGTGTTCTTTTGCTATACAGCTGCCTAACAAAGTACTACAAACTGAGTGACTTAGACTACATAAATTTATATTGCCTCACAGTTCTGGGGGCTAAAAGCCTGAGATCCAGATGTTGGCAGGGCCATGCTTCCTCTGAAGGCACCAGGGAAGGATCTGCTCCAGGCCTTTCTACTAGCTTCTGGTAGTTCCTTGGCTTGCGTCAGCATAACTGAAATCATCGCGTGTGTGTGTGTGTGTGTGTGTGTGTGTGTGTGTATCTCTTCACTGTGTCTCTGCATTCTTTTCCTAAGGACACCAATTGTATTACTCTGTTTTCATGCTGCTGATAAAGACATACCTGAGACTGGGTAATTTATGAAGAAAAAGAGGCTTAATGGACTCACAGTTCCACATGGCTGGGGAAGCTTCACAATCATGGCAGAAGACAAAAGGCACGTCTTACATGGCTGCAGACAAGAGAGAATGAGAGCCAAGTGAAAGGGGTTTCCCCTTATAAAACCATCAGATTTCATGGTACTTATTCCCTACCACAGGAACAGTGTGGGAAAAACCGCCCCCATCATTCAGTTGTCTCCCACTGGGTCCCTCTCACAAGCACGTGGGAATTATGGGAGCTACAATTCAAAATGAGATTTGGGTGGGGACACAGCCAAACCATATCACCAGTCATGTTGGATTAGGTCTCATCCTATGCCAGTATGCCCTCATCTTAACTAATTACACCTGCAATGACCCTATCTCCAAATACAGTTACATTATGAAGTACTGTGAGGTGAGGACTTCAACATGTGAATTTTGGGAAGACACAATTTAACCCATAACAGAAATGATTCCATTGTTTTAATTAGCACCTCTCTTACAGTAATCCCTTAGCACTGAGGCCCGGAGAGAGATTGCCAGGCCCCTTCTAAACCACATCCCCAAGAACCAAGCATCTTCTGTTCTGTTCTTTCCTTCCTGGTCCCAAAGATGAGGTCCTACCCTGTTTCCTAGGCAAGGACTGTAGAGTGAGTGCCCAGCAAGGCAATAATTCTCCTGGTTCTCACCAACATGCCATTTATCCTTTCACCCTCACCACAAGCACTTATTTGGGGGCTGCTCCATGGGGCAGACATGGGGTCAACACCACTTTCTACAGTCATCATATTCTTGGTGGTGCTTTTAGATTTCAGTTTAGATTCATCCTCTTTCCCTGAAAGTTCTAGGCCTCAAGGTGAGGAGAAGACCAGGAGCTGTTCAGAGTCTATCTGACCAACACAGTCTTCAAGTTACTTCCTGCCTCCTGAAGATACCTGACCATAGGACCAGGATGTATGGGGTAGAGGAAGAGGCCAGAGCACTGGGTATGCATGCCAGCAAGGCTTCTGCTGGGCAGCCCGAGGGCAGCATTTGGCCTCTAGCATTTGACCTAGAGGGAAGAGACCTCTAAAAGGGGGCAAAGGCTCTGATAATGAGTATAGGGTTGAGACAATCAAGGACTATGAAAGCAAATCCCCTTCTTAAAAAGCATTCATAGGGCTTCTGAAATTTCTCAGATATTGTCATCTCTATCTTAACCCAAGAAGAAGGTTAGAGTAGACTGGACTCCCTCTAATCTCTAAATTGTAGGAACAGAAATTTTCTTGGAAGATAAAGGACAAACAAGTTGGATAAAAGGGAAAAAATTTACCCAAGGTGCTGAATAAAAGTTTCCGTAGGAGGAACATAGAGAATTGCCACAGTGACTTGAAGCAATGACTCATCCAGCCTGATGGAGAAAACAAAGATGGGTGGGCAAGAGGCCTTGTGGGATAAGAAAAAATGGGCATATGTGGTGAATATTATGAAACGAAGAGGTCTTTGGCAATGCCCCAGGCTACTGTGTGTGTGTGTGTGTGTGTGTGTGTGTGTGTGTGTGTGTGTGTGTGTTGAGGGGGGTGCAGTGGATGGTCTCTAAGAGACTTCCAAAAACAATGACTCATGTATAGTTTAACTGGTAGAAGGACTATGAGCTTGAATTTAGGAGTCAAATAAAGTGGGTTGGAATCTTGACCTCCTGAGCCTCAGTATTATTGTCTTCATAATGGAAACATGTCTTCTATGAGATAGTTACAGTAATTTCATGAGATAATATGATTATATATATAAAATATCTAGTAATGTGCCTGTCCCATTGTAGAGATTGAATAAATGGTAGTTTTTATAATTTACTGAAGCACCAATAGAAGGCAACAAGAGAATTCTTAGCTATCAAAAATCACAAGCATAGGGTTTATACAGGTACACTGAAATAGTGCACAGCAAAACAAGGCTAAGCAAAAAACTCAAATAGCAAAAAGTCTTTTGCTGCTTTTCTAGGCTGCTGTTTTATGGTCACATGGGATTCACGCCTATTCATTCTTCTCACCTAGGTGAATTCTATCTGGAGGCTAGAACAGTATAACCATCAATCATGCTGTCACTGAAGAGAAGCAATTTGCTGTCCTTCCAGGGTGCACTTTGGATTGTTTTGGCCAGTAGACAGGGCTGGTTGGACCAAGGCCTGCAGTGTAGCAGTGACACTATTCCCCAAATGAGTGATTAAAACTGAGTTTTGGGGCTTTTCTCTAGCATTATACAATCAGCACTCCCTCCTTCCCCTCTGGGGAATTGACCCTGAGAAATGCCCTCCCTCTCTTTGGAGGCTCGGGGTGGGAGGGACGTGAGGGCCTCTGTGAGCACCCAAGCAGTTCAGGGCCACCTTTTGGGGAAAAGTTCAACAGTGCCACCTACTTTCTAACCAATTACAATCTTTTTTGTGAGCATTGATTATGCTCCCACTATGTTCTGACTACTTTTCTCTCTCTTGCTTTTCCTGGTCCCAGAAAGTTTTTACATTGATATGAGATGCAGGCTGAAAATCTTTAAGGAAAATTATGTATTAAGGTGGAATATATTTTTGTGGGGTACTGTTTAGTTATAATTTGTTTATTTTTAGTTTGGGGGAAGAGACAAAGCCATTTAACAACATGGAGAAGGCATACGCAAGAAATCAGATGAATAGGAGGAAAAGAGAAAGAAGAAGGGAAGTGAATGACTAGTGGAGTCTGTGTACCTATAAACATTAGGGTAATTAAACAGATTTTCCCATTTGTCTGTCCTGGCTAGGAAGATGAAATTGGTCTCACATCTTAGGAAACAGCAAGCTAGAAATCTAACTTCCTTGAAATTCCATGAGTAGCAACCCCCAGGAAGAGAAACCATTCTAATCCTTCCAGGGGAACTCAAATACCAAGATGGAAATGTTTAAAGTTATAGTTAAAATGAATGAACATCCTTGTGTTTGCTCCTGAATCTAGGGATCCAGAGTTCAGAAGAGGCATTCCTCTTAATCACCTTGTCCTGGCTACAAGGGCCAGATGGGTGAGGAAGGTTTATATTTGTTTGACCATCACGGAGAAAGAGGTGGAGAGCCACAGCTTCAAGTGGAGCTTGGTCTGGAGGAGAGGTCTGGGCTGGGGAGATTGTAGTGAGTAGACAACAGAAGTATTTCAGACCTCTTCTGTAGAAGTTGGGTCCCAAATGACTTAGTCGAATTAGGCTGCTTGAAGAATACAGAGTTTGAATCTTCTAGGTCCTTAGGATTTTGATTTTATCATTTGATTTGTAATTAAGAACTTCTAAGCTCTAGGAGGAGGAGAATATTTGAGGGTCAGATGCTTTCTTTCTCTCCTGCCTCATTTTGGATTAGAATAGGACATAAATGGCTACAGTCCCAGAAGATGACTTTAGGGAAGACAAACAAAATGATGTTACAGTATCTCTTGGAATTATTGCTATTAATGTGAAAGGCAAAATAATAAAGCTCCTAGAAGATATAAGAAAATATCTTTATGACCATATGCCAGATACATGTATTCTAAAATGCTCAACCCTGATTAGAAATCAGGGAAATGCAGGCCAGGTGCAGAGGCTCATGCCGGTAATCCCAGCCGAGATTAATTTTGGGAGGCCGAGGCGGGCGGATCACTTGAAGTCAGGAGTTATAAAGAGCAGCCTGGCCAATATGGTGAAACCCTGTCTCTAGTAAAAATACAAAAAGTAGCCGGGTATGATGGCACACGCCTATAATCCCAGCTACTCAGGACGCTGAGGCGCGAGAATCGCTTGAACCCAGGAAGGGGAGGTTGCAGTGAGCCAAGATCATGCCATTGCACTCCAGTGTGGGTGACAGAGCAAGACCCTGCCTCAGAAAAAAATAAAAAAAGTAAAAAAAAAGAAATCAGGGAAATGCAAATTAAGACCACAGTGAGATACTGTACGCATCCACCAGAATGACTAAAATTTAAAAAGACTGACAATATCAAATGTTGGCGAGGATGCAGACTTAGAATTCTCATATATAAAAATACAAAATTAGCTGGGCGTGGTGGCACATGCCTGTAATCCCAGCTACTCAAGAGGCTGAGGCAGAATTGCTTGAACCTGGGAGACGGAGGTTGCGGTGAGCCGAGATCACACCACTGCACTCCAGCCTGGGCAACAACAGCGAAACTCCCTCTTAATAAAAAAGAAAGAAAGAAAGAAAGAAAGAAAAGCAATTCACTGTGAACACTAGAAACATTACCCAGCAAACCAACAGTATGTTAAACTCTGCTTCTGTCTCTAAAAATTCTGTTAGGTTATTTCTAATGTACACATGTCCTATCACTATGTTGTAATGGGTATGCAAAACTGTTTTGTGTCCTGGCTTTTTATATTGCACTTGATTTACATAAATGTAGCTTACATACATGTCATTTAAATAGTCACCTAGTATTTCATTGTGTTTATATACCATAAGTTTTCTTAGCTATTTTCATGTCTTTGGGGCTTTGAGTGGTTTCAAATTCTCAAGATCATCATCATGTCACTAACCTTATTAAGAACTCCCTAGATCCCAGGCACTCTAAGTAGAACTTTTCATTCATTATTTCATCCATATTGGAGACCAACCCTGTGAGACAGGCACTATTTTTATTCCCATTTTACAGATGAGGAAACTGAGATTTGGAGAGATGAAGTAACCTGCAAGTTTCACAAAGAACTGTCACAAACAATTCTTACCCTGACAAACACATTCCATTGTCCTTACTCTCAACCCCTATGTCATAACACTTGCTTTGAACTCCTCTGTTCTTCCCTGGTAATTTTGTTTTTTGCCTTAGAGTTCCCGAAGTGGAATTGCCAGGTCAAAAGTCTTGAACGATTTTTGAAGGCTCTTATGCATATTCCAGTTTCTTCTCCAGCTACTCTGAACCAATTCGCAATGACATCAGGAAGGTTTATGTGAAGGCTCAGAGTCATGTCAAGCGTAGGAAACCCAACTTTAGGGTCTCTCTGTACAACTTCCCTCTCACTAAGATGGTGTGTGCTGGTGAATGCCTAAATATTACCCTCTCCATTTGACCCTCTTAGAATATTTTAGAAGATCTTGTTTTCCCTTTATTACATGTTTTGTTTGACTGTCAGTACCTAGTAAGAGAGAATTAGATATTTTGGCCCTTTTATTTATTTATTTTTGAGATAGAGTCTCACTCTGTTGCCCAGGCTGGAGTGCAGTGGCATGGCTCACTGCAACCTCTGCCTCCCGGGTTTAAGCAATTCTCCTGCCTCAGTCTCCCGAATAGCTGGGATTACAGGCATGTGCCACCATGCCCAGCTAGTTTTTGTATTTTCAGTAGAGAGGGGATTTCGCTATGTTGGCCAGGCTGGTCTTGAACTCCTGAACTCAGGTGATCTGCCCACCTTGGCCTCCCAAAGTTCTGGGATTACAGGCTTGAGCCACTGTACCTGGCCTTGACCCTTTTATTTTTAAGCAGAGTTTTTGCTTTTATAGTGATTGCTGTTTCTTACCACAGAATCTTTCACTGAATCACAATTCAGCAAATTCCTGTAGGTTTTATGTGAACTTTTGTAAGAAATAGCCACATTTCACATTTCTGCACCTCTTACAAACCTCTGTTAAAAAACATTGCCCATTGGAGCTATCATCTCATCCCCGTTAAAATGGCTTTTATCTGAAAGACAGGCAATAACAAATGCTGGCAAAGATGTGAAGAAAATGGAACCTGTACACGCTGTTGATGGGAATATAAATTAGTACAACCACCGTGGAGGACAGTATGGAGATTCCTCGAAAAATTAAAAATAGGCTGAGTATGGTGGCCCACGCCTGCAATCCCAGCACTTTGGGAGGCTGAGAAAGGAGGTTCATTTCTGAGTCAAGGAGTTTGAGACTAGCTTGGGCAACACAGTGAGACCTCATCTCTACAAAATAAAAATTAAGTTAAAAAATTAGTTGATTGTGGTGGTGCATACCTGTAGTCCCAGCTACTGGGGCGGCTAAGGCAGGAGGATCACTTGAGCCCAAGGGTTCTAGGCTGCAGTGAGCCATGGTTGTTCCACTGCACTCCAGCTTGGGTGATAGAGCAAGACCCTGTATCAGTAACCACAACAACAAAAATTAAAATAGAGCTACCATATGATCCAGCAATCTTGCTGCTAGATATATACCCAAAATAAAGGAAATCAGTCTATGAAAGAGATAGATGCACTCTCATGTTTACTGCAGCACTATTCACAATAGCCAAGATTTGGAAGCAACCTAAGTGTCCATTGATAGATGAATGGATAAAGAAACTGTGGTACATATACACAGTGGAGTACTGTTCAGCCATAAAAAAGAATGAGATCCTGTCATTTGCAACAACATGGATGGAGCTGGAGGACATTATGGTAAGTAAAATAGCCAGGCACAGAAAGACAAACTTCACATGTTCTCACTTAATTGCGGGAGCTAAAAATTGAACTCCCAGAGACAGAATGATAGTTACCAGAGGCTGGGAAGGGTAGTGGCATGGGGGATTGGAAGAGGTGGGGATGGTTAAGGGTACAAAAACATAGTTAGATAGAATGAATAGGAGCTAGTATTTGATAGCACAACAGGGTGAGTACAGTAAACAAGAATTTATTGTACATTTAAAAACAACTAATTATAATTGGAATGTTTGCAACACAAAGAAATGATCAGTGTTTGAAGTGATGGATACCCCATTTACCCTGATGTGATTACTACACTTGTACGCCTCTATCAAAGTATCACACATACCCCATAAATACATTTACCTATTATGTACCCATAAAAATTAAAATTTGAGAAAAAACCAAAAAACATTGCCCATTGTATTACTCATTGTTCTTTAAATAAAGAGTCATGTAATGAAAGTCTTCTAGAAATCAGTGTCAAGGGAAATGTTTGTCTCTTCCCATTAAATAATATGTTTACTTGGATCAGACAGTGAGAATTATATAACCTTAATGTGTCTTCTTTGTTTTTGCCTTGGTTACAAGTACTTCTAATTCAAATTTAAAGTTTAACCATTATAATGATCTCATCCTGAGTTTCTGATATTAGAATGTGAGCTCCCAGAATGCAGAGATTTTGTCCATTTTTGTTCCCTGTTCTAGGGACAGAGCTCCAGGCAGAGGGAAACAGCTCAAAGGCTCTGTATTGAGAGCTAAAAAAAAAAAAAAGTAGGCTGGGCGTGGGGGCTCATGCCTGTAATCCCAGAACTTTGGGAGGCCGAGGTAGGAGGATCACAAGGTCAGCAGTTCGAGACCAGCCTGGCCAATGTGGTGAAACCCTATCTCTACTAAAAATACAAAAATTAGCCAAGCGTGGTGGTGGGCACCTGTAGTCCCAGCTGCTTGGGAGGTTGAGGCAGGAGAATCTCTTGAACTGGGGAGGTGGAGGTTGCAGTGAGCCGAGATCGTGCCACTGCACTCCAGCCTGGGCAACAGAGCAAGACTCCATCTCAAAAAAAAAAAAAAAGAGAAAGAAAAAAAAGTAAAAGGCCGGGCATGGTAGCTCACACGTGTAATCCTAGCACTTTGGGAGCCCGAGGCGGGCAGATTGCCTGAGCTCAGGAGTTCAAGACCAGCCTGGGCAACACGGTGAAACCCCGTCTCTACTAAAATACAAAAAAATTAGCCAGGCATGGCAGCGAGTGCCTGTAGTCCCAGCTACTCAGCAGGCTGAGACAGGAGAATTGCTTGAACCCAGGAGGCAGAGGTTGTAGTGAGCTGAGATCATGTCACTGCACTCCAGCCTGGGCGACAGAGTGAGACTCCGTCTCTAAAAAAAAAAAAAAAAAAAAAAAAAAAAGAAAGAAAGAAAGAAAGAAAATGTAAACATTACATAACTCATTGGTAGTTTAGCCTGTTTCAATTGCTCATAAAGCAACATCTTATCCTCTGAAGCACTCTTAAGAGAGCAAACTCTATTAACTGCTCTCCACTGAACAACAGAGTATGGTATAAATAGCAAATATACTTTGATGTTTCACAAAATCATTTTATATTGGAATTTATGCCACTCTCAAATGCATGAAACAAAGACTTGGAGTAAAGAGGAAAGAGATGATTTTCCACTTTTTGGTATCTGTGGTATTTGTGTGGAATGTGGCTGAAAGAGATCATTATTCTATCTGAAATAGTTATCCTTCGGGAGAATTAATATGGAGGAGAGCCAGAAAAAGGCACCTGAAAAAAATGCAAGGACCATCCTGAAATCCACCCTGAGTTGACTGTGCCCCTTCAGCTGCCACCTGAACCCTGGCCTCTTGCCTCAGCTCCTGTCCCTATCCTCTGACTCCCAGCAATGACAAATCTGTCTTGGTGGTGGTAGCTCCACCCTCAGCATTCCAGTTATCCTGTCTCTATTCACAGGCCCTGGGGCCCATTCTCTCACTTCTGGCCTTCCCCTGCACTCCTGACCCTTACCATTCATCCAGATCCTAACCTCTTTCTTTGCTTCATCTTCATTGCTCTGGTCCCTAAGCTCTGACAGCTGACAGCAGTTGTCCTAGTGGGGACGATGCCCACCCAGTCCAGAGGTCTGGCTTCGGTCTGGATCCACTCCTGGTGATTCCAGGGCCTGCCTTCCCTGGAAAGGGCCTCATCTTCAGTCTGGGGGTCACTGATTCTATAGAAATTCATCCTGTCTTCTGATTCCCAAGTCCTCCCACTTTATTTAGAAGATTGAGAACATCTAATGCGACTATCTCAACATCTATCTTCTCAAAATGTTTCTGCATCATTACATGACACCTCTTCCTTTGCTCTTGACTTTATTTCATTTATTTATTTATTTATTTATTTTGAGATGGAATTTCGCTCTTGTTGCCCAGGCTGGAGAGCAATGGCTCGATCTTGGCTCACTGCAACCTCCGCCTCCAGGGTTCAAGCGATTCTCCTGCCTCAGCCTCCTGAGTAGCTGGGATTACAGGCATACTCCACCACGCCCAGCTAATTTTGTATTTTTAGTAGAGACGGGGTTTCTCCATGTTGGTCAAGCTGGTCTCGAACTGCTGACCTCAGGTGATCTGCCTGCCTCAGCCTCCCAAAGTGCTGGGATTACAGGTGTGAGCCACCGCACCTGGCCTGCTCTTGACTTTAAATGAGAACTGTTTTGCTATTAGAACTCCTGTTAGTAGATGGGAGAGCTGCCACCAGCCTCAGTCTTTGGATGATTATGTGAGGAAAGTCACCATCCTGGGCTGTTGTGTGAGAAAGAAATACACCTTTGTATTATCTAGGTCACTGAATAATTAGTTCTTTTGTTCCCACAGCCGGCCTCCCTTATCTAATATACAGGAGCAGGCTATAGTTAAGGCATGTGTGGGCACTGGAAGAGGTGCAGACACATTCTATTGTTGGCAGAAGTTAAATAATATTTATGATTCCATGAACTATACTATGTTGGGATCCATCCAATGATAGTAACCCCCACTAAGATCCCTAACTTTCACCCTAACTATACCTGACACTCTTAGGTTCAATTTCCAGAAATCACAAAGGATATATAACAGATATAAGGAATGCAAAGAGAAGGTAAATAAGTCATCTCAGACATTCAAACAGACTGAATACTTCAATTTAGTTCAAAATACAATTATTGAGTGCTTATTCTTTACAAGGCAGTGCCAGGCCTATGGAGAACACACAAGTTAACAAGATTCATAGGAGCTTATTGCCAAAAAGTTTACTGGTCAGTTCAACTGTTACACAAACAACTATGACACGAGGAGAGTGCAGTGCACACCACCAGAAAGGCATTATCCAAAATGTCTGGGGATAAAGGGGAAGGAAGAGTCACTTCTGATTGGAGGCCTCTCAGATAACTTTATGGGAAAAGCTGTGTCTGAACTGAGCCGTAGAACGGCATTCCAAGTGGAGGGAATTGGGTGTAGGCAAAAAACCAGGGACAGAAAGCTCTAGGTGTATTTGGGGTGAGATTTTTAGTGTGGCTATTGCTGCTGGAGCCACAGTAAGCAAGAGAGGGCAATGTACACAGGGTTATGTCCTTCAGTGGACAGGAGGCCTTTCTGCAGGCACAAGATAGCAGAGAAGTGGAGGAAGCCGGTGGTCCCGGGCCTGCACGTTCCCCGAGGCAGGCCTTTAGTACTGGGAGCCCTGGACCAGAGACAGCAATCATGAAACACACGCTTACTGCTTTTGGCTTTTTGGTTCTGGAGAGAATGAGGGGCCAGGATTCTGTCTTGAAAGAGAGAATGGAGGCCAGATGCAGTTGGCTCACGCCTCTAATCCCAGCACTTTGAGAGGCTGAGGTGGGCAGATCATGAGGTCAAGATATCGAGACCATCCCAGCCAACATGGTGAAACCCTGTCTCTACTAAAAATACAAAAATTAGCTGGGCATGGTGGCATGTGCCTGTAGTCCCAGCTACTCGGGAGGCTGAGGCAGGAGAATTGCTTGAACCCGGGAGGTGGAGGTTGCAGCGAGCCAAGATCGTGCCACTGCACTCCAGCCTGGCGACAAACAGAGCGAGACTCCATCTCAAAAAAAAAAATAAATAAAGAGAGAGAGAGAATGGAGCTTGGGAATAGGCCAGAGTTCTAGAAAGGCAGAATTGGCCAGAAGAAAAGAAGAGGCCCAAGGTTCAGGCCACCCTAATACCCATTTCTGATTCCCTCTCTCGTCAATCAAAATGCCTTCCCAGCCTCCCCTGCAGCAAGGAGAGGCCTTAGGCCTTAGGATGGGCACTTCTGGGAAAACTTGCTCTCCTGATAAAAATGAGCAGACGTTTCTGGCATTGGTCTTTTCCCTCTTCTTTTTGTTGCCTCCTTCTCCTCTTCCTCCTCCTTTTCCTTCTTGTTCCAGTGTCTGGAGCTGAAGCAGCTATTTTGCAACTACAAAGGAAAAGCCAAGGAAATTGCTGAGATGCCTGCACTGAGATGGTTGAACTTTTAAACAAATACCTCCAGCTTCTTGATCTGTAAGAGAAAAATGTATAGTAGTGCTCACTGTAATCCGCAGTTTTGCTTTCTGCAGTTTCAGTTACCCACAGTCAATTGTGGTTCAAAAACATTGAGATATTTTCAGAGAGTAAGAGAGAATCATTCATATAACATTTATTATAGTATATTGTATAATTGTTCTGTTTTCTTATTAGTTATTATTGTTAATCTCTTACTGTGCCTAATTTATAAATTAAACATACATAGTTATGTATATATGCATAGAAAAAAACAATATATATCTGCAATTACTGCAGTACTATCTGCAGTTTCAGGCATCTGCTGGGGGTCTTGGAACATATACCTTTCAGATAAGGGGGGACTTCTGTATGTTTATGCCATGGTTAATCTAGTTTGCTGTTACTTGCTGAAACTTTAACTCTGAGTTTGCTGACTTTAGGACCGACTTCAGGATTCTGGGGAGAGAAAGGAATCTTCATAATATCTTGATCATCTCAGTTTACAGAGTCTCAGAACAACATGCTACCTTATAATAAAAGTGGTACAATTGCATAAAGTTTTTTTATGCCTTTTTTCTTAGAAATTTGTGTAGCAAGCAAGGTTGGGAGTGATAGAACGTGACAGTGGCCAAAGCCAACAGCTGCAGCAGGAGCGAATTAATATACAATTATCTAAGACTACTGAGAACCCAGAGGCATTGATTAATGACATTTGGGAGAATAGAATGAAGTTTGGCCTTGCCATTAAATGACAACAGGACAGGGTACAAAGTTGATCCACTAACTAAAAGTTTTGTAATTGTTACCCAATCATAGACTTATATAAATGAGGATTACACTTTTGTAAGTCCTTTACATTGAGTTATTATATAGATAGGGCAAATTGGGAAGAGCGCATTATTATCCTTATGTTCAAATAATTTTTTTCTACTATGAGGTTTGAGAAATAATGTCTAAGCCTAAAGCATAGGATTTTTTTTCTTTTTTCTTAACAGTATGTGTGCATTCCACTTTTAATGTTACAAACTAAACTTTTTTGTTGTTTCTTAAAACTTTTTTTAAATGATGGGTTATGCTATTACTCATTTTAACCAAGTTTGGGCTACACAAAGCATACAGAAATATTTTTTAAACCTACATAGAAGATTATGGTAACAGATATGACAGCAATATTCAAATTTAATCACCTAATCTGATGCTATGCAATAGTCACTAGCCATATGTGTTACATTGATTAAAATCAAATAACATTAAAAATCTACTTCCTCAGTTGCACTAGCCACATTTCAAGGGCTCATTAGCTGGTGGCTACTGTGTTGGACAGAGCACATATATGGCATTTTCGTCATTGCAGAAAGTTCTTTTAGATAGCACTGGTTTAGACAAGTTGGGTTTGTGAGGCTTTTCTTTTAAAAAAATATACAGTGTATCTTGACTCCATCCTTATTAGTTGTTGACCTAGAGTTGGCTGGTCACCTTTTCTAAGCAGTAAAGTCCTCCTTTGTGGAAAGAGATTATATCTACTTCATAGGGTTGTTCTTAAAAGAAAAAAAAAAGGAGGAGGGTGAAAGGAGAAGCTGAAAAGTAGGTCAGGGCCACGTGGTGAGGGTGCTATGCTATGTGGGGTGGGGGAGGCACTGCAATTTTAAGGAAGGAGTTGATGTGATTGTAAATTGTCTCGCTCTGTCATCCAGGCTGGAGTGCAGTGGCACAATCTTGGCTCACTGCAACCTCTGCCTCCCGGGTACAAGCGATTCTCCTGCCTCAGCCTCCCTAGTAGCTGGGATTACAGGCGCATGCCACCATGCCTGACTAATTTTTGAATTTTTAGTAGAGACGGGGTTTTGCCATGTTGGCTAGGCTGGTCTTGAACTGACCTTAGGTGATCTGCCTGCTTTGGCCTCCCAAAGTACTGGGATTACAGGTGTGAGCCTCCGTGCCCGGCTGAAAATTGCATTTTAGAAAGAACATCAGGTTGGCAGTATGGGGAATGGGTTGAAGCTGGAGGTGGGCTGGGAAGAATGGAGGCAGAAAGTTATTCCACGGTGTTGAGTTTTCTCCTGTTTTCCCAAAGGAAACTTACTGGAGAGTTGAAAACTCTTTCTTTGCTCAGCTTCTGAATTCTACAGGTACAGGCCCAGGATGAGAGGAACATGCTTGGATATCTTGGAAGCAGGCTAGTCAAATAGCTCAGAGAAGACTATTTATGGTAGAAAGTTCTAGGTTCAAATCTTGACTCCATCCTTATTAGCTGTTGACCTAGATTTGGTTCATCACCTTTTCTAAGCACTAATGTCCTCCTTTGTGGAAAGAGATTGACTATATCTACTTCATAGGATTGTCTTAAGGGTTAAATTATGTAATGTAGGTAAAAGCATGTAGCACAGAGTCTGTTTAGTGCATATGTTTAGTGCTCAATATATTCAGGCCATTATTACTGAGAGGAACATATTTCCTAAATTTATTTTCAAGGAAGTTCAAGAAATAGGATGCTTTGTTTGTTTCAGTGAATCTTGTGCATCTTCAGACTACATTCTGTGTTTGTTCTCCATTGCACACAAAAAAAGTCTTCTTTAAGGATTTCAAAGTCCCTTTCCTTCCTGTAAAGGCACAGGGGAAAGATCATGAGCTTTAGAGCCATAAGAGCTAGTGTCAAATCCCTTCTCTACTAGCATGCATTAAAAAATTAACGCATAGGTCTAGGCAATGTTCTAAGTCTTTAACATTTACTGATTCATATGATCCTGCAAACCAAAGCAATCCTATGAGGTAGGTCCTATTATCATTTTTATTCTACAGACAAGAAACCTAAGGCACAGAGATACTACACAACCTGGTCAAGGTATACAGTGTTGGGATGTGAACCATGCAGTCTGGTTCCAGGGCCTGTGTGTTTGAGTGTGCTGCTGTAGATCCAACAGATTTCCAAGACTGACTAAGGAATGGGAAAGAAGGAAGGGGGAGGAATCACAGATAACACAAAGGCTTTAGGCTTGCAACTGGGTAGCTTTAGGTACCATTGTATGGGCTGAGAAACATACTAAGGCAGAGCAGGTTTGGGAGGAAAGAGAATTAGTTCCTTGTGACACATGTTGAATTTGAATTCTTCAGGTGATAGCCATGAGCAGATTTTTTTGTTTGTTTGTTTCTGAGATGGAGTTTCGCTCTTCTTGCCCAGGCTAGAGTGCGATGGTGTGATCTCGGCTCACTGCAACCTCCGCCTCCTGGGTTCAAGGGATTCTCCTGCCTCAGCCAAGTAGCTGGGATTACAGGCATGCGCCACCACACCCGGGGCTAATTTTGTATTTTTAGTAGAGACGGCGTTTCTCCATGTTGGTCAGGCTGGTCTCGAACTCCTGACCTCCTGATCCCCCTGCTTTGGCCTCCCAAAGTGCTGGGATTACAGGTGTGAGTCACTGCGCCCAGCCCAGCCATGAGCAGATCTTTAGAGTATCGCTGGACAGATGGGTCTGGAGCTTAAAAGAGATTTTAACAGGAGTTGTATATATTTGGGAGTCATTGGTATGCAGTCATGGAAGTAGATACGATGTCTTAAGAATGTTTAGAATTAGAAAAGAAGATGCCTTCCGGAGAACCCTGAGGAACATCAATACTAAGGGGCAGGCAAAGGAGTCATCACAATGGAGATGAGAAGGAGCAGCTAGGAGATGGGAGGGATACACAGGTATAGTATCTCAGTAGAAAGGCATTTCAAAGGGCAAACAGTGTCAAATGCTATGGAGATCTCAGCAAATGGAGGTCTGAAAAGTGTCCACTGAATGTAGTAACAAGGAGGTCATCAGTGACCTTGGAGAGAACTGTTTTGGTAAATTGGTAAGGGCAATAGTCAGAATGCGGAGGGCTGAGGATTGAATATGGTGTGACGATGTGAAGGCAACAAAGAGAATTTTAGCAAGAAGATTTGCCTGTGAAGGGAGGAGAGATATCTGGAGATGGATGTGGAATGAAGGAAAAATTTATTTAATTAATTGAATTTTACAAAGCAAGAAATTTGAGAATACTTAAGTGCTAATGAGGCTGGTCTGAAGGTAGTGTTATATCAACTGATTGTTCGCTGCCAGTTATAGATTGAACTCCTTGTTCTACTCTTTTTTAAGATTAAAAAAAATTTTTTAATGCTAATGAGGAGAACCTAGGATAAACTGAGAAGCTGTAAAAACCGGAGAGGGAATGATTGGAAATGTGGAGGGGGCAGATCAAGAACTAAGACGAAGAGTTTAGCCTGAAGAGTAGGAGGGAGATTTTCTTTGTAATGTGAGACAAGGTAGCAAATGTAAGAAGCCATGTTTCCTCATTTCTGCTTCTCAGCAGAATTTCACAAAGCCCCTGACTGTGACAATGACACACCGCTACCCTGAAAGATGCTCTGAAGAAAAAACAGGATAAAGCACACGGCCCCCAGTGTCTCTTGCCTGAGTCAATGTAGTCCATAAAAGATAAATGACCTTAGTCCTTGCCTTTCCCTGCACATAAGATAACATCTGACAGAGTTAGTGGTTCTGCTTCTAACATGTATAACCAAATGTACTTTAGAGATCTATAACCAGATGTACTCTTAACACCCAAGCTTTGATGTGATTTTGCATGTACTGAACCTCCACCTCCTATATATAAGCAATGGGCTGAAACACTGTGCAGGAGCAGTCTGACAACCGCTCCTGGGCTATATGTAGTCCTTGGGCCTCAGTAAGACTTCTGGATAAAACTAACTTTAATTCTTTAAAAGCTTGATTTTTTTTTCTTTAGTTGACAGTAACAAGGGATAAGAGAGGAATGAGAAGGAAGATAAGATTTTAGATTCAGTGGTGGGAAATTGAAGGAGTTCTTGATGATTTTTTCTCCCAAGTAGGAGGCCTTATCACTTTCAGAGTGTGGGAAACAGTGGAGTCAGTTAAAACAAACTCAATAGAGTTCAAGGCTGAACTGACTGAATAAAGAGAAGAAATTCCAGGCACCGTGTGAGGGCCCATTAATTAATTCACTGTGGCACCAACCTGCAGAATTGAGTGTTTTCTCCAGGTAAGTGGTAGGTTTGAAGAAAGTAGAGAGCTATAGAGGGCCTAGAGTTGAGGTTTTGACAGGTGGGCCCAGTGAAAGACAATGGGAATTACAGATGAAGATATTGGTAGGAAAGGGGCTAAAATGATGGACAGTGCATGGAGTCTAGCCAAGGATCCAGGAGAAGGCAGAGGGGAGCTGGTAAAGCAAGGGTAGTGAGTTCAGGGACTTTAAATTCTAGTTAACGCTTGTCCTCTGTTGTCTCTCACTTGCTCTGATGGAAACCAGCTGTTATGTTGTGAGTTGCCCTATGGAGAGACCCATGTAGAAGGAAACTGAACCACTGAAAAACTGAGGCTCTTAGTCCAACATCTTGAGGAACTGAATTCTGTCAGCAACTATGAGTGAGCTTGGGAAGCAATCTACCTTCAGTCAGAGGAGGACCTTCAGATGAGACCACAGTCCCCTTCCCAACTCCCCTTGACACCTTGACTGCAGCTTTATAAGAGAAGACCTGGAGGAAAAGGCAGGCACCCACCCCAGATTCCTTACCCACAAAAACTGTGAGATAAATGCTTATTGTTTTCTTTAGTATTTAAGTTTTGGGGCAAATTGTTATGTAACTAATACAAGATATAAGATAATTAACTGAATGAGAAGGGAGAGAGGACAGCAGTTATGATCAAAGACAAAGTGTTTGAGTTTACAATCGTACCTATGAAGTTATGGTGTTTTATCTGTCTGGAGAACGTCCTAAATTGGTGCAGAGGTCAAGTTTACTGAAGATGAGATCAAGGAGCAAAGAGGTCAGGGTATGGGATAAGTCATGCTCGTAGATATTGAAGTATTTCAGGATTATTGGCTGAAGACCGTGCACCAAGTGTTAACAATTTCAATGAATGACACGGTAGAAATAGGGGTACGGTAGATAAAAAGCCACGAGATAGAGAGGGGTATAATCTGATGGAACCAACTTCCACAGAGGTTTTTTTTTTTTTTTTTTTTTTTTTTGGAAAAGGGTGGCAAATTAGGGATCTAAGAAGGTGACCTCAAAACTTAACCCTGGGATATGTTTAGTGTGGGAGAATAAACTTACAATCTTTTAAGAGAGCAAGGGGCCATGCACTGTGGTTAATGCATGTAATACCAGCACTTTAGGAGGCCGAGGTAGGAGTATAGCTTGAGCCCAGGAGACCAGCCTGGGCAACATAGTGAAATCTCAGCTCTACAAAAAAAAAATTAGCTGGGCGTGGTAGCGCGGACCCGTGGTACCAGCTCCAGCTACACCGGAGACTGAGGCAGGAGGATCGCTTGAGCCTGGGAGTGTCAAGGCTGCAGTGAGCCGTGATCGTGCCCCCGCACTCCAGCCTGAGCGACAGAGCGAGACTTTGTCTCAAAAAAGCCACAAAACCAAAGAAACAAAAAGAACTGCAAGGGAAGTACTGTCTTCAGTGTAGAGCCAAGTTTTACGATTAAATGACATAACACATGCAAGGTCCTTGGTTCCACATAGTGGGCACTCAACGAATATTAGTTCTCGCTAAACAGTCACTTAAATATTTGTAGGCCTTGGCTTTCCCGTTCCTTCCCCGACCTTTTTACTGGGGCTAGGGAAGGTATCCGGTGGCTGGAGGCGCTTCACACTGGGTCGGGTGAGAGCGTGAAGCGAGCCTTTTCCCTAACGTCACGGGAGCAGCTGGGAAGAGACCGAAGAACGAGGGTCACTCTCCCCTGTATACGTGGCATGTCCTTCCTCTGAGACATTTATTCCTCCCACCAACAAACATTAATGGAACGCCTCACAAGTGCTAGACCCCAGCGACACAAACAAGGGCGAGGCACACTCTCTGACTACAAAAAGGGCGCGCGGCCGCGTGGCAGGTCAAAGCCCACATCGGTAGGAGGTTCCACAAAGCTCTGATTTTCCAAGTTCTCTCCATACTTTTAGCCAAGGTAAAATGTCGGAAGTCGAGTGGAGCGGGTACGGAGATTCCTCCAGGACTCTGCCTGCGTGGCTCCACCCTCCCAGGCCGCATTCCCGGGTACAGCGGCGCCCACCTAGGTGGGTATACAAGTGTGCGCCCCTGAGGCCAGCGGGGAAGGACGTCATGGGCGAGGTCAGGCGGGAGGGCGCGGCTGGCTCCGCCCCTGGGGCTCCCATGGCCCCCCGCGCCCCGCGGCCAGATGCTGACGTGTCCTTTCCTTCCCACTACACCTCCCGACATTACCTACTCCGGCTGCCCCGGAAGTCCCGCCCCATATTTAGCCCATCCTTGCAAATCAACTCTTTCAGCGCTTCCTGGAACTCACCACCGTTTTGGGGACCAAGAGGCGGGGCTCCGCGAGCAGGGTGCCTATTGGCCTGAGGGCCGGCGGGCTCTGGGCGCTAATTGGGCGGAGGGCGGTGGCGCTCTGGCACGCTTGCGCGGCGAGTAGAACGTGTGGCGGCGGCGGAGATCGCGTCTCTTTCGCTCCGTGTCCCGCTGCTGCTCCTGTGAGCGCCCGGCGAGTCCGTCCCGTCCACCGTCCGCAGCTGGTAGCCAGCCTGCCCCTCGCCTCGACTCCCTTTCACCAACACCGACACCCACATTGACACCTCCAGTCCGGCCAGCCGCTCCACTCGTTGCCTTTGCATCTCCACACATGGCGTCCTCCGCGCAGAGCGGCGGCTCCTCCGGGGGACCCGCGGTCCCCACCGTGCAGCGGGGCATCATCAAGATGGTGAGAACGGGCCCCGGACACCGACCCCTCTGCCTGCCTTCGGGCGGGAGTCAGGCATTGACTCCACCTTCCGCCAGCCTGCTCCATGTCCCAGATCCCCTTTCCTCTGCCCCCTTCCTCACTTTTCGTCGATTCTCCGAATCCTCTCACTAGACGGAAGCAGACACGGAGTCCCCTTGTTCCTTGCCTCCCGGACACCTTGACATCAGGGGTCACAGTGATTTCCGAGGTTGCGGCATTCGGATCTCCTGTCTGTTTACCAGGACAGATCGATTACTGATTGATTAACAGAGACAATTCGTTGATATCTGTCCTCCCATCCCCCGTCTTTCTGTTCATTTTGACATATGCTGAGTAGTTAGTAGTTTTTCGAGATCCTGACATCGGCTCTTCTCTACTAGTACTTGGCCATCATGAAACTTTTCTGTTCCCACAAACGCTGTTACTTGACTCCCAAGTTTTCTCACTCTGTGGCCCTCTTTTCCTCTCTTTCCCTCCACCTCTTGTGTCGACCTGAAAGCTCCTGATCTTTGTGTACTTTTGACTTCTAAAAGGTTAGGCCGGCAAGAATCTTAGTAATCATCATTGTTCTCCCGTCCCTTAAAGATAAGGAGATAGGCTTGAAGAAGGCAAGTGACTTGCTTAAGGTCACATGGTGGTTTGGGTTGGAGCCATAGCAAGAGCCCAAGTGTTCGGATTCCTGGTCTAGTGCTCATAGCACTATAGATTCTGCCTGATTTTATATACCCTCAACTTTTTGAAAATTCTTCAATTTTGAATTTGAACCTGCAAAGTTTATTTTTACAATTTACTCCTAGCTCCATGATAATTTGATAATATAAATTCAGTTTATCACTTGCCCCCAGTTGTCCTCCCCAAAACCCTTCCAAATCTTGGAACCTGACATTTCTTGGTTTTACCAATTTTCTGGTTTATGATGACTGTAAACTTCTAGATGTCGTTTCATACTGCAGTTCTGACATTTGTATCTGCAACAGCAAATATCTTTTGTGATACTTTCTCCCAAGGCTCCACAAGTTTTGCTGTTGTAGAAAGTTTTGAAAAATTCTATTTTAGGCCTGGTGCGGTGGCTCATGGTGGTAATCCCAGCACTTAGGAGGCCGAGGTGGGAGGATTGCTTGAGGCCAGGAGTTGGAGATCAGCCTGGGCAACATAGCAAGACCCAGTTTAAAAAAAATTCTATTTTATTACCCTGTTATCTTTCACAAGATTAAAATGTTCTGCAGCTTATGTGTGTGTAAAGCTGATTTTAAGATCCCCTCGCCCAATTCCCATGTGCTCATTTCTTAAGGTAATAGTCTGCCACCAGCCAAGATTCTTGGGATTTTCAGTACTGCCTTTTCCTTTTGTTTATGTGTAATGGAGGGTCAGAACTGATCTGAAACTGAATGAGAAGAGAATTTCCAAGATCCGCATATATTTTTCCTCTGAAATACTGACCTGACCCATGAAAGGATTATCCTAAAGTGGCTCTTCTTTCGTTAGCTTTTTCATTTGCACTGATCTTCTCTTCACCATAGGAACAAAAACATCTCTTGGCTCTCCGGTGTTGGGTTTGGCAGTAAGAAAGAGTGGATCTTTCTGAGATTTCTCCTTGCTGAGGTTTAAATTGTTCTTAAAGGTCTCTCTCATTTGTGGAATGGGAATAGAATGAGGCTGAACATAGTTTTGTTTCCGCCAATGCTGGAGGCTTTTAGGGCATCTGGATTCTGTGCGGTGACTGCCCACAAATTACCCCCATGGATACTGAATATCACCAATTACTTGTTTATTGTCATGTCTTGTGCTGACTATTCTGCTCATATTGTCTCATTTGTAATACCTAACAAGTAGATAACGATTATCAGCCACATTTTATAGATGTGTAATTTGAGGTTTAGAAAGAATAGTTAACCCAAGGACAGGTACCTTATATTGGTAATAAGAGGCAGAGCTGAGACTTGAACCCAGGCCTGTCTGCCACGGCACATGCTCTTCAATATCATGCATGATGTCTCTGACTTCATGACTCCAGGGTATTAATTTATAACATGGAGGGTGGGGCCAGTGATGCATAACCACAAATTGCAGGAAAGTGAAGCTGTCTATAATTGAGAAAAGATTAGATGTTACTCCTTGTCTTGTCTGGGAGCTGCTATTATGGTAAATGACTTCATTTGGTGCTTATGGTCTTCACATAGGAGTATGGTGTGGAAGATGATTGAGTCTGGGTAGTGGCATATACAATTCAGTGATTTGAGCCATCTGTACTGAGTATAGATTGCACTGCCTTCTCTGACCACACTACAGGGGTTGGGTGAGTTACAGGCAGGGATTAGGGGAGGAAAGCTGAGTGAACTGCAGAGTGACAGGCAGATTTGTGCCAGGTTTAGAAGCCTTGTCTGGAATGAAAAATTGACCACTGGCAAATTGCTGTGTGTGAAGCTCTTCTGCTAAGCAAAGTTGTATTTTCCTGTAGAGTAATAGTTTCCATTGGTACTAGGAACTGCTTTGCAAGAACTCTACAAAGGAAGATGGAGCTCTGTGACAGATGAAAGTGAGAAAGAAATAGTTTGATGAATAGGAAAACAGGAGACACTACTTTTCTGCCTTTTGGGAGAGAGGTAGAAATTGGAACACTGACCTACGCTTTTCATTGTTAACTCTTTGGATTTATCTGGACTCAGGCTGAGCTGAAGGTCTGAAATCGTCTAGGGTTGAAGTTTGCTGCTGTAAAGAGGAATAGTCCTTCCTCTTTTTTGGCAAAAGAAAGTGTTGCAGGGCCGTGAAAGACACAAGTTTCTTCTGGTCTCTGCTTTGCTATCCTGTTAAGTCCTACATTATTTTGTTTAAGGTTGAAGAACTTGGGAATCCAGTTGTAAAACACTTTGACCAATTTTTAAAAAACGAGGGTGATGTTGACACCTGTGTCTGCTATTGAGAGTTGGGGTGAAGGGACAGAGTTGGTTCTGGAATATTTAAGGAGGAAGTGGACAGTAAGTTGATACAGATATTTTGGAGTTGTTCTGTTACAGAAAAAATCAGCAAGGATGATGGAAAAACTTAAGATGGATTTGTATTTTCTGAGTTGGGATGAGACTAGCAAGTATGTGGGTGGACAAAATATAACCCAGATAAATACATGTCTTCTATCAAATCAGATTTTATTTTCTCGAAACCCTGAAGGATTTAAAATCTGGGTTTCTTTGAATAATTTGCTTGATACTCTTTAACTGCAACAGAATATTGTCAGCAGATGCTAAGTAGATGAGGTTGGGAGAAGTGTTGGGTACTTAGTATAAATTGAGTCACCCCCCTTAGCTTTGAGATGGCTATTTTCTCTGGTTTTACTGACCTGGTTTACTCTCTGTTTTTTTTCTCTTTGGGTATGTTTACATGTCTTGTCAAGCATTCGCAACAGCAGAATGAATCTTGAATTCTTGAATCTTCTGTGCTTATCAGAAGCAGCCATGGAGGCAGCATATCTTATCCTACTTATGGTGTGGAAGGCTGAAGGGAGGACGGACAGTGCCAAATCCCAGTTCCCATTTCACCTTACCCTCCCCTCACCCACTTAATTGCCTCAGAAGGGGAAAGGAATGCCTCTGCCAGTCTTTTGTTTTATTCTAAGAACCATGATTCTCACTGGGTGACCAAAGCAAAGGGACACAAGGGAGGAAAGGGCCATAATTTTCTCCTTCAATGGGACTTGTGCTGTCAGGTTGTTGTAAAGCAAGATGTAGACTTCTTGCTGGGTAGCTTAGTGGTGATTCCTTCAGTGTACAGCCTTTAGGAAATCCCACCTATAATTCAGTTCATTATAGCTAAATGTTTCTTAGGTTTCTTTCTTTTTCTTTTTCTTTTCTTTCTTTCTTTTTTTTTTTTTTTTAAGATGGAGTCTCGCTTTGTCGCCCAGGCTGGAGTGCAGTGGCGCTATCTTGGCTCACTGCAACCTCCACCTCTTGGGTTCAAGCGATTCTCCTGCCTCAGCCTCCCGAGTAGCTGGGATTACAGGCGCGTGTCAGCATGCCCAGCTAACTTTTGTGCTTTTAGTAGAGTCATAGTTTCACCATGTTGGCTGGTCTTGAACTGGCCTCAAGCTGTCTGCCCACCTCGGCCTCCCAAAGTGCTGGGATTACAGGTGTAATCTTAGGTTTCTGAACTAAGAAGTGTGTGTCTTTGAAAAGTTCAGTGGGGACAGAGAAGTTTGTTGACCTGCTCGTTCTTACGTGTACTTCGCTCATGCAGGAATGTTGCGGGAAGTCAGGGACCCCGAACAGAGGGACTGGCTATGTTGAAGTATTGGGGGTGGGTTCCCCCAATACAGGAAAAAACAAACAAACAAAACCCACCTTTCCTAAGCTACTTAAAATACCCTTCTACTATTCCAAGGGATAAGGTAGCTGAATAACAATATTTTAGAAGGGCCATTTATGAAGAAGTAGATAGGCTAGGATGGAAGGCTTTTCCCAGTGGTCTTAAAATGCCCATTTCCCGGCAGGTAAGCCTGGTAGCTTTTAATCAAGATTGTAAGTAAAGGAACACTAAGTTTTTACTGTATCTTAAAGGTTTTCTGTCATTTTTCTGTCAAAAGGAAGCATCCATCTGGCTCTAGTTATGTTAGCAGTGTAATAACTAATGAAATAGAATCATAAGCAATCATACTTCCTTTCTTTCTTGAACAAATATTTATTGATCATCTGCTATCTGTCAAGCTCTGGGCATTGGAGAAACAGAATTTAAAAAGTAGATCAAATTTCTATCCTTATGGCTTATGGAGGAGTCAGACAATAAAGAAGTTAACAAGAAATAAGCATGATCATACAAGATAGTGATACCAGGTAAGGGACTGGGACAGAGTGGTTTGTAGTAAGGGAGAGGGTGGGTCCTTTGGATACTGTGTTTAGGAAAGACTTCTCAGAAGATGGCATTTGTGCTGAGATCTGATGGACATCAAAAACTAACCATAAAGGAAGGGCGTTCCTGGCCGAGGAAACAGCAAATGCAAAGCCCCTGGGGTTTCCACCATTGATGATTTATTTTTTATTTTTTATTTTTTTCAGTCAGGATTTCACTTAGTTGCCAGGCTGGAATGCAGTGGCACAATCATGGCTCATTGCAGCCTTGAACTCCTGGGCTCAAGGGATCCTCCTGCCTCAGCCTCCTCCTGAGTAGCTAGGACTACAGGTGCGTGCTACCACACCTGGCTAATCTTTTATTCTTTTTTGTAGAAATGGGGTCTTGCTATGTTGCCCAGGCTGGTCTCGAACTCCTGGACTCAAGTGACCTTCTCCACTCTGGCCTCCCAAAGTGCTGGGTTTATAGGCATGAGCCACTGCACTTGGCCTATGATTTATTCTTTAGAGTTTTTATAGTAGCTCTTCAGTTCCTTCACGTTCAGTATCCCATGTAAATAGTTTGGGTTTAACCTGAGTTATTATGTAATATATGTGTTTAAGGGTGATAAAAGGAAGAGAGGCAGTGGAGATGGTAATTTTTCTGGTACCCTGGTGAGATCAACAGCTGACATTAAGTACACTGAATAAATATTAAGAATTGGAGGCTGGGCACAGTGGCTCATGCCTGTAATCCCAGCACTGTAATCCCATCCCTGTAATCCCAGGCCGAAGCAGGTGGATCACCTGAGGTCAGGAGTTCAAGACTAGCCCAACCAACATGGCGAAACCCTATCTCTACTAAAAATACAAAAAAAATTAGCCAGGCATGGTGGCGCGCGCCTGTAGTCCCAGGTATTCCGGAGGCTGAGGCAGGAGAATCACTTGTACCTGGGAGGTGGAGGTTGCAGTGAACTGAGATCGAGCCATTGCCCTCCAGCCTGGGTGACAGAGTGAGACTGTGTCTCAAAAGAAAAAAGAATGAGAGACTGATAAGAAAAAATACTTAGTCATATGCTTGTTTCTAATAGGATTAAGACTAAGATTTTCTGACTATCAGCTAGTCCTGTGTATTCCCAAAGTCACTATTTTTCTTCTAATGGAGGGAAAAACATGGATTAAAAAAGAAAATGCCAAAAGTAGGCTTTATAAGAGCTAAATAGCATCTAGAACTTGCCATTGTTGATATTTCTCTTAGCATTTTGTTACTACATGGAATTTACTGCTGCTCTGGCCTCTGGCAGTACTTTTTTGCCTAGCAAGCTTTAGTGAACTGTGTTAGTGAAAAGCAAAGTAGCATGCTTCAGGGGATCAAAACTAATTATCAGGTAAGAACTCGCTTACGCATCCTGTGGCTCATTAACATGAGTGGGAACTTCTGAGGCCAGTGACTAGTGCTGGCAATAGTGGGCAAATGATTTGGTGAAGTCTATGCCCCAGTTTATTTGGAGGATGAAATTTGGGGAGCAAGTGAAAATTGTGATTTCTGTTTGTAGGTTTAGCAGAGAAAATTGGCCAGGTTTTTGAATTCAGGTAACAAGGTATCTAAGGCCTGTTGTCCACTCACTTCTCAGCATAGGCTAGCTATCCATCTGACAGGTGTGGTTCTAACAGGGGCATAGTAGATATCCTTTAGAGTCTGATCTTTGGATTTATTTCATTTCTCCAAGAAGAGCATAGTTACATACTGTAGGAAATTTTGTGCATTATCAGGGAAAACAAATGCAATGAAGGAACTCAACTCTTACTGGGCTTATCTGGCTTTTCCTCATATTTCTTGCTGGGAGATGAATACACAACCCGGTTTCTGTTGCTACTTCCTCTCTTGGGAGACTGACATATGCTTTTTGCTTTTACAGCAGAAATTTATGTGGAATCACAGGTTGTGAACATTCGATATAGATGGAATGTTACGGGATTTCACTTACTTTCATTAGACTCAATATAATACATTAATGATCTTTTTCTTCACTCTAATGTTTAAGAAAAAAATGAACAGTGGTTTCAGTTGGCATTTTTTAAAAATTAGGAAGTTAAGCAACTTATGGGAAAAATAAAACTAAAATTTTGATGTCATTTTCAGATGCCATTTTTGAAATGTGTAATCTATGATATAAACTGGTTTGGCACATTTTCTTCACTTATGTGCTTATCATGTGTGACTTAAGGTACCATCTCCTCTCTATTCCTCAACAAATTTTGAGGCTCTTTGGGTTCTTAGTTCTGTTTATGTGGCAAGTAGTCTGCTTGGGATGGTCTTGTAGCACCAACCTCATGTATATCAAGAGGAATAAAGGAGATTTAAAGAATCTGTGCTTAAAGTTAGTAATCTAATTTATTAACTTTGTCCCTGGAAAGCAGCATGGCAGAGAGAAGAGATCATTGGCCCAGAAGTCAGGGGACACAAGTTCTGGCCTGGGTGCTGCCATTTGGGTAATGTTGGGTAAGATATTCCACCTCAAACTCTCCTTTTCTCTAACATGAGGTTGCTGGATGCATTGTCTCTAAGCATTTTCCAGTCCCATAAGGCTGTAATTTTATAAGAAACCCTGTGTTACATTTCATTTAGGCATGCTGAAACAAAGTTGAGAAATCTCATACCTTAACGGCTTGACTTTGAATTGCCGTTTATCTTGCATAAAGCAGGTTTTCTGTTCCTATTCTTTTTTTTTTTTTTTTCTAATCTTTAGTTTGAGAAAGAAGATTAGTGGAAATATGGTTTTCCAGTGTGGAAGACCAGAGAGTTAGAATGAGACTAAATGATTGAATGGTGGGGTGGAGAGAGGGTAGATAGAAGTAAGGGGAGTTCTTGGTTTCCTTTCAGTAGTGTATCATGATAAACTAGTGGGAGTGTTGCTTGAGACCCAGAGGAACATGGTTCTAGTGGGTTTTATTCACCTAGTCCTATCTCTGCTTCAGAACACTGTGACATTTTCCTGGTGCAGCAGATCTTGACTTGAGAAGGGAAGGAGAGAGGAGGCAACTTAGGGAGCCTCTGGCTCATAGGGAGAGTCTATTCTTGCCCTGCTCTTGACTGGGAGACTGTGGTGGGAGTGTGGGGGCTAATAGGGTCCTGAGCTCTGTTCTTCTTGCTTGGAGCCAGGACTTTGGTTTTTGTTTAGTTTTGTTTTCAGATCTTTTTCAGTTCTATTTAATGCACAAGTACAAGTTGAGTAGCCCTTATCTGAAACGCTTGGACTAGAAGTGTTTCAGTTTTTGGAATATTTGCATTATTCTTAGGGCTTAGCTTCATTCACCTGGAAATCTCATATTCAAAATCCTCCAGTGAGCATTTTCTTTGAGCATTATGTTAGTGTTCAAAACATTTCAGATTTTGGATTTTTGGATTAGGGATGTTCAACCTGTATAGGAATCATTTTAATCTATTTTTGGCAGTTGCTCACACAGTTTCTTTACTTTTGAGTTTATTTTTTATGGTAAGCCTTCTTAAATCCTTTCTGGGAGTAGATTCAGAGTGAGAGAAAGGAGCCCAGTGATTTCCTAAACAGGTCATCGCATCAGGACAACCTAGAAGACGTTTCCCAGGCATTGAATTAGAAGCTCTGGGACTGGCCTGGAAAGGTCTATTTTCAAAAAAAAGCCACTCCTAGGCTATTCTGAAAGAATCAGTTTGGGATTGATCTGGGGCTGGCATGTGAGATCCACTGATCTTGTTTAACTCCTGTACTGTTTGTAGTTGAAGGGGCGGGACATAAATGATAAGTGAAATGTATGTATGTGGGGGTGGGTGCACCAGAATTTTATGAGGGGAGGATAGTGGTTTCTTTCTCTTCGCGTTTGTCTTGATGGTTCCCAGGACGCTTTGTTTTTAATTTGTGGCTCAATATTGGGCTGGGGTCCTCAGGGTCCACTTATAGTGACTCAGATCCTATTCCTAGGTCACAACTGACAGCTGAGAAGTTGTTTTATATTCCTGATTTAGGCCATATGCTCATTTTAACACTCATCTGCGACTTTTCCTTCTGTTTGCATAGATTCCCAGGATCTTCCTGTAATTTGGCACCAATAACTTGGCACATTATTTCAATGGAAGTCTTTAGTGTCATTTACAAAACTAAGATTTTAAATTCCTCACTTTCTGTTCTTGCAATCCTGAGGAGCTTCATCCCTAGGCCTTTTGGATCTCTCCTGTTTCTTATTCATAGGCCCCATTCTTAACAACACTAAAACCCCAAATGATCTACTCAATGGTCTTAGTCTTTATATTCCACTAGCTTGTCTAATATGGAAGTAAAAATAATTCTCAGGTCTTACGAAGTCCTTATGATTAGGGGTCACATTTACAGTTCCCTTGATGGCCTTTTTTCATTTTGGTCAACAGTTTTCCAGTTTATCCTGGAATTCCTTCAGAGCGTTCAGGTGGATGTCATCCAGTGTTAGTAATTGAATAATTGGTATTTCTATACTCAACTTGCTGTTAAAATTTCAAGCAGTAGAGAGGTATGAAGTAAAAAAGAAAAATCCCTAGCTGGGCATGGTGGCCCACGCCTGTAATCTCAGCACTTTGGGAAGCCGAGGTGGGTAGATCACTTGAGGTTAGGAGTTTGAGACCAGCCTGGCCAACATGGCAAAACCCCATCTCTACTAAAAATACAAAAATTAGCCGGGCATGGTGGTGCGTGCCTGTAATCCCGGTTACTCAAGAGGCTGAGGGATGAGAATCTCTTGAACCTGGGAGGTGGAGGTTGCAGTGAGCCAAGATCATGCCACTGCACTGCAGCCTGGGCGGCAGAGGAAGACACAGTCTCAAAAAAAAAAAATCTCTCTCTCTCTGCCCTCCTTGCCCCTCAGTTTTCTACCATTCATTCTCATCCTCCCAGCAAACGTCAACAGTGTATTTGCTTCCAAAATGTTTCATGCAGATACACACCCTCTCCTCCTTTTTAAAAGAAACTGAAATAGGGTCAATCTCTATGTGTCTGGCAATTTTCTTTTTTTAGTAAATTGTCATGACTATCTTTCTGTCGTAGATCTACCTCATTCTTTTTTAATGGTTGAGCGGTATTCCACAGTTTGGATGTATATTATCTATTTTTCTGTTGATATATGTTGTTTTTAGCTTTTCATAATTCTAAGCACTATTGCACTGATTGAACTGTATATCTTTGTGCTCTGATGCTAGCGTTTGTATAAGATAGATTCTAAAAGTGCAGCCACTGGTACCTTTTTTGTAACCTTTTTTGTTTTTGGTGGTGGTTGGGGTGCTTTACTTGTACCTTAGCTGTTTATTTCTTACAGGTGTCATGTTAGATAAAATTTAGGGTAAAATACTGCTTAGTAGCTCATTACTCAATAGTTTTTTTGTTTGGTAGTTTTATTTCCCCAATAAGACTATTCCTGAAAGCCACTTTGCCTTTTCTGTGGAGCGCAGGGCCCAGCACCTGGGCCTTGGTAAATAATTACTGTTGTCCCTTGGTATTTGGTTCCAAGACTTCCCCAACCTCCCAATATCTGGAGATGCTCAAGTCCCTTGTATAACATGGGATAGTATTTGCACATAACCCGTGCACAACCTCTTTTATCTTTTTTTTTTTTTTTTTTTTGAGACAGAATCTCTCTGTCACCCAGGCTAGAGTACAGTGGCACAATCATGGCTTACTGCAGCCTCAACCTCCCAGGCTCAGGTGATCCTCCCACCTCAGCCCGCTGAGTAGCTGGGACTACAGGTACATGCCACCACACCCGGCTAATAAATTTTTTGTGGAGACGGGGTCTCCCTGTCTTGCCTAGGCTGGTGTTGAACTCCTGGGCTGAAATGATCCTCCTGCCTCAGCCTCCAAAAGTGCTGGAATTACAGGTGTGAGCCACTGTGCCCAGCCTCCTGTATGCTTTAAATCATGTCTAGGTTACTAATAATACCTAATACAGTGTAAATGCTATGTAGATAGTTGCTATATTTTATTGTTTTAAAATTTTTTTATTGTTGCATTGTTATTCTTACTGTTTTTTTCTTGAATATTTTTGACCCATGGTTGGTTGAATCCACGGATGTGAGGGCCTACTGTACTTCTTTTTTTTTTTTTGAGATGGAGTCTCGCTCTGTCGCCAGGCTGGTGTGCAGTGGCACAATCTCGGCTCAGTGAAACCTCCACCTCTCGGGTTCAAGTGACTCCCCTGCCTCAGCCTCCCAAGTAGCTGGGACTACAGGTGCATGCCACTATGCCTGGCTAATGTTTGTTTTTTGTATTTTAGTAGAGATGGGGTTTCACCGTGTTGGCCAGGATGGTCTCCATCTCCTTACCTCGTGATCCGCCTACCTCGGCCTCCCAAAGTGCTGGGATTACAGGCGTGAGCCACCACGCCTGGCCTTACTGTACTTCTTAATTGGTTGCCGGCCCCGCCAACCCCAGGTGTCTTAAGGTCTTAATACTGACAGGTGGAGTAGATCCTTTTTGGCTTTGTTTTTAATCTGCTTTCTCTGGGTTCTGGAGAGTTCCATGACTAAGGAAATTTTTGACTTCCTAAAGTGCAGATAGACAGGTGGAGGTGAGAGGCAAAATCATGTGAGAGAAGTCTGACTTTTTTCCTATTTGCTGGCTCATAGCTCTTCCTCTTTTTCCTTTTTCTTCTTGGATAAGAAGGTGGTGTGTGATATTGTGATGTAAAAAGAAATATATCTGGTCGTGGTCTTCTTGGCACAGAGCTCCTAAAACTCTAGTCATTTCTTTTTTGCTTTTTTCGAGACAAGGTCTCTGTTGCTCAGGCTGGAGTGCAGTGGTGCGACCACAACTCGCTGCAGCCTCAGCCTGCCAGGCTTAAGACATCCTCTGGCTAATTTTTGTATTTTTTGTAGAGGCGGGGTCTCTCTGTGCTACCCAGGCTGGTCTTGAACTCCTGGGCTCAAGTGATCCTCCTACCTTGACCTCCCAAAGTGTTGGGATTACAGGCGTGAGCCACTCTGCCCAGCAAACAAGCCCCTCTGAACCACACTTGAGTTAATGAGTGACTCTGGGAAGCTCCTAAGTGTGAGTGGGGCCTGGTTACTAGAGATCGAGTTCAATCACTGATGGCCAGTCATTTAATAAATCATGCCAATGTAAGGTAACCTCCTTAAATGATGGGGTTTGGAGAGCTTTGGGGTTGGGGAAAATGGGGAGGTGCTGAGAGGGTGGTGTGCCCAGAGAGGGCATGGAGGCTGTGCACTCCACCCCCCATATATTACCTTATGTATCTCTTCCATCTGGCTGTTCCTGAGTTGTATACTTTTATATAAATCTAGTTACTAGTAAGTAGGCTGTTTTCCAGAGTTCTGTGAGCTATTCTAGCAAATTAATAAACCCGAGAAGAGGCTCATGAGAACACACACCTGATTTATAGCTGGTCAGTCATTAAGGGTGGCTTGAGCTTGGCATCTTCAGTGGGAGGAGTATTGTGGGATGGCACTTTTGACTTGTGGGATCTGACACTAATTCCAGGAAGACAGTGTCTGAATTGAATTGAATTGTAGAACACCCAGTTGGTGTCTGCAGAGAATTAGAGGATTGCTTGGTGTGGAAAAAAACCCACACACATTTGGTGTCAGAAATGTTTGTGTGACTGTAGAAGAAAAACAAAAACAATTTTTTTGTCCTTTTTAGGGTGGTAGGTGGTAGTAGGAATGACAATATCTGGCACGGAGAACACTTGTTTTTTAGAGTTGTTTGGGGAGATATCACTGGACCAGGGGATCTGGTTTGCAGCCTTTCTGGATACTGGGAAGTGCTCATCCTAATCCTGGTATTGGTTTACCCAAAGTTTCCCAGGCTTCACATGTTTCTGTACTCCTGCAGTGGTTTTGACATACCACTTTATTGAGTTTTGGAAATCGTTTTGACAGTCAACATTTTTTTTTTTTTTTGAGACGGAGTCTCACTCTGTCGCCCAGGCTGCAGTGCAGTGGCACAATCTTGGCTTACTGCAAGCTCCGTCTCCCGGGTTCTCGCCATTCTCCTGCCTCAGCCTCCTGCATAGCTGGGACTACAGGCGCCCGCCACCACGCCCGGCCAATTTTTTTGTATTTTTAGTAGAGATGGGGTTTCACCGTGTTAGCCAGGATAGTGTCAATCTCCTGACCTCGTGATCTGCCCACCTTGGCCTCCCGAAGTGCTGGGATTACAGGCGTGAGACACCGCGCCCGGCCGACAGTCAACAATTTTTAAAATTTAAATAATTTTATTTCTAAAGGCAACTTAAATTTCACTATTGAAAATGGAAAGTCAATATTAAAGAAAAAATTATTCATGACACTTGTTAAAGATGGTAAGGCAGACTTTATTCAAGGAGGGCTGTGGTGATAGGTATAGGGACCACTGCAGTGGAGTCTTGCATTGGGAAGGAGCGATTTAGAGGTATTTGTTTCCAGTCTCTGAAATAACTAATGTGATGTTATTTTCAGCCTTAGGAATTCTGTTCCAGGAGAGCGGGAATTACTGTTTTATAGCCTTTAATACAAGGACATTAAAAAAAATTTTGGTAATAACCCAAAACAGAATCACTGTGCCAAGTGACATTTATCTGCTTGCCTATCAGGACTCTGCCGCAGGTTTTAATGAGAAAAGTGGTGCATTCTATTCCTCCCGGTGTGTAAGGTAGAGGGACACTCCCGAGTACCTGGGTCCTGAAATCCCGCCATGATCTATTATTGTGTGTGGTAATTACTTGCATTATTGCTCTTGGCAGGTGAGCCCTTTCACAGCCCAGAGGCCAGGAGGCTGCCTCTATCACTTAAAAGCTGAGTTATCTTGTTAAGCTGTTCTCTTGTGAGGGCTTTAGAATCTCCTGAGACCTCCCCACAAGCTCTCAGCAGGACACAGGTCCAGCTCCTGGCTAAGCCTGCCCTGCCCTTGTATTCGGCCCCTGAACCGTAGCTCTAGAGGAATAACTTGCCATTATATTACAAGTAAGGCGATGTGGGGCTGCTAGCCCGGACTGCTTGGTTTCCATTTAATCCTTAAGAGTTCCCATATTGGTGCTCTTAATGAAAGTTCTTAGGAGAAAATGTGTTCCTTTGATTATCAACAGGAGGAGCTGAAAGGCAATGTAGAGAGAAGAATAAGCTCAGGACTCAGATTATCTGAGGAAAAGGGCCTCAGAAAATTGATTTTTGGAAGTGGTTGATGGCACAAGGCTAAGCATACAGTAAAGGTGGCCCCTGAGTCTGAGCTGTCATAAACTTTCATTTGAAATCTCTGCTTTATATGTTAAAGAGTTTAATTATTTGTTATTCATTGGAGAGAGTGCCCCCCTCAAAAAAAAAAAGGTGTGGACAATCACAGAGCTGCGCTTTAGTGATAGCATAGGGAAGGTAGAATATTATGAGTGTTTTTAATAAAAATGGATGAGAAGTCTCTTTTATGGACAGTACTTGCAGTGCCGGGATCATAAACAAGTTCCAGATCATGCTGATATAGCTGCCTGTTAAATATCTTGATGTGTGCAGATCTGTGTTTGATGACAGAGGGCGGGAAGGGCCTGGGACACTGGCATCGTGGTGGGGAAGGACTGACCAGTTCTCTTGTAATTGCCAGCTGTGTTAGATGATCAGGGACTTGAGTTTTTATTCCTTTATGATAATCTCCCTAGGATTTTAATAATGAGGAGAATCCTAGGATGGTACCTTAATTCAGCAATAATGGACTTTAAAATGTTTATGGTAGACCTGTGATTTGCACTTTATTTTGACATCTAAAATTGACTATCAGTATTTCAAATAGGAAAAATTTCCTATTTGAGTTTGGAAAATAAGTGGGGAAAAGTCATGCTTCTCATGAGTATCATAGAAGCTGACTTATTTCCTCAAGCTCTATGGTCAGCTCTGTATATAAATCTGAGTAAGTATATTAGACATTCTTTAGAGATGATTCACTCTGAGTAATACTGAGTATTATACTTAACATCACTATTTCTATAGGTCAAGTTTAGGGAAAAGTGTGCATGACTTTACAGGAACAAACCTGAAGAAGAGTAAATGCAGTCATTTTCATTTCTCTAAGATATTTCAAGATCTCTGGTTGGCTTTCATTTAGTTGTATCTGGTATACAGGTCCCCTACCACGTTTTATCATTTTATTATGATTTGATATTTTGTACAGTACATTTTACTCAGGGGCACAGTGATGGCAGTGCTGTGAGGAGGAGAGATGAGATGACAGCAGCCATTGTTATTATGGCTAGTAACGCAGTAGCTGCTGTCCCCCATCCCTGGATCAGGAACAGCAGCTGCTGTGCTTCTCTCCTTTCTCTGGGCCTTGGAACTGGGGAGGAGGAAAGTTAAAGTTAAAGGAAGTTAAAGGAAGGGGTTGCTGGACTTAACGGATTTCTGGTAGTGCCCAAACTAAATCTTTAGACTAGGGCTGAGTCCATCATTGTTTGGTAAACAATATTACAGATCAGGCGTCGAAAAATATTCCGAAAGCACAGTCCTTGGAATTGTTAATCCCACTCTTGACAGGCACAAGAACACATCTGTATTACAGACATGCACATACAGTGCTTAGAATAGGTCTTTATGTCAAAATGAGAGAGTGTAGAATTTGGTGTTTTGAGTGGCTGCATTGTTTTCCATTATGTAAAATGCTGTTGATCAACTACACTTTGAAAGCACTGAAGAGTTAAGTTATATGACTGCTAGTCAACATGGCTACAGTCTCAGGGGAAGAAAAATGACTCAGTTAAATGCCATCATCTTTCAATAGAAACAAAAGAAAAAGGCAGAATTGAAGAGAGGCATGTGCAGAAATCTTCTGAAGGAGACTATAGAACAGTAGTCACCTGAGAACTTGTTAGAAATGTAGACCCTCAGACCCTACCCCAAAACTAGTGAATCAGAATCTGCATTTTTACAAGATCCCCAGGTGATTGATGTTTGCACAGTAAAGTCTGAGAAGTGCTGTCCATTAATTCCCTGCCTCTGTTCCCCACTCTAACTTCCTCATTCAGAAACATATGTTCTCCAGCAAATTCTGCTTAAACTTTGACCTTCCTCAAAGAGGACTCCCCAAACCCTAGACTAGATCAGATTGCCCTGCCGTATGAACACCATACTTCTCTCCCATAGAACTCGTGACAGTATTACATAAGAGAATAATTGTTTAGTATCAGTCTTCCTGTCTATGCTGGATGTTCTGTAAGGGCAAAGACCATGTCTGTCCTATTCACCATGGTAAATCCAGAGCCCAGAACAAGACCAGGAAAAAATAAGTATTTTTTTGGAATAAATGAATGGCACTACTGCATATCAAGTACAGTGGTGGACTCAGGAGATGACAACAACAATTGAGACATGGTCCTTGTCCTTACCACAGCTCATAGCTTAGTGAATTTTTGCTCAAGTGAATGAAAGCCGAACCCCTAAGAGCATGTACTGCACTCACAGCTGCTTTGCCTATTTCTCTGCCAAATGACAAGAGATGGCCCTAATGTCTCTGGGGCCTTCCACTCCCTCGGCATGATCTCTAGGCAAGCATGCCCTCACTTCTTTCTCCCCTCATTTGGATTCCCCATTTCCATGGTGCAGTCCCCTGTCCCACCTTCTCCCTCTGCCCTCTTTAATGCAACTCCAACTTGCCTCTGCATCACTGCATTCTCCCCTCAGTAGTTCATGTTATCTGTGACAACATTTGCTCCAGTCAGATTCCCTCAGCAGTGCCTCCCCCTTTTTTTTTTGAGACGGAGTCTTGCTCTGTTGCCCAGGCTGGAGTGCAGTGGCTTAATCCTGGCTCACTGCAACCTCCGCCTTCCAGGTTCAAGCGATTCTTCTGCGTCAGCCTCCTGAATAGCTGGGACTACAGGCGCTCGACACCACGACCAGCTCATTTTTGTATTTTTAGTAGAGACGGGGTTTCACCAGGTTGGCCAGGCTGGTCTCGAACTCTTGCTCAGGTGATCCGTCCACCTTGGCCTCCCAAAGTGCTGGGATTACAGGTGTGAGCCACTGTGCCTGGCCAGCGGTCCCCTTTTTACAGTATATCAAATTTCCCTTGTTACCCACTTCAGTAATGTTTTACCTAACTCATTTCTAACCACTCAATTGATTATTTCCTGTGAGCTGTCAAGCCTACTCTGTTCTCAACCAAAACCACTCAAATCTATGCAATATCCCTGACCACTTTGGAGAATCTCTCAATTAACTGTTCAATATTCAGTTGTCTTCCCACTTTCCTCAGTCACTACCTATATCCTCCAAAGGGATGCTTGGTGTCCGAGCAAATTCTATCATCTCTTCTATGATTATATTGTCCACGAGTCTTATATTTGTTCTTGCTTCCTAGGCAAGACTCTCAGTAGATTTACCCCAAAGCCTATATCCAATACCATGGTAACAAAAATACATCTGAATGCCTACACTGAGAGCAATGACAGAGTAACAGTATTTCCTTCCTGTCCCCTCCATGTACTGTGCTGGCTAAAAATATTACCCTGTTACCTTTGCATTTTGATCCAGACAGCCTGCATTTTAGAGAAGATCAAAGGTGTGGGGACAGGAGGAGGAAGTGTTAGGATTTGATAAGGAAAAAAGGAAATAAAATTCAGCACCTTGCAGATTAACATAGAGAATTTCTCTTGGCATTCCCAAAGCATCTTTTCTTTTTTTTTCTAGTTTAGACTGGAGGACTTAGGCATTGTTATTTATGTATTTATTTAACTAATTCTAATTTTTTTTTTTTTTTGAGACAGAGTCTCTCACCCAGGCTGGAGTGCAGTGGCGTGATCTCGGCTTACTGCAACCTCTGCGTCCTGGGTTCAAGTGATTCTTGTGCCTCACCCTCCTGAGTAGCTGGGATCACAGGCGTGTGCCACTGCATCTGGCTAATTTTTGTATTTGTGGTAGAGACAGTTTCACCATGTTGGCCAGGCTGGTCTCGAACTCCTGATCTCAGATTATCTGCCTGCCTCAGCCTCCCAAAGTGCTGGGATTACAGGCGTGAGCCACCACGCCTGGCCTAATTTTAATTTTTTTTTTTAAGATGCCTGTGTTGCCCAGCCTGATCTTGAACTCCTTGGCTCAAGCCATCCTCCTACCTCAGCCTCCAGAGTAGCTGGGATTACAGATGTGAGCCACTGCTCCTGGTTCTCAGGCATTGTTTTTGATAATACGATTCTTTTTTGAAAATAAAGACAGCCAACTCTCAAGAGTGAACGGTTTGCGGCCAGATTGGAAAACTTCACTTAAACCAAAAACAGATTTAATGGTCTTGCCTCTTATAGAAAGTTCTCAGTTACTTTAACTCTGAACTTCCATGACTTGTTTCTCAAATCTTTTGAGACACTAAGAGGTTTCTAGCTTGTCTGAATATAAAACCTAATTAGATCACATTTATTTATTTATTTATTTTTATTTTTAATTTTTCTGTAGTAATGGGTCTCACTTTGTTGACCTAGCTGGTCTTGAAATCCTGGCCCCGAGAGATCTTGCCTTGGCCTCCCAAAGTGCTGGGATTATAGGCGTGAGCCATTGCACTCAGCCATAGATCACGTTTATATGCAATTAAAAAAAAAAAAAACCATGAGATAATTGGCATAGGAAGGAAAAGGGATATCTTTAAAACCCAAGATCTTTTTTGGAGCAGTAGTCTTTTTGAACAGCACACTCAGAAAGTTTGAATTCTGTGATTTGAAAGCGTCTACCATTTTATTTCATTTGGAAAAGATAATGAAACAGTGCATGGATCACACAGAAAGATGTATGGTCCATGCAACATAATAATAGTTTGATATTCAAATTCTTAGAAGTTGCATGTGCATGGAGAGAGGGAGGACTGGGCTAGGGAGAGACAAAGTTTCAGAACCACCAACGAGACCTAGTTCCAGTGATTTGTCTATCACTGATGCTCTACAACAGCCTTTAGTATGTTTAGCATCTTGAAAGGTGTTTTAAAAAACTTCTTATTGTGAAATAATTTCAAACTTTGAGAAAAGTTAGAATAATAGAGATAACTCCTGTATCCCCTTTACCAAGAGTCCCTAACTGCCTTATCATCCTCTCTATATTTATTACATCCAATCATTATTCATTCACAGTAGTTATGTTCTATAAAGTTGCAAACACTGTGAATCTATTGAGTACTGATGGTTAGGTCCCTTCAAACTTCTGGTCACATTTTCATCAACTGATCAATACCTGACCTTGTTCTATGCGCACGCTCCTGGTTTATTTGTTTGTTTGTTTGGAGATGGAGTCTTGCTATGTTGCCCGGGCTGGAGTGCAGTGGCTCTTCACAGGCTGAGTCATCATAGTACACTATAGCCTTGAACTCTTGGCTTCAAGTGATTCTCCTGCCTCAGCCTCCCGAGTAGCTGAAACTATTTGCAGGTACCACTGTGCTTGGCTATTTGTGTACTTCTGTTTAAAGACACTTTATTTGATATATATTTTTGATTCTTTAACTTTGAACTCAAAGCCAATAGCACTATAACTCATGACTGAATGAAGTTTATCTGTCACATATCTGTTTTCTCTGTAAAGTACATCATAGCAGCTTTCTTGTGCTAGGAATACTAGACAGCAAGTCAGAACTACCATTTGGGGCTATTTTAAACAGTGAAATAAACAGTAGCACTAAAATGTAAAAAATGTGGCATTAAATAGACCACATAAAGAACACTTGTTTACTGAGTGAAAGCTGAAACAAGAAGGCAGAGCATTTCCCTGCTGGGAACGAGGACATAGGCAACTCAAAGTTTTGCCACTTTGTGCGTGTACATGCCTGTAAATAACAGTAACAGTGCTGAGAGTATTGATTTGGGGGTTACAAATATATTATAGTGAGTAGGCAAATTTGAAAATTCAGAATCTGAACAGTGAGGATCTTCCGTATTTTTTTTTTCTGAATTATTTGAGAGTAATCTGCAGATACGGTATCCCATATACCATATCCCTTTCATACTTTAATACTTCTAACTATTGTCTTAAAACCGGGGATATCCATCTATAGGAACACAATAAAACCATCAAGATCAGAAATTAACATGGTTATGGCAGGTGCAGTGGCTCATGCCTGTAATCCTAGCACTTAGGGAGGCTGAGGCAGGAGGCAGGCAGATTACTTGAGGTCAGGAGTTCGAGACCAACCTGTTCAACATGGCGAAATCCTGTCTCTACTAAAAATACAAAAATTAGCTGAGCATGGTGGCATGTGCCTGTAGTCCCAGCTACTACTCGGGGGGCTGAGACCGGAGAATTGCTTGAACCCAGGAGGCAGAGGTTGCAGTGAGCCGAGATCGCACCACTGCACTCCAGCCTGGGCGACAGAGCAAAACTCCATCTCAAAAAAAAAAAAGAAAGAAAAAGAAATTAACATGGATACAATACTGCCATCCAACCGGCAAACTCCCTTCAGATTTTGCCAGTTGCCCCAGGGTCACCTATTAGCTGTCATGTCTCTAGTTTCCTTCATTCAGAAATAATTCCTCAGTCTTTCCTTGATTTTCATGATCCTGATGTTTTTTCCAAGAGTTACTTTATAGAATGTGCCTTGTCATGAGTTTGTCTGTTGCTTCCTTATGATTGAATTTAAGACTGTAATTTTGGCAGAAATACCACATAAATGATGCTAAGTTCTCCTCAGTGCACCATATCAGTGAGGCACACCATGTCACTGTCACATTACTAGTGTTGATAACTGTAATTACTTGATTAAGATGGTGTCTGTCAGGTTTCCTCAGTGTAATTTTAGGTATAAGTATCTTATATAATAAGTATTTTATGTAATAAGTAATACATATTTTAACCTGTTCATTATTTAGTAATATATATCCTTCGGTAGGAGATAGCTAAACTATATATTCTATTATATATGATATATGATATATAATATATATCATATATAAACATATACTATATATTATAATATATGATATATAATAGATATCATGTAATGTTATATATGATATATAACTATATTATATAGTATTATAATATGTAACTAGTACTTTGTGAGAAGCTATTTTGAGATTGTACAAATATCTTATTTATTTATTTTTTTGAGATGGAGTCTCGCTCTGTCGCCCAGGCTGGCTTACAGTGATGTGATCTCAGCTCACTGCAGCCTTTGCCTCCTGGGTTTAAGCAATTCTCCTGCCTTAGCCTCTCGAGTAGCTGGGACTACAGACACATGTCACCATGCCCAGCTAATTTTTGTATTTTTAGTAGAGACGGGGTTTTGCCATGTTGGCCAGGCTGATCTCCAGCTCCTGACCTCAGGTGATGGGCCCACCTCAGCCTCCCAAAGTCCTGGGATTACAGGCGTGAGCCACTGTGCCCGGCCTCTATTAATGATTCTTGTTAGTGTGATTTGTTGGCACACAATTATTTTCTAATTCCATCATCCAACATTTATTAGTTGTTTTTCAACTGTAATAGAGAACTTTCTCTTCCACATTTTTTATTCATGTATTTATTCAGTGGATTATAATCTATTACTATTATGTTGATTTTAAAGTTGTCCCAGTTTTGGCTAATGAGAGCTCTTGTAAGCTGGTTCTTATGTCGTTTTGTTATGTCCCCATTATTTGAGTACTTTCTTCTGACACAGCAAGGTATTCCAGGCTCATATTGTACTTTCCCTGCCGCAACCCTGGAATCAGCTGTTTCTTCAAGAAGCCTTGGTTCTATTTAGCAGAGAAGAGTTTTCCTTCCTTCCCTTTCCTTCCCTTTCCTTTTCCTTCCTTCTCCTTCCTTCTCCTCCCTCCCTCCCTGCCTGCCTCCCTGTCTCCCTGTCTCTGTCTTCCTGTCTTCCTGCCTTCCTCTCTCCCTTCCTGCCTTGCTCTCTCCTTTCCTGCCTTCCTCCCTCCCTTCCTGCCCTCCTCCCTCCTTCCGTCCCCACTTGCATTTCTGCATTCCGTCCAAGAAACAGGAATGTTTAGCCAAGATCTGGGTACTAGGTGTGCCCATTGCTACTAGGGTATCATAGTTTTTGGGCCCTCTTCTTTAGTGGATGGAGTCAGGAAATATTTGTATATATAAACAACACACATGTATCTCTCTATTTTTATATTTATCTGTATATATTAAAAAACAAGGGTTTACTTCTAATCCAACAGGATTTTTTTTTCTGGACTTTCTGTATCTGTAACTCTCCTCTGAGAAACCTAGCTCTCATTATCCTCCAGGTATGATTTGCTCAGTTCCCCTGTAGGTAACAAATCTGCTCACACTGAGTCTTCAGCTTTCTGTGACCTGCCAGCAAATGCTGGTTTAATCTTCAGGTCCTAGTACCCTGCCAGCTTGCGCTGACCAAGGGGAGTGTTTATAGCTTTTTTGACCTGTTGGTAGCTTAAAGTGATTTAGCCATAGGATTAGTCACCCTTAAAATAAGGACTGCCTAGCATCATAGCAGAAAATTAGCATCTCTTTTGTTTTTGGAGAAAAAAAATGCTTTGCTTTTAGGCATTTTTTTCTTTGAAATATTTCCAGCTTCCTTTTAAACTTCTTGGAAGGCTTGAGCTGGGTTTATTTTTTTCCTCCAAATTTAATGTGCTTTTCGTATTTGTCTGGAATTGAAATAAAGTACTTTTAAAAATGATCTCCAGTTTTTCTGTGATGTATTTAGTGTTTAAAACAAACACTTTATTTTGGCCGGGTGCAGTGGCTCATGCCTTAATCCCAGCACTTTGGGAGGCCAAGGCAGGCAGATCACCTGAGGTCAGGAGTTTGAGACCAGTCTGGCCAACATAGTGAAATCCCATTTCTATTAAAAATACAAAAATTAGCTGCACTTGGTGGCACACGCCTGTGGTCCTAGCCACTTGGGAGGGTGAGGCATGAGAATCGCTTGGGCCTGGAAGGTGGAGATTGCAGTGAGCCGAGATTGTGCCATTGCACTGCAGCCTGGGCAACAGAGTGAGACTCCATCTCAAAAAAACAAAAAAACCCTTCATTTTTTTTCCTTATTAAAACATGTTTCTTCACTAGAGGTTTATACATTTACCCCAATAGTATATGTTTGATTCCTTTTTCCCATCAGAATGTTATATTTATGAGTTGTGATAACTGTTAGACCTAAATTCTCAGTGGCTGTTCAGAATCAAACTTCTTGATTTTTGCTGTATACGTTTAGATGCATGCTCCAGAAATTCTGTTTTCTCTGACCTGTTAGTATCGTTATTCAAGAAAATAATATGTAGTAGTTAATCTTATTGAGTGGTTTGGTGCTCTAGTCTGTCTTTATGCTTTGTTTTCTCAGATTGCAACACTTAAGAAAATTCAGAAATGTTCCTTTCTGAAGGGGAACATGGGAAGAGAAAAATGAACACTGATCACTGCAGTAACTTTCCCTTACCTTTAATAGCCTGAGTACTTGACCCTCGCCATTTGATAGAGGAGAAGGTCCCCTCTATATAGTGATACTCTTTTTTATGTCCTGGAGTCAGTTAATTTTTGGTTCCTCCTCTGATAAGTTAACACATAACTGTTACCTATCCTGAAAGATTTTCTTTCGACAGCTGGGCTAGATTTCTCTTAAATGACACTTCACATTTGTCTGCTATGTGCGGTTAGTTCTTCCTGAGTTGTTCTGTCTTATTTCTGCATAAATAAGCCTTGATCTCCCAGGTCCTTGGCAACAGCAGAGCTCAGCGTGAGGTAGTGAGGACTTGGCTTTGCAGAGGACCATTGTCCTGGAGACAGTCCTGACCCTGGTTTCCAGGAGGTTGAGTGAGTTCCTTCATGGTAAAGTTTTCGATTGTGAAGTCTAAGCTACAGTCTTGATTGTGTTCTTTTATGTAAGTCATCGATATTTTGGCTCATGATTCTCATATCATAGATTTAGTATTTGGGGTTTATTAGCAAGTACACTGGGAAAACCTGTGTTCTAGCCCTCATGCCATCTGACTGTGCCATAGTTTTCTCATCTGCAAAATGAGGATAAGGGTCCCTGTCCTGCTTCCTCAGGGCATTGTTGTGAGGATGAGGAGGGGAGGAGAGCAGGGAAGGAAGGGAAGAGAGATTAATGTTCCTTTAACATTTATTGAGTTACCTTCTTGGTTTCAGGGAGTCAAGGATCTTATGTAATAATACAAATAACCCAGAGGAGATAGTGGTATTATCTTTACTTATAGATGAAGGAATATCACAGTGTTCAGAATGATTTTCACTTGAGTTTGCGTTCAAACTCAAGGCTGTATAATTTCAGAGCTCATGGTTGTTCCGTTAGCCACACCATCTGAGGCTATGATTGCCAAGACAGTTTGTCAAGTATGAAGTTCAATACAAACTTAAGAGATGATACTTACTACTTTCACCCCAGAGGATAGAGATTTGGACATAGGTACTTAAATCTACTTTCCTAGTGAGTGGGTATCTTAACTGATAAATCAAGGGAATTAGAGATTACAGGTTATCAGTCTAAATCTGACAGAATTCAGTGGTGAGAGAATTTCTGTGACTTTGATATTTTCTTTATTTCTTTATTTTTGATACGCAGTTTCACTCTTGTTGCCCAGCCTGAAGTGCAATGGCCTGATCTCGGCTCACTGCAACCTCCGCCTCCTGGGTTCAAGCGATTCTCCTGCCTCAGCCTCCCAAGTAGCTGGGATTACAAGCACCTACCACCGTGTCCAGCTAATTTTTGTATTTTTAGTAGAGATGGGGTTTCACCTTCTTGGCCAGGCTGGTCTCGAACTCCTGACCTCAGGTGATCCACCCGCCTTGGCCTCCCAAAGTGTTGGGATTACAGGCGTGAGCCACTGTGCCTGACCATGATGTTTTCTTCTATATCCCTAGAGGAATGTCCATCTTTTTCTATTGTACATACTCTTCCAGTCTTTATAGCAGACCACACTTTGAGCCATTTCTTGTAACAACAATGTTGGCTATATTTATTGTGTCCTTGTGCTGGGCTCTGTGCTAAGTGCTTTTATTTTGTTTAGGTTTCATAACAACTCTTTATTTTATTTTTATTTCAGCAACAGATTGACAAACTGGATCATAACAACTTATATATATTCTTATGTATTTATTTTATAAATGATGAAATGGAGGCTAATGGAGCCAATTAAATAACTTTCAAAGGTCACTGCTGACATTGATTTGATTCTGAAACTAAATTCTTATTGCCATATACTGCAGCTCCTTCTCTGATTATAAAAACGAGCAGTTTGTGTAACTTGAATTGGTCCAGAATTTATTTTTGCCATGCACTTGCTATTTAGACGACCATAAAACTAGTTTTCATCTCACTCGCTTGTCATAATGCTTTATATCAGGGGTTGGCAAACTTACTCTGTAAAGGGCCAGGTAATAAATATTTTAGGCTTTGCCAGCCATATGGTCTCTGTCGCAACTACTCAACTCTGCTGTTCTAGTGCAAAAGCAGCCCTAGACAATACATAAATGAATGAGCTTGACGTGTTCCAATAAAACTTTATTTATGGACACTGAAATTTGACTTTCATACTCTTTTGCATGTTACATAATCTTCTTTTGATGTTTTTCCAACCTTTTAAAAATGTAAAAACCATTTTTAGCTCATGGTCTGTACAAAAACAGGCAGTAGGCTGGATTTGGCTAGTAGGCTGTAGTTCGCCAATCCTGCATTTTATCGTTTTGAAGTTTTCTTCTTTGCATCTACTTTTTGGGTGTTCTTTTGTAATATTGGACTCTAAGTCAGCTTGCCTTGCAGATGGTACGGTTTAATAAATGTTGGTATGATTTGGGACAGCCAGCTCATGGAAGCTTTACTTGCTTAGTGATTTGGTCTCCAACACCTGTTCTACTGGCACATATAAACAGAGATTTTAATTGAGAAAAAGATTTAATCAGTAGGTAACCTCAGATACCATTTTAACAGAAATCAGCTCCCAAATGCTTGTTTGTATGTGTGGCATAGTGGAATATCAGGATTGGGAAACTTCAACCCCAATCCTTGCTCTGCTGTCAATCCTGGTTATTTTAGGCAAAAGTTACTTTACCTCTCTTGCTCTCAGATTTCTCAGCTGTAAAATAAAATAGCCCAGATTAGATGCTGTCTTTATGTGAAGTCTCTCTGTAGATGATTGTTATGGTCCTCCTGAGATTTAAACTCCGTATATGTAAACTGCGGCCCGATTTTTGGCACAGTTGGCTCGGGAGCAGCAACTTGTGCTTGTACCTGTTGGGTCTGCAAGTGTATCCAGAGCCAGTGAGTCAGCACTGCCATGAGCTCCTGGGCTTCCGGTTCATTGGGTTTGAATGTTGGGCCCTCTAATTTAGGTTTGCCTCTTGTTCTTGCCAGGAAAAAAACCAAAAAGCAATACAAAAACACATACGCACACACACACAAAACAAACAAAAAACTGGCTGTGTTGGTGAGTATTCAGAGAAAGGCCTCCCAGACCACACAGCTTATGTTGTTTTGGGATTGCTTGCTTTGTCTAAATGACTTTTTAATTTTCAAGAGATGATTCTTCCTGTGGAGGCAACAGCTCTGACTGCCAGGAAGCTTTTTCCTGATATGCATTTTGAAATATTCCCCAATTGAGTTTCTTTTTAGTTACTCTTGCTTTCATTCAGTTTCTTTAAATGTTTTCATTTCATTAAAGGGTATCCATTAGGACCAAACTTTGCCTCCTCTTTTTACAGTAGCTCCTTCCCCATCCCCTGATGGTATTTTTAGGTGTAGAAAACACCTTGTCCAGAGGGGAGTCCCTGGCCTGCTTCTTTGCCACTCTGACGTAGAGTCCCTGCATGTGCAGCCTTTGGGTTGTGACAGTTGAAGAATGGCATCATGGACCCTTCAGCTCAATGACTTTCCTGGTTCTCCTTTCTGTGTGACACACAGGATGCTCGCTATATTGTTTCTGAGAAAAAGCTTGTATTGCTTCTGGCCATTTTCATCCTTTTTAGAGCTTTGTAGATTTCACTGAAGTTCTGTCTTTTTCCTGTGGCTTCCTACCTAGTTATTTCTAGAGGATTTGAAGGTTTATACTTATAGCCGCTTCTGGGGTGAGTCACCATGCCTGACTTTTGCTTCTCAGGCAGCTGCCATTTAAAAAAATTTTTTTGTTAATGTTTTTCAGCTAGCATCTAATCTTCCTGCAAGAATATGGAAGGCTCTATAGTAAAATATACATTTTATGTCCCCATGTTTTTGTACTTCTGTGTTGGACCTTAAAATTTTTTTTTTAGATATAATTAACATACCATAAAGTTGACACTTTTAAAGTATATAATTCAGTGGCTTTTTACTACAATCATGTAACAATCACTACTAATTTGGAATATTTTCATCACCTCCAAAGAAATCTGTATCCATTAGTATATTCCCCACTCTCCCCTTCTGTCAGTCCCTGGGAACCACTAGTCTATGTTCTGTCTATGGATTTCCCTTTTCTGCACATTTCATATAATGGGAACAGTTCAGTATGTGGCCATTTGTGTCTGGCTTCTTTTACTTAACATAATGTTTTCAAGGCTCACCCATGTTGTAACATCAATCAGTACGCAATCTCTTTTTATTTCTGAATTATATTCCAATTGTATGGATATACAATATTTTATCACCAGTTACAGCTGTTGATGAACATTTATTGTTTTCTCTCTTTTTTTGGCTATTATGAATGATGTTGCAATGAGCATTGGTGTACAAGTTTCTGTGTGGGCATATGTTTGTATTTCTCTTGGATATATACTATCGGGGAACCTGCCCCTGATAGTCACGTAGGTTCTTTTCTATTTTCCCTAAGCGTCGGCTGGTTTGAGAAATAAAGGGACAGAGTACAAAAGAGAGAAATTTTAAAGCTGGGCATCCGGGGGAGACGTCACATGTCGGTAGGTTCCGTGATGCCCCCTGAGCCGTAAAACCAGCAAGTTTTTATTAGGGATTTTCAAAAGGGGAGGGAGTGTACAAATAGGGTGTGGGTCACAGAGATCACGTACTTCACAAGGTAATAGACTATCACAAGGCAAATGGAGGCAGGGCGAGATCACAGGACCACAGGACTGGGGCGAAATTAAAATTGCTAATGAAGTTTCAGGCACCATTGTCATTGATAACATATGGAGACAGGGTTTGAGAGCAACTGGTCTGACCAAAATTTATTAGGTGGGAATTTCCTCGTCCTAATAAGCCTGGGAGCGCTATGGGAGACTGGGGCTTATTTCATCCCTACAGTCTCGACCGTAGAAAACGGCCATACCCAAGGGGGCCATTTTAGATGCCCACCCTCAGGGGCACATTCTCTTTCTCAGGGATGTTCCTTGCTGAGAAAAAGAATTCAGCGATATTTCTCCTATTTACTTTTGAAAGAAGAGAAATATGGCTCTGTTCCGCCCGGCTCACCGGCGGTCAGAGTTTAAGGTTCTCTCTCTTGTTCCCTGAACGTTGCTGTTATCCTGTTCTTTTTTCAAGGTGCCCAGATTTCATATTGTTCAAACACACACGCTCTACAGTTTGTACAGTTAACGCAATCATCACAGGGTTCTGAGGCGACATACATCCTCCTCGGCTTACGAGATGACAGGATTAAGAGATTAAAGTAAAGACAGGCATAGGAAATCACAAGGGTATTGATTGGGGAATTGATAAGTGTTCATGGAATCTTCACAATTTATGTTTAGAGATTGCAGTAAAGACAGGCATAAGAAATTATAAAAGTATTAATTTGGGAACTAATAAATGTCCATGAAATCTTCACAATCCACGTTCTTCTGCCATGGCTTCAGCTGGTCCCTCCGTTCGGGGTGCCTGACTTCCCGCAACATATACACCTAGGAGTGAAATCACAGGGTCATATGATAACTGTTTAACTTTTGAGAAACCTCCAGACTCTTTTCCAAAGCAGCTACACCACCCATAATGTATGAGGGGTCCAGTTTTTACACATCCTTGTCAACACTTGTTATTGCCTGTCTTATTGATTTTAGCTATCCTAGTGGTGGTAAAGTGATATGTCATTGTAGCTTTGATTTGCATTTGTCTGATGACTAATGATGAAGAGCATCTTTTCATGTGCTTTTTGGACATTTATATTTATTTTTTGGATAAATGTCTCTTCAACTTACTTTAATTGGGCTATTGTCTTCTTATCAAATTATGATAGTTCTTTATTCTGGATACTAGACCCTTGTCAGATATATGAGATAAGAGTCTAGTATTCAGAATTTGCATATACTCATATTTTTTTCTTTCTTGATAGTGTCCATTGAAGCACACTGTTTTTAATTTTTATGAAGTCCAATTTATTTATTTATTTTTAAGTTGCTTGTGTTTTTGGTGTCACCTAAGAAACCATCACCTAATGCAAGGCCATGTAGATTTACAGGTTTGTTTTCTTCTAAGACTTTTATAGTTTTACTCTTAAATTTAGGTCTCTGGTCCTTTTTGAGTTATCTTTTGTATATGGTATGACGTAGAGGGCCAACTTCATTCTTTTGCACATGGAGATCTAGTTGTCCCAACACATTTTTGTTGAAAGGACTACTCTTTCCCCATCAAATTATCCTGGCACCCTTGTTCAAAGTCAGTGGGCCATAAATGTATGGATTTGTATTGGGCCTTCTTTTTGTAATATTTGTCATCAGATGTCTGCCCTTGTTCTTTATGTTGGTTCTTCACACAGGTAGATATTGCTGTTACAGTATACCTACTATACTATCTTAACTAGTGGATATGCCCGTTAAACCAGTCCTCTTTGCAGAGCTAGTAAGATGCCATTCTCAGACCAAAGTGATTTTTGCTCTTGGGCTGGGAAAAAATATTGGCTTCATTGACATACAAATTTCTGTACCATCCTTTTCTTTGCCCTTAGTATGGCTGGGTTTTTGTATAAGAAGTTTTCTGTCTTGTTGTGTCATTGGCCCAGGAGTTAAATAGTTAAACAAACCAAGTCATTTATCAGAATCTAGTGAAGATTTAATGTGGTGTTCCTGTTGCTGGGCAACATTTTAGTGGCTGCCCATACAGTGTTTCACTGTAGGTAAATCTCCCAGTAAACCCATAAGTGGGTTTGAACAATTTGAGTCCCCAATTTTCCTTCTCAGCTGCCTTGTTTCAGCCTTTGTAACCACGTGACTTGTGCCCTGAAGCCAGGTCCTTTGAATCACACCACGTCCCTCTGCAACCTTTATTGGCAGAACTGAGAAATGTCTAATCCATAACCTCAATCAAACTGACTTATTGTGACACCTGGTTTCACAAACCTCCTGCTGTATCAGGTAGTTCTAAGATCATTTTTCTAGAATGTCAGTTTATTAATATAATTGCATAAAGCAGTAACCATTTGACTTGATTTCTGTGCTCTATAAATTAGCAATTAAGGATAATTACTGCATCCATGAAAGTTTGCAACATGAATCAGCACAGCTTTGGCAGACTAATTACCTATGACAGTTTCTTCTCAATCTTAACATTATTCTCCTGAAATTAAAATTCTGGTAAACAACATATTATACTTACATGTGATGTTTATTGTTTGTCTGTCTCCCCCTACTAGAATGTCAGCTCCCCAAGAGCAGAAATTTTTGTCTGCTTTGTTTCACTGAAACATGCCACTTGCCTAGAACAATGCCTGGCACATAGTAGGCACTCAGTAAGTTTGTAGTGAATTAATAACTGAATAAATCAAGGAATAAAATTATAACAATAATCAACCTGGCAGGTCTTTCTGAGAAGAAAAACGGCTTGTTTTGGTGCCATATGACATATAAATTGTTGAGCATATAGACCCTTGGCCTTTTTCATATTTTACCCAGACATTTAAAGTATTTTTCCCCCAGAAGGTATTTCTCATTGGTTTTATTTGGTGGCGACTGTTAGCTATAAGAAGGCCATTACAATGTTTTCATTGAGGAAGAACTTGAATAAAGACTGTTGGCGAGTAAGACAGGTGGGAGAGTTTAACAGTGGTTGGCAGATGAAGTGGAAATAGCAAAAAGGAGGTGTAGTGTGTTTCTGTTTGTTTCTTTGTTTTTTTGAGAGAGAGTCTTGCTCTGTCACCCTGGCTGGAGTGCAGTGGCACAACCATGGCTCACTGCAACCTTGACCTCCCAGGCTCAAGCGGTTCTCCTACCTCAGCCTCCCAAGTAGCTGGGACTACTGATGTGCACCACCACACCCAGCTACTTTTTTTGATTTTTAGTAGAGATGAGGTCTTGCTGTGTTGTCCAGGCTGGTTTTGAACTTCTAAGTTCAAGCAGCCCTCTCGCCTCGTCCTCCCAAAGTGCTGAGATTACAAGCTTGAGCCATTGCACCCAGCCTGTAGTGTGTTTTGAATGATTTCAGTTTCTGTGAGTGGTAGGAGGGAAACTAGTTCTTCCCTAGTAGAAATAGTTCTCTTACTTCCATAACTGTGTACAGTCAGTCTTTTCTTACCTTTCCACCAAGGCAATAGCCAAATGAGGGGAAGAGAGTTTCAGAAGAAGGGTGCACACATGCCAATCCTCTCCTCCTGGAGGAGTAGGAATAGCAGTACCTGCCACAGTGAATCTATTTCTTTTGCTTAGGAAGTTGAATTGGTGACAGCTGCTTGAATTCATATATTCAATGGTATAAAAGGTGTAGAGAGCCTGTAGAGTAAAAATCATCTCCGTAACATTGATTCAAGCATTAACTGAATGGCATTTTTGGTGCAACAATGCAAGGAAGTTCTGACAGCAGCCTTTAGCATTCAGGGAGAGGAGAGGGCATACAAAGGAGTTTTGCACAATTACTGTGTACAAGTTGTTTGCCAAAGCCATTAATGGGGCCAGGATAATAGTTGTAGATCCATTGTCCCCAGGGATCCGGTTTACTAGGCAGAGGCATTAGAGAGGCAATACCTTTCTGATATTTAGAGATGAGGGGCTCTTCTCATCAGTCCCTCTGTTCTTGAGCTTCTCAGTTTGATTTGTCAGGCTTGAGAAACAAAGATGGTTTCCTAGGCTAGGTCAATGCTTGCTTATCAGAGTTCACCTTCGTCAGAGAGGATGAGTTTTCTTGTAAATAGGCCTTAGCTTTTATGACTGGGCTTTACCAAGAGGTCCCCTGGGAATGCGTTATTACTTTTTTTGTGTGTGAAAACTTGACCAAAATTGAGCAGCAAGCACTAGAAACAGATGTTCTGGTTTGTGTGCTGTATGTAGTTTGGCTGTCCTCAGCCTCATTTGGAATTTGTGCTTGAATGATTTCAAGTGCAGGTATTCTGCACTATGCTCTTCTTGCTGTGTGTTTTGTTTCTACCACTTGTGAGAAAGAATTGAATATAAATGAGTCAGGAAGCTCTCCTTTTCTTCTTTGGCCCTTCTTATTCAGGAACTTCAAGCAGCCTCTACTCTAGTATACCTGTTCTTTCCTGGCTTTGTTTGGTTTGAGAGCTTATCTTTTGGAATGTCAGTTCCCTGGGATAATGCCTAGGACATGAATTCTCAGGATAGGGTGTTAGCATGGTTATTTGGCTAGAAGTTTTAGGGTTTAATTGCTGATAACAGGATAAAAACGAAAAGCGTGCCTGTAACTGGATTAGGAAGACAGTCTTTTTGTGTGTGTGTGCCATGGTATATAACCAGGGATTAAAGTGACTTAGGCCAGGGTCTGTGTGCTTAAGGTGTTGGGGATATTGAGACATTATCAGAGTACTAATTTAATGTACAATTAAATATTGTATATTGGAATGTACAATTAAATATTGTATATTGGAATGTACAATATTGTTTGATAGAATTTCCATAAAAAGTTAGTATGGATAAATGAATTGTGATATATTCGTACAAAATCCTTGGTCAGGGTAATGGTGGGGTTTGAGAGAAGGGGCTGCAAGTAGAGAGGGGCACATGGATTCCAAGGTTCTGGCAATGTGCAGTATTTCAGTTCTTAACTTGGGTGGTGGTTGCTCAGATGTTTTACTTTTCTTATTCTTTAATTTGTACATGTGGGTTTAAATTCATTTGTGTATTTATATCAATATTTAACACTTGAAAGCGTTAGTTAAGGTAGAGAGGTGGAGAGCAATGCACTCTAAGTGAAAGGAGCAGCTTCCTTTCATTCTCCTTTTTCTCTTCCTTTGATTCAACTTCCTCACAAGGATTATTCCTTTACTGAGAACTCCATGGTCTTGTCTAAACAGTGTTCTGTGTTGACAGAACCCTCCAACCTTCTCACTACTAACCTTTCGAAGCTATTTTTTATGAAGCGTGGAATTGAGAGTCTTTCAGATCTAGTGAAGCCAGGGCATGAGCCCCCACCTGTTTGTTGTATTGTGAGTCTCTTCGCAAAGACAATTTGAATAGCTTGGGTCGTTTTTCCCTTATGTGTCTTCTTCCCTTCTTTCACTTGAAATCCTTTCTTCTTCTCCCCTGCAAATACTTTAAGGTTAATGCCAGTGAGCTTTAGAGCTCTTTTCACAGTTGCAAGTGGGTTCTATGCCTGGCATCTTTGATTAGAGAGATGAAAGGAGCCACTGACTGCACTTGGGAGCCTTAAGGTGTTTATTAGATTCTTACGTTTTAATCATGTAGGGCATGGGTTTTCTAGATTACTTCTGTATTTCTCTCTTGTACTGTCCACAAGGGACACTCTAGGTATTGCATCCACCTTAGCCTTGGGCATGCTCATTTCCTCCCAGGGGTGTGTAGGGACTTCCCTCAGCTTCTCCTTTTTTTTCTTTTTTTGTTTGAGCAGAGTTTCACTTTTGTTGCCCAGACTGGAATGCAATGGCGCGATCTTGGCTCACCGCAACCTCCGCCTCCCGGGTTCAAGCGATTCTCCTGCCTCAGCCTCCTAAGTAGCAGGAACTACAGGCATGCGCCACCACACCTAGCTGATTTTGTATTTTTAGTAGATACAGGGTTTCTCCATGTTGGTCAGGCTGGTCTCGAACTCTTGACCTCAGGTGATCCACCCGCCTTGGCCTCCCAAAGTGCTGGGATTACAGGTGTAAGCCACTGTGCATGGCCACAGCTTCCCCTTTTCCTAAGCCTTTCATTGTTCGCTTCAATCTGAGAATGGAAAGTGTTGATGGAGATATTAATTCTTAATAATTGGAAAGAATGCAAGGGGTGGTACTTGCTAGGATGAAATTATAGAGGTCATTAATCTGTATGTCTCACATGCCTTTTTACCCCAGTCTGTTTATTCTATGACTTTTCTATTGTTGGATTTCTGGGTCAATCATTTCAGAATTTGGCCCCAGGCTTTATGTAGGTATTTCTCTTATAAAATTAAAAACAATCCTGTTTATTTAGTCATTCAACAGATGACTTTGCATGCCTTTGAAGTGCAAATGCTATTTGAAATGTTGGGGATACGGTGGTACACAACCTGCATTATGGTGATACGGCCTCTGGACCATTCATTTTCTCTTTCTTCCCCCTACGTAGGTCCTCTCAGGGTGCGCCATCATTGTCCGAGGTCAGCCTCGTGGTGGGCCTCCTCCTGAGCGGCAGATCAACCTCAGCAACATTCGTGCTGGAAATCTTGCTCGCCGGGCAGCCGCCACACAACCTGATGCAAAGGATACCCCTGATGAGGTAGGTGTTTCCTGAGGCCATCGTGAGCCTGTGGACCTAGGTAATAGCCCACTGTCTTCTGTCGCTGATGCCATTTTGATGTACTCTTTCTTTGTATTTTGAGTATTTTTATATCATAGAACTGCTGATTCTGGATGTGCCCACAAGCAGCTTGTATCTGTTGTTTATATGTTTACTACCTTTAGTGGCAGTTGAAGTCTTAGAGCTTTTTCTTGTACCTTTTCCCATAGACTTAGATTTGTTGTGTTTTCACTACTACTTTTCTTGGAATAGTTTAGGAACATTTCCTGGGTAGCCTTAAGCATTTGAAATCACCATTGGTTATGGCAGAGCTCTTTTATTAATTTATTTTTGAATTCTTCATTCATTTACATTGTTCAGAATGCAGAAGGATATATAGTGAAAAATCGAGTACTTCCCCTGAGACACCTGAGGTTACTAGGGTCTTGTGTCTCCTTCCAGAGATAGTTAAAACCTGTATGATCAGACACTCTCATTTTCATAAATCGTAGCATGCTATAAATGCTAGGCCCATATTTTATTATTTTATTAAAGATTGTTTTTCTTTAAGGTTCAGAGGGTACATTTTCATGTTTGTTACACGGGTATATTGTGTAATGTTGGGGATTGGGCTTCTAGTGTATCCATCACCAAAATATTGAACATTGTATCCAATAGATAATCTTTTAATTCTCACCCCCCTCACTCCTTCTCCCCTTTTGGAGTCCCCAGTGTCTATTATTTCTATCTATATGTCCATGTGTACCCATTGTTTAGTTCCCACTTACAAAAGTTAGAACATGTGATATTTGATTGTCTGCTTCTGAGTTAGTTCACTTAGGATGCTGGCCTCTAGCTCCATCCATGTTGCTGCAAAGGACGTGATTTCAGTATTTTTTTATGGCTGCCCATACTTTATTACTGATTTTTTTTGTTTTGTTTTGAGACAAGGTCTCTGTTGCCCGGGCTGGAGTGCAGTGGTGTAATCATGGCTCACTGTAGTCTCAACCTCCCAGGCTCAAGTGATCTTCCCACCTCAGCCTCCTGGGAGTAGCTGGAACTACAGGCATGTGCTATCATACCTGGCTAATTTTTATTTTTATTTTTTTTAGTAGAAAGGAGGTCTCGCTAGTTTGCCCAGCCTTGAGTTCCTGAATTCAAGCAATCTTTCTGCCTCGCCCTAAAGTACTGGGATTACAGGTGTGAGCCACTGCCCCTGGCCTATTCCAGATTCTTAATCTGGGATCCATGCACCTCTGAAGGCATATATAAATCCCATGAAATTGCAAAATTTTGTGTAAACGTGAATTGTTTTAGAGAGGGAGTTTTAAAAATCAGTTTCTTAAGGGAACTTATGGCTCAAAAGTAGTTAAGAACCATTGTTTTATGGTTATTTGAGAACCTTCTGTGCCTAATGGTGATTTGAGAACCTTCTGTGCCTATGTCCCATCATCTCCTCCATCCTTCCCTCACACCCCTCAGCCTCTAATGCCCAGCCCCCTTGCTTTTGTGGTCTGCCTTTGACCCCTTAAGTTTCTGCTCTTTGGGCAGCTGCTATGTGTACCAATTTGGCATTGTTTAGTCTTTTTGGCTTCTACACTTTGAAACATTAGTGCTTTGCTGTCCTTTAGCAGTGCTTTGGCTGTCAGAAATGAAATTTCTGGGCTGGCCATGGTGGCTCATACCTGTAATCCAAGCACTTTGGGAGGCTGAGTGGGGATGATTGCTTGAGCCCAGGACTTCAAGACCAGTCCTGACAACTGACAACATAGCAAGATCCCATCTCAAAAAAAAAAAAAAAAAGAAAAAATTAGCCAGGCATGGTGGTGCATGCCTGTAGTCTCAACTACTTGGGAGGTAGAGGTGGAAGGATCACTTGAACCTGGGAGTTCAAGGCTGCAGTGCATCATGATTGTGCCACTACACTGCAGCCTGGGTGACAGTGTAAGACCCTGTCTAAAAAAAAATAATAAAAAAAAAAAAGCAAAATTTCTGGATTCCAATTATTTGTTCTTTGCCCCAACTTTATCATGTTGGGCAGGTTGGTACCTCAGCTTTTGTGTGCTATTCCCTGCCAGGGAGGTAAAGAAGAAAAAGCAAGAGTTTATGTGGAACTTTTATTAATATTTAAGTAAAGCATTTAGTTTTTAAAATTATAATAAAGGACATTTTATTTTAATTAAGAAGTTAGTGAAGCAATGGTATAGATAATAGAGATAGAGAAAAACTCCCATAATTCTACTACCAACAGCAATCAGACTAAATAGATTAAAATAAATTTAAGTAGATTAAAATCAGTTCTTTTTCACTGGTCCTCCATCAGGGACCACACATATTGAGAATATTAGCATATACCTCAGGGTCGTTTAATGAAGATTAAACAAGATAACATGAAGTGCTTTAGTGCATGCTTATAAAATAATAAATGTTAGTTGTGGTAATCACTACTACTGCTTGCTAATTTCTCTTACTACAGATACTCCTAGTACTGTTAGATCAACCACTGAAGATTAAATATCTTTCAGCATTTTTCACATTTTGGGCATTAACAAATGGGTGAACCAACATTTTGAATAGTTTCTTTTCCTATTGTGTAACAGCTTGATTGCTTCCAAATGAAGAGTGTTGACCCTTCTTGGAGCTGACCAAGTTCATTTGCCCAGAAGGAAGAACTAGTGTAGCCTCTAAGAAAGAAGGGTTGGATTTTAATTTCCTGTTTTGTGGATGAGAATCTTGGGCAGAGAAATACAAGGCCAGTTGGAACTTGTTCTAAAATATCATAACTGTATCCCATGTTAACAGGACGGTGAAATCTTACCAGAACTATCCTAGGTGAAAGGATACTGTGTAATCTGATCCTAGCATTCTGGTGTAGTTCCATATATTTATACAGTCTAGTGCTTTTTGCCTCTCCCAGACTAACTCAGTCTCACTGTTTCTCCTGGTAACTCTTCAGAGATCCCTGTGAGATGAAATATTTGATAGCTGCAGATTTCATCTTTTCCTAGCCCACAGTCATCATTTCTCCTTCCTAATAATCCAATGTCTCCTCACCCTGCTGTGATTTGGTTTTCCTCCTATTGTACCCTCAAAGCTGCATCGACACAAGTTACCAGTAATGTCAATTGATTGAAAAACCTGATTTCCCTGCTCTCATTTTGACTCCCCCACCCCCCACCCCAACGCTGACATCCAGGCCTTTAACAAGGCCTAGGGATTCTGCCTCCTTAAAACCTCTCTTATCCATACTTGACATTTGATTAATACTGCTATTCTTTGTTCATCTCTGATAGAGTGCTTAGATGTTGAAATAATAGTCTCTTTGCCCTCATTCTCCTTCCCTCTAATCCTTTCTCCATATGCTCTCAGATTTTTTTGAAACATAATTTTATTTTTTCCCAGACTCTTCAGTGGTTCCTCATATTCCAAGACACTTTAGTGATTCCTCATATTCCAAGACACTTTAGTAATTCCTCATTACCTCTGTGACAAATCTAAATGCCTTAGCCTGGGTTACAAGCGCATTTGTGATATGACTTTTAGACTTCTCTTACTGAAACCCCTCTGGGATGCCAAGCCCCCACCATGCTGAAGAACTTAAGTCTTCCTACAGGCTGGGGTCCTGCCTTCTGCCCTCAGCTCATGCAGCCCCCTCCATCAGTAGTTCCTTCGCCACCTCTGTGGCTGGTGAGCACCTGCTGTCTTTTAAGATTCAGCCACTTAAGAAATCACACCTGACATTTCCTTTCATCATCCCATCTTGGTGCTGTCATAGCATTCACAACATTTCATTGCATGTTTACACGTTTATATATCTTTCTCTACTGGATTGCAAGCTCCAAAGAAGAGAGCCTTTCTCTCATCTCTGTGTCTTTGTGCCTAGTCAGTACCTGACACAATACAGGTAAGCAGTGAATAAACATTTAAATGAATAATGAGGAAAAGAACCTGAGCGTCTCCATTTTAGGGGTTGAAAGATTGTGCAATGTGGCACTACGCTTTCTCTCTGGCTTTCTATTTCTTTGGAGCATGTTTAGCTTTTTCACATTCAGGAATAATCAAGGACCTTATTGCTCATTTGCATCCCTTTGTATCACTGTCCCAAATATCTTCACATGATTATTCTTTGCCTTCTGTCATGATATCGTCTTTCAAAGAAACTCAGCTGTCTCTTAAGTCCTGTGGCAATGAAAGCAGCCCCACTGTATGCCCCCAGCCATCTCTTCACTGTTCCAAGCTAATCCCCAGCGTTGCCTAGCTACTCCAGGCAGCTTAGATACTGCATTGATGGGCACTGTGGGAATTATATATTTATTTCCCACAGAATTATTGAGCTCCTGCTGCGGGTAAAGTTGTTTATGTTTTCATGAGAAATATAGAAATGAGTGTCACAACCACTAAAGAACTTATTCATTTAACTAAACACCACCCATTCCCCAAAACCTATTGAAATAAAAAAAAAAATTAAGAAATACTATCTTTAAAAAATAATAAAAGTGGCTGGGCGCAGTGGCTTATGCCTGTAATGCCAGCACTTTGGGAGGCCGAGGCGGGCGGATCATGAGGTCAGGAGTTCGAGACCAGCCTGGCCAACATGGTGAAACCTTGTCTCTACTAAAAATACAAAAAAAATTAACCGGGCGTGGTGGCATGTGCGTGTAGTCCCGGCTACTCGGGAGGCTGAGGCAGGAGAATTGCTTGAACCCGGGAAGCGGAGGTTGCAGTGAACCAAGATTATGCCACTGCATTCCAGCCTGGCGACAGAGCGAGACTCCGTCTCAAAAATAAATAAATAATTAAATAAAACAAACTAAAAGAAGGTAAAAAATAAAAAAATAAATATTTTGCTGTTTTTGTTTGTTTGTTTTTAGATGGAGCCTCGCTTTGTCGCCCGGGCTGGAGTGCAGTGGCGCAATCTTGGCTCACTGCAACCTCCACCTCACAGGTTCAAGCAATTCTCCTGTCTCAGCTTCCCAAGTAGCTGGGATTGCAGGCGTGCGCCAACATGCCTGGCTAATTTTTTTTTTTTTTTTTTTTTGTATTTTCAGTAGAGATGGAGTTTCACCATGTTGGCCAGGCTGGTCCTGAACACCTGACCTCAGGTGACCTGCCAAGAGTCTTGGCCTCCCAAAGTGTTGGGATTACAGCCGTGAGCCTCCCAAAGTGCTGGGATTACAGGCCCGGCCATATTTTGCTATTATTTTAAAAAAGAAATGAATGTCACAATCCTGCATTCATTGGAGCTGTTGAGGACTGGGGTAGCTGGGGAAAGACGGCAGAGCAGGATTATCAGTTACATATCCAGATGGCACGGTGGGGTGGTTGGAAGAGAAAGAGGGACAAAAAGTATTGAATGTTGGGTCATTTACCTAGTAACTAGTTAAGGTTTTACATTCTGGGGTTTCATCTTGTCCTGGTAGTTTTAAGAGTCTATCTGGTCAAAGAGAAGATTAGAATTAAAAGCTCAGTTTCATTGTGGTAGATATGACAACCTTTCTTGGGTCTGGAAGTTCTGAGCAGGCCGCCAGATTGCCTGCAGTTGGGCATTCTAAAGGAAAGAGTAATTTTGAGTCTCAACTTCTTAAAAGCCACTTGCTTCTTAGATGGGACTCTGGGGCATCATTTGAATAGACCACAGTTATTCTTCCTGTTAGACCATTCTGGCCCTTATTTGAATAAATGCTTTGAGCAAATTTCCTTATTTGAGCAAGCTTCTGTTAGGATAGACTTCTCCATCAGATAGTCCTCTGCCTGGCTGTCCTTTGTGTGGACACATGGGTAACACTGGCCTCACTTCCATAAGGGTTCTGTCCCAGAGCACTCTCTTGCCCTCAGAGGAGTGATGTGGTCAGTTGCTTTCCTCTATAGCTCTTTGAGTCTCTTGATTGCCTCTCTTCTTAACTAATATCTTGTCCAGTTATTGAATTTGCCCAACTCTGGACGGAACACACTTGAGAAGGCTTATTTAGGAAGGAAGATTGCAGAAACTAGGTTATTTTTTCTTACACGGTTAGGCATATGTCCTTTGCAAGACCTCCAGTGTGGTTTTCTCTTATTGACCGGTAACTAACCAGCTGGAAAACATGAGGTCCTAAGGGGAAGATGTTTCTTCAGCGAGCCTTAAAAGTTTTTTAGAAAAGTTCTGCCTGGTTGGTAGAAATTGGAGATTTCCCTGCAGGGGCTAGTTATTTTCCTGTGAACTGACCTTTTGTAAAAGTGTTTTCACCAAAGTCTTGGCCTCTTTTAGGAGCACTGGTCTTATCAGAGCTTTTCCAAGTATTTAGGAAAGCTCTATGTTACTGAATTTTAAATATTAATACTCAGGACTACATCTTAAACTTATCTGTAGCTGTGTATGTTTTTGGAGTAAGTTGATCCCTAAGGTAATAAAAATTTGGGACGCTTTGTTCATTGGTTCGGTGCTGTTTCTGTGATGTGGTTGATAATTGGGATCATTTGTCAATCATCAGACTCTTTGGTGACTGGTATCTGATTTTATTTTTGGAGATTGGGGTGGGGGGTAGAAATGAGACATAAAATCAAGGTGAACTTGATATTGTCATTGAGTGAATTGGGTTGGCCTCTGCTTTGAAGAGAGGGCATGATGTGAGCAAGTATCTGTTCATTTTTGCATCTTTAAGAACCCTTACTGAGGATCAGTTCTCTAGAACCTCATGATTTATGTTATGTAACAGTACTGTTTTTATGACTACCAGCCCAACAGTTTGGTGGACCTGCCACCTTTTGATTGGTTTCTGGTTTCTTAGAAGTCATATGGATATTTTTCTTCTAGAAAAGCTTGTTGGGTGACTTCATGGAATAATTAGCATGGACCAAAAAGGTTAACAGAGGCTTCCTTTCAGGCCATCAGTTTACTCTTTTGCCTTTACTGTGTGTAGCATGAGTTCTGTGGTTTGAAGAGATTATAATAGACAATGTATGCATATTGTATATCACTTTTCCCTTTTATACTTCACATTTTTTTCAGCATGTGAGCTCCTACTAATCATACGCTCCTTGAACACCTACCCCATCCCTCCCCATTTTGGTACTAAGGGAACTTGGGACATTAAACCAGGTCCAGACTATAAGTTCAAGTGCCAGTGGCCACTGTGCCAATGGCTTCAGAGGAGAATCTCCCTTTGTCTGAACCATCCCAGGAGTGATAGGATGGGGAGGGGCAAAACCACCCCTTTGTGTATTATCTTGAGATGACATGGAGACTCTGCTTCTACTGTGTGGATGTGTAGCTCAGTCCTCGTGTCTGTGCATGGAACGGTGAGAGGAAAGAATCACCATTATCAAGGTGATCCTTTGTCAGGGGCTGTTACTGGTGTCCTCCCAAGGATGTTGGGACCTGTAAAGGCTTCAGACTAGAGCAGAAGTAGAAGAAGAGCCATTTTGGGGGATATCTTCTTACTATTGCTGATCTTTAAAGAGGGGAGTGGAGATGACTTAAATAAGGCTCACTTGAGCAGGGGATTCACTCTGAAATAAGAACACTAGAATCATGTCCCTCCTCCAACAATGGCTTTAACTGGTTTCAGGCTAGTTTAATAGGCAGTGAAACTGTTTTAGAAACTGGAAAGAGGCGGAGAAATGGAGGTGGTAGTTGTTATTTATGACTTCCCTCTGCCTAGGTGGGTTCCTGGAGCCTGGACTTCCCATTTGAAGGAGTGGGTTGATATATATACAGCATTTAGAGCAGTGGCTGGCACATGGTATGTGCTATAAAAGCATTGGCAAATGTTATTCACAAAGTAAGCTATAACTCTGAACAGACAGTGATAGGGAAAAAGTCCTGCTGCCAGTGTCTGGAAAACTCTGAGGCCTGTTTTTAGTGTCTGTGTTAGTTAAACCAACTGCTGGACCCTCCTTTTTTTATGAGCCCCCTAAGTGTGCGATCTGCATTGTGTGCATTTCATTTTTATATTCTCAAGGTCCAGCGCAGGGCCAGGACCATGGTAGGTACTCAGACATTTACTGAAGGTATGAAGTTGCTTGAATGCTGATTGGCATCTGAAACTAGGCAGTTCTCATGTGACATATTTGTTTTGTCTTTCAGCCCTGGGCATTTCCAGCTCGAGAGTTCCTTCGAAAGAAGCTGATTGGGAAGGAAGTCTGTTTCACGATAGAAAACAAGACTCCCCAGGGGCGAGAGTATGGCATGATCTACCTTGGAAAAGGTGAGCTGCAGGGAGAGGACTCATTTCTCTCAAGTCTAAAGTTCTGTTAAAGATCAGTTTTCTTGTGGTGGAAGGCCAGTGTGGGTTCTGGTGGAGGAAGCTCTAGGACAGTTGGCTGAAGGCATAAATGCAAATGCTTTGGGCCCTGAGCACAGGGAATATATGTGTACAGAGGCATGCCCCCGGTGTTCCTGTTCCTTGTGTACCCCTTTTCCTGCTTTGGTTTAGGTGCATGTAGTATAGAGTTGCATTCTTCCTCATGTTTAGGCCATTCACTCATGGAACTCAATGGCTCTGTGCTTCTAGGTCAGAATGCTAATTGAATTTCTATAGATTTCCTTTTGTATCTTCTATTTCTTTTATCTATCTTGTGGCTTTTCTTCTCTTGGGAACTCTTTTGGAAAGGAAGATTTGTTGAGGGCCTGTGGTTTTTTGCAGCCTACATGTTTTTAATGGAATGGAAGGAGCACAGATGTCGGGGTTGCATAGATGTAGGTTAGAATTCTGATTTCCTACCATGTGCCCTTACTTAACCCTTAACCTCTGTAAGCCCTAGTTTCTTCATTTGTAAGTTATTGAGAGAGTTGAAAGAGATAGTATAGGCCAGGCACCGTGGCTCACACCTGTAATCCCAGCACTTTGGGAGTGTGAGGCAGGAGGATCTCTTAAGCACAAGAGTTCGAGACCAGCCTGGGGCAACATGGTAAAACCCCGTTTCTATGGAAAAATTAGCCAGGCGTGGTGGCGCACGCCTGTAGTCGTAGCTACTCGGGAGGCTGAGGTGGGAGAATCACCTGAGTCTGGGAGGTCAAGTCTGTGGTGAGCCATGATCATGCCACTGCACTCTAGCCTGAGTGACTGAGTGAGATCCTGGTCAAAAAACAAAAAAATAGTATATGTAAAGCACCTCACTCTGGATATTTGTGTGTGTGCATATTGTATAGCTGGGCCAGATGCTTCATGGGATATTAGATGTTCTGGGCTTTTTGGATTAGGTAGTAAGAGAATAAGATTGAGGAATGGAGTTGGAACAGAAATAGGATGTTGAAAGAGGAATTGGTAGGATGTTCTCCAGAAAGCAGCCAGATGAACATGAAGTTATGTTCATTGAACTATTTGTGGAGCAGAATTTTTTTTAAGTTTCCTTTGATTCTTTGATTAAAAACCTTTCAGATAGCTCATGTAACGGAGTTGATTTGGATAATCTATTTGAGTTGGATAGTCAGTGCTAGCAATAAGCAAGCAGGGTAGAATGACAGTGCTAACAGTATTCTGCTAAGACTCTGTTTTTAATGATAGAGGTCTCAGAAAAATGAGTTGAGAATGACCTTTGAGGCATCTTGTTCGATTTCCTACCTAGTAGAGAAATACCTCTTTTTAGTCTCCCAGAAAACGGCTACCTGCTTCTTATTTGAATGAGAAATTATAGAAACCTAAGGCCTCTTTTCAAAAAGGGAAATAAGTTTGCTTTTTACCCGTAATTCTTATAATATAGTAAGAAACAAAACGCTTAAAGATAATTATTGAGTGGTTACTGGTTAGAAAGAATGTAAGAGGAAAAGAAGTGTACTATCTTCAAAATGCAATTGTTAAGGATTTCATTACCTAAAAAATTTCAATTCCATAATAGCTGATCAGTCTTCTGTTACCCCACAAGAGACCTTACCGGACCACAGATAATTGTGGGCACAGATATTTCTATATGTAGAGCACCCCTAAGAGTTCATTTTAATACCCTTGGTCTTCAGCCAAAATGGCCAAATTGTTTATTTTAAGAGAAGCTGATATTTTAAATTATCTGTAGAGTTGTTTTTTAAAAGTTTACTTTTTAAACTGACTCACATTACAAACTGGATATAATTTAATTTAGTATGTTAACACATTAGTGTTTAGAATAAGAACTGGCACATAGGTGATCAATAAATATGTACTTAAAGAATGGTTGGAATTGCTTATAATCTTTCCATTTTAAAGATAAAGAAATAGTTTAATGTTTAATATTTTCACTAAGGTATTTTAACTAACTCTTAATGCCAATTCTATTATAATGAAAGAAAACAGTGGCTTAGATAATTAGCATTTGTGTTTATTTTATTGCTACCCACTTTTTTTTATGATGGGAGAGAATGGTAAAATTTGAGACTTTGTGGTTAACCTAGAACTTATTGAAGAGATGATTAGTTTTCTGGCTTTTGAAGACAATATAATCACCCACCTGCTCTGAATACTGTCTCCAGATGTGACTTGGTCAAATTCAGAATTTGATAAGTAAGGAGCAAGAATAAGATCCTTGGCCTACAAATTCCTGTTTCACTTTCCTATCATCCACATTTCGTTGCCTCCGTTGAGGGTTCACCCCAGGGGAAGATACTTTTCTCCTTTTTGCAGGCGCATTCAGAACTCACTTTTTAGAAGTGGGCCATTTCAGCAAGCTATGTGCCAAGAAAATGTCTGACTTATCGGGTGTGCTGTTGATCAGCCCATTTTATGGTCACTCACCTTGTTTGTACCTGGGCTTCGTTCTTTCCACCCCCAGATCTCCTGGCACTTCACTGCTCAATTTTCCCTTAATTGTTGAGTCCTTCCTTTTGACTTTTCACTCTTTGGGATTCCTGTTGCTTGGAAGAACCAATGCAAAATTTACTAATGTGTCTTTGGCTGGCCTCAGCAGTAACCTCAACAGAAAGGGTCAGGTGATCCACACTCACCCTCGGAACCTGAACCTTCTTTGTATAAACTTCTCAGTTCAACTTTTCTTGGTAGGAAAAGAGGCTTAAGATTTGCCCCTGCAGAAATTTGGGCATGATAATGGCGAGGCAATTAGGTTGGGCTTGTGGGGCGGTGTATGTACCTGTTACTGCTTGCAGAGGTCGATGTGTAGTGTGCCGAATGTAAATCTTACAGAATTTTATTATTTGCTGACATTACCTATCAGTTAGACTGCTGTGTTTCAGATTATCTTGGAGCTTGTTCTCTGCCATATTAAAGATTTTTATGTGATTATTCCCTCATAGATGTCTTCCTTTATGGTTTTGGCCGACAAGCAGAGATTTAAGAGAAAACACTGAGCCTGAAAGCTTTTTCAATAGCCTCGAACTACAATTAATATTTCAAGTGCCTGGGTAGAACCTAATCAGATTGGATTTTATGTTTAACTTTATTTTTCTTGCTAGGTCTGATGGCTGCTTTGTGAGAGATGAGAAATCTAGCCTGTGTTCTCTCAGTATCCCTATGAGAGCAAGAGAAAGTCTTTGTCAAATGGTGTAGCTTGTCTTGGTGTCCTCTTGGAGCAGAGAATAGGACATCCCTGAGAGGAATTGGACTTTCTGGCATAACGTGTGATAGCCAGCCCTAAATGAATCCGTCTCTCTGATCGTACACGGTGAAGGGACTAACTTTTTCTAATTCTTGCCATGCGCTTGGCACTGTGCTTGGTGATTTACACACATTACTATTTAATTCTCACAAGAACCCATCAAGGCAAGTGCTCTCCCCACTTTAGAGATGAGTAAATTAAGATGCTGGGAGAGCTTGTCGAAGCTATTAAGCAGCTGGATTTGTGTTCAGCTCCAGGCTTCTATTCCTCCAGTCACCACTTTATACTCTCTTGAGCTGCCAGCTGTGTGTGTCTTGCTTTCTTGTCCGTCTCCCATGGTTCCTGAGATTGCGTTTGGCCTGGAAGATACACTAGAAAATTAAAAACAAAGTCCTGAGAAGAAGATTGATAGAACTTTGGGTCCTAGAGACTAGATATTATGGGAAAAGAGGTTTTCTGAAAAACCCAATGCTACATTGCTGCTGTGTCCATTTCTCTGGCAGCATTATTCTCCTTGAGGAGCTAAGTGTGAAAGTGGTCCCATTTGGGCTCTGTTGCTGTTGGAGGCAGGTTTGAATCTTGTTTTTAAATCCCCCCTTTTCCTCCTCAGATACCAATGGGGAAAACATTGCAGAATCACTGGTTGCAGAGGGCTTAGCCACCCGGAGAGAAGGCATGAGAGCTAATAAGTAAGTATTCATTACTCCGCTGTCTCTCTGACAGCGGTAAATTGGCTTTGCTGCATTTTTCATTCTTGCCCCCAGACATGGGTAACTGCAGGGGCTTTCACACCTTCGCGGACATTCTTGCCCAGGTATGGATTATTCTGAGCTAGGAAGTCACTCAGCATTCACTAATGGTGTTTGAGGTATATGACTCTTTTAAACACAGGCTTTGAGACTAGGCAATTCTATTCTTCATATTCATAAGAGTCAACAAGTCTTAGACTAGATATTCAGTTCCAGAGTGTTTACCTGTCTGTCTAGCGAGTCCCAAATATTTATTGAGCACTTACTATGTGCCAGGCAGTTTTCTAGGCACTGAGAATATAGTGTGAATAGACTTAGCTTCTGCTGACGTTTTAATGGGGAGACAGTCAGTAAACAAGTAGATATACAGTCAGTGCAAGGAATAAGTGCAGTCAAAATTAAGGGGGTGAATAAATAGAATACAAAGCAAAATCTGTTGTTTAGAATCTGGAGAAACTGACAAGGCCTCACTTGTTCTGTTTTCAGAGTCAGGAAAAATTTATATCTCTTCAAAGTCTTTCAAGTCTGTGTTGTTTATGTATCTGTAGTTGCTTAATAGGTAAAATGTATTTGTTTAGCCAATGGCAATGTGAACCTGTTAGAAAGGGGTTGTGTGTATGTCAGGTTTATAGTATGTATATCATGTTCAAGTTCACTAGTGTTGGCTGTCAGTAGGATGGATTGCAGCTGGTTTTCATTAACATTTTAGTCTCTGAAAAGTGCTACATCTATAATTTGGAGGCTATAATAATGCTGTTTTATATCATTAAGTCCCTGCTCTCTTATATGACTGTCATAGCTGTAGGAAAGGCTTTAGAGAAACATTTGCATGAGGTATACCAATGATGAGGATGAGCAAAGGCAAAAATGCGCCTTTTGCATTCTTTCTACCTTCACAGACATAGGGGCCAGGTCTTTCACCATAGACTTGTGTGGTCCTTTCTGACTGCAAGGAGACATTTGCTGGACTCTATAATTGGGGTGTGCCAGTGGGAATTTGTTGAATTAAGATACTTGTTTTGGTGGTGTTTTTGGACGTATGCCAAATTTGTATCTTAAGGACAATTACTGGCTTGATTACCATTTCAGTATTTTGGGGGAATTCAGTTTGCAATTGGAATGAATAATAAAAAAATCTCACAGCAGGACTGGACCATCTCAACAAATAAATCTCCCCTGGAGTACCAGTCCTTTTTCCTCCAAAATTGTTTTGACTTCAAGTCACTTTTTCCCAGTTTTGTGTTTGGTTCAATCTCTTACACTACATTTCTTCATCTAATTTTGACTGTGAATTTGGATCCCTGAGGGTGTGGTTGCCTTTTGGGGTAGGGAAGAGAGGTGAAGACTTCTGGCTTGAGAAATTGGTAGGTCATCCTTGCTTAGGAGTCCCTCCTGCTGAAGATGAGAAGAGATTCAGTTTATGCATACAGCCGTTGATGGCACCGAGTGTCTGAGATTATGCAAAAGCCATGCAGTTCCATGCTGCCTTTAGCTCAGATATAACAGAGAAAGAGGAGCCATTTCTAGCCTTTTTAAAAAAACTTGATTTGATTTGTCTACTGATATTTTGGCTGCTCTAGTACATAGTTTGGTTTCTTGCCTGATGAAGGAGGAGGCTTCCATTTTCAAGCTGCTTTTGTCTAGCTTGCCTTATTGAATGTGTAAGTAGTTGGGGGGTAACATTATCTGTGATAGCAGTGTTCATTCCACATTCCTCAGCCTTGTTCTGTAAACTGAGAGAGAGAAAGAGTGGTTCTTAGTCGGCTTCTCTGCACTACCGAGCTGTGCCTGGGATTCCAGTTCCTGAATCCGGGATGGTTAAATGAAGCTCTACCACCTGGAGCAACTCTGAGCCACTAACTTGTTCTCTTCTGATCAGTGATGGTGGCAGTACTGAGATGTGTGTTCTTTAGATCGTCTCATTAAATACTCTTACTATTTAACCTTTTGTTTGAAAGGACAAGTTTGGAATCTAGAAATTGCAATCATGGTGATTTTCTGGTTATAGGCTTGGGTCTTAAGCCATAGATCTGAAACAGACCTTTGTTGTCTTCAAGGGGTGAAGATGCTGAAGAAAACCTATATCAGAGAGCCTCGTATTTCTGTTTGTGAACTCACTAACCACTCTTGTTTATTTTTTATGTCCCAGTCCTGAGCAGAACCGGCTTTCAGAATGTGAAGAACAAGCAAAGGCAGCCAAGAAAGGGATGTGGAGTGAGGGGAACGGTTCACATACTATCCGGGATCTCAAGTATACCATTGAAAACCCAAGGCACTTTGTGGACTCACACCACCAGAAGCCTGTTAATGGTGAGGCTGGTGGGAACAGACAGATACGACTCAGGGTGATTTCTTTCTGTTTGCACTCTTTGCTTCTTGAGGTTTGTAAAATCTAGTAAGCCTTTCTTATACTTATTTAGTATCCATGGGAAATCCTTAAGGTTAAAACAGCACCTTAGTATTTCAGAAGGGAATTTGGACTCAGTTCATGTAAATCACATCAGATACATTCTGCAGAAGCTAGTCCTGTGCTGTTGCAGGGTAGTAAATTGCTGGTATTTTGCACATTGATTGTGTTCTGTTCTCTAAAAGAAGGCTACTTAAATACCAACCCTAAAACTTAAAGGTAGCAAAATGTATTCTGTATACATCTAAACAGATACGGTCATGCTTCATTGGAGATTGGTTCCAGGACCCTATCCCGCTCTTCCTCCCGGGAATACCAGAATCAAAGATGCTCGAGTCCTTTATATAAAATGGTGCAGTATTTGCCTATAACCCACTCACATCCTCTCATATACTTTAAATCATTGCTAGATTACTTACAATACCTATTATAGTGCCTATACACCACTTCATCTGTGTGGACTCAACATAATACTTGGTGTGTGGCAAATTCATGTTTTGCTTTTTGGAACTTTGTGGAATTTTTCTTTTTTCTGAATATTTTTGACCTGTGGTTGGTTGACTCCATGAATGTGAAACCTATGGATATAGAGGGCTGACTGTATGTGTATTTATATGCTATATAGTTTTTGGCCCGGTTTTGAGACCTTGCTAACTGCAGACTCTGTAAAATAAGATTTTTACCAATCTTAAGTTACTAATTATTTTTTGTTGGGTACCTGGTACTCAGGTGAGAATCCTAGCTTATGGATAACAAACCTTCAGTGTGAGCCATGAGGTCCCAGACAGTTCAGAAGACAGAGAAGCAGGTCTAATCTGCATTCTCCAGGAATCATTTATGCAAGAGTCTGTTATGTAAACTCTCATGATCTGCAAGTGCATCCTTACTTTTCAGAGGGAGGCTTTCTCAGGGTTTTTGGGGAGAGGAAACTGTGTTAAGTGCAGTTTGATTGGGCAGTGTTTATCCTTGTTAGGATGTTTGCTAAGGACTTAAGCTGTTTATTCTGTCACACAGCTATCATCGAGCATGTGCGGGACGGCAGTGTGGTCAGGGCCCTGCTCCTCCCAGATTACTACCTGGTTACAGTCATGCTGTCAGGCATCAAGGTCAGACCATACTCTTGGCTACGTGGTGGGTTTAGAGTGTGTGGATGTTCAGTGATGGATTCTTCTACTTGGGGACTTCGGATCTGCTGTTTCTTCCTAATGTGGGCCATTAACATTGACTTTATACTTGTTTTAGTTTAAACTTTGTAGTACGACAGTTCTAATTGGATCAAATTATTTATTTATTTTTTAAAGTATTCTGGGTCTAGAATGGGCTGTGCTTAGGGTTGTTAAGTATGTAAACCTAGAGAAATGGAACAATGAGAGGCTATGAAGTTTGCTGAATATGGCTTGCATTAAGCATTAATGTAAAACATTCATTTTGGTTTTTAAAAAATCAGAGATTAAAAGCTGAGCACTGGCAAGTCTTTTTTTGGTAAGGGGCCACTTTTTACTGTAATTAAAATTATTGTCCTCACGATAATGTGAGTTTTATTGTCTACCTTTGCCAAGAAGTCTGAGATGATGATATTTCCAGTCCCTTTTTACCAGTGTGTTTTAAATTAGAAGGACTGATTTAAGACCTTCCTGAGTTTAGCTTCGTGGCATGTGTGTTTTTTGGAAGGCTTAGTGTGGGGCGAGAGTGCCTAGCACTCACATTTAGGCTGCATTACTCACCTACCTTGCCTTTGCTTTAGTGCCCAACTTTTCGACGGGAAGCAGATGGCAGTGAAACTCCAGAGCCTTTTGCTGCAGAAGCCAAATTTTTCACTGAGTCGCGACTGCTTCAGAGAGATGTTCAGATCATTCTGGAGAGCTGCCACAACCAGAACATTCTGGGTACCATCCTTCATCCAGTGAGTGTGTCTGTGCAGACTGGGTGGTGATGGGCTAGGGATGCATTTGGGGTTTGAAGAATAGGGGTTTGCTTCTCTTTCTCTGTATTTAACATCCATTAAGATATTGGCCAGTTGTGGTGGCTCACGCCTGTAATCCCACCACTTTGGGAGGCCAAGGCGGGTGGATCACGAAGTTAGGAGATTGAGACCATCCTGGCCAACATGGTGAAACCCTGTTTCTACTAAAAATACAAAAATTAGCCTGTCGTGGTGGCGTGCACCTATAGTCCCAGCTACTCAGGAGGCTGAGGCAGGAGAACTGCTTGAACCCGGGAGGCGGAGGTTGCAGTGAGCCGAGATTGCACCACTGCACTCCAGTCTGGGCAACAGAGCAAGACTCTGTCTCAAAAAAAAATTATGGCAGGATTATTATTAATATCTGCTGATTTTTGAGGCATTTTCTAGGGAGTTATCATTTGTCTTACAGAATTGGACAATTTTCTCACCTTTAGGAAATTAATCTCAAGTGTTATTGGGTTCATAAGAAGAGGAACTTGATCACATATTTATCTAACTGTTTGGTCCTAGGGGTTGCTACATTCATTAGAAGTAGAACTGAAATTTGTAGAATAGGGTTGATGAGGTCTAGAAGTCAGCTAGCTGAAGTATTGGTAGATCAATGATGAGGAAACTGAGGTATGGAAAAATTATGTTTTGTATTCCAGGCTTTATCCAGCTACCTCCTAACTCTGCTTTTAGCAGGGAGTAGGTTCTTTATGTTCTTATAGTTCCGATTCTTGGATGTTTTACCTTATTGTGCACTTTGATAGTTGGGTTATTCTTAGATGTAAGATGGCCTTCTTTTTAACACCTGAAATTGAATGGATTTTCATTATTTTAACCTGTGTCCAATACAGAGCTAAGCTACTTACTCTTTGGCTAGATAATTCTTCCATGATGGCAGTTGTGGAAGGTTGAAAGGCTTGGTTTGGGGTGTGCCAAGGTCATGTCTGTTTCTTCTGGAGTGCTGTCTGGCTGTGCCCTGCCAGATGGCTCTGTGTTACAGTACAGTGTGAATTTTAATTCACTGGGCAAAATGTAGCTTCCGTTATTCCCTGCTCAGCCTGTTCTTCAGCTCTTATGAAAGGGGGAGGAAGTGCTGATCTTAAGGGAGGGAAGAATAAGGTGTAATCTCTATTAAAGATTAACATCCTCCTCTGCCCACAAGAAGAGCTATTGAAATGTCAATTCCATTCAGTGCCACTAGCATTTATCCTACTCCTATTAAGTGAGTTATTATGGTGGATATTGTGGGGATACGAAGCCAAGGCTATTGAAAGGAGTCTCAGAGTGGCATCTCTCCCATCTTAGGAGTGGTTTCGTAGTGAGAGAAGCTACTCTACTGTAAACAAACAAACAAACAAACTGCAGACTAGTTTGTGACTGTGTTAATTGTGTCAGAAGTCTAGAGAAATGGATTCTTTTACAACAGAGTCTAATCCGTGCCTGCCTCTCATGTACCTTGTTTTTCAGAATGGCAACATCACAGAGCTCCTCCTGAAGGAAGGTTTCGCACGCTGTGTGGACTGGTCGATTGCAGTTTACACCCGGGGCGCAGAAAAGCTGAGGGCGGCAGAGAGGTAAGGTCTGTCCAAGAGGCCTTCCAGCTGTGGATCTTGTTAAGGATCTTTAGGGAAAGAAATCTGGTGATTTGCTCACACCCCTGTGTGTCAGTGTTCATTTTACTTCAGTAAAGGAGTAGGGCAGTTCCTTATAGAGGAGTGACTTAAATATTGGTCTTCAGGTTCAGTCTAATTGAATGCTGGATGGTAAGGACTTACAGTTTTCACTTAGACATTATTCTTCACTTGATTTGCTTTTTTAATGTTTTCAGGTCATTTTTTTCCCAAGCCCCTTGCTTAAGTTCTGGGTTTTAGACATTTGGAATGTAATAAACTTGAAGCTTATTTGAGAAAGATGAAATTGCTTATTAGCTGCTCCCAAACAGACAGACAAGAGCAGGGGTATGATGGAAAGACAGAGCCTGTAGGTTTTAAACCAGGACCATTCAATATTGTTGTGAGGCCTATGCCCTAACTTATTTAAAAGTGTGTTTCAGTTATAAACACTAATATAACTCTGAGACGTTATTGGTGTGTTTTTGACTTGTTGGCTATCGTTAAAGCAGATATAGGAATAACTTGTTTCTAGAAAACTGCATGTAGAAATTCCAAATATTAGTCGACATTTCAACTGTCAGCGTCAAGATGTAGATGCAGATGTAGATGTAGATGTAGATGTAGATGTAGATGTAGATGTAGATGTAGATGTAGGTGAACTTTCTCCATTTGATGGGATAGATGGAAGAAAATAAAGCAGGTAGCAACAATAGATGAATGGAAATGATGCTCGGGAAAGTCTGAATCACCACCTTGCATGACACATTTAAGCAAAGACAACACACAGCTGATGACAGTAGTCCACTCTCAAGTCTTGCTGTATGACTTGTTTCAGAATCTTAAAGTTATAATGGTCTTGATAACTACATTTTTGTGACAGATATACAGCTAAGAGATGTGCAACGACGTGAATGAATAACTATAGTATTTATTCCATTTCTTAGGTCTTTTTCATCCTTGAGTACCTATAAGCAGAAGTATTTGCAGGTTTTTATAAAAGTAGATATTAATCTAGGCCATTTGATGTGGCACATCTGACATGTGTATTGTCTGATGGAAAAGAACAGTGATTGCTTAGAATTTTTTTTATGTTGTTCTACAATTAAGTTAGAAAGATATAATAACCGTATCAAGTACAGTGTTCCAAATACTTCCGATTATTCTACAATGCTCAATTTCTGTTTTTTGGTTCAGAGAATCCTGTTATGTTCATTAGTATTCTAAATTAATTTGATTTTTTTTGCATTCTTTAATTTCTTGCCCCCCCTCCCCCCCCCCACCTTTTTTTTTTGAGACGGAGTCTTGCTCTGTTGCCAGGCTGGAGTGCAGTGGCACGATCTCCACTTACTGCAACCTCTACCTCCCTGGTTCAAGCGATTCCTCTGCCTCAGCCTCCCCAGTAGCTGGGACTACAGGCGCATGCCACCACACCTGGCTAATTTTTTTTTGTATTTTAGTGGAGACTGGGTTTCACCACGTTGGCCAGGATGGTCTCGATCTCCTGACCTCGTGATCCGCCCGCCTTGGCCTCCCAAAGTGCTGGGATTACAGGTGTGAGCCACTGTGCCTGGCCCAGTATCTTGCCTTTCTTTCAAGAAAGTGAATGCAATGAAAATAATATCTACATGTTATATGACATCGGTAGAAGATTTTATGGATTTTTTGGGGGAGTGCTCATCATTAAAAAACAAGCTTAGACCAGAGAATGCAAATCCTATTTTGATAATATGTGATTACTTGTCTGCTGTTTTGCATGCTGTATTTGAGCTACTTGAATTGTAGGTAAAATTGCATCCTCTGTATTGAATTACTTCTTGTATTTTACAACTACTACATCCTGCTTTGTGTTTTTCTCATTTTAGTGCTTCTCTAAAACAAAAGATTGCAATACTGTTTTCAGAAATAATAGTTCCTTTTCACTGCACATGTATCCACTTATTTGTAAGTGGTTTAAGACAGCTGTTCATTGATTTTTTTTAATCTTTGCACATATTCCATTTCCTACTCATAGTCTGGCTCAGAAAATATCTACTGGGCATAATACTTCAAAATAAATTTCTGGCTACATAGGTTTTTTTAAACTCTTGTCAGTGAACTTATGAGGATTTTGTTCATTTTCTAATTATTCTATAGATGCACTGTCATGACAGTTTTCTTCTTATATATAGGATTTGGTAGCTGGTAACCTTTTTGTAATTCAGATAGAAATTGAGCAGGTCTGTGCTTTTTAAGAAATATGTTTGTTTAGATGTGTGGGTTCTTCCCATTTTTTTGTAGTAGTCACCCAGGAGATATTAGATAAACCAGAGTTAATAATGAAGGTGGACTTGAACCATCTAGGCTCAAAAAATTGTATGCCTGGACCATAGTCTCCCAGCTGTGGGCTTACATTTTATATATGTATCTTGCATGTTTTCATTTACTCTCGCTCTTTGTTCTGGTTTGACTGGTAGTCTTTCTTCTGGATACATCTATAGGGTAGAGTAGGATGCTGCACCAACTGTGCTCCCATGGTAGTGGTGGATTCCATTTGCTGAGTCTGAATGATCTTGCATCCTTGCTTTGTTGCCAGGTTTGCCAAAGAGCGCAGGCTGAGAATATGGAGAGACTATGTGGCTCCCACAGCTAATTTGGACCAAAAGGACAAGCAGTTTGTTGCCAAGGTGAGTCATTCTCAGCATCTTGATATGCATAGTGGACATTGCCAGGCGAGTAATAATACAAGAATTTGAACAATTAGAAATGCTGAAGCTCTTGAAAATTTCAAGGCAAGCCAGTAGGAGTGTGTGTGTGTGTGTGTGTGTGTGTGTGTGTGTGTGTGTGTGTGTTTATTGTAGGGGGTTTAGAAACCATTAGACTATTTAAATTTCTTTGTAAATTAGCTAACTTCAAACTAGCTTGAAATATCTCTCATAGTTTAGGACTTCTTTTTTATCTGCCTAGCAAATAGCATTATCTTAAGATTTCCTATGTCCAAGTATAGATGGTCCCTGACTTATGCTGGGTCGACTTAAGATATTTTGACTTTACAGTGGTGTGAAAGCAATAGATACTCAGTAGGAACCACATTTGGAGTATCCATACAGCCATTCTGTTTATCACTTTTGGTCTAGTATTCAGTAAATTAATTAAATGAGATATTCAACACTTTATTATAAAACAGGCTTTGTGTTAGATTATTTTGCCCAATTGTAGACTTATGTAAGTGTTCCAAATGTGTTTAAGGTAGGTTAGGCCAAGCTATGATGTTTGGTAGGTTAGGTAAACTAACCTAAGCAAAAGTAGGCTACCTAACCTAAGGTAGGTTAGGCCAAGCTGTGATGTTTGGTAGGTTGTATTAAGTGCCCTTCTTTCCTTCCTTCCTTTCTCCCTCCCTCCCTTCCTTCCTTTCTTCCTTCCTTCCTTCTTCCCTTCCTCCCTTCCTCCCTTCCTGCCTTCCTCCCTTCCTCCCTTCCTTCCTGGCTGAAGAGAGATAAATGCATTTTCAACTTACAGCATTTTCAGCTTATGATGGGTTTATCAGGAGTTAACCCTGGTGCAAATCAAGGAGCACCTATAAATATATGACCTCAAGTTTCTCTTCTTTCTGTTTTGGAGCTCTTGGTTCCCCGCCCCACCGCCCCGAGAGTTTTCCATTGATATGTCTTGGGATAGACTACTTTGAAGGGAACTAGAGCTATTATCCTTGGTGGTATCAGCAGTGCTATAAAAATGTTTTTTCTTAGTTGCATGGTTTTGTAACTTGAGTAGTAGACCTGCTCTCTGTGTCTTCCCAAAATGCTGTAATGTTTTCCAGCCTATTTTTACTTTTGCCAAGAGATGCTAGAAGTTTTGTTTTTATGGGCTAAAAGTGGTTAAGTGCCAAATTCTTGGACTGAGAGGTTCTGTCTCCCTGTCAACTAACCATGAGTTTAGGATGGAAAGCCACTAGGTGGCACTGTGAGCCTGAGAAAGTCTGTCTTTTAAGCAACCTCTGAGGAACTGGCTAAATTTCTTCACTCTCTTTTTTATGATGCCCAAAGTAATAGGTCACAGAGTGGTCTAGTGGCCTCTTTCCCTCTTTTTGTAGGTGATGTCCAGGCAGCTGTGAGGTGAGCCAAAATCATTCCTTTTGGTAGGCATGAGTGGGACTTGCACCTGTTGGGATATCCTGGCATCCTCCAGGTCTTGTTGCAGACCACAATGTCCCTTCTTTGTGAGGCGTGTACGTGTGTGGACACTTGGACATGGCTTGCTCTGCCTACTTGGAACTCACTCAGTTGTGCTTATGCTTCCCGTAGTTAGCATAGCTGTGTTAACATAGCTACAGAATGAAAGGATGATTTTTCACCCAAAAAGGGAGGCAGGCCTTCAATTTTTCGCCATCTTCACTTTGAGAGTCTGTGACATTAGTGATGTAGATGAGGCATGTGAGGATCTTAGTACCCTGTCGTGTTCCTACCAGCCTGTCCTCTATTAAAACTGAGTTTGTAGAAAAACCTAGAATATTTTGAAGAGTTTTGGGCCTTGGCTGGTTGGGGAGTTAACTAAAGCACTGCATAAGAACAAAATTCAAAGGATTTAGATTATTGAGCTTTGCATTTATCTTAAATATGACTTTGTTGGTAATTAGAAAAGGGAGACCTACCTGTAGAAGAATTTTTTCCATTTTCAAAAATCTAGGATCCTAGGATCTGTTTTTTCTTTAAAAGAGAGCGAGGCTTTTATCATGACAATGAAGTTTTATTCATTACAGTGCCAAAGTAGAGGAGATTGCCTCTAGAAATCATCTGATGGAGAATTATGAGGAATAACCAATCTTCTGTAGAAATTGAAACATAAATTGAGACTGTTTGGGTACACGTCCGCTTAGAGGGTAGAGAGAAATGGGAAAAGAGTTTTTAAAACTTGACTTTTAAAAATTCTTTAGCATTCGTTTTGCTTTTAAAACAGGAAAAAAACATAAAGAAGATAAGCATAAATACCCATAGTACATGAAACACTATGACTTGGCCTTGTTTTGTAATTTTTTTTTTTTTTAACAAAGTTGATCATAGTGTCTGTCTCAGGGTTGGCAAACTATGGCCCATGGGCTGAATTTGGCTGGGCACTTGTTTTTGCATGATCTGTGGATTTTACACTGAAAAAAATGGATTTTGCGTTAATAAAAAATATATCGTGGCATGTGAAAATTATGTGAAATTAAATGTCAGTATCGTAAATAAATTGGAACATAGCTATATGTGTTCGCTTGTGTATTGTGTGTGTCTGTTCTTGTGCTATAATGGCAGAGGTGAGTAGTTGTGATAGAAACTGCGTGGCCTGCAAAGCCTAAAATATTTGTTATCTGGCTTTTTACTTAATAGTTTGATGATCTCTGATCTATACCAGTCCTACTCAAAATGCCTTGATAAAGTGACATAAGGAGCTTGGGCCAGAATGTAAATCAAGGCATTACTTCCTTCATCAAGAAAAGCTTACTACAAAAAAAAAAAAAAAAGTCAGCAATGTTCTTAGTGATGTAGTTGATTAATGTTCTAGTACAAGTTCCTTATCTTACTGCAGACTGGCAGCCACTTTGAATAGCACTGATCTGTACTCTTTTGTGTGTAATTTTTAAGTTTGCACATTTTTATTTTTAATACAGAAAATTTAAAAATTTTTTATAGGCTTACTAAAGAATGTACCAGTTCAATTTCACTCTTCCTTGAGGCAGTCACTTTCAACTCTTGGCTAATTCATCCCTGAATAAAACATTTACATGGCTATTTCTTAATTTTTCAGTTTAAGGGCAACTCCTTTCCTTCATACCATGGAAGAGGAGGACTTAGTTTTTTCACATAAGCACACATACTCAAGAGGGCGCACAGTGCTCTTACCCAGTTCTTCCAATATGATTATGTCATAAGTTAGTTAATAGTCAGTATTTATTTTAAGTGATAATCACCACAGTGCTATATAGCATATTATGGCTACTTCTAGTTTCCTGCAAAATTTTTTTGTTTTCCCTGGAGTTAATAATTTTTAAAATTTACATTTTTTTACATACTTATTTTAATTCAGCCTCCAAACTCTGTCTAAATCTCCTCTCAAGAGGAGATTCATTCAGTCTGCTAACAGTATCTTGGAGCTTTGCAACCTGCATCAATCTGGACTGGTTTCTCTTTTTGCCTGTTTTAGAGCTGTCATCTTTGGATTTCTTCACCATTGTCCTGAGGGATTTCTTTGCCTTACTCTTGGATTGGAGCTAGGATTGCTGGATCTCACAGCTTTCTCTTTATAATTTGCAACTTTGTTTTAGTGGCATACATTCTCTAACTTCATGGCAAAGAATGCTTGGGAGGTAAATTTTCTGAGACCTTTCATGTCCATTCTCTACATACACTTGATAGTTTAGCTGGATATAGAATTTTATTTTAGAAGTCATTTTCCATTAGAATTGTATCTATCAGTATCACTCCACTGTCAGTAGTTATCAGAAACTTTTTTGATTTCTAATTTTTTTATGGATCTGAAACCATCCTGATTTCTTATCCTTATATATTTTTTTCTTTCTGAAAGGTTTTAGCAAATTCTTTTTGATCCTAGTGTTCCAACATTTCATAGCGATGCACTTTGTTTATCTATATTTGAGCATATTATGCCTCAATGTTTAGTTGTTTTGTTCTGAGACTTTTTCTCCCAACTCTTTTGTTGGTTTCCATCTAGAATCTTTGTTCTCTTTTTTCTAGAACTCCTATTATTTGGTTGTTGGATTTTGTGGGCTCATCTTCCAGTTTTTTTCTCCTATTTTCTGTCTCATCTTCTATTCTTTTTAGATTTCTTTATAGTTACCTTTCAGTAGTTTTATTGACATGATACTGTTTTATTTTTTAAGAACTTTTTTTGTTCTCTGCATGTTTCTCTTTTACTATTTTAAAAAATAAAGTTTTATACTGACTTCAGAGATAAAAATCATCTCTTAGCTTTCTGCGAAATTGATTTTTTTTTTTTTAGTTTCATTTTTACTGCGCACTCACTATGTTCTTCAAGCCTCTCCTCTCCCCTTCTTGGGTTATTTTGGTCCCTTATTTTTCATATTAGAGGCTTTCCTCAGATATTTGCTGAGTCTTGGTTTTCTGTCTTATTTGAGAATAAGATATTAAAACACTGAGTTTAGAAGCAATGACCCTAGTGTGGGATTTAGGGTATACATATTTGCTTGTTTGTTTTTGAGACAGGGTCTTGCTCTGTCACCCAGGCTGGAGTGCAGTGGTGCCATCACAGCTCACTGCAGCTTCAAGCTCATGGGCTTAAGCGATCCTCGTGCCTCAGCCTCCCGAATAGCTGGGACTACAGGTGCACGCTAACACACCTGGCTAATTTTTAAATTTTTTGTAGAGATGAGGTCTCCCTATGTTGCCCAGGCTGGTCTTGAACTCCTGGGCTCAAGTGATCCTCCCACCTTGAGCTCCCAAAGTTGCAGGGATTATAGGTGTGACCCACCATGCCTGGCCAGGGTATACATCTTGAAATCCATCTGCTTCTTACAAAGATTTGAAACCATCCATCATTTTTGGTCCCATTTTCATTCCCAATTGAGATGCTTGATTTGACAGTTTCTGAGTCTTGGCAGATTAGGGAGAGTGGGACTGCGGTATAAATCAGATTGCCTATTGTGTTTTCTCGCCACTGTCTCAGGATTTAGCTTTTGTGAGTCAGTGGAGTAAGTTACTACTCATCCATCTGCTTTCCAGCTTCCAGGGTTTTGTTGCAGTGTTCTCTCTCATTATCTTCTTCCTTTTGGGCTTATGTATAGATACGTTTTACAGATCCCTTTTATCTAGAGGTGTTTAGAGAGGGACCCAAAATAAAGAGCTTACTTCTTTAATTGATGTGTAATATTTCATTGTAGGCTGCAACATAATATTTTTGACCAGTCTCTAATAGGTTTATATTCATGTAGTTGAGAATTTTTTTCGTTATTTAGAAAGTGGAATAAATCTCCAAGTAATTGGCAGTTATTTCCTTAGAAATTATTTGGCTCACATTTGCCAAACATGTCTTTAGAAATGTTAACCAGTATATACCACTAAGTGTGTTCATTTTCTAATATGTTGTAAAACAGGGATTGGACAGCTTTTTCTTAAAGGACCACATTGTAAATATTTTAGGCTTGGTGGCCATGTGGTCTCTGTTGCAACTACTGAACCCTGCCATGGTAGCAGGAGAACAGACATGGACAGTGTGTAAATGAATGGTTGTGGCAATATTCCAGGAAAACTTTATAACAATATGAAGTGGGCTGGATGGCCCTTGGGCCATAGTTTGCCAGCCTTTCTTGTAGAACACTGGATAGCAACATTAAGTTAAAAATGGAAAAAAATACATGCATTACTTTTCATAACCTGGAACTCAACAGCAGTTCTGTATCATTTTACCTGATTTAAAATATCTGTTAGTGGCAAACAGCTTTTTTCAGGGAATCCTAAAAAAGTTCTAAGATACCTGGGACCTTCACATAGTCTGAAAGTCCTGCAAGTCTTCCCTGAGTGATTCTGCTTTCAAGATCATGTGATTGTGAAGCCTTAACAAATAGTGATTCTCTCTTCAACAATCACCCTGTTTTTTAGGAATTAATTGTACAGGGCCCCGCTAAAAGCCTCAAAAGCCTGCAAAGGGTAACCTATGGCCTCTAACTGGATGCCTCTGGGGCTCTACAGTTGATTTCTGGAACTGAGGCAAAGCTGTAGGTCAGAGTGCCAAGAGGCTTATTAAGCCTGAGAAATGTGAAACTTGACAAAGTATTCTCTGATACATGTGGCCTATTGAGAGACTGGTTCCCTTTGTCTGCTTAAGCAGTTTTACTTCTTGAGGAATGAAATGCAAAGGAAGGGCTCTCCTTGTCTTTCCAGGTTAGCAGAGAAGCATGTTCACTTCACAGCGATTAGCTGAGCTTGCCCGAGACTTTTGTGCCCGTCGTGGCCTGCCAGTTCCCTCCCTGCCTTCCCTGTGGCGTTTTAGCTGATCTGTGCTGTTTGTAGCCATATGGTCCCCTGAGCACGTGGCTTGGCTTCCCTGTTCCTGCTGCTGGATCCTTGGGCATTGCAGATTTCACAGACCTGAATAACATTGTTGTGGGGGGTGGGGGAGGGATGGAGTGGAATCATGTCCTCAAGAGGTGTCTCCTTACCACCCTACCTGGTTAGAGGCTTCTTGCTTGGTCCTCTGTACCTATATATAGATTAAGCAGAGCCCTGAACTAGGTGCTTTGAAAAGATGTAAAATAACTAGAAGTGGTTCCTGCCTTCAAGGAGCTTACCTGCTAGGGCTTTGTCTGGGAGCAGTAAGTGGTTAACTGGCATTGGTGGCCAAGTCCAGTTTTGGAGATCAGGATATAAACTGTCCATGGGTACAGTAGATTTTAAAATGTATTTGGTTTTATTTACCCTGATAGTTTTTTGCTGTGCTTCCAGTCATAGCTCTAGATGGAGTTCATTATCATGTCTCTGAGAATTTTTTTCCTCAAATTGTTTATAATGACAAAATTCATAACATAATATGTAGTATCTTAACGATTTTTAAGTGTACAGTTCAGTGGTATTTATATTCATATTGCTATGTAGCTATCACCACCACATATCTCTACAACTCTTCATTTTATAAAACTGAAACTATACTCATTAAGCAATAACTCTACATCCCTCTGTTTCCCCTCTTCCAGGCCCTGGCAACCACAATTCTACTTTTTGCTTCTGTGATTTTGACTACTCTAAGTAATTCATATAAGTGAAATCAGACAGTCTGTGTCTTTGTGACTGTCTTATTTCATTTAGCATAGTGTCCTCAGGGTTCATCCATGTTGTTGGATGAGTCAGAATTTTCTTCCTTTTTAAGGGTAAATAATATTCCATTGTATGTGTATACATTTTGCTTACAACCTGTTCATGTGTCCATGGGGACACACTTGGGTTGCTTCTACATTTTAACTATTATGAACAATGCTGCTATCAACATGGTTATACAAATATCTCTTTGAGACCCTGTTTTCAATTATTTTGAGTTTGTACCCAAAAATGGAATTGCTGGATTATATGGTAATTGTATTTTTAAGTTGTTGAGGGAATTACTATATTGTACCATTTTACATCGGTGCACGAGGGTTCTACTTTCTGTACATCCTCACCAACATTTGTTATTTTCTGGGTTTTTTTTGGTTTTGTTTTTTTTTTTTATAGTGGCCGCCCTAATAGGTGTGAGGTGATGTCTCATTGTGGTTTTCATTTGTATTTCCCTAATGATTAGTAATGTTGAGCATCTTTTCCTGTGCATTTGCATATCTTCTTTGGAGAAATGTCTATTCAAGTCCTTTGCGCATTTGAAAAAGAAATTTCAACTTTTCTTTTAGATTCGGGGATACATATGCAGGTTTGTTACATGGGTATATTGTTTGGAGTAGGAATGATCCAGTCACCCAGGTCATGAGCGTAGTACCCAATAGGAAGTTTTTCAGCCCTGGTCCCCTCCCTTACTCTCCCCCAGCTCTAGGAGTCCCCAGTGTCTATTGTTCCTGTCTTTAGTCCATGTGTACCCAGTGCTTAGCTCCCACTTGTAAGCCTCTTTGCCTGTTTTTTAATTGAGGTTTTTGTTTTTTTGTTGTTGAGTTTTAGGAGTTCTCTATATATTCTGGATATTAATCCTTTGTTGGGTATATGATTGGCAAATATTTTCTCCTATTTTGTCAGTTGCCTTTTACTTTGTTACACAAAATTTTCATGAAATCTAATTTGTATTTGTACTATTGTTGCCTGTTCCTTTGGTGTCATATTTGAGAAATCATTGCCAAATCCAATGTTGCAAAGTTTCTGCCCTGTGTTTTCTGCTAAGAGTTTTGTAGTTTTATAGGTCTTATATTTAAGTAATGAATCCATTTTGAGTTTGTTTTTAGTTTTGGTGTTACATAAGGGTTCAACTTTGTTTTTTTGCATGAGGATATCTAGTTTTCTTAGGACCATTTGTTGAAGACAGTCATTTCCTCATTGAATGGTCTTTGCACCCATCTCAAAAATCATTTGACTGTATATGCAAGGGTTTATTTCTGGACTTCATTCTGTTTCATTGGTTTGTATGTCTGATTTTATGCCAGTACCATGTGGTATTGATTACTGTAGCTTTGTAGTAAGCTTTGAAATCAGGAAGTGTGAGTTTTCCTGCTTTGTCCTTTTTCTGGATTGTTTTGGCTATTCAGGGTCTCTTGAGATTCCATATGAATTTTAGGATGAGCTGTTCTGTTTCCATAAAAATCATCACTGGGATTTTGATAAGGGTTGCATTACATCTGTAAATCGCTTTTGGGTAGTATTGACATCTTGACAGTATTGTCTTCCAGTCCATGATCATGGGACGTGTTTCCGTTTATTTATGTCTCTAATTTCTTTCAACAGTGTTTTGTAGTTTTCTTTGTACAAGTTTTTCACTTCCTTGGTTGAGTTAATTCCTAAGTATTTTGTTCTTTTTTGATGATACTGGAAAAGGAACTATTTTCTTAGGTTTTTTTTTTTTTGGATTGTTTATTATTTATAGAAATGCAGCTGATTCTGTGTGTTGGCTTTATATCCTGCTACTTCATGAATTCATTTATTCTAACAGTTTTTGTGGAATTATTAGAGTTTTTTACCTATACGTCATCTGGGAACAGTGATAATTTTATTTCTTTCCTTCCAATTTAGATGCCTTTTGTTTCTTTTTCTTGCTGAACTTCTTTGGCTAAGACTGTCAGTACTATGTTAAATGGAAGTGGCTCTCTGACATGGTTTTTAAGCAAGGATGCAGCTGAATATTTTTGGCATTATCTGGATTTCTCCAGTATATTCCTATGTGATAATATGGAGAGAATCAAAAAATACCTGCCACTTCCTTGCCTTTTGCCATTTGACTTTCAGTTGGAAAGGAAGTTCTGGAGATTGTCTCACTAGAAAGGTGGGCTCTGCTGAACCAAAAAGGGATCAAGACTTGGTTTGCAGCTTATACTAGTAAACCAGTGTGCTGATAAGAAAAAGAAAGTGATTGAGTTAGAAGAGATTGAAAGAATATTAACCTGGCTTTAAAAATTAAATTATTAGAGACTTCATTTTTTAGGTCACTCTTTAGATTTACAGAAAAATTAAGCAGGTAGCACAGAGTTCTTATATTACTCATCCACCCTCAGCCCAGTTTCCTCTGTCATTAATATTTTACGGGAGTATTGTATTTTTGTTATAGTTAGTATATCAATATAGATACATTTTTATTAACTAAAGTTTATATTTTATTCAGGTATTCATTTATTTATACTTTATTTCTGTTCCAGGATACCACATTGCATTTAGTTGTCATATCTCCTTAGGTTCCTTTTGGATATGCCAGTGTCTCAGACTTTTTTTTTGTTTTGGATGACTTTGACAATCTTGAAGTACTGGTCAGGTAGTGTGTAGGACGTCCCTCTGTTGAAAGTTGTCTGATGCCTGATTTCCATGTAAGTACATCTTAAGAGTATCTGGTTTGGTTGTGCTTAGGTGCCTGGAAGTGCCTGCATCAGGATATTGTTGTGGTTTGTTTTTGTTGAGGACAAGGGTGGCAGCTGTACTCTTCTAGGGGACTGGGGAGAAGAGACATAGCATACAACCTTAGGGAGTGGGAAAAACAGCCAGATGTCATGATTTCAGAGAGGAGAATAGGTATCTGTGTGTCATTCTCAGTGACGTCATCAAACCACAGTCTCTGGTCATGCTTGTAGAAGGCCCTTTTGGGCTGAGAATCCTTTTGTTTCTATCTGGTACTGGAAATTTTGGCAGCATTGGGGCTATTGGTGGTTATGTCCACAGCTCAGGAAGCTGTTGAACAAAAAGGAAGCTTTTTTGTTTGTTTTATGTGTGCTTCAGGGTTTTCAGAATCTGAATAACAGCAGCCCGTTGCACCCAGTGAGCGCTGTGGATGGGCTGTACAGATGAGAGAGTGTGACAGAGGCTGAAGATAGGCATGGATGTTCCCCTAACGGAACTCTGGTTTTCTTGACTCATGGCAGCCCTTAGCCTACACCTTATTATCATTAAACCATTTTTTCCTTTTATGATTGGGCTTCAAGAAATGGGGAGGGAATTGGATTTAGTGCATGTATTTGAGTCCAGCTAATGACTTTTTCCATGTAGACTTTTGCTCCTATGCCTTAGGTTATCTCTTGGTGTGTGGGGTGTGAGCGTGCATGGGGTTGGCTTGATTAGAGATCTGTAGCTAGCAGAGAAAGTGGGCAGTGTGGGCATACTTCAGTTATCCTGATGAAAAGCACCAGAAGAAATATCACTGTTAAAATGTGGTCCGTAATGGTGCTGATGAGCTGGCTTCAGACAGTAATCCACTCTGCATCTCACTTACTGCACAGTACGTGGCTATAATCAGTATTTTATTGCCGATTCCATGTCTCTGCTCAGGAGCTGCTTGTTCTCTGGACAGTAATGACACAATTTACAGAGGAATAAAAAACCATAAACCCCACTTATACACACACGCGGACACGCACGCATGCACTCACCCTTCCTATCTTCACCAGCAAGCTAAACCTTGCTTAGCTGGCAGTGGCAGAGTGCACAGTTCCTGAAGAGGAGGTTTCTAATCAGGGAGATGCTGAGCAGCAGAGAGAGTCTGCTGCTGGGGCCTAAAATTTACAGCTCTAAGAATTCATTGCTGCCGTTGCTGCTAACATATTACAAGGGGTGCCTAATTCCAGTAACTTGTTACAGGACATCCTTAGATCTTCATGTTCTGTAATCAGCAGGTAAAGGTGTGAGCACTATGATACTTTCTTTGGTTTTATTACTCTCTAAGCATGACTAGGGAGCAGAAAACGTCTAGATATTTCTCGTGTCTTGATTATAGGAATTTCCTTATGTTTTTGGGAATTCACAACAAGAATTTGTTTTGGTTTGAGAGAAGGTGTAGATCTGTCCAGTATTAAGATTTGGGAAATCCTGTGATGTATGTGCCTTTGATACATCATCTGACAGTTACCCTCTATCCTTTGGGTATCTGTTTGGAGGAGGAGTGGTATTGATTTGCTATAGTAGCTATTTTGCTTGGTATGGCTTAGTGGAATTTTTTTTCTTTTCTTTAGCTTGAAATTAGGATACCACAATAGCAGATATCATGGAAACTGCCCCCCTGAAATATTCTGTTATCCATTTTATAATATCTTTCCCTTCATCCAAATGTGGGATTTTGAAGGACCAGGAAATCATTAGCTGGGGTCTTTCTTTTTGGTCAATTGTCCAACCCACTACTGGAATTCCATTACTGTGTACATTTTTACTTGGCATTAGTGTGTTTAGATGGTAATGGGAATAAGATGTACTCTATTTTTTCTTTCAGTGACTGAATCTGTATTTTTGGTTATACTGTCTAGACAGTTTTTAAGTTCTAAACTCATGAATATGTTTTTGTGATTGGGCTGGCATTAAGGGGCTGTTTGGTTTGGGGTAGCTAGCCCTGACCTTGGTCCTGGTGTGATCACTCATCCTGCCTTTGATTACCATTAATCTTCATGTTTTTCTGGCAAGATGAATTTTGGGTTCTGGCTCTCTGGGTTTTAGTGTTTAGCCTATGATTCTCAGATCTGTCAAAAAGGTTATAGGAGAATGGTTATGGTTATTTGAAGTTGTCGTTTTCCTGTTTTCAGGGTTGTAAGTTAATTTTAAGTATAGTAGAAAATTAAAAATTTCTCCTGATCTACTCAGTTCTTTCTTAGAACTTTCATTACTTTTCTGATTGCTGGGCTGTTCTTCTCTACACTGCTTTCATTGCTTACAGTGGTAAAACCCAGGGATACCTTCCCATCCACCAGCCATAGTAAACCTTCTATGGACTTACAGATTGATTCCAGCTGTCATCTTTGTTTTTTCATTCATTCTGTTTGATGGCACTTAACTCCTGCTGTTTTCTGTTACATATAATTTCTCACTTGTTTATGTTTTCTATCCTTCTTGAGATTGTTTCTTAAGGCATTCCTTACTCTTCGGTGTGTGGTTGGTTGGTTCTTTGTGTTTCCGGTGTGTGGCTGGTTGGTTCTTTGGAAAAGGTAGAGAATTGCTGTTTTTGGAGGAAGCTGCAAGTAAATGAATACATTCTGTGCTAGAAGATCTAAGGCCTTTCAAGAAATAGTTAGAGAGGCCTCCTTTAAGATACTTATCAGTGTGACATCCATGATGGCAAAAAAGAGTCTAGCTCCTTTTGTTTCACGCATGAAAGAGGAGGGAAATTTTGCCAGTCCGCCCTTGCTGTGTGGCAGCTGACCCTGTAAGTTTGTTCAGTCTGGTAGCTCTTAAAGAGGCCCGATTGAAGCCTAGAAGAGTTCGATTTTGATTCTGCAGATGAAGTAGATGGTGATAGTGTTTTGTAGTCTGCAGCTACCTTGTAATAAAGTGTTGCTTCAAAGAAAAAAAAAGGCATTGAATATAATTGGGCAAATTGTAGACTGCTGGCTGTATTATGCGTTCTAGCTACAACACTGATGTGGTAAGATCCCAGTTTGAATGGAGTTTTATTCTGCACACATTGTAGAATGTTCTAATAACCTTCACAGAGGAGTATTTATGCTTTTGTCCTTTGACTACATACCCTTGTAATTTATCCCAGACTAGTTCTTTTTCTTCTGAGCGTGGGGTTCTGTGTTACTGATCTTGGGTTCCAAAACAAAGATGTCCGTAGTAGTAGTGCTCTGAAAAGGTGGCTTTCAGAGTATCTGAGGTAATATCTCAGTAATTTCATGTTTCTGCCTGTGAGATTAACAGCTGAGCATCTCCTTTCCCATGCTGAGATGACAATTCTTTTTGCCCTTCACTTGCCTTTGATTTTTCTGCTCTCTATTGGGGCATCCTATTTTGGTTCTTTCTCATCTAGTGCTGGTATCTTCTTCAAATCCAACCCTTGCCTCTTTTTCTAGATTCACATTGAGATTTTGATTTTAGTTTAGAAGCTGTTTCAAGGAAAATCTTCAATTACATGTAGAGACAGGATTTCCAGTTCTTAAGCTTTGTAGTGAACCACAAATCTTTGTCAGGGCAAAAATAAAAAAAGATTGACCATCTTTATGAATGATACAGATTTTGTCTCATTGAGAAATCATAATAAGGTCTCTGGGAACTGATAATTATAGCATAGTTTTCTCTGACATTGTTGCACCATGAAGGATGATACTGTTTTTCCCACAAATGGCTATTGATCTCACTTTCTACCTGTGAGGGTGGTGGGCCTTGCTCTTGGACATGTGATGGGGGCCATAGAAGCAGGTTTAAGCATGTTCCTTTTTGCTCACAGGTGATGCAGGTTCTGAATGCTGATGCCATTGTTGTGAAGCTGAACTCAGGCGATTACAAGACGATTCACCTGTCCAGCATCCGACCACCGAGGCTGGAGGGGGAGAACACCCAGGTGAGAATAGGGAAGCAGCCGCGCCTCTTTGCATAAACCAAAAGGAAGAAGTTGGAGAATTGATTAATATATGACATATATAATACATATATGTGGGAATGCAAAGGGACAAGTATTTTAAATCTCCACAGTATTATTTTCTAATATTTATAGCCTGACTACTATTGGGCAGGTCTCAGTGTCTTGTGGCCCACACCCACTGCTCTGCCGAATTTCACGTGGGCACTGTTGGCACTTCTCCCCAGGGGGCTTGAGTGCAGTGAGGGTTGGGATATGTGAGATGGTGGATGAGTTTAATTAACAAGATCTTATTTTTCTGTGAATAAGGAGAGGAGAAGGTCTGTATCTCGTGTACATTGTAATAGGACCCGTTTCTGCTGGTCATTTTGATTTGATAGTTCTTTATGTTTTTGCTCTAGGAAGAAATGAATCTTGGTATATGTATTCACTGGGGTCACCTACTCATTTTTTGCAGGTAGTAACTCTAATTAGTAGTTAAACTGTTTGCTATTTTTTGGATCTTTTGGCAGATAGGTTGGTGTATGACTCAGGTATATCATTTTTGAGAAATGCTTTGTATGAAAACTCTAACAAGAGCTGGTATTACATGTGCAGATAGACTGATTTTTTTTTGTAGTCATGACAGTTATGTAGCCATAAGAGTTATGAGAATTGGGAATAGGGATTAAGGTTGAAAATTTTTGGGGATTTGGTTATGTCATATTTTTACAGACGTCTTTCCCGCTTCTGTTTTTGTCGTCTGATAACTAAACTGTGTGATTATGTTAACTAGTTATAGAACTAGTTCCTCAGTGAGAGCCAGCGCCAAAGGCAAACATTTGGACAGTTTTCAGTAATTAACTATTGTGGATTGAAGTTACTGCTGTGTGTACTATCTACTGCCTGCTTTTTTTTTTTTTTTTAAGAAACAGGGTCTTGTTATGTTGCCCACACTGGAGTGCAGTGGCTATTCACAGGTGTGATCATTGCGCCCTGCAACTTCAAACTCCTGGGCTCAAACAGTCCTTCTGTCTCAGCCTCCTGAGTAGCTAGGACTATAGGTGTGAGCCACTGCACCCAACTTATCTACCTTTTTTTTATTTATGCCTTTATACAAAAAGGATGGGATAAAAAAAATCCCTTTTGTATAAAGGGATAACTAAAAAAAGGTAGATAAGTTGGGTGCAGTGGTTCTAAAGGTGTGAAATTTGCTATTCTGATGTTTTGCACATATACATATCTTGGTGCATTCACAAGTTGAAATTCAGCATTGTTTTCATTTGTGTGAGAGTTTATAGACAGCCCGTAAGAGTAAAATAAAAATATGATTGTCTTTTGAATCAGATCATACATAAAAACCACGTACAGGATGGGTGATTTGAATGTCTGGCCAATCAGTTCTTTCTCTCTCTTTTTTTCCCTTAGAGGAGGCAGTTTAATGCAGCAAACAGTATTATGGTAAGGTTGAGAATTTAAATGTATGAAAGCCTAGAAATGCCAAAATAAGGTTCTCTCAGTAACTGTAGCTCTGCCTCATTGCACAGAGTAAATACACATCTCCAATTTTATCAGTATTGGGAGTAGTCCACAATTCTGCATCTGTGCCGTACAGTTGGAATTAAGGTTCCCACAGCAACCACAACTTTGAAATTCTTGAACGTTAATTTTTGTGCCTGTATCATCAGCCAGTGCATTATGTTAATGTAGACTATATAGCTGAATTTTAAGCAGTTTTTAGGGGGATGGGGGTGTTATAGCTTAGGTAGGATGATAGCAGGTTTTCTGAAGTAAGCACTAACCTACTACTGAGTATTTTTAGTCCCAGTATCCTTTGGAACTCATCAGTGGGTAAACGATGCATTTCCCTTAGCCTACTGGCTGACAGGAAATTGTTGGAATTGGAGTATTTCCTAGTTTAGGCAGAATCCTGATTATAGAATTTCTTGTCTCTTACAAGGCGTGTTACCTCTTTTTTTTCTTCTTTTTTCTTTATTCTTTCTTTTTCTTCCTGTTCACTCCTGAGATCTTACTCCATTTTAAGACAGTTCTAAGTAAGACTTAGCTGCAATAATCTACAACATATGGCTTGTGAGGAAGATGGAGGAATGATTTCCATTATTTGTCTGTTAAAGTCCTTTGGAAGAGTTTACTGAAGGGCCACGTAAGAAATAAGTTAATATAATGAACCTTGAATGTAGTGGTAGAAGGTACCCTGAAGAGTAGCCGGTTTTGGTGGGTGGTCTGGGTGATCTTCCCAGGTCAGCTGCTGTACCTTGTGAGTGTCAAGGATGAGAAGTGAGTCAACAGGAGGAATGGCTCTCTAGGCCAGCGCTGTCCAACAGATATATAAATATGAGCCACACATGTGAGCTCTATTTGTTATTTTAAATTATCATATAACTACGTTAAAAAACTAAAAAGAAACATTAATTGTAATTTTTAAATTTGACTTATATCCAAATTATTATATCATTTCAACATTTAATGAATATGAAAAATAAATGAGACGTTCTTCCCCTTTTTAAAACTGAATATTTGAAATATGGTATGTATTGTACATTGGCACTACATTTTAATTCATCATAGCATATTTCAAGGACTCAATAGGCACATGAGGCTAGTGGCTACCATTATGGATAGCACAGCTTTAGAAATTTGCATGAACAGGTAGTCATTGTTGGTACATATTTACAGATACTTATTTTGTGCCAGATACTGTGTTGGGGGTGCAGCAGGGAATAAATAGATGTCCCTTCTCTGCCTCATGGAACTTTAGAGTCTAGTAGGGGAAATACACAAGTAATTTCATTTACGTTAAGTGCTATGAAAGAAAAGCTTAGAGTTTAGGAGAGTGCATAGTTTGGGAAGGCTACTTTGAGGAAGTGACATTTAAGGCCTGAAGAGATATTAGGAATTAGCTAGATAAAAAGTGGGAGAAGACAGTTTCTGACCTGGAGAGCAGCAATGACAAGAATGAGTTTTGGGGACTAGAGAATGGATGGCTCCTGTGGACGGTGCATGAGTGGTATGACACCTGTGTGGTACGAAACCACAGGCAAGGCCAGATCAAACATGTCCTGTGAACATCTTAGGATACTCAGGAAGGGAGAGAGAAAATGGGGCATATGATGAACTGCAAGTGATTTTGTATGACTGGAATAGAGGATAAATTTCAGGGGAGTGTTAAGAAATGGGCCTGGGAGTTAGACAGGGACCACTTGTTGAAGGCTTATATGCCATGCATTTTAGGTTTTGTCTTGAAGAATTTTGAATTGGTGAGTGGCATGTTTGGATTAAAATACTCTTGTTTCGGTTGTTTGAATTTACAAGATATGAAAGCAGTTTGCATATAGAGAGAATATTATGCCTGGTAAAAACTTACTTTAGCAAGGAACTCTGGATTTTCTTTTGGTAAGTTTCAGTTGACCAAAGACCTGGAAAATGGCATGATGAAGAGTTAATGTCTTAGGAGACGTTAACTCTTTCAGGCTGATGAGTGAGAACTATGGATGCTGCTCCAGCAGTCCTTCTTTATACTTGCCTTTTGACTTAAAGAAATCCCCCCACGCCAACCCCTGCCCCTTTCCTTGGCCTGAGATTACTAAAAGAAAAAAGAAAAAGAAGAAGAAAAAAGAATTCCCCAGAGCTCTTATAAAGAATACAAGATCCTGCTGTATGCTTATGTTAAAGTTACCAGAGATTTACAATATGGGTGTGGTAAGAAACATCACCTGGGCATCCTAGTGTGACTGTAACTGTATGTGTTTAAAGACTGAGCAACAGGCATCCTCTCGGAGTCTTAGGTTTCTGGTTTCATTTACTACGTACCAGCTGTTACAGTCACAAGTGGAGCCCAGTTGAGTATTCATGGCATAGATGTTGGGGCCAGGACCTCTGTTAGCTCATATGGCATCTTTGTGCAAATTTAGAGAAGGGTACTGCTTCTTCCTGTCAGCATCATGCCAGGGGCCATGGCTTGGCAAGCAGAATGGAAGCTAAATTTTAGCTCCTGTTCTCCCTTTGTCCGCTTTGCCAGGTACCCTTCTGCAAGGCACAGCATGGGTAAAAATATGGGCCTGCCCTAGTTAGAACAGGCTGGTAGAATCTCCAAGGAAAACATCAAGGGCATTTTTTGGAAATTGAGGAGTGGTTTTGTAGTTGCGGAAACATGGAGTGCTTGAGGAATGTTAAGAGATGAAGGTCTGTGATGGATGGACGGTGGAGGGCCTTGAAAGAAACACTAAGGACATTTCCTTCTCTCTAATTACAGGACTCTGCCTGGGGGTCAATGGCTTTGGCATGGAAAGGATAACCTGAAAACTTACGGTACCAGAGCCTTTTCCAAACCAAAGAACAAAGCGGGAGAGGGTGCAGAATAAGGAACTAGATGAGTAGGAGAAGAGGGAAAGTCTGTGGCATGGGCTTCCTCAAGGACAGGCAGATGGGGCAGACATTCCTGTTCTAGGGCGGGCCTCCACTGCTAGCTCCCAGATGAGGACTCAATGGGACTTTCCCTTCAAGGAAGCATGGGGGAGGTTCTTTTAATATTTTCTTCCTCCGAGACAACTCTACATTTGGAGGGTAGTAGGGCAAATTGTTTTTTTCTGTTTTGTACACAGAGACAAGTTCATTTCTCTTAAATTATACTGGAAGATGAGCTTTTTGCCTATGGCTAACCATATTTCTGCTCCCTTAATTTGGTTACTTTCTAATTGGAGCCAGAGGAAGTACTTGGACAAACACTGTGATCAAAGGAACTGTTTTCATCCTAGGCTTTCCAATATTACCCGGAAATTCATGGGTAGCCACTTCTGGATTTTGGTTGGAGCTTGGTTTGTTCCTAGATAGTGTTATGCGAGAGTTAAAAGGAGGGATGTGCAATATTTCCCTCTCTAGAATTCTAGCTGGATTTGTCTGATGTTGACGGTGTTTCTGTGGCACCCTGCTTCTGGATTAATCCAGTGTCAACCCGTAGGAGACGTTAACTCTTTCAGGCTGAGAGCCAGTTAAGAAAGCTGACGTGTGATGCTCTTGTGAACCTGGCCATGTATCAGGGTTTCTCTAAAGGTATAGTTTGTTTTATCCAGTTGTTTGCTATAAAGGAATGTGCTAAATCTTGGAGAAAGGCTGTGGGTTTTCTGAGCTGCTGCCTTAAAGGAGATAACACATTTTGCGATCTCAGGACTTCCTAGAGAGTGCTTGGCTTTGATCTGAAACTGGAAAGCCTAGTGCTCTATTGCCCAGGGCTGCTGTGGGCTTTGTGTTACACTTGGAGTGTTAATGACAAAGGAAACAGCCCCCAGGCATCCGATGAAGGGGCTGACTTATTCTCCCTGAAGTCTGTTCTTGCGGTGCTATTGTAGTTGACTAAGAGATACAGAGCTGAAATTTACCTTGAAAACAGGTACATAATTTACCCAATCCCCAGGTGTATAAAATTTGCTTTAGGTTGCTGGGCCTTTTTCTCAGATTCCTTTTCTTAGCTGTCTGTCTCTCCCATTCTCTGTCTTTGTATCTGTTTCTCTGTCTCTGACAGCCCCCACTGCCAGCGCTCCCACTTAGTATTTTGGGAAGGAAGTGTGGAAACCCAAAGGTGGAGTCTTTCCCTCAGCTGGTAGTCACCCCCTGCTACCAGCCTCTATTCATTTCCATCACCCTGTCTTTTAGTGTCCTCCCTGTGAATTTATTTACCACATAAAGGTTTGTTCACACCAGGGCCTCCAAATATTCAGACCCGGGTGCTAAAGGATCAGTTTTGTTAAAGCTGCCATATGCTGAAGCCCCCAGTGTCCTTGTTGCCTTTGTTTGGGGAGTTCATCTCCCAGACCTGGCCCGCCTGGCTCTCCAGGGCAGGCAGGTGGGAGAGAGGAGCTGAGATAGGTGCATTATTAGTGATGCCTTGGGATTCTTAAGGGCTTTTTGTCAGAGGCAGGGTTATGTAAGGCACTGATAACTCCATTCATTGTAAGGGGCTCCGGGGTGCTTTGCCATTAAAAGCGATTTTCAACCTATTCCCTCCAGTTTAGATTTGTAAAGGCAAAATGACTGGTCCCTCTGGACCCTCAAGCCGACTTTGCCGACTCTGAGACACGTGCCAACAGAAAGCTGTGGGGTTAGAGACCCTAAGTGAAATTGGAGCAGGCCAGTAAACCCACTCACTGTGATCTCCTGCTTGTTACTGGGAGCATAAGGCAAATAGCAAATTAGAGAGGGACTCCAGCTTGGCATTAAGGACCTTGGAGAAAAGCAAAAGCTCTTTGAAATGGATATAGCATTTCACCAGTCTCCAATGGAGAGATTTTGGGACTGCAGCAATGTGATCAAAAGATGTGGAATATGTTAGAGGCTGGCGTAGGCATTCTGTACGAGTTTCAAATTTGTTTCATCTGGGCATTTTTGAGAAGAACACTTGAAATCTTCTTTGTTAGAAGACTGAAAAAAATTACTATTAGAAGACTGTGGGTGGGTCTTAGCTCATCTATTTAAGATTCCAGGATATATATGTCCTGATTTTTAAGATTAATATCTGGGTACCAACACTTAAAACATCCCTGTGACCTGTTCCTCAGCAGTAGAGGTCATGGAGTAGGGGTACAAGCCTGCCTCCTTCTGATGAGGTCAAGACATTTGGTATCTGGATAGATAGCAGACTTTGCTGAAGTGCACATTTCACTGATCTCTCTAAGTGAATTTTAAACTGGAGAAGACAGCATGTGCCTGTCTTGTTGCCCTTTGATTTCCTTTCTTCTCCCCATTACAAATTATATTTTCTTTCATTTCCTTTAGTTATATATTCCCTTTCCCAGGATCTTGCTTATCTCCTTCACATAATTTTTTGGGATTTTAACAATCTCCTAGTCTTGGTGGTTTATCCCTGAACTGGGTGCATTTACTTCTATCAATCCATATCTCTCTCTTCCTTTAATCATCACTATCACACAGTTCTACATTTTCAATTTATCTAAATCTTTCTAGTGCTGGTGTGTTCACATTTCTTGTCTCTTCTCAGTCTCGTGAGCTGCAGTAATTCTGTGTTGCTTCCAGAGTTGTCAGCACCATCATATTCACTGCCCTGTGAGCATTTACTGTACTTGCTGTGCTGAGGTAACCCTCTTCCTTGACCTAGTTCTTGAAGGCCCCTTTAGGCCAGAGACTTCCATACACACCATCTTTCCCTTCTCTGTAGCATCGTGCACTGTTTATTTGTGTACATCTCTACCTTCCATTGTGAAGTCTCACCTCTACCAAGGCCAGGAATGGCAGGGTCTTCCCAGCTTCATATCCCTTCTTTCAGAATCTTACAGAGTGCTGTGAATAAATAAACATTTAATAAATGTTTGAATCAGAATATCTGCTGAGGCTTAGACCTAATTCCATATATTGCTTGTGAGTGGGCATCATTTTTACCACCTCCCAATCCATGGCTAACCCCCTTGACTGCTCTGACAGCCATCTTGACTTGAGCCAATGTGCTGGTATCTAACTATCTCCGGAGGGAGGTTTTACACTCCTGTTTTTTACTGCTTCCTAATTGGATTGCTTGTTTTGCTGGCTAGGTCACACATGGCTGTTTTCTGTAGGCACTTCTTCTTCTACACTCCCAGTTTTAATCTAGTTGCTGCCATTGGGTTGACTCGCCCTGCCTCTCTCTGTGTGGTGGTTTTCCTCATAATGTATATTCCATTAGCACAGTGAAGATTGAGTTCAGTCCACCAGAGGGGTTAATTTCAGGATTTTAAGTGCTTTTGAAGATTGGTCCCCAATTGACTTTCTTTCAGCACCTCTACTCTGATTCAGGCTTTTCTGAATATCTTCCTTTCATAGTAGTTCAGGTATCTTGATTCATTGAAGTTTATAGTTGCAGTTTTTACTGAGGGGTATATATATATATTTTACTGTTGTCGACCTTGTTGGTTGTCAGATTATTTCTTTGCTTGGAACTAATTTTAAAATCAATTAGAGATCTCTCCCTTCATCTTTCTCTTTTATTTATGAGATACTGATTGCAGAGCTACCTACACTGTGTTTAGATAAATTACTTTTTTTTTTTTTTTTTTTTTTTACATAACATTTATATTCAAGGCAAGTTTAGTGCAGTCATCCAGTGCTTCGCATTTTTGCAGGCTGGGCTGTAGGTTTCATTCCTTGGTGGGCTAATTAGCTTTGTACTGGGAAAATTTTGTGCAATTCAGAAACCAAACATTTAAGTTCCTTGTGTACTTTAGGCACTGTAGGTCTGGGAAATTATTTTTATGAATAAGGTGTTTATAATTTTAGGATCCATATCTCTAATCCTGACAAGTATGTGTGTGTGTTGTGGTCGGTCACCAGGTAGACTTTAGACTGGATGATGGATTATGGATGAAGCAGCATCATTTCTGTCACTGTTCTAGAAAAAAGCTTTTCATAACCGAGACTGGAATGGGAAGCTGAAGGACACAAATGATTTCCCTACCAGATGACAGGCCAATTGCTTAGGCATATTTTTGATGTCACTTTTCATTTTAGCCTTCCTCTGAAAATCTACGGTCAATTTATGGGCTGTTCACATTGGACAGCTCTTTATTTATTTATTTATTTGAGACGAAGTCTCGCTCTTGTTGCCCAGGCTGTAGTGCAATGTGGCGATCTCGGGTCACCACAGCCTCTGCCTCTGCCTCTGCCTTCAAGCGATTCTCCTGTCTCAGCCTCCCGAGTAGCTGGGATTACAGGCATGAGCCACCACATCCAGCTAATTTTGTATTTTTAGTAGAGATGGTGTTTCTCCATGTTGGTTAGGCTGGTCTCAAACTCCGACCTCAGGTGATCCACCCGCCCCGGCTTCCCAAAGTGCTGGGATTACAGGTGTGAGCCACCGCGCCCAGCCTGACATTGGACAGCTCTTAGTCTCACCATCTACTCTGATATCCGTCTGTTTTTGGCAAATGCCTTTGCCTGGTTTAGTAGTGTATTGGTGGCCACCAAGGAGTATTGCTGTTTCACAGTAGGGTCTCTATTCAGTTTAGCTGTGAAGACATTCTGGAGACTTTGTCTTCCTTGCCTTTTCATTTCTCTGCTAGAAGCCACTTGATGTAATAGCCTTCATCCTTGTTTCACTTTATTGGGCAATTAGTGTGGATAAGCAGAAATATCCCCTTTATGTGTGTTCAGACATTGGTCTCAGAATCTGCTTACCTCTGCTGTCCTGCTGGTTCTGGATAGCCCACATGATGGACGCCTGTAGTTCTGCTGTAAAATACTTTTTCATTGTTTTCTGCATTTTTTTCTCCTTCTCTACTCAGTTTGATTTTTCTGGGTCATGTAGATTTGTCATTTCTTCAGATCTGTTGCTAACTAAATGTCTAGCACATAGTTGATACTCAGGTGTTAGATAGTGTCTCATTGCATCCTCACTGGGGGCCTTTACTCATTATTCATAGTTTGGGGATATAGGGATGGGCAGAATATGCTGACACTTGGCTTTCTGATTCTACCACTCTGCCTTTCCTAGGACATGTTCCTCATCACTACTGGGAACGCGGGACTTTTTTCACATGCTGTTGTCTTTTGTAAGGTGGGCCACAATTAGGAGAAAGCCACATTCATATTCGTATGGAGCTGCCTTTAGCAGCATCTGCTTCTCCAGCTGGAGAGGCTTGTTTTAGAACGACTGGCATGCGGAAGCGGTAGGTGGAGGTCTGGGAGGAGCTGCGTAGCCAGGGCTCCCCTTCCAGCCTCCCGTCTCCCTTAGGCTCTTTCTGGCCTGAGGCATGGTCGCCATGGGTGGGGGCACTGCCCGCCCGATTCTGGTTGGACCCCCTTTCCTCTACTTCATACCGCAGCTGCTGTGAGCGAGTGCACTGTGCTCTGCACAGGAGAATTGGCAGACAGTTCCATATGCTGGTTTTGGCCATTGGGACATTCAGGATTATTAGGCCAGTTTGTACTTTAAGAGGAGGGAGACTTGACATCGCTCAAAGCAGCTTATTTTATTTATTTCTATTTCTTATAAAGGGGAAAGAAGCTAGCCCAGCCCTTAGCTGTTCCTTTCAACGTAGCCGGCTCAACGTTTTCCTCAGGAAAACATGCAGGGTTCCTCACAGCTGCTTGAGCCAGGCTCTGTCCTTCCTTCGCAGATTGCCCCGTGGCTGCCTGCCTCTTCACTCTCCTAAAGCTTTTTGGCTTTACCTTCCTTCCCTCACTCCTCCCAGTCTTCCCTCAGAGGACTGACTGGTTCTTTCAGCCTAGACACTCCTGTTTGCCTGCCAAGTTACCCTTCTTCCGGAGGTGCATAGCCTCAGCACTGTCAGAGTTCAGGAGAACAGAAGCTCCTCCAGTGAGAAGCCAGTTAATAACAGCTTTTGGACCCATTGTTGTTATTATTAGATATCCATAAAATCTAGCAGGTAGAGAACCGTCACTGGGGCTCTGCTGGAGAGATATGTCTCAATCCTAAAAGATACAAATTAGTCCCAGAGTACCTGATACCGTAGACGGAACCTGACAAACTGGAAACTCAGTGTGATAAAATCCTATAACCTTTCATCTCTCACCCCCATCACCCAGTAAGAAGTGCATTCTCAGGGCAGAAGCTAATGGTGTTGAATGTCTCTCTCTTGTCTCTTTATCTAGGAATACAGTGGAGTGTGCTCCTGTGGGAACACGCTGTCTCTTTGCCTTTGTGCCCACCCCAGAGATGGTGGATCTGGAGACTTCGGCCCTTTTGGCCAAGCACATTGTCTTCCTCCACCTGATGGTTCTCAAAAGTTTTGTTTGTTTCTTTGTTTGCTTTTGCGTTTTGACTTGCCAGCATTTCTGGAAGTATCTGAATGGTAAGAGTATAGGTATGTGCTCCTGCTACTTTAGTTGTCATCTGGATTTCTTTGAATTACCTTCCCCATGCCACACTGTGGTTCCTTCCATTTCTACCTGCTACCCTCCCTCTTGGAGTGCAGAGGGAATTTGTAAACTTGGGTTTGAATGATGAGGTCATTTCTGACCAACACAATTTGGTCGTTCTATTAGTTGTTCCTGCAGACCTTACAAAGGAGTATGTTGCTGTTCTTATATGCCCTTGTCTTGTGTTGTTCAAAAATCCTCTGTGCTATGCTTTGGATGCTGCATGAGCCTGCAAATGAATGCTTAGCATTGTTGAAGTTGACTGCTGCCCTTTAGCTGTCTGGCTTTGGGTTCAGCCAGAAAGAGTGGCATCTTTAACCTGAGTCACTTTTTAAAACATGGACAACAACGAAACTGTATTCTAGTTTTCTTGAGCAACCACATTTAAGCTGCTTATTAAATACAATTTTATATTCTAGAAAACTACATTTGTACAGTTTAAGCAAGACCAATATTCTTCTGCTCCTAGAAGAAGTTAAGTAAATTTATATCTTAATTGGTAAAATCTCTAAATCTGTAGTTTGTAGGTATTGATTTCAAGAAGACACCTCACTGATCACAGAAACGAGTGGATGCTGCATGCTCATGGTATGGCACAGTGTTCTTCATTCTGGCTTGTTTGTAATGTCAGGTTTCAACTTTGGTGTTTGTAAATAGTGGCGGGAGGTTTCAAAACTCCAGTTGTTTAGAGACTGTAAGATTTACTTCCTTGATGCCTATGGAAGGAATCAGGCTTTAGACAGCTGTGGTTCAAGATACTTTTTTCAGCTTCTTTCTCATTCCCTTTTTCACATCCATCTTTAACTTTCTCTCTCTCTCTTCCCTCCCCCTAGCTTGGTCTTCATTATTACTGTCTTGGTGTTGGTCAGGATTAATATAAGGGAGTGAGGAAAGAAGAGGTTAGTTTTATTTCCCCTTTTCTCCCTTTACCTTAAGTCCACATTGACTCTATTTTCTGCCTAATTGTAACCTACTGCCATGGATAATTGAGGGATGGAAAGTCCCTCACGGTATTTGAGGTTACTGATCTTAATGCAGTAGAGGACTGGGAAGATGTAAAATCTAAGGAAGCAGTTTTGACTCTCCCATCCCCATGCTTTGTATATCTTTCAGTGATCATGGTGTCCCTAAAGTGATTTTTGAACAGTTCTGAAGCTGAGGAGTAGGGACTCTTTGTTATTTCTGGCTGCAGTTTGACTTTGGTACATCTGTCTTTTACCTAGGTCCCCTTCCCTGCTAGGGAAATTATGTCCATATATATGGTTCTAAGGTATCCCCTGATGCAAAGTTTTACAAGGGCAAATCATTTGATTGTTAACTGTTAGATAGATTCACTGCAAATATGGCTGCCCAACATTATTGCTTCTCATTTGCTACAAACGAGCTCCAAGCCTTCTGGGTTTGCACAGGACTGCTCTGAGGACAAAGATTAAGTGGATTTCTGTTGATGCCATATATTTTGATTGCACAGCAGAGTCGCATTGTGTATTTGGGGCCTGCCACTGACTGCCACTGCCCTTCTTTTCATGGTTTCTCTCCCTCCCCTCCCTCTAAGCCCTAGCTGAGAGGCACAGGTGCATGCCCTGTTGACTCTCATGGTGAAATCTAGTTGAGCTTTTCCCCTAGAGTAGAGGCCAGATCAGTTTTTCTTAAGATGTAGTTCATAAGCTACTTGTGTTAAAATCTCTGATCGGAATGTTCATTTTTCACAATTGCCAGGTATCTCTACTGCACTTCAGCTTGAGAACCACCGTTCTAGATTGTTGCTCTTACCAATGGAAGAGTGTGGGCTTACTAAAGCTCTATCTCCAGGATTTTCGTCTCTGACAATGCAATTTTTCTTTTCTGAGCCAGACTTTAGTGCAGTAATATCTCTGCAATTTCCTGTGTGAGATTCCCCGCTCCAGGTCTCAGAGCCAGATGCTAAGCAGACATGTCCCTCTTAGCTTAGAACATCTCCTGAGGATTCCAGTGAAAGGAGATATAAGAGTTCTGCCTGAAGAAATTTATCTGCTTCAGAGAACAGAGTTCTCTAGGGAATAGTAGAGTTTCTTAGGGTTTATAACATACTATTTGAGCTGATGTTTAGGTGGGGCCTGCTATTTACAGTTTCAGGTTGAATTTTACGTCATGATAAAAAGAGAAAAGGTTTATGAAGTGGTGCCTTGTTAGATCTGGGGTCACACCTCATGTGCAATTATATTAGCTGAACTCGGTAAGGCAGAGAAAAGGATGCAGGTTAAAGAACGTGCTTGCCTCCAGCGTGTGCAGGCAGCCCTCAAATGGTTGGAAGAAAATACAGGTGCTTTATGGTACATAGAGAGAACGTAGGAGCTTGATGGCGGTTCAGGATACAGCACAGCAAAATCCTCAAGCACCTTCTGAACTGTGACTGGCACCCTAACACAGTGTGCAGGTTTAGTGTTAGCGGACGATCTGTGTTAGGACTGACGGAGGAAATCTTGTCCTTGTTCTGAGGCCTTACAGTAGTCTTCTGCCGAGTTCTTTTCAGGACTCAGCTCTGAGCATTACAGGATGAGAAATGCTGTCTGTTAGACTAATTATCTGATTTATGCTAAATAAATGCACAGATGTGATTTAAAAGTCAGTTTTGGGTTTATTAATTTATGATGCAATTTCCAGCTGCCAGACAGACCAGAATATTTTGATGGGCCAAGGGCATTCTTTTTGTGGAGGAAGTTTGCTTATTATTTACAGAGTCTGAGTAAAGGAGGTTGCTGGATACTGAGGAAAACTGAGGTGACCCTGAGTATGTGCCTGGCCCAGGTAGAGCGTGAGGTGCTGGGCATGCACTATTTTGTTGACTCCTCTACCCCGTCCTTGGGAGAATAATGACAACTTGCTCAGGGTTCCTTCTCTGGTAAGTGGAGGAACCAGGATTCGAATTGCCTCCAAAAGTGCCACCTGGACCTGGAGGTTGGTTGGGTGGGTTGGTGGTCTTCTCCTTAGTATTGAGTGGACTTCTTCCTAAGCTCCTGTTTTTCAGGATTTCCACTATCTACCAGAAGCTGTAACTGGCTGTCTTTGTTACTGTAACACGTGCTTTCTTATTTTAACATATTTTTACAAATGAAAATATTTCCTACAACCACTTTTGGAGGCACCATAATTTATATCAAGAGAGGCTCTAGGGCTGGGCATGGTGGCTCATGCCTGTAATCCTAGCACTTTGGGAGGCCGAGAGAGGAGGATTGCTTCAGGCTAGGAGTTCCAGGCCAGCCCTGGCAACATAGTGAGACCCCCATCTCTATAAAAAAGAAAAATATACCTTTAATTTAAAAAAAAGAGGCTGTAACTTTTCTAAAGGGTGACCTGTTTTTTTTTGTTGTTGTTGTTGTTTTTTTGGAGACAGAGTCTCACTCTGTTGCCCAGGCTGGAGTGCAGTGGCACGATCTTGGCTCACTGCAACTTCCACCTCCCGGGTTCAAGTGATTCTCGTGCCTCAGCCTCCCAACTAGCTGGGATTACAGGCATGTGCCACTATGCCTGGCTAATTTTTGTATTTTTAGTAGAGATGGGGTTTCACTGTGTTGACCAGGCTGGTCTCAAACTCCTGACCTCAGGTGATCCCCCGCCCGCCCCAGCCTCCCAAAGTGCTGGGATTACAGGTGTGGGCCACCGTGCCCAGCCTGACCTGTATCTTTTAAATTGTCTTGTCTCCTTTCTGAAGTTTTCCTGGCAATGATCTCATGGTTTAAAAGAGTGAGGCCAACTCTGTGCAGAGACTGAATTCTCCCTTTTTAATAGAGTCTCAATACTAGTCATTTTTGTACAGTTTCTGAGCCCTGAGAGTACCTGCTTCTAAATAGTTCATTGTCAATTTAATTTTCATTCATTATTTTCACACATTAACCCCAATAGATAGATGGCTTGCGTTTCTGCTTTCATCTTCTCTGCCCTAGAAATTTTCCTGATTATAAATGTGACATAATCACTTTATAAATTTGGGAAAATTTAAAGAAGAAAATACAAATTACTTAAATTTAACTGCCCAGAGGCAACATCACAACTGTTAATAATCGCAAGGCCTTCTCACTAGCTTCTCTGTTCATGTTTTATAACTGAGAATTTCTTCTGGCCTTTAAATAATTTCCTGAAACATGATTTTTAATGGCTATGCAGTTGTTAATGTGGACGTGTCATAATTTAACCAGCTTTCACCTATTTTTGGATATATCAGTTATTTCCAATTTTTATGATTATATCTTTGTTCTTAAAATGAAAATTTGCCTTGAAGTACAAAGCATTAAACGGTCTGTTCAGATCAGAGGTAGCTCTTAGGTAAGTTGTGCTGTCGTACAATGTATGCGGTTTGTACCACAGATACATGTTCCCAGAGGGGCTGATATTTAGTCCTGCTGGCAGTACACTCTCTAATCACCTAATTCCTTATCTATTTGTGTTATTTAGAAGCAGGCTGTGATCCAGGCCCTTTGTGTTTTGTTGCCAGAATGCCCATCCCCCCAAACAGCTGAACTTGCTGCTTCTGAAATAAAGGGTAGAGTGGATAGGTACATCTTCTCCTGGGGACCACTGCTCTTTTCTGTTGCCCTGGCTGGGAACCGGTGAGATGTTTTATGGGAACACAAAGGCTCCCGTGGCAGCTTCATGCATGCAGCCTGCAGTATTTACTTGTTTTGGCCGATAAGCTGCTCTGTCGGGTACTTCTACAGTGCACTTGTGAGTATTTGCACAATTACATTACAGATTATTAAATTGCCCCCTATTGTGATAAAAACAGTCACCCCCAAGTAAGTGTATGTAAAGCAATTATATGTAATTAAAATATAAGAGCATAAGTGACCAGTAGATAATTAAAATCACTGTTGCTAAAGAAATATACCACACCCTGACCTTGAGGAGGATGATGCTGCCAGTTCAGGGTTGGCAGGAAATCAGACAAATGAGGGTTCTCCCCAGCTGTTCTGTCTACTGTGCGTGAAGTCTGAGTACTGTCAACCTAGTCTTGTTTGTTCTCAAGAAGTGGTATGGTGGCAGGGCATGGTGGCTCATGCTTGTAATCCCAGCACTTTGGGAGGCCAAGGCAGGTGGATCACCTGAGGTCAGGAGTTTGAGACCAGCCTGGCCAACATGGCGAAACGCCATCTCTACTGAAAATACGAAAATTAGCTGGGTGTGGTGGCGGGCACCTGTAATCCTAGCTACTTGGGAGGCTGAGACAGGAGAATCGCTTGAACCTGGGAGGCAGAGGTTGCAGGGAGCCGAGATCACAACATTGCACTCCAGCCTGGGCGATAAGAATGAGACTGTGTCTCAAAGAAGTGGTATGGTATGTATAGGGGGGTTATGGCTCACATTGTTGAGATCTCTACAGGTTTAGTATCCCCTGTCTAAAGTGGTTGGGACCAGAAGTGATTCGGATTTTGGATTTTGGAGTATTTGAATGTGCTCACTAGATGAGGATCCCTAGTAGGAAAATCTGAAATCTGAAATGTTCCCATGAGTATTTCTTTTGAGTATTATGTTGGCATTCAAAGAGTTTCAGCAGTTGAGCATTTTGATTTTTGGATTAGGGATACTCAACCTGTATAACCTAGAGTCCGCATCTCAAATACACTTTAAGGCAAGAGGGCAGCCATTGACAAATGCAGACCCAGGGACAGTGTACTGTCTGTGTTCCATGTCACTCAACAATTGAGCTGCTCATTTTTTACTGGCTTAATATTCTGGTTTGATGCCTGGAAAGCATAGAGAATGTTACAGTAATCCAACCCAGAAGTGACTATAACTCTATATGGTTAGCATGTATATGGCATTATGAGAAAACACTCTCAGATCCTCTAGAGTGTTCACATGTTCAGCTTTGTATCTTCTCTAATTATTTTTCATGTGTCCTTTCTCACTGTGGGCAGCTTCTCCTCCCACCCCCAAGGACTGGTAGGTACATTGATTACTCCTAGTGCATTCTCTTAGCCACTGGAAGTCTCGCTCTGGCCTTCCTAAAAGGTGTTTCTTTTTTTTTTTTCTTTTTTTTTTTTTTTGAGATGGAGTTTTGCTCTTGTTGCCCAGGCTGGAGTGCAATGGCGCGATCTCGGCTCACTGCAACCTCCCAGGTTCAATCGATTCTCTTGCCTCAGCCTCCTAAGTAACTGGTATTACAGGCACCTGCCACCACGCTTGTCTAATTTTTTGCATTTTTAGTAGAGAGGGGTTTCACCACGTTGGCCAGGCTGGTCTTGAACTCCTGACCTCAGGTGATCCACCGGCCTCAGACTCCCAAAGTGCTGGGATTACAGGTGTGGGCCAGTGCTTCCGGCCCTGAAAGTTGTTTTTTTAAGGCTAACGTGTTTATCTGGGAGAAGTCCATTGGTAGGAGGGGAGAAGACCCAAATGAAAGTTGCATCTGTTTGCTGCTTTTTCCCTGAGGTCTTTTTCTTAACTCTCTTCCTCTCAGAGAGGATCATCTCTTCAGATAAACAGGCTCCAGGGAACCTAGGAGACCAGGGGAGGATGGGGGAGGTAAGAGCTAAGTTACCAGTTTCTGGCTTGCTTTAGGGGGTCACCCTGTATGACCCTCCAGGGTGGTCTCCCACTCATTCTTCCTACCTTCCTGCCTCCACTTGAATACTTTCCCCCTGTTCCTCTCTTTCTGGCTCTGGAGAGCTAGCCTTACGAGCCAGTAGAGGGCTTTGGAAGGACACTTGCAGGGTGTGTTTGTGTGATGCACAGGAAGTGTGAGTGGAGATATTTTAATTTGTGCACAGGTGTGTAGCTTGGAGCGACATTGGCTCCCTCTGGTTCAGTTCTGATGAAACAGAGCAGTGGGTTTGTGCTGAAATGTGTCTGCAGTTTCAGTAAGAGAAAGAATGGGTTCAGGGCTGGTGATCATTCAGTGATACTGTGTCATTTGTATAGGTCCTTCCCTGTGGTTCTGAAGAATAAATTAGTATCTTGGTCATTTGAAAAAGTAATTTTAGCTTGTAGACTTCCTGTCACACTTGAGTAGCTTTTGGAAAGTATAATATTTTTACCCAAATCCCATTAAATGTTAGGCGCTCTTTCTATATGCCCTTTACTGTCCTTTTACTGATTAGTGAAATATTTATGTGAACCCAGAAGGCTGATTTATTTATTTTATTGTCTTTTTTAATAACTTGCTTCTCCCTAGTGCTGGGTGCTTTCTGAGGCCCAGACAACCATCATGATTTCTTTGGTGATAATCTTCTGCCCTCCCCTGGCCTGCATCCTCAAGGATTACTTGGAGCTTTCTTAGCTTTAATGAAGCCTCTAGCTGTTCTGTCCCCTGGGTGGGTGGTAATAAATCCAACCAAAATGCCCACCAGGGGAGAGTGTAACTCATTTTAGGGCATATGGTGCATTAGTAGCTAAGACTCAGCATCCTGACTCCTGATTCCCAGGGACAGCCATGGAAGAGATGTAGAAGTAAAATGCCACATTCCAAGTTGGACTTGGTCCTCTTGCCCTGGAAGCCTATTTCTTGTCCTAGGTCTGAGGGTTTAGTACATGGTTAAATTGCTGGCCAAGGTGCTTCAGACATTCTTTAGCACCTGCCTCTGTCTGGACAAGGAATCAGGCAGGGGCTGATGAGAGTGGTCTCTGATATGTGGTCTCTGGAAATTCTTTTGGCCCAAGTCTTAAAGTCATGGTGGTAAAAGGTTGACTAGAAGAGAGCCTCTGAGTGGAGAGACATCCTATGCACAATGCTTGTTCTCTTCTCCCCTTTCTTATTGCCAGCATAAACAGTTGCACTTCTGGCTGGCAGATTCGCCCTTGCTAAGTCTGTGCTCAGGTTGCTGTCCATGATTAAATTCTCGCTGCCTGCAAGCACAGATTCTAGGTGTTGTTTTAAGGTTCAGGGCAAAACAGTTTTCTGTAACCTCTCCTGCTGTAAGGGTAACTGGCTATATTTGTTTGTAATGGACACATGTCTGGCTGTGTGTGTGTTTGTGTGGACTACCTTTCTTTTATTCATTAGGCATCTATTGAATGGATAAGGTTTGTAAAAAAGCCATTTTCTTTAGCAAGTAGCTTGGGTATTTTTTTAAGCGTTTATTTTTCATGTGTTGATTTGGAATAAAAAGCACACACAACTTGGAATGAAATAAAAGACTAATGAGAAACAAAGCCATGAACTCATCAGTGTCTCAACTCCACAAAATTAGAGTCCCCAAAGAATCACAGCAACTCATCTGTGTATCAAGCAGCAGAACCGATTATTGCCTGCTTTGGGTCTGACTCTGTAGCAACATGGCTCAATCAGCAGAATAATGCAGAGGAAAAATGTTAAGAATAGATGCTTTTAATGCAGCTCTCAACCCCAGTCTGCACATCAGAAATCACCCAGGTAGCTCTTAATTAGTGTACATGCCCCAGGTCTACTGAATCAGAATTTCCAAGGGGGTGGGGGGTGGTCTAGTAGCTTTTCTTCCCTCCACCTTCCAAAGCTCCTCAGATGCTTCTGATGTGCAGCTAGGATTGAGAACCACTTTTTAGTGTGTCCTGGGTGTCTGTGGTAGAAGTGGAAATCTGGTGAGATTGATTCTGGATGGGAGTCTTAAGCTTGAAAGTGATGACATCAAAACCAAATCAAATCTTATAGATGCAGATGTTGTTTAGCCTGCTTTAAGACTTATATAAAGTAATCATATTCTTTTACACTTTGGAGAATTTTTACTTATTCCATAATAAAGATGTCATAGCCACTCATTTCTTTAACGATGAGTTTAAATATTTCCCATCTGGAAAGCTCTTTCCTTGAAAAGGTTTATTACTTCTCTGTCTCCTCTGGAAGTAGGGAGAGAAAACCATTAACATAATAATAGTGTCTGACTTCTCTTCTCTGTCCTATAGTTTGTGCCAGTAGTTTCCTTAAGAGCCATAATGTGGCCTGATTTATGAAACTTACCTGGGAAACTTTTATTCTCCCGTAAGAATACCTGTAACATAATCAGGATACTTAGGTGGGTAAATTTCATTCCAGGCTTGATTTGCCTTATATATAATTAACTTTCTCAAGAAGTAAAATCTAAAATGACTCTTAAATATTGAATGTGATTTTATAAGATGGCTCCTTGAAATGCCCTTTTCCCCCTTTGTCCTTTACCTGTTTGTTTTTTGTTTGTGTACTTGTTCTTTTACCTTAAAATCGCCTGGGGGAACTTGAGAACAAAATAAAACAACCACTGCCCAGGCCTCAACTAAAATAATTAAAGCAAATCTCTGGGAGTGGAGTGCAGGCCTTGTTGTACCGCAGGTGACTCTAATTCTGAAAGAGGCTTGCAAGCCCCTGTGTTGACTGTTGCTTGGTGAGGTGCTTCTCTACTAGCCCTTTCTCCTCCTTCCTCACTCTTTGCTAACATTGCCTTCCGTTGTGTACCTGTTATGGCCCTTAGGAGACCTAATCATTTCACTTCTGCAGGTGACTTTAAAAGGCCCACTTGTTAGAATGGAACACAGTAGATTCCTCTATTTGAACTTTGCTTTTAATAAATGATGACACTATATGCTTATTTAGTGTTCTTTTGGGGTAGCTCAGATCTCCTTAAAAGTCTTATTGTTAATCCCCTCAGTGTTTCCCGAGAGTGAGGTAAGGGTTTCCTTGTTATTAAATCTAATACCCTGAAATTGCTGGGCTCTGTTACATTGTTCTCAATTGTTCTCAACTTGAATGCTGTCCCTATCAGGTTGGACAGTTTCCCAGAATGCCTTTCTGGTAACCGAGCATTAAGATTTACAATCTAGCTTTTCTTAGCCAGAAGGTAAGTCTTGCAGGGACTTCAGAAAGGTGTTCTTTCTAATCCTTAGTGAAGAGATCTACTTGATGGGCAGCTGGTAGCTGGGCCTAGGTATTCTTAGAAGAAGGATGTTGTAATGTTAGCATTAGTGTGAAAGTCTGCATGAACACTGGGCTGATCCAAGCCAGAACTGATGAGTCGAGAGGACAACTTGTGCCACCAAGATGTGTCTCTGGCTGATGTTTAAATTGCATCAAATTAAAGGGTATTTCTCATTTTCCATTGTGGTGTCACCAAAGGGCAGAATTAGTGTCATTTTCAGTAGCTTTGAGCCTCTGCAACTGTCACTCTCCCTGAGGGTCACTAGAGATAGTAACTCACATTCTGAAGAGGCCGGAAACCTCCCTGTTGGATGACTTCTTTGGAGAATTATTATTCCAGATCCACTGAACCCTACTCACCTTCGTTTTTCCTGCAATACTTTTTTTTTTCCTTTTTAAAAATCTAGAGTAGGAAAAACTTCCTATTAATGCCTGTCTGTCATACTAATAGGGTAGAAGATATGGGCGGGTGGGTAGTGGGATGGCGGCAAGTACCATGTACCTTTTCTTGTGTGAAAGTGCTCCACAAAGAATGGCCCATGGGAATGTTTTAACTGTGTAGTCATTTTCTAAAAGTTTAGTTCATCGGGTGGTTTCTTCGTCTTTCTTTCCTCTGAGTGTTGTGTTAGGCATGAGGAGGGGCACAAAGGTATGCAAGATGAAGCCCCTACTGTGTGGTGGTGGGAATAACTCAAGCACATGCTAATCAAGGCAGCTTATGATAAGATGCAAGAGGGACACACCCCAAGTGGTGTGGGCATTCAAAGGAGAAAGAAATCCCCTTTGACTTGTTCTTTACCACTTGGATTCTAGTGGTGTTCCTGGTTTATCTGTTGTGAGGTAGAAACCAAAGTACAGGGCATGCAGAGACTGTTTATCACTGGGCACAGTTATGGAGGTAACTAACATGTTAACCCCCCACCCCCATTTTATTCTTGCTTCAGGAATTTTTGTCTCTGTTTTCTCCTTGTAAACTCTTTTGCCATCCCCATTGTTGTAGAAGCCAATCTCCTACCCAGACAAACAAACTTAACTTTTTTGGTGGAAATTGATGGTGAGCCTGTTACAAGGGATGGAACTAAATTGTAAGAGTGTCCAAATCCCACAAACCTGCCAGGTGTTGGTCATTAGGTACATGTTTGAATGTTTTCAATTTGAAGAGATTCCTCTACAGTCTGTGGGAACCTCGGTGTGCAAGGTGTTTTCCCTTGAAGCTTTCTTTGCCTCTTACCTAGACATTTTGTGAAGGCTTCTCCTCAGGCAGCCCTTGTCATTTTGCTGAATGTCAGCAAACATTTACTGTCACTGCTCTGATGTCAGGGAGGAAGGTGATGCTTTTACTTTCTAGCAAAATAGCCCCCAACGTTTTGGTAGCACTACATTTAAAGGTCACCACCCTCTCTCTCCTTCTCTTCCCTCCTCTGTCCTCATTGTCATCTTTATAACCTGTCCCTTCTGAAAGTTGTTTTTGAAAAAGCATTGAAGCTGTGTTTTAAAGTGATTGGATTCAGTAAGTCTGAAGGTGCTAGTGTTGATGGTGAACTTGAGATGGTCACCTTATTCCTTAGGAGGAAGTTCATGGTTTCTGGCTCTTGGAAGAAAGTGGTTGTGTGTATGTATGCGTGTGTTATAAGGGGAATGTTTTTGGCTTAAACTATGTACGCCTATCAGGCTTGGGTTATTTCACAGTTTGAGCATATTGTAATTCTGAGTATTTTTCCTGTTGAAATTGGCCAAGGCAATCATGGCTATGGTAGAAGTCTTATCTGCTGGTGACATCACATTCTGCTTCCCAGGCCTTCCACCTGTATTTTATCGACGGGCATGTAAACTACACATAGATACAAATATTTTTCAAATGTGTAATGATGCTAGTTCTAATGAAGAACCTAGAGTTGCTGTAAAAATCTCTTTTAAATTGTTTGTATGTGATTTTTAATGATAGTAGATTATAATATATCTTTCATGATGATGATTAAGTTGTAAGTTTAGTCAAACATCTGTTTATTTAGCAAAGCGATCATGAATATTCCCTTTGCAATTAACACTGATTTAGGGAAGATCTATATTTATAATTAATAGATATTGAAGGTGTGCTAAATATATTTAGGCTCCTGGTTTTTAATTTTTTTCCCCCCCGTTTCTTCCATGTTCTTTTCATTCAATTTGCCGTTTTTGGGTCGGCTTAGAGACCACCCAGATGACCTGCTTATGTATACTTCCCTTTGTGTATATATACTGTGACTGTTTTATTTTAAAAAGCAGGGTACTTTATAATGAAACATTTACTCGCTAGGTACGTCACAGTTTTTATTCTTGTATCCATACAACACCAAGGTTGAAGTTGTTGCATGTACAGTGGGTGGAAGTAAATGCTGTTGCCTGATTGGGCACTTATTTCTGTGTTTCTTGGCCTATTCTGTATAAGAGACATTTTGAACTGGGCTGTCATTACATGATGATATGCTCATTTCTTCTTAGCTGCCCTATGCTTTTTCTCAAAGGAATCACCTATGTATGATCATATTTTCCCTTTTTTGTGTTCAAAAAGATAATGTACTTGCTAAAGTCCCTTGTCAGATGATAACCTTTAATCTTGGTCCTTTTGCCCTAAATGCAGAAATACAGGTGCAAAAAGGGAAATGATTTTGGAGGAGTGCAAATAGAGGGAAGGAAGAGTTTAGAGATACAACAAATACTCCTGTTTGTAAAGACACACCCACAACTCCCCTGAATGTTTAGATTGCTGCTTGGAGCAAACTCTGAGATGAACACGACTGCAACTGATTATTCTAAGTATTGTCTAACTTGCATCTTGCAAATTACATAATGCCTGAGCAAGGTTTCCCTTTTAAAACTTCTGTTACATTCATAAACTGATAGGAAGTTTAATTCCAAGAACCTTAAACTATAAAAATAATACCCTGAATTCTATAAACATCCTTGGTAAGTAGAAAGATACTCATGGGAAGAGATACAGTTATGCATTGCCCAACGATGGGGATACGTTCTTGAGAAGTGGGTCATTAGGTGATTTTGACGCACAAGTGTCATAGTGCATACTCACACAAACCTAGGTAGTATGGCTTACTACACACCTAGGCAATATGGTATAGCCTGTTGCTCCAGGCTGTAAACCTGTACAGCATGTTGCAGTGCTGAATACTGTAGGCAGTTGTAACACAGTGGTATTTGTGTATCTAAACATAGAAAAGGTACAGTAAATTTTATGGGACCACCGTTGTATAAGTGGTTCATTATTGACTGAAATGTCATTATGTGACGCATGACTACTCAACTGTGTGACAACTGGGAAAAGGATGGAAACAAGGGACTTGATTCAGATTTTTTTGTTTGTTTGTTTTGTAAACAGCTTTAAGAATCTTGCTGTTTTTTATTTTCAGAATTCTACTGCTTGGGTTACCAGAATCTTCCCTGATTAAAATGCCTACCATAGCATGCCATCAGTGACTAATGATGATAGCGAGACACCTTGTTAGCACCAGGGGAAAGTGAGATCAGATTAGGTGCATATGACTTTGTGTGAGGTTATGACTGGTACAAGCTTCCTGCTCTTTTGCTAAGGGCTACCACAAAGTTACTTAAAAGTGATTTTATTTTCTTTTCATCACTGAGTGGCTTGATCATAGACTTAGTAAGTTTGTGAACCCCTTCCCCTGAACTTCCAAAACCTTGTGTAGTCTGATTGAATACTGACTATAAACAATAGTCCTGGGTGGCCTGGGCCATTTAAGGGTGTGTATCGTTGAGGTGTAGCGATCATGCCAAGGCATCTCCAACAGAGGCCCTAACTTCAGCTGCCCTCTGCCTGGTTGCTTACACTGCTTATTGTGAGTTTAGAAACCTTTGAATCCATTTTGGGGTAGTCAGCTCCTTTATCTGCTGAGGAAGCTGTGACCTGTGTGTGTCACAGTTCAGATTTTTGACAACACAGAACACTGTCACAGGACACACACAGATGTGACTTGTGTGTGTCAGTGTTGTGTGTTGCCTATAAGCACCTGTAGGGAAACGGTAGGGAGTACCTGAAGGGAATGGTCATCTTAGAACTCCTTTTTTACTTTATTTCATAGCATAGTCTCTGCCTGCCAGTATGATACATTGTAATTTTAGAAGTTCTTTTAAAAAATAGATAGCTTTGACTGTAATCATTATCTTATAGCAACAGGCAGAGGTCTTAATTCTCTTACAGAAGCAAGCTTGAAGATTTCATTCTGCTTTCTTGCCCGCTACACCAGCATTTTCAACCCTAGCTCATGTGTCCTTACATTCATTTCCATAACAACTGTTGTTGAGCCTCAAACTCCAGGGATTATGATTTGAGGTGGGAGTGAATAGCAGGAACCAATGAATGCTTAAATGAGAAATCTTTTAGTAATGTCACAGACTCATCAGAGGAGGGCATTAGAGAAGGAAAGGAAGAATGGAAACGCCACAGGCATCCTGCTGGTATGGTGAAAATGTCCCTCTTTTCCAATTTTCTGTGCCTTATTTCATTGGGAGATATTTTGATTGGCTTTATGTGGGCGGCCTTTTCTTACTAATTCCTTCTTCCTATGAACATTCATCTTTTGAGTATGGTGGTGTCTTAGGCTAGAAAACTGATGTCTGGCCTTTGTAGGTATAAATACCTATTTATACCTGGCTTATGTGATGCCTAGTCTCTGGTCCCCTTCAGTCCATAGCACTGACTGGCCACTTTGAGCATATGGTAGTGAGCTGCAGATATGACTAAGTAAGGCTGCTAGCATTCAGTCTTAGCCATTTAAGTAGTCAGCATATGCTAGTAATGTTTGTATTCAGTATAACTTGGAGGCAAGGTGTTTTTTACTAGCACATTTTGGTTTTCTCGTTGTTGTTATTGTTATTAATTTTTTAAAAAGCTTACATTGGGGATAATTGAGAATAAATGCCTTTGCATTCAGCATGCATGAGATGTTTTGCTTGTGTATAGGGAGGTTGTTGCTTGGGTGGAAGAGTTAGAATTTGTATGTAGAAATGAAGGAAAAATGTGATTTGCAGGGCTACTTTCCAGGTCGACCAAGTTCTTCAAAGTGACAAACATCTCTGTTCCTTTGAAAATTATAGAGACGCTGGTGTGCCCTATCATTAAATGAATTGTCAAAGGCCCTGGATCCTATGGTTTGGATATAAATAGCACATGTGGCTGTGGAAAGGACTCTGTTGAGTGTGGGATTGCCTATGCAATTCCTGCCCTTGTCTCTCTGAGGAATCATGGACTTGAAGTACTTTCTGCTTCTGCTTTATATTGTTTTTATTCAAGGTTCAGATGGTATTGCAAGGAATTGGCATTGGGTATTGAAGGACCTTTCTGTGAGGATGAGTTCTCTGGATAAGAATGATTTTTCTAGCTACAGTCTTGAAGGAAAATTGGAGTCAGATAATCCAAAAACTTCATGTCCAGCCTGGAAGATCCTTTAGAAAAAATTGTTTTTTTCTACTGACAGGAGTTATCAGCACCTGGTTGTGACATATTTGACAAGACTGAACATCAGTGCTTTAAGGAAATGACTCTTGCATGTATAGGCCCACAGCATGGTATTTTCTTAAAGAATTAATTTTTCAGGACATGCCACTATAATAATTTTTAGCAGTGCTTTAGCTAAAGGTGACTTTTGCCTTTCCATTGTCAATGTCACCATGTCGTATTGTCACTTACTTGGGTTTTCTCTCCCTCCTTTGCTTTTTATTTGTCTAGTGTAGGGACAGACTATAGAAGACAACAAGGGAGAACAGGGTTTCTTGATCCTTGTAGGATTAGTATGTTTGTGTATGATGATGGCTCAAATGTAGTCAATGTTCCCCCTTCCCACCCCTTTTACTCCATGTATGTGTTATTGCTTTGGATCAAGAACATCTTGGTTTGTTTCTGTCTTTCTTTTATGTTTGGTTACCAACTGGCCAAGTCAGTGTTCACCTTGTTTCTGGCCCAGTGGAAACACAAACTTGCATGAAAATAGGATATTGAAGTGAGAATCTAACACTCACGGGAATCATTCCATGTTGTCTCCACTGTGCCTGTGATTCTTTGTTTTGCTTGCCTGGCCTTGTCTCCTGTATCTTCCTCTTGACAGCTTGTTTCCTGCCTTTTGATTCCACACAAACGGTGATACCATAGTATGCTTACCCAGACTGGGTCTTTCACTTTTTCCTAGGATGCTTGTGTACAAGGTACTGTCCTTTCAGAACACGCTCATCCCCCTTTGGGTTCTGGATCGGAATCAGATTAATCAGGTGTATGCTGGTAGTTGTGTGTCTGAATTGGTAGTCATGAAGTCTGATTGTCTGGATCGGAATTGCATCATTAATCTGATGTAATTTTAAAATCAAGATACCCTAATAGTATGAGTGAGAATTGGACTAAGTATCTGGTGAGAGTAGGAAAGAGATGAAATATTTCTTCTTCCCCTAAAGGAATTTATAACCTAACTGAGCAATAAGCTTAAACACACAAAATGTTTTTAAAAGTAAGAAGAAAATACGCATTAGAAATCATATTCCTACTTCAGTAGAAAGTGAACAAAACTACATGAATTGGTCTGTTAGAAACTGCTGTAATTGTTAAGAGGCAGGAGAAAGTGTTTCAGGATGGGGTGGAACAGGGTGGTTTAGTAGAAGAAATGACATTCAAGCAGGTCTTGAAGGGTAGCTGAATGGAAGGTGCAGGCCTATGTGGGTGCTGGAAGTAAACAGTTTTTTTGGACTAGTAGCCTCCAAACCTTGAGTATAGACTCACAGAGAAGCTTTAAAGAAACAACACCCAAAACCAAGAAATAGCAACAGTAACAAAACAGATTCCTGCTGTGCACCCCCCATGAAGTCAGAATTATCTGTGTAGGAGGGGGATATGCAGACATGGATATGTTAATGTATTTTTTTCTTTCGTTTTTTTTTTTTTTTTTTTGAGACAGGGTCTCACTCTGTCACCCAGGTAGTGCAATCATGGCTCACTGCAGCCTTGAACTCCCAGGCCCAGGTGATCTTTCTGCGTCAGCCTCCCAACTAGCTGGGATTATAGGCATGAGCCACCAAGCCCAGCAATTTTTTGTAGAGATGGGGTCTCACCATGTTGCCCAGGCTGGTCTTGAACTCCTGGGCTCAAGTGATCCCCAAAGTGGGATATATTTCTAAAAGCTTTCCTGATTCAGATATACTTCTAGCCTTACGAAGATAGGCCTGGAAGGTAACTTGGATCCCAAATGAAACAGTCTTGAAAGCTATCTATCCTAAGGGTGTAGCTTTGGCTTCCTTCTGTGGGCTGTCATTGAAGGCTCTTGAGCAGGGATTTGATGTGATTACAGTGTTATGTTAGGAATATTTATCTGTGGTGAAGAGGCTGTTGGTGGTATTAATAATGAGGTGTGGAGAGGCTTAATTAGACAGTGTACATGGAAAGGAAGGAAAAGATACAAGAACGTTCACACCGGGAAGAGTCAACAAGGTTTGTGGATTGCTGAAATTTGGAATGGGATGGTTAAGTTGTAGATTAGTGGATGTAGATTTATCAATAGAGATTTAAAGTTTTAATCCAGGAGGACAGGAATTAAGTTAATAAAAATTGGTGGAACTGGTTTAAGAGACTCTGGGAAACCACAAGAAGTTCAGCTTCAAACATGTAGAGTGGTAGGTGTAGCCTCCAGTTGGGAACCTTCAGATGAGAAGTTGAATCTGGGTGCAGTGGCTCAAGCCTGCAATGCCAACAATTTGGGAGGCCAAGATGGGAGGATCAGTTGAGGCCAGGAATTCTAGACCAACTTGGACAACATAGTGAGACCGCATTTCCACACACATAGACGCCAGGCTTGGTAGCATGTGCCTTTGGTCCCAGCTGTTTGGAAGCCTGAGGTGGGAGGGTCATTTGAGCCCAGGAGGTGAAGGCTGCAGTGAGCCATAATCATGCTACTGCACTCTAGCCTGGGTGACAGAATGAGACCCTGTCTCAAAAACAAAATCAAACAAACAAAAAAACGAGTAAGTGAAGTTTAACCTAAACAAAGTTTTGTACGGCAACAGCAATTTTGATTTGGTTATGTAAAGATTCATTGTTCATCCAGTAACGGGTTACACAGACTGCAGATAGGTCATAGCGTAAGTATTGAGAAGGGCTGAAGGTTGATTTGGAGGATCTGTAGGTCTTCCCTATGCTGGTTCTTATGAGTGGAAAGTTTCAGAGCTGGACCACTGGTTGGAATGCTGAGGAAGATTAAGGTAATGTAGGTCCACAGTCTCTTTTCACAAATCCTTAGGGATTGAATTCAGAAGTTTATGAATTTTAGAAAGGTTATATGGTACGTGTGTGGTATGTTAATTACATACTACCCTCAGTGGGGTTGTGGGTAGGAACCCCATAATTAAACACATTAAAATTTATTCAATGAAACATATGAATACAGGTTGAGTATTCCTTATCTGAAATGCTTGGGACCAGAAGTGTTTTGGATTTTTTTGGATTTTTGAATATTTGCATTATATTTCCTGGTTCAGCATCCCTAATCCAAAAATCTGAAATGTTTAAATGAACATTTCCTTCGTGTGTCATGTCGATGCCCAAACGTTTCAGATTTTGGATCATTTTAGGTTATGGATTTTTGGATTAAGGATATTCAACTCGTATTTACACCAACTAGGATAAGGGCTTTAAAGTAACCTCACATCTGTTTTGCAGCAAATAATTTCAGCTTAGGTTAAGTTTTACCACTAAATGTATTATAAAAAATCATAAGGATGAGTTTATACTAGTCTGTTTGGACTAGTGTAAAATAAATGTTTCGCACATTCTTCCCTTCCATTTAACCTAGTCTTCACTCTGGGATGCATGTAATGATAACCTGTATCTTGTCTGTTTTGGTGGTAGAATTTTTTTGGTTTCCTGATGGCTCTGAAGAGGTAGAATATACTTTATTGATGTTACTGAAGCAGATCTAGAAAATTAGTGTAAGCAAACAGCTCTGTTTTAAGTGTTGTTGGTGTTTTGTTTCCATGGTAGGGTGTGTGTGTGTGTGTGTGCGCGCGTGCTGAAAGCCATTCAGTCTTCCCTCTCTTGTTGAATGGTGTAAAAGCCTAGCTAGACTGCAGGTTGTGGATGACCAGACTTGGCTCAAAAGAAGCATTCTTAGCATTGCTAGGGGGCTTTTGCAGATTTTGGCTTGTCTCCGATACTTGAGTCATTTGATATTGTAGCCCATGAATTAGGACAGTGTAGTTTCAAGAGCTGAGTCCTGGCTGTTTCCATGGTAGAGTAGTATGCATTGTTTAGAATGTCAGGTGAGCAGTGGCTTTTCTGCCTGTGCATTGCCCATTTAGCAGACTCTCTGCTTTTATACTACATAGATGAATTGAGCCATGGTTTAGAATGGGGAAGGTTTTCTGAGGCTTACCAGTTAAAAAAGGAAGTTGGCTAGAGAGAGAGTCTTAGGCTATAGCCTTCATTTGGCCTAGGGACATTACTTCTAGAGAGACAGGCCTCAGTGTCCTCATTTGTTTGAAAGATAGTGATGTGGGGTTCTATGTGACTCGTAGCAACCTCGCTGTTCCAGCAAATCTGTGGGCTGGGCAGGGTTTGGAAAATAAGGAGAGTCCTTGCAGTTTTGCAAGACAGTTGTTGTGAACAAATGACCCTATTGCATTCCCTGGTTACTCAGCACCCTCTGGACACTGGCCTAGTCATGGGCAATTGGCTGTCCAAATAGCATGGACTGGTCTGCAGCCGGAGCTCTTAGTGAGGATGAGGCACGACGCTTCCCCAGCTGACTGCTCGCGGGAGCATTACCTGGTGTGCAGCTGTTGCCTGAATCCCAAGTAGCATCCAAGTGTAAGGCTGGCACGCTTGCCTCTTCCCATCTTTTTCCTTGCTGCTCTGTGAATATCTGATCGATGGGGCCAGTTGGCTGGGATCCAGCTAAGCCAGCCATGTTGTTAGATGTAGCATTTCTGCCTTTCCCCTTCTCATCTTTTCCATTTTGTCACATCCTAGGATATTGTCTTCCTAATATAACTGGAGAGTTTATTCCAGTGGGAATTGTACTTGACATGCTGGTCTCCATATAAATGATGAGTGATTTTTATTTCACTCTCTGTGGTGTCTTGTGGTTTCAAAAAGTGAGCAGGTGGAAATTTGGAGGGGGTGGGTGTGTTGGTAAACCCTGTGTGGTGAGTTTTGTTTTGCAGCCGTCGTAATGCTTATGTTCATCAGCAGTTCAACAAAACACATTTATTAAATACCTATTGTGTGCCAGCTATTGGAAATAGAAAGATGAATATGGCCACTTTTCTTCGGAGACCCAGCCAGCCTTTCACTGCTGGACAGGCTGCCCATCTGGACTGCTGGGTTGTTCCAGTGGTAGTGCTGGAATTTTAGGTAGTGCTCTGTTTCCTTTGGTAAGTGAAAGAGGAATTTAAAAAGTATAATGCAGGGGCCAGGATACTTGATTTTCTATAAAGGGCCAAATGATAAATATGTAAGCAAATATTGAGATTTGTGGACCAGGCACTCTTTGTCACAACTATTCAACTCTGCCATTGTAGCTGAAATTAAACGTATACACTAACTGCCTGAATGAATGGATGTGGCTGTGTTTCAATGAAACTTTATTTTCAAATGCTGAAATCTGAATTTCATAAAGTTTTCACATCTCCAAATATTGTTCTTTTGATTTTCTTTCAAACCATTAAAAAACACAAAAACCATTTTCAGCTTATAGGCTGCACAGAAAGGCCAGGTTATGTTTACTGACCCCTGGTATAATGCTTTTGTTGAGCATTGGCCTTTATACTAATTCTGCCTCCTTGTCTTCCATCGTTGTCTAAGGAATATCTGCTTGAAGACAGCTGATTTAGCATTGATCAGGTACTGTTTTCCTGAACTCTGGTTTGTGTGGTTTGGCAGCATGGAGATAAACATGGTATTGGCCCAGTGATCTTAACTCACTCCCAGTTTTTTAGGGACAAATAGTGTCCCCCATCAGAGCTGCAAAGTGTCAAAATTTCAGTGCCTGCTCTTGGATAATGAATTCCTGTTAAGTGTCTTGTTTGACTCAGAGTTTGATGTAGAAGAGACTGGGTTCAGGCAGAGGTGTTTTAAATTCTTACTGGAGTGGCTTGTGCTTTGGGGGGATGATCTGAATGGAAATTTTTACCAATAGCAACAATGATAATAGGAAACAGTGTACTTTTATGTCTTGAAAAGCAGAGACAGTGCAGAATAGACCCACTGGAGCCTTGGATGCTAGGAGGCAGATGTTGTTTGTAGGTGTGTTTGGCCTGAAAATTGAGATGTTGATATTTTTTTTCTAAACTTTTTTTTTTTTAAATGAAAGGCCTTTCCTCTTCCCCTGCCACCAAAGATGAAATGCCAGTCCCCAATCAGATCCTTGCTTATTCTGTTCTTATGGTTACATAACGCAACTGAGACCGAAGTAAGCAAGAGAGGCTCCTAGGGTGCCTAGGTGTGTAGTGGACCTTTCATTTCTGACAAATATTTTGATACTTTGGCAGAAAATTCAGAATGTGTGAACAAAGTAAGGTAGAGCAGTCTGGTGTTGTGGATTTTCCTTCCCCCTTTATTGTGTTCATTAGAGCACTGTCTATTATTTCCTGCCTTCTTTGGGCTCTGAAGAATATTTTTAGCACTGAAATTTGTCTTTACTACTGAACCCTGCCCAGCTAATACAATTTTGTAACAATTGATTACCGCTAAAATGGTTACCTCTCTTTGTCAATACTACACCCATCCAGATCTCAGTGAGGAAGTAAGATTTCAACACCTAAAGAACCAAAATGGATCCCTTCCCAAAAATTAGCTTTCACTAAAGTCCCCTTGAACGCTCAGAGCCTATTTATTAGTATTTTATTCACATTTAGCCCAAAGTAGATTATCAATTAGAAGTGAATTGGAACTAGCATCCTGATAGCAAAATAGGAAGCAGAGAAAGATAGAACAGATATTAGACTCTCTGAATGTGGTGTGTCATTTTGTGTCACAGTATCTTCTATTTGGAGAATAGAAAATGATTTCTCTGTTGGAATTGTATAGATTATCTTCTTGAGTGAAAATAGGGCTCAGATTGAGGAGGTCAGATAGAATAAAATAATTTTTCTTTCTTAAAGTGGGCCATCATGCTTTGAGAGATCCTATTGTGCCTCTCTGATTGGATGTTTTGTTACTTTTTACTACAGCATCAGTATCCTTGCCAGAACCAAATTTCCTATAGGCTTTATGTAGTCCACTAAGGGTAAATCATGTTGCAGTAACAAAAGCTCAGTGGCTTTATAACAATAGAGGTTTATTTCTCACTCATATGTCCATAATAGGTAGGCTGTGGTTCTGCTTCACTTTTCCTTCACTTTGGGATCCAGGTTGATAGATCATTTGTTATATGGCATTTTACCCTTATCACAGTGGAGGGAAAGAGAGATGTGGCAATCAAGAGCTGACTCTGTGATTTCACTGGCCACTCCCAAATCCACCAGGCCAGGGAAGTGCTGATGGTCCTTCCCCAGGGAAGGGTACTGAACACTACATGGCCAAGACCAGCAGTGGGTTGGGAGGTTGTTATTCTCTCCCAGAGAGGGACAGACAAAATTTTGAAATAATACCACAGACTTGATGGTTGGCCAGATTTATGCAGTCTCAACTGGGGAACCCATATTCTTTTGGAGCACCAGTTGTTTAAAAAACAACTTTTGGCTTGCAAATATTTCAGTGGTCTGATTTTCATCAGCATTAAAAGCCTAACAGAGTATAGTATTCAAGTTGTAGGTCTTATTTTCATTAGCATTTTCATGTTTCCAAAAGCCTTATTTCTTTTAGACCTAAATAAATTACTTTGGGTCTGTGGATTCTAATTTGCATGGCTCTACTTAGTTCAGGGGGCCGGGTTGTAGGGGTGATCTCTGAACCTACAGAAACATTTGGCATATGATCTTCCACCTACCACCAATTTGTATTTTGGGTAAATGATGCCAAGAAGTGTATATTATAACTGATATCTACTTCCTGTTGCCCAAAATACCTGAGTAGATTCATGCTAACTCTTCACCGTATCATTACTTATCTGTTGATTAGCAAGGAGCCCAGGAGGAGAGTGACATCTTGTTCTTCCATAGCCAATGGAGTGGCAGCTAACTGCCCCTACCTCTGTTCAATTGTAGTGTGAGGCATCTGATTAAAGCTGAAACGAGGAAGTTCTGTTCAAGAAGGGTTCATTTTTCTTCCTTCTTTCTCCCTCTTTGCTGGAGAAGAATAACATTTGCTGGTTTGATAGGAGCCAAGTGCTGATGCTAAAACCCGGTGTAAAATCAGACCACATCTTTTACCCTTGCCAGCCAAACTGAGGACTTGAAAAAGTCAAATCTGTCTTGTTTCAGACACCTCTCAAAATATAATTCTGCTGATGCTGGGCAGCCATAGGTGCTTTGGCATTTGGGAGTGAAATTTAAAATCTCTTGCTGCTGGTGAATGATAGGATGGATGTGGAGTTTCTTTGTCTGTGCCCTTCAGAATATGCAGCAGCCAGCTGCAAATGATGGTCTAATTTGATGTGGTGACTCCGTTTGAAAGCGGAAGCTGCCGGTTTCAGACCGGCTCCCTGTAGGATAATGAATTGTCATGCCTCTGCTGATTATCTAACAAGTTTGTACAACGTGTAACACAAGCTGACAAGACAAACAATTTTATTAATTTAAGCCTGCTGCTAATGGGATTGCAGTGCTATATGAATGTAGGAGTATTATACGCAAATACAAGAGTATGCTACTCTACACATACTTGTAGTCTGGGTTTGATAATGGGAAGTCTATTAATTTTTTTAAACAATGTTTAGTGTTTCCATTTGTTTTCAAAAAAGAAAATTCATTTGGATTTGAATTGAAAAATATTTATGAATGCTTGGGGATTTATGGAGCTTAAAAAAGGCTATCAGCCTTTGAAGTATTAGAGCTGATAAATGCCAGTGGGCAGTAGATAAACTTTTGGTTGTTATAAACCAATTACGCTAGAGGAGCTTTTGTCTTAAATGTGTCTAGAGTTTGGTTGTCAGTTGGGAGAGTGCTAGGGCCTGTGGGGAGATGGATTCTATTTTCAGTTTGCGGCCTTTGATCTGTAGTATTTTTTTCAAATCATCTCATGTTCTTATAAACTTGATAATTTAAGGTAGTTGAATCTTGAATTGTTGACTAGGATTGATTAGCTATGTTTATGAAAGGAATTTATCATCTAAGATAAACTGGGGCAGGAGAGCAGAGAGGGGACTAGAGCCAAGCTCTGTAAGTGTGTTTTGTGTAATTAAAATGATCACAAATTAGAAAATAATATGGTGGGGGTATGTTTTCCTTTTTATCTTCATTCTTGTGAAGCAGAAGCTGTGTTGTAGAATGTAGCGCCTTTAGGCCTTCCACTGTCCTTAACTCTGCTTCTTCTTGTATCTTCCTCCATATCTAGAATTCCTTTTTCCCACCAGCCTCTTCTTTAGCCATTCCTCTGGGATCTTGCCCTCCAAGGCTTATCTTCTGCTAGGATATGTGGCGACTTAGAATCTGAGCTTCCCCAAATCACTTACCTGTCCCCAAATAAATTAGATGTACAGCTTCTTCATTTCTTAAGAGGTAGAATTGCCAGATGGCCACCAGGAATAATTTGCATATATTTGCACAACGGTACATATTTTAAGAATTTTCAGGTTCTCTTCCTAATACTAATAAAAATATTATTTGTTTAAATATAAATGGTATTAATCTGTGTATCTGCCACTTTCTGAAAGCTTTTTTAAAATACTTTTTAAATTGAGGTCAATATCCAGTCATTTGTATACTGTGCAGTAATCTTAAATGTAAATATATGTACAATTAAATATATATATCTATATGCATAAACCAGTGTATCTACCACCCAAATCAAGACATAGAAAATTTTTAGTATCCCAAAAATTTCCCTCATGTCCATTTCCAGATGGCGTTTTTTATGCCTTGAAATAACCATTATTCCACATCAATTAGTTATGCCTTCTCAAACTTCAGTCAGTGCAATCATACAGTAGGCAGCCTTTAATATCTGGCTTTTTTCATGCAATGTAATGTCTGTGAGATTTATCTTTGCTGTTATTTATATCACTAGTGGTTCTTTTCTGTATAGTATTCCATTGTTTCAATAAACTACAGTTTATTCTCTTGTTAATGATCATTTAGATTGTTTCCAGCCTGGGTCTATTATGATAAAGCTGCTAATGAACATTCTTGTGTCTGCCTTTTGGTGGATGCGCACATTCGTTTGTTTGTGTATATCTAGGAATTATATTGTTGGGTCATCCAGTAGATGAATGTTTAGCTGTGGTTAGTACTCCCAAACACTTTTCCAATGTTACTATATGGAAAGTTGTTCCACATCCATGCCAACACTTGGTGTTTTTATGTTGTTAGTTTTAGCTATTCAGATCTGTTTATAGTGGCATCTCAGTTGGTTTTAATTTACATTTCTTATGTGGAGCAACTTTTTGTAAGGTTATCAGGCATTTGGATATCTTTTGTGAAATGCTTGTTCAGGTCTTATAAAGATTTTAGTTTTTGGAATTGGGTTGTTCATCCTTTTCTTATTGATTGTTAGGAGCTGTTTGTATATTCTGAATGTGACTTCTTAGTTGAGTTGTTTTGTGAATATCTTCTAATTTGTGGTTGCCCTTTGTACTCTCTTAATGGCTGACAGTGTTTCTTAAATGTTTCTGAAAATGTTTCCTGTGTTCTTAATTTCTTTGTGTTTGAGAAGACATTCATTTCTTGTCTTCTCTTTATTTTTGAAAAGCTTCCCTGCTGTTGATGCTCCTGCCATGCTGGAATATAAGTATCAATATAACTGTAAGCAATCGCTATGCCGCAAGATCTTCCTGACTCTCAGAGGAATACTAGGTTTCCTTGTAAGGCACCCACACAAAATTTACTTTGGAGAAAGTTAAATTAATGTTATTACATAGAAGTGATCATAGTTGCCATGTTATTGTGAACTTACTATGCAAAGTCTAAGCATTTTTAAACATGTATTCATTTAAGTCATAAAACAGTATTGTTGATTATGTACTGCTAGTACTATCCACATTTGACAAACAAGGAAATCAAAGCTCACAGAGGTCTCCTGTGGATAGAATACCAGACATGGTATTGTTGATCTTGCAACATTATGTCCTTATGTCATTCACAGCTGGGGATCTGTTCTCCCTACTTACTTTAGTGAGATTTTAGTGTGTGCAAAGCGTATCTGTAGAAAGTCAGTTAGAAAAGACACATCCCCTATCCTCAAGGAATTCCATGTCCTATCCTGTGAATTGCCTCTGTTTAGTTAAAAGGTTAATAGTATATCAGGGGATTTTTGCATATATGACTAATGGTTTTTTTTGTTGCTATAATATTTTCATTATAAAATATCTGATGTATATGGCAACTATGTTGAAACCTTGGTTTGATTTCAGCATTTACTACTACCTGATCATATGGTTTTGATATTTAAATTTTTATAGTAGAACCTTGCTAATATTTTAAACTAATATGTAATCCATTTTGATTTAGTGAAAAATTGACATAGCAATTTTCAAAGGGAGGAGATACATTTGTGTCAGATTTTTAAAGTAGCAGGCTAGGCACGGTGGCTCATGCCTGTGATCTCAGCACTTTGGGGAGGCTGAGGCAGGAGGATCACTTAAGCCCAGAAATTTGAGACCAGCCTAGAAACATAGGGAAACCGTATCTCTACAAAAAATTAAAAAATTAGCTGGGCATGGTGGTGCATGCCTGTGGTCCTGGCTCCTCGGGAGACAAAAATGGGAGCATCGCTTGAGCCCAGAAGGTTGAGGCTACAGTGAGCTGTGATTGTGCCACTGCACTCTGGCCTGGGCGACATAGCAAGATGCTGTCTCAAAAATAGATAGATAGATAGATAGATAGATAGATAGATAGATAGATAGGCAGGCAGGCAGATAGGTGGTAGCAGATACATACTGCTTAGTAGACAACTTGCAGACAAGTCAAATGAATCGATAAGAATCGTCAGAATGTAGTATGTGACTTAAGATGGTGTCTGTCAGGCTTTTTTACTGTAACAGAATGTTCTCTAATCAAATAATAAACATTTCATGGTGAGGTGCCTTGAAACTATATAAAATCAAATTAATTTTTATCAATATGGACTCTTGGTTTGATACTTTATTCAGTGAGTTATAATACATTAATTTTTTTGTTTGTTTTCATACTTAAATTGTCCCTGATTTGGCCAGTGAGAGCTCTTAAAGCTAGTTCCTGTGTCCTTTTGATGTGTCCCCATCCTTCTTTGATCCATTTCTTGCTTTGTGGGATGAGGCTTAGTTTAAACTATCTCCAGGTCAGCCCTAGAGTCAGCCATTTTGCCAAGGAATCTTGTTCCTTTTAGTAGAAAATGGTATCTAAAAGTCAAGACCTTGCCATCAGATATGCTCATTGCTACTGGAGTGTTGCTTGCCCCCAGACCATCTCAGTTGATAAGCTCTAGAGAATACATAGGGGCATATACATCCATACGTATATTTATGTCTGTATGTATTTCTGTAACTCCATATTTATGTTGCAAACCATATATCCACACCAACACCTCCAGTTCCAATCCAACACCACAGGGTTCAGCTAGTTTTCTCCCTTTCTGTATTTGTAACTCCCTTCTCCAACAGTGAGAAGCCTTTGCTTCTGTTACCTTTAATGTATTTACTGATTTTATCATTTCCCCTGTGTGTAACAAACTGTCGCATTTCTGCTGCCAGCCTCTCCTCTAGGAATGTACCCTATAGTGCCCCAATCAGGACCTTCCTTCTCTCCCCAGGTGGGCAACCTGCTCGACATACTTGGGCTCTTGTCTCTCCCACGTGTCTCTCTTACCTGGCTTGGTTTCGGACTCCTCATGACAGGCTGCCCTCCCTATGGACTCCCCTCAGTCCACTTGGGCTCTGGCACCAACATGCCAGACTTGCTCTGGAAATGTCATCTTAGTCCCTTCATGATTTGGATTTGCACTTCTTTGACTTATTTCATTCATTAATCATTAATCTGTCTTGTTTATTTATTATGTGAGAGACCGGATGAGGAATGGAAAAGGAATGGACTTTAAAGGGTGGGCTAATTGTGTCGGAAACCAGCCCCATCACTAGTTCTGAGATAGTGGGAGGATAACTGTATTTAGTTCTCTGTTTGAATGCATAAAGTGGGCACCATAATGATGACTTTTCAGTTGTTGCTTGGTAAATGAAGTTGAATAAGATAACACATAGAAGACATTTAACAAACATTACTGTCTTTTTGTTTGCTTTCAAGAGGAATCTAATCACCTGCTCATAGCCTGTTAAGGGCAAAGTATTTTGTTTGACTTTAATAACACTATTAATTTTGAACTTTCCTAGCTTTGCCTAGGAGAATCATTATGTGCCTTGATGTCAGTAAGAAAGATTAGTTATGAAGTTAATGTATAACTTTGCAAGAGTCTAAAAAGGCACCTCTCTGCCATACATTTCGCCTTTCTGCCTTCTCTTTGCCAACATTAAGGGAAGAGCCTCCACAAACTTTTTTCCCTTAACCTAATTATCTTTATATCCAGTAGCCCTTTGGTATTAGCTTTTCATCTGACTTTTCCTTTCTTTACTTAAGTTGCTTACTCATGCCTTCAAGCACTGAGGCCCTACTAAGTGCTGGGCCATTTGGTGGTTGCTGGTATTGCAAGGATGCAGTCCTGATGAACCAGAAACTATATTGTAATCGCAAACTGTATTCTCAACGAAATTCTAGATCCTCAGAATTCTGGTTTATATCATAATCTTTAGAGAACATTTAAACCGTATAAAAAGATTTCAGAAATAGATTTCAAGTGGTATATTGCTCTCCATATATACCTTAACTAGGACTTCTGGAAAGCATAGTTTTCATCACATCTCCATATGGTTTTCTAGGCCACCTACCTCTATCATCTTGGCCATCAAGTACAAAATTAGCATGCTGAAGAATTTTGAGTATTTTGCCTGCATCTCATTACAATTAAACTTCTCTGACTTCAGCTAAGTTAATCTTCCCCACATCCCAAAAGTTTCTTTTTGTGTGAGGGTTTTGGGGAGGACAGCATTTTCAAATATCTATATGTAAATTCCTTTATAAAGGAAACCCCAAGATTCAAAAGCTGTCTGTGGTTATCATTTTCTCAGTTACAGTTTGATAAATTCTTAGAATTTCAAGGTGTGAGAGCTGTGGTCAGCATGTCTTCAAGTATATTGGGGTATTTTACCCCCTCAGTTAGCTGAGAAAGTATCAACCAAGGGAAGAAAGCTATACAACACCAAAAAATGAATATGATGAGTATAGAAGGAGATTTACGGAGACTTTAAACACATAATCGTATACACACTGTTCTGTAACACTTGTCTCTTCTGTCTTTTCCTAGAAATGTTTGCTTTTGAAAACCTGAAAGTTGTTTGAACTTTTATTATCCATTGTTCGAAGCTAGCATTCATCTGATTTTATTATTGGTCATTTGGCCCCATTCTTTATACCCATCTTTCCTTGAAACCTGTTAAAATTAGATTCCTTCCTCTGCCAAAAGCAGTTTCTCTTATTTGCTCATAGCCCTTGATTTTTAAAGTTACCATTTTTTAGTTTTCCTTTGAAGGTGCATCTTCCGTATAGCAGTATGATTGTTACAGTATTTTCCAGAGGCTTCTACATTGGTACATTTTTGTTCAAAAAACTACTGGCTGTTTTTAAGCATGCTCAAGAACTGTATTCCAGAAATTAATTGATGTAAGATTAAATTGTAGGTCCTTCATATTGATGCTTGGAAATACCCGAGGCTCTCATTTATAATTATTCTAGTAATATGGTGGAAGGAGTTTTGGTGTGAGAGAAAGAGATCTAGATTTTCTTCCTTGATCTTCCATTTCCTTGCTTTGTGGGCACAGGTGAAAACATGGCCACACCGAGCTTGATTTTATATCTGTAAATGAAAAAGTTTACAGTAGACTAGGGGAACACATGGAAATGTCCTCAGGGCTCAGATTGATAACTTTATTAGTTTGCTAGGCCTACCATAACAAAATACCATAGACTCAATGGGTTATACAACAGAAATTTATTTTCTCACAGTTTCAGAGGCTGGAAGTCCAAAATCAAAGTGCCTCTTGTTGTCCCTTGGTCTCAGGTTTGGTTTCTTCTGAGACCTCTCTTATTGGTTTGCAGATGACTGCCCCCTTGCTGTCTCTTCATGTCCTCTCTGCACATGTACCCCCTACGTCTCTCTGTCCTAATCTCCCCTTATGGGAGCACCAGATTAGGACCCACTGTAATGGCCTCATTTAAATGTAATCACCTTTTTAAAGCCCCATCTCCAAATACAGTCACATTCTCAGGTACTTGCTTAGGGTTAGGTCTTCAACATATGGATTTTGGAGGAGCATAGTTCAGTCTATGACAGTTACCTAAACATAGTTGGCAGCTTAGTCTAGTAGAGAGAATACTTTGCCCTCATCTTTATCTCTGCAACTATGACTGAAACTCAAGTTTGTCTTGATATGTGATGCTGACTGTTATGGGTCTCAGAGTGTCTGAAGCAAGCTTGACACTCTTAAGTAACTTCTAAATTCAGTTAGTAGCTGTTACAGGTTTGTAAAATTCTCTGCATTTTATTTTTAAGGAATAATTGTAAAAGAAATTGTATATGCAATGGCATCATGTTTTGCTGTTTGGGACCATGCAGTCAAGCTGGCTAAATATGTAGGTAACTTCATCAAATGTACATAATCTGTATCAGGGTAGTCCACCTCTGAAAATTCTAAGGAAAGGATTTAAAGGAAGAGCCAAGCTTTGTGCCTAAAGATGTTTACTGTAACCTGGCCTCTCAGAAAAGGTAGAAACAGTCTAAATAGCCAGAAATAGGGGAATAGTGAGCACATTCAGGTGACAAAACTCCTAGAACTCATGTCACATAGAAATATGTAATGCTGTCATTCTAATCTGGAATAATTCTGGTATAAAATATATATAAATGTTACTTAAAATCAAGCATGTGAGGCTGGACATGTTGGTGCACACTTGTAGTCCTAGCTACTCGAGTTCTTTGCACTCAGAAATTCGAGACCAGTCTGAGTAACATAGTGAGACCTGTCTCATAAAATCAAGCATATGTGCACATCATATATATACATTCAGTCAAATTAATTTTTTTTGAGACAGAGTCTTGCTCTGTTGCCCAGGCTGGAGTGCAGTGGCAAAATCACAGCTCATTGCAGCCTTGATGTTCTGGGCTCAAGAGATACTCCTGCCTCAGCCTTTCAAGTAGTTAGGACTACGGGTGCACACTACCATGCCCAGCTAATTTTTTTATTTTTTGAAGAGATAGGGTCTCACTTTGTTGCCTAGGCTGGTCTCAAACTGAGCATGATTTTTGTTTCCATTTATTTCTATTAATAATAATATGATACTTGTTAAATTGATTTATTGATAATTGACAGCAGGTGATCTTTTTTTTAAGGAAAAACTTACGGACAAAAAAACCCAGGACTATTCTATTTACTAACTTAGTTTTTGGTATCATTCTTATTTTAAGTAGTTATGAGGATACTTTTTCTGCATTATGTTTCAGAAGCACTAGTATTCTAGAAAAGCGTAGGGCCAGGCAGACATGGTGGCTAATGCCTGTAATCTCAGTATTTGGGGAGACTGAGGGAGGAGGATTGCCTCAGCATAGTGAGACACTGTCTCTACTCAAGATTAAAACAAATCAGCTGGATGTGATGGTGCATGCTTGCAGTCCCAGCTACTTTGGAGGCTGAGGTGGTTGCAGTGAGCTATGACTGAGCCACTGCACTCCAGCTGGGGTGACAGAGCAAGACCCTGTCGCAAAAAAAAAAAAAACAAAAAAACAAAAAAACAAAAAACCCAAGAGAAAGAAAAGCATAAATTGAAACCTACTGACATACATTGCTGATTCCTATTAATTTCAAATAATGATACAATTTTTTATGGGATAGTATGTAATTCTAAACTGAATATTAGCGATTTCATAAGAGCAAACTGAAGGTTGCCATTGACTTTTTACTTATTGATAATAAAAAACACTTTTTGTTTCTTTTGCCATAGGAGCTATCACCTACCCTGTGGCCATTCCCACACATTATGTGTACTTCCACTTCCACATCTCTTTTGGTTAGCTCCACTGAGTAGGTACAGTGTGTGTGTGAATGCGAAGTATTTTAATAGTGCAATTTGGCTTTTCATGGTCCTTAACTCTGGAAGGAACTCCATGCTCATTAAGTTTGTGGTGTTGCTGTATTGCAGATGCTGCTGAAGGCTTCCTCTGCCCTAGGCTGCCATCTTTAGTTTGCCTGCATAGAGTAGAGTAACAAAACCAAACCAAATCAGAACTTTGACACCGATGTGGCAGGCTGTGCTTATTATCAGAATATCTTTTAATGTTTGTGTATTTGAGTTTTCGTTGAGCTGATTTTCAGAAATGCTGTCTTTTTAAATTTCCCATTTGCATTTCTGTGTCAAAGTAAAGGATTTGGAATCTGAAAAAGAATAATGTCTAACTTGGTACCAAATAATGTTTCCAGGACTGGTTTGAAGGATCAGATGTGAGTTTTTCAAATTGGAACCTTTTCTAATGGGCCCCTGGGAAATGTCTTAGCTAAATTGCAACAGTGACTGGTGAAGTCGATCGAGGTAAATTGCTCCCATTGCTGAGGGTTCAGAAACCAGGCAGTGGAAGCTAAAATTTCAGGGGAAATCGGGCGGAACTATTGCAGATGGTTTCCCCCTTGAATAGAGATGGGGGTTGGTGTCGCTGTTGATGAATGGGAGGAGATTAAAGCCTGATTTTTGCAACGAGTTGGTAACATTCTCTTTGGGAGACTAAAGAGGAATTTATGAGAAGACCATCAGAATCAGTTAGGTGATTATTTTCAATTTTGACTACAAATGACATCTAGGAACACACCATGATGCCACTGGACTCTGTAGTGGTCTTTATTAGAAAAGTAGCAACAAGAGACTTTTTGTGATGTTTACCCTCAGTGAGCTCAGAGGTCGAGGAATTGCCCAGAATCTTGCAGATTTTCATTTAACAGTCAACCATTGAGCATTTCTGATTTGCATTTAAAAAAAATGAACCTGGCTGGTTTTGACTATTTGTGGTGATATGTTAGAATACAGATCCTCATGCAAGTATTTGTGATTGGCACGTCTCACTCAGACATATGTCTCACTCAGACATCTTCTTTGTGTTTGAGGAAGCCCCTTAAGCTCTGTGCACAGTGAGAATAGTAAAATATCACAGAATCGTGTGGCAACATTAGGCCCTTAGTAATTGGTAAAACTTGATACTAACAACATCTGTCTGTCCATTTTTCTCAATCTCTTGTAAGTGCTGAGAGTACTGAAGTAAGGACCAAGCTTTAAATCCTTCAATTAAATATTTCGAGGCTGAGGCCTGGAGAGAATTTCTTGTATTTTAGCTCCCTATGACTCTTGGAAATTCTTCCTTTATAGAAGTTTTAGAAGATTAAGGCCTCCAATTAAGAAAGATAAAGGATCTAATGGCTCCCTTAGCTGATGAGCATTGTGTAACCATCAATTGAATGGGCTGAACTTAATATAATTAATAGGTTTGCAGCACTCCCACACCTATTATAAGATCATATTTTGACCCATTTTTCATTTCTTCTTTATAAGCATTTAGATGTTTATGTGGCATTCACATTTTAATATTCCTTGGATGAACATGGCATCATATGATTAGAAAACCAAAATTCATTTTTGATGGCTGTTGTGGTCAGATCGTGTCCTCTAAAATTCATGTGCTGGAAACTTAATTTCTAGTGTTAACAGTGCCGAGAGGTAGGGGCTTTGGGAAAGTTTAATGGATTAATGCCCACATATAAGGGCTTGTTGGAGGGAATTTGGGCTCTTTGTTGCCCCTTCCATCCTTTCTACCATGTGAGGACGCCACACTCCTCCCCTTTGGAAGATGCAGCAAACAAGGTGCCATCTTGGAAGCAAAGACTAAGCTCTTACCACACATCGAACCTGTTGGTGCCCTGATCTTGGACTCCCAGCCTACAGAACTGTGAGGAAGTTAAGTTTCTGTTATTTATAAAATTACCAAGTCTCAGGTATTGTGTTATAGCAGCATAAATGGACTAAGACAATGCCAAAGGTGGCACTTGCCATAGATCTGCTGTGATGATATCAACTCTTTGCTTTCCAGGAGTTAAAGCTTTGGATTCTGATGGGTTGATTTTCTTTTGTGTGGACCCTTGTACTGGTTACTATTTAATAGTTCTTTTCTTATCTTAGGCCGGGCGCGATGGCTCATGCCTTTAATCCCAGCACTTTGGGAGGCCAAGGCGGGCGAATCACGAGGTCAGGAGATCAAGACCATCCTGGCCAACGTGGTGAAACCCCGTCTCTACTAAAAATACAAAAAATTAGCCGGGCGTGGTGGCGGGCACCTGTAGTCCCAGCTACTCAGGAGGCTGAGGCAGAATGGCGTGAACCCAGGAGGCGGAGCTTGCAGTGAGCCGAGATGGCGCCACTGCACTCCAGCCTGGGTGACAAAGCGAGACTTTGTCTCAAAAAAAAAAAAAAAAAAAAAAAAAAAAAATAGTTTTTTTCTTATCTTACCGTCTCCCAGAATTGCTATTGCCAAAATTTGGTGCAACTATGTATTTTTCTGTTTTCCCCACCACTGTTTGTATGTAATTTAGGCTGAGTTCCTCCAGGCTCTGGTGCCTGCGTTTTGTGGTTTGTAAAGTGCTGTGTACTTTTATAGCCTCTATAAATAACAAAATACAGCTCATGGCAATAACACTGTGGCACCCTAGATGTTTAGATATAGTGTGTGTTAGATGGGAAGAGAGAGAGATATATCTAGGGTACAAAGTGGCTAGCTTGCAAAACTTAATCGTCACTTACTCATCCTACTTCTCATTTTTGTTCATTTGTTGATGGCATTCCTTTATCTTTGGGACATTTTATATGTAATGACTAGGTGTGGTGCCGTTCTCCTCTTCTCAGTATCCCTTCCCCCATCCCTTTCCACTGTTTAATGTAGTAGACATGAAGAGGAGAAGAGCTGGTTCACAGTGTGGTGAGATTTCCAACCAGATGCTTGCATGGTGGGGGCCCAGCTTCCTATCCTGGTCTTCCTGTTTTGTTTCAGTAGATCACCACAGCTGCCTTCTTATATGTGGGAGATGTGAAGCTAGGCCCTCGAATCTATTTCTATTAGCCCTGTCAATATAGTTTGATAAAATGCAAATGTCTTTGAAATGGTAGACTTCCAATTAAAAGGCTCCAGCAGGGAGTCTGTTTTGATAATGAAAGTGATTAAGAAGGTTCTATTTTCTTCCATTGGTATGAATGTTCAGCTAAAATAGCTTGGCTTTTTGTCTGTAATTGGACTCTGCTAATGAGGTTCTAATAACTCTTAGGTTCTAATAATGATTCTAACAAATCTATTAATTCTCTTCATTGATCAGTGCTGGGGACCAGAACACAGTCTCTGGATAGCAGTGTCATATAAGGTTGTAAATGTCATTCATTTCCCTTTCTCCTTCATTCTAAAGAATCAATGGAGCAAATGTTTATTTCCTTAAATTCTATAATCTTATATAGATACATCTTACCTCTGAGTAGAGCCAGACATATATGGTATATCAGTACGCATGTTAGGAATTGCCCTCAAACCCTGCAGTTTATATTAGGCCTTGAAGCATTGGTTTTGGTGTGGAAAGAGGGGCTGCAGAATAAACACATTCACAGAAGAAGACTAGGCACCATCTGAAGCCTAATTTTTAGAACGTTCATTCTGTTCAACCCCTTTCCATACGTACCTGTCAGCCCCTGGTAAAACTAGGCTTGATAATTGAATATGCCGCAGCTCTTTAGCCAGCATAATCTGGGACATAGAATAGGTTGGTGGGGGTGAGCTGCCATGGTTATCTCTCACCACCTCATTAGCGGCCTGTCACCTTCCATCTTTCGTTATTAGAGGCAATGTTTGTGTTCTCTGATTTTAATCAAAATCTGTCTTTTAACTGACTACTTTTCTATCTTGTTCACTGTTCATTCTCAAAGGTCCTTATACTTTTCCCTTATAACAAACTTGTGAGGCAGAATTACAAGTAGGAGAGGATTACAAAGGGATTAGAGTGGCAAATACCTGTTTTGGGTATGCTCAGTGACTCAGAATGGCCACCAAACTTGCTTTGTTATGTAAGTTCATAATTTCCATTTATAATTGTGGCCTTGTCAGTATAGCCGTCTGAATCACTGGGGACTTTTATGGAACAGAGAGGTTTTCTATGATCTTGATAGTTGAGGAATGTTTTCAAATGAAGGGATAAAACTGACTAAAAATTTAGAGACGATGAGTCTTTGTGTGAACATCCCTGTGGTTGGAAGAGCCATTTTTCTCAGGTTTCCAGCTTGTATAGATGGTGCTCATATTATCTATAGCTAATCAAATAGCAGAGTTGTGGTTTTTATTTAAATATCAGAATGACAAATTACAATAGAATTATATTTTACCCAGGGGTAGAATCTAAGGTCAGAGTATGAGACGAAAATTGTATATAGTGAAAATTATTCTTGAAAATCCATTTAGTGTCGTTTTATTCAAACTGAAGTGCTTCAGGATGGTCAGATGCATTGTCTAGGATCAGGAACAGTTTATAGTCAAGTCCTTTCTCTTTTAAGTACAATTGGGAGGGGACAGGGCTGGATGGATAACCATCAATATTTAAAGTTATTTCCCACCTCCCTGACTCCTCTCCTACCTTCTTTATCTCAGAGAATATAGTTATATACCAATAAGTTAAATATGTGTATATGGCAAATTCTTTGTCTTCATGGCATCTCTGGAGTTTATAAATGAATTGCTCCTGGATAAGTTAATGCTGCCATATGGTTTGTGTATCAGGAGACTGAACTGGGGATAGTGAGGTCTTGATACTGCTGGTAAAAATGTTAGCTGCTGGCGTAGAATTAAGAGTGGTCAAGAGAGGGCTTGGGTTTGTTTCTCGAAGCCCAAAAGTATTAGGTAGAGTGTTTTTTTTTTTAGAAGTGACAGTAGTAAACTCCGTTTCCTCAGGGTGCTAACTAATCAGAAGCCTGGGCTGTCTGTCCACAGGTCAGGGAGACGGATGCTCATCTTTGCCAAAGGGCAGGATGTAAACATGTTTGCCAGCCCTGTTGAATTCTTTGTGCTATTACTTGGTGATTTCTTCTACCTGGAGTATTGAATTCCTGCTGAATTCAGAGGACTGAACTTAAATTGCTATTTCTCTCTAGCAACCTGTCCAAATAATTCTGGTCACCTCTTTTTCTGACAGTCCCTCCCTGGTTTCTCTCTGTTACTTATGTTTTGACCAGCTTCCATTCCTTGTCCAGATCTGTTTATTCCATGTATCTTGTTCCTGAGTGGGCTTCTTCGAAATTTCTTTTCCTTGTATAATGTTGATGGAATCTTAAAAAAAAAATCTGGGTGTTTGTGTGTTGTATATGTGTATATATATAAATGCATATATAGATAGATGTATTTAATGAGGAATTCCATATATATGTTTATATTCCCTTTCCTTTTCCATTACAAAGGCAACTGTATGAACCAGAACAGTGCCCTTTTTGTAGCCCACTGCTGGAGTGTGCATTGCTTAATCCTCTGTTGCTTTTTAACTCTCAGCGTGTAATGAATTAAATAGTTTTTTACCCTTCCTGATAAGGATATTTATGAGTCAGGGTGGCAGAATTCCATAGTAGCACATTAGTGTCTGCTTTGAGTTGACACATTCATGTGAGGTATCCTTCTGAATGGAGGGAAATGGAAGTGCTTTGGGACCTTGCTGCTGCCTAACCTTCCAGCTTTGTGCCACTCACCGTCACCGGTGTGCAGGGTGGCAGGCAGTGGATACCAGGGCCCAGAAGGTCTTAAACCTGCAGAATTGTGTGCACTCATTGCTTAGATATTTCCTTAGCACAACTATAGAACTTAAATATTTTTCAGTATCATGTTAGCCACCAGGGAGTGGAGACACGAAAATGTTTCTAAAAGTAAATGGGGATGGTGGGTGGCTGAGTCAGGGTGAAATACAAATAAATACAATGTTTTGTAGAATAAAAGTACTTTAAGAGAGGCACACAAGTAAAATAACATTCAAAGGATGAAAGAAATTTGAGGCTTGGAATTACATAGCTTGATATTGCTGTAACTGGTACTAAGGATAAATAGCAATATCATTTTGCATACCTGCACTAATTAGATCACTTTACCTGCACTATCTAATTGGTTGCTGACAAAGTCAAAGCCCTATGAGGGCTTTTAAAATCTTTATTTTTTATGTCAGGAAACTGAGGCTTGGAAAGGTTAAGTTACTTGTACAAGGTCTAATAGCTGGTAAGTGGAGTCTTTGGGACTAGAACCCAGTCCTGACCCAAAGGCTGTACTTGTAACCACTATGCCTTACTCTTTAAATTTTCTCAGTTTTCAATTCAGTGCTTTATCTAGGTCACCAGTTCTTTCAATTAAAAAAAAAAGTGGTGGAATGAATGTGTTGAGTAGTTTGTGTTGTGCTGAATGCTTATTGCTATTTCATGCCATACACTTAATTGCTTCTATATGCTTATTGCTTAATTACATAAAATGCGGTAGTCCCTTTATAATGTTTCTGTAAAAGTGCCCACCTTTACTGTGATTTAGGCAGACCAAAAAGCAAGAGAGTGTGCTAATTTTTAATTTTGGTGGCCAGAGTTCTTTTTGGTAATGTTTTCTTTATGAGTACACTGATATCTCGTTGGCTAAAGCATGTGACTGGTCATAATGCAACTATTCAGCATGGAAGCATCAAACAGCTGTCACTGTGTAGCATCTTTTCCAGGCACCAGGATGACATCTGGACTCAGTATTTTCGTGTAAGAGAAATGGTTCTTGCTAATCGTGTTGTCACAGGATCATACATCAAACAGAGCTAGAGGCTGTGTGCCTCTGCCAATTGCCTTCTGATCATTATTCACCCTGAGTTAAGCAAAGAAAATGATCAGCTTGGGGGCCACAGGCTAATTCTTGGCATACGTATACTATTGGTTTCCCAAGGGACCAAATTTAAGGTTTTTGTTTTCCATAGATTGGTGTAAGTGACATGAATGGGTGATGTTTGGCCAAGCTGTGAGCTAGTCAGGTGCCTTATGTGTTCATGTTCTTCCAAATAGTTGGCACAGTATACTCTTAACTCATTGAGGTCTACTTGCAGGTAGATTGATTATGCTTAATATGAATCATACGGAATGAATGTAAAAGGTAGGATTAACTATAAAGTAATTTTTGCCAGTCGATTTTCCATCTGTGGTAGATTTGTAGTGTATTCATGAAGTGTATCCTGCCTTCTTAGGCTTATTGGAGATATATCATCAATTAAAAAAAAAGAAGTCTTAAAAAGCACCCCCCTATACACATACATACACATAGCTTAATATATTTGAATTTGAGATGAAACTTAGTCACAGTTGATGGTGGTATGTAAAATAATACTGTGTCTTACAAGTAGAATCTTAAATTTGATATTTTGTCTTAAAAAAGTGGAACCTTAACTTTAATTAAATATGATACCTCTATTATACATCATTATTTGGTTTTAACCCCCAACTCTCATGTCTATTTCTGTCTGCTTGGTAAATTGCCCAGCAGATTTGGATCACCTCGGTGGTTTCGCTTCCGGCTGGGCCATCTATTTAAAAAGATGTGTGTTATTCACTGTTCATCACTGGTACTTTCCTATCCATCAGATAATGTATGCAACACTTCAGAGTTTATGTAACATTTGAGAATTGTGGGTGATAGAAAAGACGCTAATTTAAATGCATCGGTAGCATAGTCTTCACAAATGTAATCAATGCAGAGGGGCATTAGAGGTGGGGAGTGGAACATATATGTCAGTGAAAACTCATTTAGATTAATGCTGTTTACATTCACCAAAATAAAGAAGGAACAGTCACTATGTCCTTGAATCTTACAGGCTTAGACCTGGAGGAGACTCTGAGAGTATGTGTCTTTTCTCACTAGCCAAAATTAGATTTAAGTACTCAGATGAATGGTCCTTTTCCATGTGAACAAGGGCTTAGTATTTCCTCCGTAATTCGGTAAGAATATTTGCCCGTGCTCACAAAACCCTTACTGTAAATAGCGGTTGTCCCTTCAGTCCTAGAGAGATGCTTCTTTGCGATCTTTAAAACACACACACACACCCCAAAAACAGAAGTAATGTCTGTGATTTGTTCCCTTATACATGGTAATTTTCAGGGTTGGAAGAAATGGAGTGTCTCATCTGGTGTAGAGCTCTACTCCTAAAACATAACCATATTTTGCTCATTGTCAGAAATCCTCAAAAAATATTCCCCCAATATCTCATCTGTGCTGCCACAATGCAGAATGTTAAAAGGATATATTTCAGAGGGCCATTTTGATACTTGTTTACATGCTGCCTAAAAATAAATTATGAAACATGTAATTTTTTTTTTTAATTACCAAGGAGTATTCTAAACAAACATTTCCAGCTACTATCTTGCAAGCAAATCTTATGAAACAGTGACATTTGTTTGATACATTTGCCTTGGTAGCAGAATGAACCAGGAATCATCTGTCACCAAAGTGTCAATCTCAGAATTTATTTCAGTTTCTTCCTTTTTGATATAATAGGTATAATTAATTTCACTTAACAAGTATATTTCACTTTCTAATAATGAAACTTATTTGGTTTTCCATTTGACAATTTGGGTGATGGTCACCAAGTTTTTATTTTCCAGATTATGCTAACCTTATTTGATTGGCATACACCACACACTGAATGGAGAAACCACAGTGAAAGCTTTTTCATTTTAGTCCTGAGTTAAGAGTTTGTTCTAACAGTAGTGTTGTCTGTGATATATAAATAAGCATATATACAAAAGGACTGTCTCTCTCCTTGAGAATGAAAATTCTTGGCCAGGCGTGGTGGCTCACGCCTGTAATCCCAGCACTTTGGGAGGCCGAGGCGGGCGGATCACGAGGTCAGGAGATCTAGACCATTCTGTCCAACATGGTGAAACCCTGTCTCTACTAAAATGCAAAAAATTAGCAAGGTGTGGTGGCGCACGCCTGTAGTCCCAGCTACTCAGGAGGCTGAGGTAGAGGAATCGCGTGAATCCGGGAGGCAGAGGTTGCAGTGAGCTGAGATTGTGCCACTGCACTCTAGCCTGGGTGACACAGCAAGACTCCGTCTCAAAAAAAAAAAAAAATTCTTATTAATGAGAAGGAGTCAGGTTAGAATAATGGTTTGGGATGTTTGTTGCAAACATATTTTGAAATTAGGAAAAAAAAAAGAAAAGGAAACTATTTTTTGCATTTTGTCAGCCATTTTGAGGTTTTTGGATTCAGTATGAAATGGCCATCGCTGGGTATGTGGAAGAATAGATACTTCTTGCAGTGTTAACTGAGCCCTCTTTTTCTTCACTGTCTCCTCGAAAAAAAATCTGTTGTGGGTTGAATTGTGCCCTCGCAGAAGAGATCTTAAAATTCTACTTTTTTGAAGTGACATTTAATTTTCTACTTTAATGAAGGTGACATTATTTGGGAAACATAACATTTTGGTCAAGGACAGACCACATATACTCTTTTATGATGGTGGTTCCATAAGATTACATTGGAGCTGAAAAATTCCTATTGCCTACTGATGTAGCCTTTGTAACATCATAGCACAATGAATTACTCACATGTTGGAGGTGATGCTGGTGTAAACAAGCCTACTGCACTTCCAGTCGTATAATAATAATAAACGACTACATGACTAGTTTCTGTATTTACGATACCATCCTTTCTATCATCGTTTTAGAGTATACTCTTTCTGCTTATTTTTTTGAAAAGTTAACTATAAAACAGCCTCAGGCAGTAGGTATTTTAGAAGAAGGCATTGTTATCCGAGGAGATGACAGCTCCATGTGTGTTATTGCCCCTGAAGACCTTCTAAGTGGGACAAGATGTGGAGATTCAAGACAGTGATATAAATGCTCTTGACCCTGTGTAAACCTAGGCTAATGTGTATGTTTGTGTTTAAGTTTTAAACAAAAAACTTTAAGACAATAAAACTTTAAAATTGAAAGTTTATAAAGTAAAAAAGTTATAGTAAGCCAAGATTAATCTATTATTGAAGAAAGATTTTTAAAAACCAATATAGTGTAGCTTAAGTGTACAGTGTTTATAAAGTCTATCGTAGTGTACAGTAATGTCTTAGGCCTTCACGTTCACTCACCGCTGTCTCACTAACTCACCCAAATTAACTTCCCTTGTTGCCACAGTCATGGAACACGCTGTAGTCACGGTAAGTGCACCATACAAGCATATCATTTTTTATCATTTTTTTTTTTTTTTTGAGACGGAGTCTTTCTCTGTCGCCCAGGCTGAAGTGCAGTGGCACAAGCTCAGCTCACTGCAACCTCGGCCTCCTGGGTTCCAGCAATTCTCCTGTCTCAGCCTCTTGAGAAGCTAGGATTACAGGCATGTGCCACCATGCCCGGCTAATTTTTATATTTTTAGTAGAGGCAGGGTTTTGCCATGTTGGCCAGGCTGGTCTTGAACTCCTGACCTCAGGTGATCTGCCCACCTCGGCCTCCCAAAGTGCTGGGATTACAGGCATGAGCCACTGTGCCCATTTTTTATCTTTTACACTGCATTTTTACTGTACCTTTTCTATGTTTAGTTACACAAATACTCACCATTGTGTTACAGTTGCCTACACTATTCAGTACTGTAGAGTCTTTGCAGTTGTAATCAAGTTAGATGCGATCATGCTGGCTTAGAATGGGCCCTAAATCCAGTGGCTTGTGTTCTGATAAAAATAAGTTAAGACATAGAGATACACAGAGGGAAGAGAGCATGTGATAATGGAGGATGATCCAACTGTAAGCCAAGGAATACTAGGGATTGTCAACAAGGACCGGAAGCTCGGAGAGGCAAGGACGGATTATTCCTTAGAACCTTTAAAGGGAACATGGCCCTGTTAGCATCTTAATCTCTGACTTCTGGCTCTGAACTGTGAAAGAATAAATTCCTATTGTTTTAAGCTAGAGAGTTTGTGGTAATTTGTGTGGCACATTCCCCCACCCCCACCTTTTTTTTTTCTTTTTTAACAGTTTCCATTTTGTGATTAAGAATGACTTTCCCTTTTATAATAACAAATATAATAAAAAAAACACACAGAGTTTTTAAGCAAATATCACATATATCAAGGGTATTCATTTGGATTTCCAAAATACTGCTTTGAATGTTTCAATAGATCATAAAAGAACTGGCATTTCTGGAAATTGCTAGATGGGCCAATTTCCAAACATTGTTGTACAACGTTTCGTTTCATACTTTACACCTGGGAGCACCCTGGTTCCCCCAGTGAAATTAGGAAAACATTTCTCTACCCTATCTGCTTGTATCTCTTCCTAAGCATCTGCCCTTTTCCAAACATCTTGTTCTAAGTGTTTTTTCTCATGTTGGTGCTAGTGAGACTTCTTTTTGAGATGGGGTCTTGCTATGTTACTCAGCTGCCCTAAACTCCTGAGCTCAAGCAGTATCACCCACCCTCAGTATTCTGTTATATATAGCAATGCAAAATGGACTAAGACAACTTAGAAGCAGTGTCTGGCACCTTGGGAGCTATCAACAAATGTCTGTCACTGCCATTCAAACCTATGTTCACACACACTTTGCATATGTATTTATAAATTAACAAAGGAATCAACCTTCAGCAAGACTCTACCCAGATCTTTCACACATCATGAAATACCCACCAACGTCCATGTTAAAGCCAGTTTTCATTTTTAGAGATGATTAAACTTCTGCACTAAACAACACTGGGCACCAAGTGTTTTGTGACTGGGTAGTTTTTGAAGTTCAGTAGGCTTCATGAACATGTGACTGTTCAAAAAAGCAGTTTGTTGAGTGAAAAAATAGGCTTTCATCTAGCAGTTTTAGAAGGATGGTTTGGGATGAGCTAAATGAGATGGGGCACCAATCACAACAATATCAAGAGTAGGTTTCTAAAAAGAATGTTGATTGTTTTATGGCATTATGATAAACTTCCACTAGTTATCACAGACTTGAGCATTAAACAGATAAATAAATGAGGGGCAGGGTGGAAAAAGTAAGATTTAAGAAAGACATTAAGTCCAGCTGTGAAAAAACAATAAATTTATGATGTAAAATGGTGTGTAACATCAGAGACAAGATTAATATTCTAGAATATAAAAATGAAAAAGTTCTGCAAAATGAAATATATCTTTAAAATAGAATATAGAAAAGTAAATAATAAAAAACCCATACAAAAGTCCTAAGAAAGATACAACTTTATAGCCAATAAAATAGTTCCTCTTATTTAAAACTAATCAAAGGAGGTACATATTTACACATGTGAACATGATAGTACCTGTATATATAGGTGTAGTTAAGAAATTAAGGAGAAGAGAGCCTTTTGTGTGTGTGATTCCAGTTACTGTGTCACTTAGACATCCAAGTACAGGGGTGGTATAAAACACTGGGTATTTCTTATAACCAAAGGTTCAAAGCCCTTATGTAAATGGCCAGCAACAGGAGTGAAGGTGTTGGGGTTGCATTCACTCTCCTAGGCTAAAGCTCATGTAGACAAGGCCCCATTTAACTGCAACTCAGAACAGAAATTTCTGCTAGGGGACCAATTAGTTTTAAGAATGTCATAGCCTTTTCCCTTTGGGATCTGTGGGTTCAGGGAAAGCACATTCCTCTTCATTCCTGTGGTCACCCACAGAATTGTGATACATTTCTCCTGTAGACTGCTGCATGCTAACCTCTTGGTTTTTAGTCACTTGGGCCCTTTTCATCCTCAGTCACAAATAGTGAATTTTATAACTATTAGGTTAAGAAGTTATTCAGTGACCCAGCTTGTTAAGAGGAAAGGCAAAGCTGTTCCACTGCATTTTATGATCAAGGAACTTGCTGCACTCTCCTGTCTACCTCCCCGTAACAAGTGGAAAGCAATCACTGAACAGAGGAAATGAAGCCTTCTTATGGCAGTAGGGACTGAAAAAACATTGGTATTTTTCCTAACTCTTGTAAAACTGAGATATTAATGTTATATGCAAAATATTGTCTTGGAGTTGACAGCTGTAAATGTTGGAAAACTCAGAAAGAGTTGATAAAGTTGTTAGACATTAGGGAGGATTTGGTAGAGGAAAGAGATTCTTTCAGCTTTGTAGCACAGATTTGGGTGTCTAGACTTCCGTCTTAATTGGATAAATTGAAGAGGAAGTTTGGTTGTCCATATTTGGGGATGGAGACAAGGTCAGGAATGGACAGTAGGGACATGATAGCACTATTAAATATTACTGGATGAGATGGGATATTACATTATTGATTTCCAAAACACACAACCATGATATACTTTAGTGTGGAAAGTATGCAAAGGGAAAATGTGACATACTATTTGTCAGTTTACTGAAGAAAATCAGTTGGTTTTGAGATCTTTATGATTGATTGAGAAGGGGGTCTCCCTGTTTGGACCAATCTGGTGTCCAACTCCTGGGTTCGAGCAATTTTTTTTGCCTTAGCCTCTTGAATAGCTGGAATTACAGGCCTGCGCCACCTGCACGTGTCTCTGATTTTGAGATTTTTTTTAGACTACAGAAGAGAAGTTGTTGTTGTTTTTAAGCAAATATTCATATAGTTCATGAATGAAAGGAGAAAGATGCTGTGTTTTTGTTGTGTGTTATCTGTACCTCTACCTTTTACCTGGAAGATAGCCCAAAGACTTTGCTAAAATGAGGTGCCCTTCTTTCTTCACAGCTACACTGGTTCATCCTAGTGGCTCTGTTGGGCTTTCTCAGAAGTTAGCACTCTGTTTTACATTGTGCCCCTTACCTTCCATCTAGAGTTTCAAAACCATAACTGGTCATGTTTGTCTACCTCCTTGCCAGTCCCATTTATTTGTGTCTTATTTATTTATTTATTTATTTATTTATTTATTTTGAGACGGAGTCTCGCTCTGTCGCCAGGCTGGAGTGCAGTGGTGTGATCTCGGCTCACTGCAACCTCCACCTCCCGGGTTCAAGCAATTCCCTGGCCTCAGCCTCCCAAGTAGCTGGGAGCACTACAGGCGCGTGCCACCACGCCCAGCTAACTTTTCATATTTTTAGTAGAGACAGGGTTTCACCATTTTGGCCAGGATGGTCTCGATCTCCTGACCTTGTGATCTGCCCACCTTGGCCTCCCAAAGTGCTGGGATTACAGGCGTGAGCCACCGCACTCGGTCTATTCATGTCTTCTAAATGCTTTTCTTGTCATCTTATGGTAATGTCTGAATTGAATACCATAGAAAGAGGATAGTTTGTAGTCAGACTGACCTGGGTTTCTGTGACTTAGGAGTGACTAATCTTGGATGAGTTATTTAACATCTTTGAGCTCTGGTTGTCTTGTCTGTAAAACGGTAATATTGTTGAATTCTTAGCTTATGTGAATATGAAATGGGTCTCACATAGTGCTTATGCATAATAGACATTTGAATGGTACATAGTTATTTAGTGGTTATTAGTGTCACTCAGGCTTACTTAGTGGCTCAGAGTTCACTTTAGATCCTTAACTAAGAAGGCACCTATAAGGAGCCTCTAGCTTTTCATTTACTGCCCATCCACCTCACCTAGCTGGGAGCTGCTGGCTGCCTCCCAGGGCCCTGATGGATCCCCTTAGGTCTAAAAGACTTAGACTAGTAATCTTGGCATTCATTTTGAGTTGCCTATTCTTAAGTGTCATTTTAAGTTCATTTGTTATGCTAATGCCTTAACAAATACCGTGTTTCCTAATTAGTCCATATGTAATAAGGCATGGTACCTACCTGCATACTTGAATACAAAATTTTCTATGCAAAAACCCTTAGTTCCGCATTGCACTATGGGGGGGATTGTTGCAGCACATGGAGAAATCTTTTTTCTTCTGACGTGAATGGTAGTGACATATTACACTAGAGCAGATCATGAAAGCTAGGGATACGTGGTTGTTGGAGTCATTTAAAATTGGTTTGGACAGTGTGCTGTTGAACAGAACACCTTTTGAGTAGTTCTGGTCCTAAATACATGTTTCCTTGACTGCTGTAACAGCCAGTCCTAACTGGCCTCCTTATTTCCAGTTGTTCTGCTTCTCTAATCCAGTTATATGTATGGCTGCTACATTAATCCTGAACTACACCTCTGATTCTGCCACTCTCCTTATTCTCAACTTTTAAAAAGGATCTCATTTCGTAGAGACAATGGCCATATTCCCATGGTGTGGCCTAAGCTTCCAAACATTTCTTATAATGGCCTTTATATACTGTTTGCTCCGATTTAGAATGGTTCTTAACAAGGGGCCTTTGGAAATGTGTAGAGACGTTTCTAATATGCAGGTCACTGGGGACACTTAATGGTTGGGGGTCAAAAGTGCTCCATGGAACAGTCCTGCCTACTGCAGATTTGACCAAATGGCATTGGCACACCCACTGAGCAATACACAAGTTCGCCAAACTGGATTGTGGTTTTCCATATATGCTTCATGCGCTCTGTCCTTTTTGCTTTTCCTGATTTGCCTCCTGCCTGGATTGCTCTTTCTTATCATTTGTGTGCAAGTGTTACCCACTCTCATTATTCAAGGAGTCGGGACCATCTCTGTGAGGCTTCTCTGGTCCTTTGTGTCAGAAGTAATCTCTTACTGAGCAGCCATAGTACTTTATCCATGTCTTGTTTTATGGCGTTGTTTTTCTAGTTTTGCACTGTGGGCACATCTCATCTCCATTACTAGACTTTTAGCTCCTTTGAAGGTAGGATTCAGGTTTGATTCGTTTTTGTATCCTCAGCATGCAGATGGTTCCTTGAAGATCATAGACACTTGTTTTGAGTGGATGAAGAGGTCCATTCCTACCCTGAAGCAATAGCAATTTCAGGAATTGTTGTTTGTTACCTGAAAACCCCCACCAATGGGACTGAATCGTTTATGTTAGTTTTGGTTTCTTATGTGTTTTATATGTTTTGGAATAACTTTCACATCACACTGACTAAAGTATGGTAGCTTCTAGTTGTGAAATCTAGTCAATGTGTAAAACAACTAGAAGATCTCATGGTAAGTGGGATCTTCTTTGGAGGAAGCAGTGAGATGGGTGCCTGAGTTAGAATTCCTTTCTTCAGTTAGAATAATGGAATATCAAAATTGTCATGGCCTTTTAAAGTACTTATGTCCAGTGTCCTGATATTACAGATAATGTATGAGGCCCAGTGAGGCTAACTTGTCCAAGGTATGGATCCCATCAGAAATAATTTCAGCATTGTTGTATTTCTGTTTTCTTTGACACCTAAGATTTGGACTTAGAATCACCTGCCTCTTCAAAGAGAGCTTCCTTTGTAATTTTTCTTCTTGACTTAATGAAAGCCTGTCCCAGTGTTCTCTGTTTAGGGTTTTGCTCACTAATCATAATGACGCCATTGTTCTTTTCTCTTTTGCTAGAATTGCTTCAGTGCCTTAACAGGCAAATTAGACAATGAGAAGAAGAAATTTTTTATTTTAGATCCCTTTTTATCCTATTTGGTCATTTAGAGCACCAGGCAGTCTATCTCCTAAAGAATGAGTTTCACAGTGCACTGGGGATTTAGTTGCCTAAGGTGTCCTATGGCTGAAAAGTGAATTCTTTATGATTTTGGCAGCATTTAGAATTCTTCTGAGCTACGGAAAACTCAAGTTTTATGACCTCTTTGTTAGGCTGCATTGCAGAGACACTGTAATATTGCCTAGTCAGTGAGAAAGATGACTAGGTTTGTTCTGCGGGACATCAAAGAATAAAAGTAGGATCAGATATATGGGAACATATTTCTGCTCAATGTGAAGAAAATAACTTTCTAAGAAAAGTGTCTGGTAGAAGAGAGTGAGCTGCTTCAGGAGAAGGTAGGAACATGGAGAAGATTTTACAGTACATGGGAAGCTGAACTTAAAAGACTTTGAAGTTCTCATCCAACCCACAGACCCTGTGATCCTATGACCTTATAAAAATGAAGAGACCAATTAGTTCACCATAGAAGTAATACGTTATTATTAGTATTTCCACACATGGCTTGCAAGTGACTTAGCTGGTTCTTGTTGAAGCTGCCTTCACTATGTGGCAATCATCGTTCCTCCCCGCCCCCCCTTCATTATACTAATATATATAATTGAACACAGAATTCATCGAGAAAAATGGAAAACTGATTTTATTGCCTTGTGATATTGACTTTTCTTTATAATTGTAACTCCTCCCAGTTATGCCAAGTTGCTGGGGCAGAGACAATAGCAGTGCTTTGGCTCCATAGGAGTTAAGAAAGGAAGAAGAAACTTTTTTGTTCATTTGATTTTTTTTTTTCCACTTGGAATAGAAATCCGGTTCTGAACCTTGTTTCATGGTTTGATTTATAAGTCCTTCCTTTTAGCCAAGGAATATCTTTTTGCTAACCTTAGAGCAAATTAGCCAGATGCTTATATATTTGATAGAGCTTTTCCTTCTGTTATTAATAATTAAAGTAAAAGCAATCATAATGAAATGTCAATTCAGTAATAATGAAAATGTTCCAAAGCATGTTCAGATTTGTAATCTCATAGAATACATGAGAATAATTACCTGGATTATTCCCAGTAATCGTTTCATAGAGGGGAAGCCCAAGATACTGAACTTTGGTATAATTATTTGCAGTACTTAGTCCAGATTCCCCTTTTTCACTTAAGACAACATCCCATAAAATTTTCGCTTGGGTTATATACAATTAATCTGAGTGGTGACCAGTTTCTTGATGATCAAGCTGTAATATCTGATCCTAGTTAGGTTGCATATCTTTGAGGAGGCAGAGAATAGTTTCATGCCCTGCCTGGCTGGATCCTCAGTAACTATTCTTAGTCCAGTGCCTTATTTACCTGTCTGACTTCCTATTGTTTCTTGATTGTCTCTCCCAAGCAGGGGAGATTAATCTAAACACACTGACCTCCTTTGTGGTTGTTGAGGATGATCACAGTTGAGGTCTGGTTGTTTTCCAGGCAGAAAAGGGAAGTTAATTTAATAGGATCCTAATCACAATAGTGGTTTCTGTGATATATGTGCATGAGTTTGAAAAGCAGTCCTGGGGTCCTGCATTCTCACATTGGCCTGCACTGCCTTTTGCCAGGGACTCTGATAAGATAACTGGTCTTCAGATGAGGAATGTATTTCTTTTCATGTTAAGGCATCATTAAACAGCCTGGGGAGCTTATTTTTCTATTTAAGCCTCATTCTGTCATAGGTTACAATCCTTTGGGGGGCAGAGATGTGTTGTTAGTTCGCTGAAAGTAGAATTTAATTGGCTATTCTACAGAATAATGATTTTTAATTTGGCAAGAGAGTCATGATGCAGTCAGCCTTTTAGGTCTTTAAAGTTGTATGGAAGTTAAAGAAAGTAACCAAACCTTACTTGGAACACTTGGCTCCTCCCTCTGCAAAGCAGGGCTGTAGACCTCTGTGTGTGATTGTGGGTTGGGCACACTGGAGCTTCTGGCCATCATGAGTAGCTGTAGTGGGGGCAGGGAGAGTGAGGGTTGTCTGCTTCACCACTGACCTTTTCCAGTGGCCTGGACTGAGTTTTTCAACTGCTGTATGTGTATTCGTTATAGAAATGCTGAAGACTACAACTGCCCAGCAAGTGAAGCATTATCTTCCTCCCCATTTTCCTAAATAGGAAGTAGACCTATTGCAACACCTAGTGTAGTAATGTATGTGGCAGTGATTTCCTCTTTAATTCAGCAAACATGCTGCAGGAGAATGGGGACTCATGGTAAGATTCTGCACATTGGAAATTGGGGACAGATATCAATTCTGGATATATTTCCTTTAAAGGGTAGTTAGTTATCACATGCCTTCTGAGGATTGCATGAGTCACCTTCTAGTGTGGCACCCCTTTTCATTTGGGTATGTAGAGCCATGGTTACTGTTCAACAGACGTTGAACCAGATGTGCCTGCTATTACAGAAGTGAAATCTGACAGCTGTTACCTAAACTCTTCAGTGGCTCTTATTCTATCTACCTCAGCCTGTTTTGATTTTTGAAGCCTTATTAGATACAACAATTTTTGCCCATGGGGAACAGGCTTTCCCTTTTTGGTGATTGACAGGATACTGGTCAGTAGACAGTGATAAGCAGGATTCTGTGATTCTTTTTCCCCTGATGAATATTGTGTTAACAGACTACAGCAGCTTTGTGCTACAGCAGATTCGTTTGATGTCATAGGGAGATGGATTTCCTTCCACTTTAGCTTTTATCTGCTTGTATTAATACCTATGATTAGAGAGGCTGCATGCTGTTAACACATTGATAATTAAGATTGCCATGTTAAAGTGAGTGGTTATAGGTCAGACATACCCACACATTGCTGAGGATCCCTGTAGCAGCTGTACTTGGAGTTTAGCTTGAGGTTGTCTTAGCTCTTTTGCTTCATGTGAAATTTTATGAGAAAAAAAAATTCTCTTTAATCATCAAGCACTTATTGAGCACCTACTGTACCCAGATCTTTTTATGCTCTGCCTTGAAGACTTAAAAAATTTTATACTAGTTTGGTGGCAACTTTGGTCATGTATGAAATAGTATGGTTTAGACTTGGATAATTAATGTTCCTTAAGGTGGGGACCTATACCAGTTATTTTATATTGACATTTTCATTGTGTTGATAGGAAACATGTTAAATGGAAACCCTTGAGTTCTTAGATATTCATGGATTAATGTTACCACATCTAATGGATATTCCAAGGTATAAAGAAAACGAAGTGAACAGGAAATTACTAACTTTTGTTGAGTTTCTACATATGGGTTATATTGTGATAGGTGCTTTGTATGTATTAACTGATTTAAACTTCTGGATATTATCTCACAGTTCTGCCTCCCCCTACCATTGAAGCCTTTACCTCTTGTCTCATTTATTACACAGCTTTTTGGCTCACTGTTTCAAGTATGACTGTTCATTTCTTCTTTGTAAAATTCAGATCACATCACTTCCCTTCCTAAAAGTTTTCTTCACTTTTGCATTCTACAGGTTAACGTCTCTGCCGGGCAAACAAAGCGAGGCCCTTGCTAACTTGTCCCCTGGCTCCCTCTCTAGCATGACCTCCTCCTGTTGTATTCCTTTTTGAACTCTCCATTCTTTTCTACTGCCTATCCTTCTTTCCTCCCTCTGGAAAACTCTAAGTCTTCCTTTAAGTTTGAAAGCTTCAGAGAAGTACCTCTCCCCTCTCCTACTTCTGAAATCATTATTTCTTAAAGAACAACTAATTCTGAAACATGGAAAAGGTATAATTTCAGAATAATGGACAGTCCTTCAACCTGGAGTAATTTACAGTAAATTCATCCAAGTGCATTCCCACCACATTGTTCTCCCTTTTTTCATTTTGTGAGAACTGGGAAAAACTTCACTATAAGCTCTCCCTTGTTCACAGTCCTGTATTTTTGAGCCTCTTGTGTACGTAGTGAAAGTGGTAGAGAGGCTGGAATTGGGAGAATGTGAGTGAAGCAGGAAAAATATAAAAAGGTTTTATTTATTGAAATATAGAATATTTTGGAAGAGAATAGTTTTTAGAGAAAGGCATGGGTAGTATGAGAGCAGAAAGGCATGAAGAAACCCCATGATCATGAAAGTGGGGGCTGGCTTAAAGGAATGTTTTTTCTTGTTTTGTTTTGTTTTGTTTTTTGAGACAGGGTCTTGCTCTTTTGCACAAGCTGGAGTGCAGTGGCACAATCACGGCTTACTGTAGCCTCTTGACCTCCTCAGCTCCTGCCTTGACCTCCTGCCTCAGCCTCCCAAGTAGCTGGGACTACAGGGACACAGCACCACACCTTTTCTGGTAGAGATGATATCTCACTATGCTGCTCAGGCTGGTTGAGAAGTTCTGGCCTCAAGTAATCCTTCCACCTTGGCCTCCCACAGTGCTGGGATTATAGGAGTAAGCCACCATGCCCGGCCAGGAATGCATTTAGATTGACCAGTGGAAGGAAGGAAGGGAAGTCAAAGTAGAAATTAATTGGAAGATGAACAGCATAGAGAAACAAGGGCTAGTCATGAAGCCCTCCTCCAAGATTTTTTAATAACTGCTTGAGTTTTGTGGGATGATTCCTGAGTATGCAGAGACAGAAGTGATATTGATTCATCTTGTGAATTCTGATGCATGCTCTTCACAGAAGGAAAGAGAAAAATCTTATATGAGTTTATTAGTGGTGAGATGACATTCTTTAAGAAATACCATCCTTGATGGCCATTGGGGAACTTGAGCCATTTAAGCCTTTTGGCCTAAAAGTGATCTAACAATTCAATATCTTTCTGGGTGACTGTAATTGCTAGATGTTCGATAGTCATGAAATTTAGTTAGCATTCTTGCTGTTGAATTGATTCTTAGTGTTTATTTGCAAAACCTCAAATGTGTATCTAAAGTCTTGAATGCTTTCTCATAGTTATTCATTGTATACTCAGTAGATATGAAATATCAATTTTACAGGCTACCAAAATGGTATTTAATGGTGGCTGACAGGATAGTGTTTAAGGACAATATGTATTGGATACTTAAATTTTTCTATTACCTGATTCTTGGCACAGATCATTGAATTTAAGTTATACTGAGATTGCAGAAGATCTGCCTGCCTCAATAACCCCAGCTATGCTGCATGTTTATTTAGTCCTGGTTCCTTCCTGTGCCTTCTGCTTTCTAAGCATGTACAGAAGAAAATAAAACAATTATTTGGTTTCTACCTTAACATCTGCTTGCATCAGGAAAGATGTCTAAAAAAAATTTGAGGGACATTTTTGCGGACACTTCCTGAAGCCTGGACCAGTTTTATGTGATTTGTTGACATCCTTTTTTTTTTTCTTTACCCTTTTCTAATGCCTGCTTCTTCAATTATCCTTAAAGACCCAGGGTTTTACCACACTGCAACTTAAAATTTGAGGGTAAATTTGGTAAATCTTGAGCTCCTTAAAAGATGATCTGTTTTATACCCATTTCATTTTTCTCTTGAATTTCATTTTAAATTGATCGCTATGTATTTTAGGCTTATGCATTGCCCTTTTAATGGCTTCTTGGATAAAATACATTGTTCAGTTAGATAAGTAAAGAAGTCATCTGGATTACTGAGCATGACTCACTTAAAATCTCATTGGGAACAATTTCTCTGCCCACTCCTTGTTAACTATGTATTCTGCTGGTATGCAGAACTTAACTGTTCTAAAGAGTTAAAATAAGCCATGGAGATCAGGATTTGGGGTAACAGCCCTCCCTTCAAGACAAGGACTATGAGTTTCTTTACTCCACTTTTTCCTTGACTGGCTCTTGGTTTTCCTTATCCCTTTTGCTATAGATTTCTTTGCTGCATAGTGTTTTTTTGTTTTGTTTTGTTTTGTTTGTTTGTTTGTTTGTTTGTTTTTTGAGACGGAGTTTCGCTCTGTCGCCCAGGCTGGAGTGCAGTGGCGCGATCTCGACTCACTGCTAGCTCCGCCTCCCGGGTTCACGCCATTCTCCTGCCTCAGCCTCCCGTGTAGCTGGGACTACAGGCGCGCGCCACCATGCCCGGCTAATTTTTGTATTTTTAGTAGAGACGGGGTTTCACCGTGTTAGCCAGGATGGTCTCGATCTCCTAACCTCGTGATCCGCCCATCTCGGCCTCCCAAAGTGCTGGGATTACAGGCGTGAGCCACCGCGCCCGGCCTTGTTTGTTTTTAAGAAAGAAATTAGCATATGAGTTAAACTACAAGGAAGTTTGGAATGATTAATGGATGTGATATCCTGTACATAACCCATTTTTTAGTGGCTCTCTGAATAAGAAATCCCTTTGTGACTGGCCCAGATTGCATATTTGCTTGTAGTTTCTACCCCATCTCCTTGTGAGGGAACCTCTGGTACATACTTTAAACTTCTCATCATTGTCATCTGCTCATTGGCACACCTTTTCTTCTGTCTTTTTATGCTTTTTGTTTGTTGGTTTTTATTGATTTTCCTTTGTTTGTTTGTTTTTGAGGGGGGACAGGGCCTTGCTCTGTTACCCAGGTTATAGTACAGTGGCTGTATCCTAGCTCACTGCAGCCTCAAATTGCTGGGCTCAAGCTATCCTCCTGCCTCAGCCTCCCAAGTACCTGGTTCTACAGCTGTGTACTACCATGCCTGCCTAATATTTAAATTTTCATTGTAAAGTCAAGGTCTCACTATGTTGCCCAGGCTGGTCTTGAACTCTTAGGCTCAAGGCAGTTGCCTTCCAATTTTTAAGGCTGTGTAGCTTTCCTGATAATAATGGGAAGTTGGTTTTTCATTTGATCCTCTGAGAATCTGTTGATTTGTGTTGATGTTTTAATGTGCCACAAGTATTTCCTGTTAGCTGCCTGCAGATACAGAGGACTTTTGAAATTTTGCTCTTTGTTCCTTTTCCTTCTCTCTCTGTTCTTCCTTTCCTTCCTCCCTGGCTCCCAATTTGGATTAAAACTTAATGAGTAAGAGGCCTAAAAGACGTAAGACATTTACACAACTGTAGATTTATTATCTTTGAATTTTTGAAAATGAACTTTTAAAGGCTTCTTTTCTATTTTTTAAGGTTTTCAAGTCATGCCAGTGTCTGTGCAGACTGACAACTAGCACTGGGGGAGGGGAGGGGAAGAAGTTGCATTTATCCAAACATTTTCTGAAGGGATCTAACTTTGATTTCCTTTCTATGACCTGATTTAATGGAGACATTTCCACCTCAAAGGAGGATTTCAGGAATGCATATATTCTCACTAGTAGGCGAAACGGGTGCTGCTTTGATTTCTCACACCCTTGGTTGAATATGAATGTTACAATGTGGCATGTTTTCCAGGAATCATAGGGAATTGACCCATTTTATGTAACATTTACAGGCCGATGGGCATTTAGAGTTAGAAGGAACATCATTTAGATCTAGTCAACCCTTTCTCTCTCTTTTTTTAAACAGAGAAGGAAATGAAAGTCCAGAGAGATTAAGTAATTTTATTCAACAAATATTAATTGAGTGTATAACATGTGTCAGACTCAGTACTAGGTGCTGGAGGCTACAGAGATGAATAAGTTTGAGTCCCTGTTGGAGACAAATACATGGTTCCCAGATCATACAGTTTGTAATTAGCAGATTAGAGAATAGAATATTTATGAATCATTCATAATCCAGTCTTTCTGTATTGTGACAGAAATGCTCTCAGCTGTCCTTTTTTGTACCTTTTAATTTACTCATTTAATAAAGTCGATTTTCACTTTTTAAACAAAATAAAATCCATGTTCTCTCTTGACCCAATACCCTCCTTTAGCTGCCATTCTTTCTTGAAAGATTCGTGTACATTAATCATGTACATTTGATCAACTATGCGACCCACTAAAATCTGACTGAAACTGCTCTTGCTGAACTTCCAGTGGGCATGTTTTGGTCTTCAGAAATCGCTTTGAATGTTTTAAGTCTGTTGTCATATCTTCCTTCTTCAAATTCTCTTCTCTTTGGGATCACTGGTGCCCTGATTCTCCTGGCTCTTTTCCTTTTTTGTTTTCATTTTCCTTAGAGTTTCACCTGCCCACTTCTTATTTCTTAAATGGGCCATACTTTTGCACATGTCCGTAGCCAGTGGTCGTCCATCCTTCAAGACTTAGCTCAGTATCATCTCATGAAGCATATCTGACCTTTTCAAGCATTTAGGCACTTCCTTCCCTCTGTTCTTATAGTACCTTGTATATATTTCCTCATCCTGCAAGGTTTTGGTCTATATGTTAAGCTGTGCCTTCTAATTTTTCTCTCTTGAGAACCAGCATCTCCAGTGATTGGCATGTACATTTTAACAAATGTAGTTTTACCCTGAAAGACTTCACACTTGCTTAGGCAAATATGTGTGCAGGACTCTCTGCCTACTATCTACCCCTCCACCCTGCCCCCAGCAGTGAGTCTCTGTCTGCCTCCCCAACTCTACTGGGTTCTCTGAGCTAGGCCAGTGTATCGTTGCTGCCAAGAAACAGCCTGTGATGATTCACTGTTAATGGTAGATTTATAGTTCTATCAATTGTCTGTCAGTATATTAACCCAGTTAAGAAGCTTAAACATAACCCTTAGTTACACTCAAATCGATTGCCAAACCTTTTTAAAAAATTCATAAATTACACATGCATAAATGCGAGCCTAGCCCTGTCTGATTAAATCTGAGTTCATAATTAATGTGAGACAAATAATTGAATTTTTTTATAGCTAAAATTAGGGAATTTCATGTTTCTCACTGCGGAAGAGAGACTATCCTACATAATGGCATTGTTTCCATATTTAATCGTAAGCTAAACATTCATGGTCTTCAGCATGCTGACAGCACCCAAACAGGCAAAAGACACGTGTCTGCTTTTAAGGAAATCCAGCATACTGCAATAAAAAGGCATGCAGGTTGGTTTTCCCTAAAGCCTCATCTTCAACTTGTTACGTGGCCATGATAGTTCTTTCAGGCCTGATAGCATGCTGATTCATTTGCTGAGGTAGAATGTGTTTTCTCTGGATTCCTCATTTTGTTTATGTTGTTGATCCTTCATCCTTTGCTGTGCACTTTTACTGGATCAAAATTAGCTGAATAGAACTAAATCAAGGGAAAAAGAGGAGTGTCCTCAAAAGAAATAGTGGCCATGTGTTACCATTAAACCATTCAGAAAGAAATATTTGTATTTTTAAATTATAGCCTTTTATTTCTAATTAGTTCCAATGTTAAACCTCCTATCTTTAGAAGTATAGAGGTGGTGACGTAGATTGTTAGGCTGGTGGTTCTGAATTGTTTGTTTGTTTGTTTGTTTTTCTTATAACCTCCTGGTCTTGGGTTGTGTTCAAGTCTGTAAGATTTATTAGGTGAACATTCTGTAGCTAGGTGGCATGATGTTCTGGCTTCTCATTAGCAGTGACCCTGGAGAGATTTCTTGCATTCAGCAACATTTGTTTGGAGCCGCCCAGCATCCTTGTCATCGAGTGGTGAGGCAGAGCTTGGGTTTGGGTGAGGAGGTCACCTTGTACATACCTCTGGAGGAGGGAGTGGTGCTGTGTGGGGGATGCTTAGGCTCCCTGGCTTCCCTTCTCCTTAAACACGATCAGCTCTTCTAGGACAAGGAGCTGAGTGCTTGGAGGAGAGGAAAAGGACTGTTTTTCTCTTGCTCAAAGTCTTAAGCCGTTAAAGAGGAATCATAATATTGTTCGACGCCCTGTGATAGCATCCATTGGCCATGGAATTTGGAATTAGTTAAATTAGAGTTCACCTTTTGCTCCTGCCATTTTTAGTGGTGTGGCCAAGGGTCTCTCAATTTCTTTGAGCCTCTTTTTCTTCATAAGTAAAAATATAGGTAATACTTGCTGACTCTTTTGAATTGCTTTGAGGGTTAAATGAGCATAGTGGTATCAAAAAGGTGAGCAAGATGCTGTTTTTAATTTCAGGTAGCTTGTAATCACCTGTAGGATTACAGATGCATAATACTGAGTTGGGTTAGATGTATTACGAGAATACAGGATATTTTATTAGAAAATTCACAGACGGCTTCCTGGAGTCGGTAAGCAGCATTTGAGCATGTCTTGAAGAATATTTGGCATCTGAGTCAACAAAATATTTCACACTGCTGTGGCAGTCACATCTAGGCAGGAGAAACAACATCAAAAGAGGACCATAAGATCCATTCGTGGAGCTTGTTCAGCAAGCAGTTTGGAATATAGTTGTCAGGAGCAGAACTGGGCTAGCATGCTTGATTGTTAAATAGTAACTAAGTATCTTTGCAGTTAACCAAAGATCAGGGTTTTATACTGAACATTTTTATATTAATGTGGAAATTGAATTTGATAGCATTCCTGATGCTTCTCCCAGATTAAATAAATCAGCAGAGTATTGAATGAAATGAGCTTTACCTCTCCTTTTTTTTTTTTTTTTTTTTTTGAGGCAGGGTCTCACTCTGTCCCCAGGCTGGCTGGAGTGCAGTGGTGCTATCTCCACTCACTGGGCTTGCAACCTCCTGGACTCAAGCAGTTCTCCTACCTCAGCCTCCCAGACAGCTACAACTACAGGCACATGCCACCACACCCAACTAATTTCTGTTTTTATTTTTTGTAGAGACAGGGTCTCACTCTGTTGCCAAGGCTGGTTTCTAACTCTTGGGCTCAAGTGATTCACCTGCCTTGGCTGCCCAAACTGCTGGGATTAAAGGCATGAGCCACCATGCCCAACGTTACTTTTTTTTAATTGTGGTAACACATATATAACATAAAATTTACCATCTTCACCATTTTTATTTACAGCTCTGAAATGTTAAATATATTCACTTTATTGTGAAACATATCTATAGAACATTTTCGTCTTACACAACTGAAACTCTGTCCCCATTAAACAGTGATTTCCCTTTTCCCCTTCTCTTAGCCCTGGTTATGCACCCAGCTCCACTTATTTTTGACAGCTGGCTTAAGAGAAGTTCCTAGACTTCATTCAGAAACATTGCATGATAAAATATGTGATAACAAATCTGGGATTTTTTTCATCTTGCTATAGTAGAAAAATGACATTTTGCTGGTATTTTGGGCCTCCCGTGATTTGCCATCTCCGTTAACCCTTACTTTATTTACATCCCATTTTATGCAATATAGTAACCACGTTGACACATTTAAGCTAACTTTAGTCTTCCATTTCTATCATGATTGCAATTTACAAAGCCATGAATGCAGCCTTCCTGTGATTGGGCTTTAAAACCACAAAATGATTCACTATCCATGAGAGTGTTCAACAGCATATTAGGTAGAAAAAATTATAGGTTATTTTGTTCTCTTATTGTGTAATTTTTATATCTTGCACATTCCATGGATTAGACACATACTGTGACTTGAAAGTCTTCTCTTTACTTTGTGTTACCAATTGTTGAATCTTGTGAGCATTTCTCGGTCATCACATATTTTAACTGTGGAAGCTCTTTATGTGTACTAGTTCCTTTTTTATTGGATCTTTTGTGCATATCTGCACAGTGGAGGTGGTCATGGTGTGTGGGGGCAGGCAGGGTGAAGGTGGTGGTATGGAATAGGTAAGAGGGAATTTTCTCTGTAGAGTGTTGTTTATCAAGAGAGGTGGACTGCTGCTATCTGATGGTCACTTTTCTTTGTCCAATTGTGACCTGCAGAGAGGGTGCTTTTAGCTACTGTGTCAGGATCCAGTAAGGAGACAGAAAGCACACCAGTTACTTTAACAGAGAACATAATTTAAGAGATGATTAGCTAGATATGGGAATACTAACAAGGTGAAGAAAAGAACCCTAAGGGTAGCATGGAGGTAATAACTACATGATGCAGCTCCTACCCTCTAAGGTTGGGGGAATAAGAAAAGAAAACATATAAGAACATAGAAATTTAGAGGGAGACCATGTGAAGCTGGGACATAGACTGCTGTTAACTGATGCTTGTGTCTCTAAGCTTGGAGACTAGGACTGGGACTCCAAGGTCTTGGGACCCAGACCTCCCAGGAGTGCTGCCAGTTGATTGGTTCTGATGAATCTGAGGAGGTGTGATAACCTGTTTCTGGGAGTGTTGGGAAGACAGCAAGCTGAACTCGCTTGCTGCTGCTGGAACAAGCTACCATTGCTGGGAGGAAGAAGTAGTGCTCTGGAGCCACTGGCAGGAATAGGAAAGATCTGCCCCTTCTTCCAGTTCTGGCTCTCTCTGGCACCCCCTATTGGCAGAGCCTAAGGAAGCCAGGTGGCAAGGCAGAAATGGGGTTTGCAGGTTCCCTGCCCCAGCATCACCAAGGAAAAGTTTAGAAAGATCAGTTTTGAAACTGCATCACAGTAGCTTCATAATGGGCATAACTACTAGATCCAACTTTTTCCAGTTTGATGAGTTTCCCAGGGTGGGCAAGCACGCATTATGTGTTGAAATTAATTGACCTTTTCAGGTCTAGGGGACATTGTGTGTGGTGAGTGAAAAGCCAGTGGGTAATCTGCCAGTTCTTGCTACCACAGCAGTTGGGAGGCAGACGATAGAAACTGTCATAGGTTCTGGGGCAGACAGATCTTTGTGGGAGCTTTTTGCTCTGACATATGTGATATCGGGCGTGTTATTTCTCTGGGCACCTAACTTCTCAGGTCTCTCAGTGAAGTAAAGCTATCATAATTCCAGCTTTATTTGCTATTGCGAGGATTAGAATTAATATGTTTAATGTGCAAGCAGATAGCACCACTCAAAGAGTTAGTGGTGTTTGTTTTGTTTTTTAATGAATTGTAGAAATTTAGAGTGGCGCCAACCCTTTGTGTTAAGGGAGTTAGGTTAGGGTGCCAGCAGTAGGAAAGGTAAGGGTTTCATTGTCACAACGCAATGGTGATAGGATTGACATAAAAACATTGTTAAACAGGCACCATTTCAGTTATTTTATGGCTGGAAGGACAAGGGTATTTAGGGTGACATTACATGAAGGAGGATATAAAACTGTGTTCTCACAGATCAAGGCACCAGTCTCACGTCCCATGTCATTCCCCACAGATGAAACAGCTGTGAACAGCTACCGCAGTTATAGAGCGAGAAGTTCCCCATTCTTGCCCTCCTCCCCTCCACCCTCACCTGACTGTCCTGTGCACTGTGACTTGCCTGCCTGTTTACTAGGTGCAACCAACTGGAGAAAAGAACCCCAACAAATTCCTGAGTATGGCTTCAAGTTTGTTACGGTCCCTTCACACAGTGGGGCAAGGCATGCTATATATATATAATGAAATTGCTATGCCAGCTGGGTACTGCATCTACATGTCTGTGCTGTTCATAGTTCTTTTAAGTTTATTTGCCCGTATTTCTCCATGATAGTAGTGGGTGATAAATGTTGAAGTTTTCTGATTGATGTCAAGTAGACTGTAAAGTAAAAGAAAGTCATCTTCCTTCGTTAAGGTTAGACTGATATCTGTCCTGAAAAGGTACAGGCCTCATTTTACTGAATATTTATGCACAGGCTTAGAATACTTTGAATTTGGTGGATAAAATATGTGGCACTAGACCTGGCATCCTGATTTAGACCTTGGAGGGACGCAGCAACTAAACAGAAACCCAGTGTCTAAAGGGAGACCTTTCTGTGTGCACTTACATAATTCAGTCTTGTGTTTTGAAATGCACAACAATTCATTGCACAAATTTGACTGGAAATCTGGCTCAGTTGAAGGTTCCACTGGCACCAGCTAAATAATGGTGTCATATCCAGCCTTATTTTCCCTTCTGTGTTCTTCCAGGAAGAAACTTTAATAATAATAATTATTTTTTAATATGGTGAAGAAAGGAAGACATACACAAAGAAGCATTTCTCTAACAAAATGATATTATCCTCTGAATGGGCTCACCCGCTCCTTCTGTCTGTTACAGAGAAAATTGGTTTCCTGTTGTCAGAGATTTATTTTCTTTTCCTCCTGTTCTTTTCCCCTCTTCTGTAACTGTGGGAGGGTTTGTGGCACATCCCTGTGCTGGATGGGTTTCATCTGGCTTGGTGCCTGTACTTTAAGTAACGGGGTTGTCTCTTCTGAGGGCATTGGCTCTCCATTTTTAGCCGGGGTATGAACAGTAAGAAATGTGGGAGAAGATTTCTCCATTACTAGAAAACATGATCTGGGGCCAACTGGTTAATTATGAGCTTCCAATGAAAAGGAAAGTAGTGCCAGAAGGGCATAGCCAGTTGTGATATACTGGTCCTTGCTGCCACCGGTTACCATACTGGTTTCCATTACCTTGAAAACCTTTAGACCTGCTTTTGTCTTTGAAGGCTTCTTTCTCTCTGCTCATTTTCCTCTACTGCTTTTAAACTCTGGCTTCTTATTTGTAGATTTTTTTAAATGTCCTTTCCAATGAAGGAAATTTCCCCTTTTTAATGTTGATTCATGTTTCTAGTTGATCTTCACAACTATTAGCTAGGTAGAAAGATGCTCTTCTGCAGAGACACTAATTATATTTTATTTCTTCTCAGCTCTACTTGCTCATTTAAACAGCACCCAAAGAGATTTCATTCACCAAAACTTCATGCCTGTATTGCTGCAGATGAGTCTTTCCAGAGCAAAGGAAGAGCTCTATGATCTTTCACTACCCTTTCCTTCTTTTCTTCCAATTTAACCTCAAAATATACCAACCCCAGCAACTGTGTTTACTTAGGGTTAATCTCAACTTCATGAGTTTTTTTGAGGAAGCTAGTTCTTTTGAAAATATTCCTCTTTATATGGTAGTTTACTATCATATTTATTTTAGCGTTGAACTGTCACACATAAAATATTTTTAGTGTATCAGTTCAGCTTTACTTGAACTCTGAATGGTATTATATGTGTTCTGTAAGGATTTCTGCTAACTTAGCTAATAATAGACTGAGGGTGTGTTTTTTCAAGATCATAAGTAATATAATTCATTATGTCAAACTTGTAGGTGTAGAGAGAATAGAAGATTGTTTTAAAGTCTTAGGTCAAAAGAGAGCATAGTGATTATTTGGATTTTGTAAATTTGGATTTTCTCTAACATTAGACGCAGGCTGCCAAGAGTACTACTTTTTCATTAGCAATTACAAAGGGTCTAGGTTTTGCAGTTGTACAATGAGATATCTAGTTAAATGTTTTCTAATCTTTTATTTATTTATTTATTTATTTTATTTTATTTATTTTTGAGACACAGTCTTGCTCTGTCACCCAGGCTGGAGTGCAGTGGCGTGATCTCGGTTCACTGCAAGCTCCGCCTCCCGGGTTCACGCCATTGTCCTGCCTCAGCCTCCCTAGTAGCTGGGACTACGGGCGCCCATCACCACTACCAGCTAATTTTTTATATTTTTAGTGGAGACGGGGTTTCACCATGTTAGCCAGGATGGTCTCGATCTCCTGACCTTGTGATCCGCCCTCCTTGGCCTCCCAAAGTGCTGATGTTTTCTAATCTTTATTGATTAATGGACTTATCTAGTATAGTATAAAATCATATTTAGTAATAGTAGCCAGAAGGTTGAGGAACAGTTTGTATTCAACTAGTATAGTATAAGCGCCTTCATTCTATGAATTTGCTAACAATGGTATAAAGTTGCAGTGATACAACTGCCCCCCCTTTAAAGTTCACTTTGAGATTTACTAACCAGATTTATTAAATCCCATAATCACAAGAAATAGAGTTTTAGTTGTCAAAAATAAATTTTTTAGATAGGTCTTTCTATATTCCCCATTATATTCCCTCAGTATTTTGATATTTCTAGGAATGTGGCACTATGCTGGGCACTTTCTAGGTACCATAAACAGCTTTTTTTCTCGTTCATAGATCTTCCCTCATGTAGTCTGGCAGAGGCAGTAAGACCTGTATAAAGTAATTAAATTACAATAATACAAGGCAGAAAGTGATTAGTGCTATAACTTTGGCTTATCTCGTCTTCTGTCCCTTGACATTTTTGCTCTTGTTAACATCCATGTTAGATGCTGTAAAACTTAAGCTAAGTAGCTTTGCTTCTTAGCAGCAGTAAAAGTATAGATCTGGTTTTCTCACGGAGTTTATATTTGCCAAAATGTTCCTTGAGTGTGAACTTAGACTTGCCTTAATTCGTACTAATTAGCCCATTTCTGATTTTTACAGTTTTGAAATAATTTTGCTTGGTTTTCACCACAAAGTCATAAGTAAGTCCAGATAATTTTTATTTTCCTGAGTCTTTTTTTTTTTTTTTTTTTTGCTATTGAGTCTCTCTCTGTCACCCAGGCTGGAGTGCAGTGGCATGATCTCAGCTAAACGCAACCTCCACCTCCTGGGTTCAAGCGATTCTCCTATCTCAGCCTCCCGAGTAGCTGGGATTACAGGTGAACGCCACCATGCTGGGCTAATTTTTGTATTTTTAGTGGAGACAGGGTTTCACCATGCTGGTCAGGCCGGTCTTGAACTCTTGACCTCAGGTTATCCACCCACCTCACCCTCCCACAGTGCTGGGATTACAGGTGTGAGCCGCTGTGCCCGGGCTATTTTGCTGATTCTTAAGAGGAAACCGAGGCAAGCCACCAAGTAGGAGGCCAGTAGGTTGGGCCACAATCACTGTGTAGAGCCCAGGTTTCTAGTAGATCAGCATCAAGCTGCCTGCTACTCTTGGCCATTTGTTTGCCATGAAATATTCAGGGAATGTTTGATTTCAAGGTTGAGGGCAGCTCTTTTCCTCATTGCCTTCAGGAGAACTGAACTCAAGCCTTGTTCTCTTCAGGAATTGATGCCCTTTCTGCTTCATTATCCCAGGCTTACTGGCTGAGTCCTCACTGTTCCTCTAGGAAAAGTAGCATAGACTTCATTCCCTCTTGGAGCAGATTTTTACTTTCAGAGCACTTCGGGGGTGGGAAATGTTTGTGTCCGGTTACATGTTGGAAGCCATGCCTGCACAGGGAAAGGAAGATGGGGCAGGGCCCCAGCATCTTTTTGTTTTCAATTTTCTTCAGTGGGTGTGGGAGCCACTTTGCTGCTGGTGGCCCAACTTCTTGTGAGCCTTCAGGTCCTTTCACATTTAGGTTTGTGAGGGGTGATACTGTTCTTTTATTTCACCTTTTTTCCCCCCTTGCAGTAGTATTTGTAGCTAAGTGAAGGGACCGCATATGGTTTGCTACTTGGATAATGGTTTGGGAGCCCCTAGAGCCTTTAAGCTATTTAAAGTCCTGACAGGGTCTTGGGGGAACAAAGACCTCATGCTTGGCTCCTGCTATTTCCTCCCCATCCTTCTCTCTGTCCTCTTCCCTCTCTCATCCTTACTGCGTCTGAGCAATAAATAGCAAGTGCTTCTGAAATACTCTTAGTTGGCTAATGTAATTGAGTAGAAGAACACTCTTTAGACGCAGATTTTTTTTCTTACATGATGGTCTTGAAAATGGTACTTTAATTTCAGGGTGTGCAGGTACCTGTGGAATATAATCATATGCTGTGCACTGGAGATAACGGGTCAGGCTCTTTAAGGACATGAGGCCGCCTAAATTTGCTTTACTTCTTCCCTCTTTGGTCCTGTGAAACTCTTGTTCTCCTACTGGCAAGCTGCCAGGGGACATTTGTAATCAAGACTGTTTCTTGGAATTGCCACTGCCTCTTCTTTTCTGCTCTCACTGTGGCTAGTGTGGGTCCAGACCCCTGGATGGCTTTGGGGGCTTGGGCAGGAAAGGAGACAAGACATGCCTACTCTTGCCATTCCTGTCATGGCCAGGTTGGTTTGCTGTCTTAGATTCTCAGATCCCACACCCAGGCTTCCAGTAGCTGGAACTAAGGAATATTTGGAAATTTTGTTTTGTCACTGTTACTACAATGTTTCCTGGTGTCTTATTTGTATAGAAGTTGGAGGGGTATTGAATTCTCCCATTTTTATTAACCTACTTACTTTTTTTTTTAATTGAACTATTTTGGCATTAATCAAGTTCTCCAGTGTGGCTTTCTGCATTTAATAAAACTCTGACCCCCTCTTTGTTTTATTGCCTTCGATTTAAAAGTCATGGGGCCAAGTGCCTAAAATATAGACATTTTTGTGGCCTGGAGACCTCCTTGCTACTTATTTAAAAATTCACATGGTCAGATACAGTGGCTCATGCCTATAATCCTAGCTCTTTGAAAGGCTGAGGCGGGAGGATCACTTGAACCCAGGAATTTGATATCAGCCCTGGTAACATAACAAGACCCTGTCTCTACAGAAAATTAAAATAATTAGCTGGGTGTGGTGGTGCATACCTATAGTCCCCAGCTACTCGGCAGGCTGAGGTGGAAGGATCATGTGAGCCTGGAACGTCAAGGCTACAGTGAGCCCTTGTCATGCCATTGCATCAGGAGCAACAACATAGCGAGACTGTGTTAAAGAACAAAAATTAAAAAGCACGTTTGTGGGAATCACACCAGACCTACTGAGTCAGATTATCTGGTGTGGGCTTGGTAGTCTGCATGGTTATAAGCTCCCAGGAGATTCTTAGGCACACTGAAACCTGACAACCACCGACAGGTGGTGATTGTCTTTTGGCAGTAAAAAACCAAGAGCTGCAGTGCCTGGCTCACAAGCCATGAGCCTCTGGGGTACCTGGGATCAAAATCCCAGCTTTGCTATTACTAGTTATGTGACATCAGGCAAGTTACTTAAACTGTAAGCCTCAGTTGCCTTCTAGTAAAAGGGGGATCATGATCCTTACCAGGTAGGACTGCTATCAGCATTAAGCCTATTTGATAGGGTTATCTGTAACTATTATTATTCTTTAAGTTCTAGTGCTTTTCACACATGCTAATAGGGCCTTAAAGATGGGATCAGCAGGATCAAATAGGGTTGTCAGAAAGATTGAGAAATTGGAGGGTCCTACACAAGCCACAATGAAACACTTAAGGGAGGTAGTTATCTTCATAATCACCTCCTTCTAACCTCACACCTGTACATTTTATCACGTAGATTCCAGTTTTTAAAAAAGTTGGATTTTAGTTTCTATTGTTTTCCATTTCGTCTTTGCTTCCTGGAAGATATGCTAAATGTATTGCGTTGCTGTGAATTTGGCACTTGCTCAGATCATGTCTCTGTTATAGACTGTATTTACTTTTAAGAGGTATTTTGAGTGGAGAGAATGAAATAGAGCTGGTTGGAAATAAAGCTGCTTTTTCCTTGAAACAACTCTTGAGGTATTTGGATCTATGAGGCTTCTGTGTATGGTCCTTTAGGAATACTTAGGTATCTTAGGAAGATAAAAGATACCTTCTATTCGGCCAGGTGGTCACAATTTTAAACCTTCCTCCTGCTGCTAGCTTGTAGCTTTCTAGTTATCAGACCTGCCTTTTATAGAAATGTGCTACTGTATGTGTTAAGGACCATAAAACAGTGGCTATCCCTGTGTGTTCTGTCTCCTGGATGCCAAGGGAATTGAAAGGTCCTTAATTGTAAATATGCCCAGGGCATGTGGTAATGCTCCTATTTTAAGTCTATAATTGAAATGGAAATTGCAGCCTTTGTTTATTAAAATGGCATGTGTGGCAGGGCAACTGGGACTGGTCCATTATTTACTGTTTGAAATCTTACCCATTTTAATCTGATCATGTCTGTAGTTCTTATTGTAATTCAACAGTCAGTTTTAAGATCATCATGGAGTATAATTCCACTTGGGCACATTAATTCATATATTATTGTTGAGGCTCCTTTTAAAAATAAAAATCAAACTTGTTTTTGACCCTGTTTATAGAACTTTTGTAGTTAAATTTATTTCCTCTGCCTCACAGAAGGATATATCTGTAGAAGAGTATCCTTTTTTTGAGGAAATAAGTGGAATTTAATACATTTCTTATGAGGAAAAGAATGGCCAGTTATTCTGCTGAAGAGAGGAATAAAAGTATGAAATATTGGGAGAAATGGGAAAGGGTGATCAAAGAAGCTTTGGAGATTTTCTCTCCCTCAACACTTTTGTCTTAAAAAAGAAATATAAGTTTATAGAATAACATAACAAACATCTGGGTTCCTTTTTCAGCCTTGATATTCTTCCCTGTGTGCTTCAGAGCCTTGTTTTTTTCCTTTTTACTGTTGTGTATTACACACACAGTTGAAAGTCCCTGTGTACTTGTCCTCAACCCCATTTTGAGGTTTTCTCTTTCTCTCCCCACCCATTCCACATCAGTAACCATTGTGCATTTTTATTCTTTTGCTGCTTACATAGCTCTATGAATAATATACTATTGTTTGTATCTGTTTTTAGTCTGCATTTATATTGGGTTTTACTATATCAGTCTACAACTTGCTTTTCCAGCTCAATTTTGTTTTTTCAGTCTGTCCATTTGCTATGTTGCTCTAAATCAGCCAAACTACTGTGTATTCCATTGGGTGACTATACCATATCCAGTGTTAATATGGATGTTGTTATACTTGTCTTGCACGTATGAGAATTTTCTGGGGCATATACCTACCTGTAAGTAGCATTTCGTAGTTAGAGGTATGTGTGTTACCACCTTTAACCAAACAGTGCCACATAGCGCCACATCAAAGTGCCAAAGTATTTAACCTTTTTATACTCCCATCAGTGGTTAAGGGGCATTCCTATTTCTCCACATTCTTTAAAATATTTGCCAATATGTTGGAGGTACTGTATCTCAATTTACATTTTTCTGACAATTATCAAGTTATACTTTTTTGCATACTTAATGTGTCCTTGGACTTCTTCAGTGAAGTACCTGTTTATATCTTTTGCCAATTCATCTATGGGTTTATTTCTCTTTTTCTTATCAATTGTCCGTTATTTACTGAGTAAATCAAAGTAATCAGAAGAGAAACCCCACCAACTCTCAGTACCACATCTATCCACCCACCTACTGGAATCTGCATCCATACACCTGCAGATGAACTACTGGTGCTCTGTGGAAAGCCATTCTGTCCATGGCATGGACATTGCTTTAGCAGTTCTCTTCTCTCTCTCCTTTGCTCACCACTAGACCATTGCCTGTTATTTCTCCAATCTGAAATCAAACCCAAAAACCTTATCTTCGCTCTGCCGCCTCCTTGCCGGGGAAGGTGCACGCCACCATAGTCTCTTCGTACTCCTTCATGACACAGCTTTTGAAAGGACTGTATATACACTTGACCCTTGAATAGTGTGGGGTTTAGGATTGCCAGCCTCCGCGTGGTCAAAAATTCATGTATAGAACTCTTTTTTTTTGAGACAGAGTCTTGCTCTGTCGCCCCCGCTGGAGTGCAGTGGCGCGATCTCAGCTCACTGCAAGCTCCACCTCCAGAGTTCACGCCATTCTCCTGCCTCAGCCTCCCGAGTAGCTGGGACTACAGGCACCCACCACCATGCTTGGCTAAATTTTTTTTTGTATTTTTAGTAGAGATGGGGTTTCACTGTGTTAGCCAGGATGGTCTTGATCTCCTGACCTCATGATCCACCTTCCTTGGCCTCCCAAAGTGCTGGGATTACAGGCGTGAACCACCGCGCCCAGCTCTAGAACTTTTTACTCCCCCCAAAATTCAACTACTAATTGCCTACTGTTGACCAGAACAGGAGAGGTTGGTCTTGCTGTCACAGGAATGGCAGGGGCAGGAGAAAATCCAGATGTAAGTGGGCCTGCACAGTTTAAACCCATGTCATTCAAGGGTCAACTGTTCTTGCTGTCCTCAGGTTTTTTCTTAACATTCTCTTGTGCACCCATTTGTAGTTTCAACCAGGCTTTTACCCCTAGTGCTCTACCAAAAGTATGCTCATCAAACTACCAATGACCCACACTTAGCTAGATCCAAAGTGCAAATCTTAGTTCCCATTTTGCTTGCCTTAGTTTGTGGCATTTGACACAGTTGATCATTCCTTCTTGTCCACTCGTTTTCTTTTCTTGGTTTCCAGAACACAGCATTCTGGTATTTTCCTTCCGCCCTGCTTACTGGTTGCTCCTTCTCAGTCTCCTGTTGCATATTCATGACCTTTTAATGTTAGAAGATACTACCTATATGCCAACAACTCCCAAACGTATTTTGCTGGGTCCAAACTCCATGTTTGTATACCCAACTGCCCATTCAACATCTCCACTCAGGTATCTAATAGCTGAAGCTTAGCATGTCTCCTGATCTTACCCTTCTCCGTTCGTCTATTCTACTGGTGAATCTTCCCGATCTTATTTGATGGACCCCAGCCATCTTTACATTTGCTCAGATAAAAAAGGAGTCATTCTTGATTCCTCCTTTTCTTTCATTCCTAACGTTCCATCCGTCTTCTTTCAGAATGTATCCAGTTCTGACCACTTCTTGCCTTCCTCACTGCCGCTGCCTTGATGTAATCTCTTATGATTTCCTGCCCAGATTACTATCATAATCTCCTAATTTGTTTCCTCTGCTCCATCCTTTTCTTGTCACAGTGTCTGTTTTCAACACAAAAGGCAAAATAATTCTTTCAAATGTGAAGTCAGCTCTGTGTCTTCATCTCCTGCTGCCTCCCGCTCCTGCATTCTGCTCTAGCTGCAGTGGTGGTGCCTTTGTTGCTAATGTGCATTGGCTGTTATCTTTGCTTTTCTTCCGATGACTGGGCATCCCATACCTCTTTGAGTTTTTGATAAAATCAATCTCAGTGCGGCCTGCCCTGATATTACAGCTGTGGCCCTGCACCCCTGTTCCCTTTCCTGCTCTCCATGTTCTTTTTTCCATTTCACTTATCCCTACTGTCAGTGCTTTCTTTGACTTTTCACTTCATTCATGATGTCTTTTCAGTACAGAACTTTTAAAATTTTAGTGGAGCCACACATTTCAACCTTTTTTAAATATATAATTTGTTACTATTAAAAAATTTTTATTTTTTACACTTTAAAAAATGAGATCAAATATACATATAAAATTTACCATCTTCACCATTTTGAGTGTATATCAGTGGCAATCAATTTATATTCTTTTTTCTGCCTTCATTTCTCCCTCATTTATAATAATCCTACAGTATCCCAAGGTCATTTAGTTTTGGGGTACAATGTTTAAGAATGGGCTAGGTAAAATTAGGCCTGAATGGGGGTTGAGAATAAGGACTTGATTCAAGTTCTCTTTCATTCCCTCCTAATGAACATTGGCCAGACTCCCAATTTTGGCAACCAGCCAAAAATACCTTCCTGAAAAAATGCTAGCTGTATCTTCAGATGCTGAGATGTGGATATTGGGCCTCCTTCCCAAACTGATGAGAGGTACAGATGACTGACGTTACCTCTTCCATCTCTAATGTGAGTCATTGCAGGGCCTACATGCAATGTCATTTCTCAGGATGAACAGTGATTACAGCACATATTGGTTTGTGTATTATCCACCCACGAGTTTATGAAGCAAGCATTTTTTCCTATTTTTATTTTTTAAAAAATATTTCCATGTAAATTAGAATCTAAACTAGACAGTTCTGTTTAAGCAGGCAAAATTCAGCTAAAGTCCTGTTTTCTGAGAATTGAGAATACATTCCATACCTCACTTGCCTCTTGGAGATTTCAAAGGCTTTTATATACCTGGTAATTTGCAGGAATTGCTTTTATTTTGTGGTTTCTCAGGGACTTCTAATATCTCTCTTGTAAGATGTTTGCAGATGTCAATAGCTACTAGCTCTGAGGGGTTAGAGTAACAAGATCATTCTGTGGTATCTTGTTTTCTGCTTGTGCTATTAGTTCTTTTCTAGCTTCATGAGAGACATATAATCAGACTCTGAAGGTGCCTTGTTTTTTATTGGGATGTTTGTTGATACACTTTTTATTTTCCTTCATTCTTTTGAGGGTATTTTGTCCTGTGGAGTGTCTTAAAAGCAAGATTCTTATTTAGACAAACATTTTCAAACATTTAGTTGTACCTCAACCCATAATCTTCATTTGAAGGCTCATTGGAACAGTGTTTCTTACCTTTTATTCCTAGTTTTGGAATTACAGCCAACTGACATTCCTTTCTACCTCTGTGCTGTTTCAGAATATGTGGGGAGACAGATGTAGCGGTGCATGCTTATAGTCCTAGCTACTCAGGAGGCCGAGATGGGAGGACTGCCTGAAGCCAGGAGTTCAAGACTAGCCTGAGCAACATAGTAAGACCCCATATCTTTAAAAAAAAAAAAATGTAGGTAAGTTGCAGGATTTTGGGTTCTGAGGCAAATCATAAGGCTATGTAAGGTCAGTGTCGTTATTTTGTTCAATTCATTTTTCAAAATGTTCACTTAGTCTTTAGTAATCACAGAGCTACCCTCAGAAAATAGAATGTCCACTGTTGTTTGGTGAATATGAGTACGCTGACACTTCTTTATTCCTGAGGGCTGGTTGTGATAACCATTGATTTTGTCTTTATTTAAAATCCTGTTTATTACCGGCACCTGGTATCTTCTGTCTGGCAAGCATTCTTACGTATGATTGAGCGCCATCACCAACTCTGCTTTACAGCTTATGTTACACTTGGCTCCTTAAGAGATCTCTGATTTGTAATCTATTTTTATAAAATATCCATAATCCTGTACATCTGTCCCTTGTGTTAACCAGGATTCCCCTAACCCAGGCAATTTCTATGCATCCCATTTCCTTTATTTTCTATAAGAAAACCTCAATGTTATTTTGTTCCTCTAAAGATTTTCATGTTTACGGTCATATCCTTCCCATTAGACAGTGATCATGACACACCTGGGCCTTGATCAGAGCTCAGCCACCCCAGAGGCTTCTATCTGGAGTATGTTGATTTCCACATATGATCTGGGAGAAGGAGCTACCTTAAGTTTCTAGAAGAGCACTGGAATGATGATCATTATGCCCTCTGCCCCCACTTTTTTTAACAGGAGGTAGAAAACAGCTGATTAGTGAATATGAAACTCAAATTTCCTTGACACTGAAAGTGTTATCTGCATTCTCATAAGAGATTTTCTTGGTCGTAGTCAATGAATTGAAATGTTTGTATGTGCTAGAGGCATGGAGGCTTAGTTTGCATCGAGGAGGAAGCATCTATTTCATAGATCCCCTTAACCATAATATCGACCTTAGGATGATTTTTAAATGGGGCATTGAAATGATGAAGGCTGTTTACTTAAGAGTAGCGGCTATTTAGGAAAAAATGTAATATCTGCTTTGAGTACAGTTTGGACTGCACAGAGGTGTCTTGTTTTGTCAGGTGCATAATAGGTGGCAAAGGTTCGGCCAGATTGGATAAGCATAGAGGATGTGGAATCAATGGTGTACATCTAGGGTAGGGGTTAGTCCTTGATTTTCTCCTGTCTTTCTATACTTTTTGCAAATATTTTCCTGGAGGTTCTCAAGTCTGCAAAGCAGTCCTGTTCTCCTAGCATACTTGATCTTTGTATATCAGTCTGCATGTTTCTTTGGAGCTACTTAAATCTAACTGTAGTTATTGAGTATGTACTAATGAGGGAGGTACTGTACTTGGCTCTGGGGAGTTAAAGAAAAACAAATGGGTCTTTTTTGTCTTGGAACTTATAGGCTTCTGGGAGGGAAACATTAAAGTGAAGTATACCAACTGGTGTAGTCAGGATCTCTTATTTCTTATACAAAGACAAAAGTCTCTTGACTTACGCATGTCATCATGACTCCACATTGGATTCCTACTCCTTTATCCTCCCTTTCTACACCATTGTCAGTTCCCGTTAATTCATTTCTTCAAGTGGTTCTCATCATCTCTCGGGCTCCTGTCCTTTCCTACTTCTGTTACCTTCATCTAGATAGACCCTCTTATATCATCTAAAAATGGCATTGCTTAGAATAGCCACCTCTTTTAGGAGAAGTCTGGGGCCTATGAGATAATGAAGTAAGTGTGTATGTGTTGACATACTATTTCTTCCTGCCTCTCTTCTTTTGGTTTTTCTGTTTTTTCCAACTTTAATTTTCCTCCTATTTCTTTACTATCCTGCAAACTCATATTAAATCTGACCTTGTCAATGAAACATTTCCTGATTACTTCTTTCCACTTCCCTGAACACTTATAGCATTTAGTCCCTAGTCTGTATCACATGTATTAGCATAGCACTTAATCAAAACACTTGTCCAGGTGTGATGGCTCAGGCCTGTAATCCCAGCACTTTGGGTGGGAGGCAGAGGCAGGTGGATCATTTGAGGTCAGGAGTTTGAGACCAGCCTAGCCAATAGGTGAAACCCCATCTCTACTAAAAATACAAAAATTAGCTGGGTGTGGTGACACATGCCTGTAATCCCAGCTACTGTGGAGGCTGAGGCACAAGAGTTGCTTGAACCCAGGAGGCGGAGGTTGCAGTGAGCCAAGATCATGCCCCTGCACTCCAGCCTGGGCAACAGAGCAAGACTCTGTCTGAAAAAAAAGGAAGAAAAAAACTGCTTTGTGTTGCTATTTCATATCTGTAGGATTTCTGTTATTACTATTTTAAGTTTCATAATTTTTGAGTCCAGGATTATATATGTATTTACAGAATGCTTTGTATGGAACTAACAGTTGGTAGGTGCTCAGTAAAGATTTTTTGAGTAATAGAATTGGATTTAAAATATCTATAAATATTTGAAGGGTCCTAATACTTAATTGAGCTTCTTCTGTAATACAGTTTATGCCTCTATGTCTGTGTTAAAGACCATTTGTTTCCAGTTTGGGTAATTACAAACACTTCATTTCTTATTTGTGAGCCTGTTATGTGAAAAAGGTAGCCCTATTCTCAGTAAAGCATTTCAACCAAATACTTTTAATCATTTATTATGTGTCTTAACACATTTAATATTTGCGATACTAAGAGATAACCAATTTCAGACACATTCCTATATCTTGTGCTGTTGTACATGTTCATTTGATATTGTTCATTCCTGATGTCATGTTTTATTTTACTTTTAGGATAAGAACAAGAAACTGCGTCCCCTGTATGACATTCCTTACATGTTTGAGGCCCGGGAATTTCTTCGAAAAAAGCTTATTGGGAAGAAGGTAAGTAATTGATGACAGAAGCATATTTGCAAGTGGTTGGGCTTAAGCTAATCTTTTGGAGGCAATTGTTATAAGCTGGGCCCTTTACCAGCAGATGACACTTCTCCATCAAGTCAAATGGAATTACTTTGATATGAAGAGAGGCGTGTTTATGTGTCAGAAACGGTACCCGATGGGAGAGGTTTAAAATTGGGGCCCTGACCACAGTTTGATTGCCAATAGTCTCACAGCAGGGTCCGGGCTCAACTCCAGTTTTAATAATTGCATATTGCCCTGAGCTCCATTCAGTTGGCTCTCTTGTTCTCTCCAGCCACCTTCATTAAATGTCCAGGGCTATGGAATTTACTAGCGAGGGAAGGTTGCTGCTTTTTCATGCTTCCCCTACTTCTGAGGGATAGGCTGGCTATAAGGGGAAGAGGGGATGACCTGGACTAAGAGCACGCCTATTGTAATGCACTGTGGCATCAATGCTCCCTCTATTCTTCTGGCTGGCAGAATTTCCTATACCCTGTGGGAGTTTTTTTTTTCAGGAAGGGGTGTGTGGCTTCCTGATAGTTCATGTGCAGATTTTTGTGTAGCTTGATGGCTTCTTTTTTTTTTTTTTTTTGAGACAACATCTCACTCTGTTGCCTAGTCTGGAGTGCAGAGGTGTGATCTCAGCTCACTGCAACCTCTGCACCCTGAGTTCAAGCATTTCTACCACCTCAGCCTCCAGAATAGCTGGGACTGCAGGTATGCACCACCACGCCTGGCTAATTTTTGTATTTTTTTGGTCGAGACGGAGTTTCACCATGGTGGCCAGGCTGGTCTTGAACTCCTGACCTCAAGTGATCCACCCGCCTCAGCCTCCCAAAGTGCTGGGATTACAGGCATGGGCCACTGCACCCGGCCTTGTGACAGGTTTAATAAGCCTCTGACTTTTGAACTAATACCAAAATGGTGTATCCTAATTATAAATACAACCATTTTTATTGTATACCATAGTCACTAGGATGATAATTATAGTAAGAGATTTTGAAGTTGGACATAAGGTAAAATTGCTAATTTTGAGGAAGAGAAACCAAACTGGATTCTCAAAAATGAGTATTCGATCTACTCAGGTTTCTTCAGAGAATAGGTTCATCTGTCATTGTACAAAACTTGACAGCATGCTGTATTCATTCATGAGGTGGAGTACGAATGATGGCTTTAAGCTTCTTTCAATTTCTAGATCTCCTGTTATCTGATCTAATGTCTGACATCTCTATTACACCAAGTTGATATCATTTCGCTCATTTACTGGCTTATAAACAGTTGCTTACAGATAGCCAAGGAATTTCTTCACAAGTGTGGGTTTCTATTGAAATTTATCTAAAATCACATTGAAAGGAGTGGCAGCACATATCTGATTCGTGTGTAGCCAGTTGTGTGGCGTGTATTATGGCATCCACCTGGTTTATTTGAATATTGCCTTAACCCTGATTCTGTTTCATCCCTGGGACCATAGATCATAGCTTATTGCAGCAGCTGCTAATGGCCTTGGAAGGTTAGACCAAGGTTCTGCTCTCAAGAACTGTATGCCAGGCCATTGTAAAGTGCTCTGTCACAGGATAAAAGGACTAACCTCCAGTGTCAGATATGGAGTCAATTCTTAATCAATTAGGTTCCCTCTTGGTGAGAGAAGCCTCCTTTATTGGTTCCTGTGCAACAGAGTTGATTGTATTCTATTTGTGCTGAGCTCAAGTTTTGTTCCCCAGAGTGACATTGTATAAATGATGAATATTGTATCCCTGAGTAGTGAGTAGGATGCAACTCAGCTCTGCTGGGCTGGAACATTCCTGATGCAAACTGCTTTTCCTGACTCACCACCTGAAACCACTTGCCTGTCTTCTGGGCCTGTCACTTGCCACAGTGAACACCCATGTACTCTGGCGTCTGGGAGCAGGCAGGGCAGTTGCTGCCTCAGGGGAGTGGCTAGCACATCATTGCACATTTCTACCAATTCCCTTCAGACCTCTGCAGCTGTTCAGCATGGCACATGGTGATTAAGAGGCACCACGAGGGAGCATGTGTATCTATGTGCCTGTGTGCACGAAAGCTGATTAGGGCAGCCTGTCACAGCTTAAGAAAGATAATGGAGGTAAAATCATCTTCTCTGCCTAGACTATTATTTGACCTTCTCAGGGATTCCATAATATGACAATTTTGAGGAGTTGCTAGAATGCAGAGAAATAAGACTGAAGGTAAACTGCTAAGGTGTTTTGTTGGCTTTGATGACCTCCATCCTAGTTTTTGGAAATGGATTCACTTCCTGGATTTAATTCTGGATTAATGCCTTTAATTAAATTACCCATACTTCTCTTGGAGGCTTTGTTTCGTAATTTGTGAACCGGGACTATTACTTGCTTTCCTTCTCTCATGAAGTTGAGTTATGAGAATATAGGATGATGGTAGTATTTCATGTTTGTCCAGATGCCAGTAAAGTATATGGTTTGATTTTGCTTAATACTGTTTTTATATAGAATCTTTCATAGCCCTACTTTTTCAGTTATGATATATTCCTGGTTCTGAGGTTATGAGAAGTGCATCAGCGTGCGACTAATCTGACATCATAAGGAGTATTTTTCCCTTTCTTTGTTGGTTCTGCTGACTTTATTGCCTTTTCAACCCATTGCATGAATTCCAGTGTTATTTAATTAGATGTGCATGAGGGCTTTAGCTTTCAGAAGATGAGTATGTGCTGGTGCTAAAGGGTGTGTATGTGTGTGTTTCTAATTGAGAGAGTGGTAGAAGAATACTGTGTGTATCCTTGAAGCATTTTGGAAACTCCCTCAATTGCCATACTGCCTAGTAGAACTCTCTTCCCATCTCCTGTTTACCATCTGCCCTCTTTCACTAAAATCTTGACTAAGGAATATTCACAGCAAAGAGTTTTGTGTTAATTTCTTCACAGGCTCATCATGAAATGGAATTTGTAATAACTTTAACATGTTTTCTGGTTTTCCAGAATGATTTTCTCGCTGTGTGAATACGATGGTGAGACTGGTGTCCTTAGGCTGTGGTCTTCTTCTGATAGCAGGAGCAATCTTTTTCTGTGTTTATAATTTATTTCCCTTAACGCTTAGAGATCAGTTTGCATTGCCCTAGTCATTTTGCTTTCAGGAGAATAAGGTAGTAACTGGGATCTTCATTGGGATTTCCCTCCAGCTATCTTATAAAATATCTAAAGTTGAGACTCAGTATGGTTTATCCATGTGATACAGTTTTTTAAAATGACATATGAGTCATTTCTATAGCTCTTGTCCCTTAATTGCAGAATTTCTATCACCATGGGAACCATTGTATTTAAACTTGCAATTTGTTTGGACAACTGGAGTTTCAAAAATGATGGAAAAGATGGAATTGTAAGAAGCCAGAGTGCATTGAAGCTTCTGTGCTGACAGTAGATGCTCATTGTAAACTGTTCTATCATCAGAGACTGTCCTGAAAATATATGCCTATTGCTTTAATGTCCCTTTTACTATTTCTTTTGATGAGCAAATATTGGGGATGAGCCTCATTTGTAAACTAACAGCAGCCTTTTTGTGGCTTTCATGCCATTGAAATTTGTTATCTGAACTAACCCAGCTCTTTTTAGGCACTTAGAATTGGGCATTTTTCTTGATCAGTGCAGACATTTGGGAAGTTATGGGGCTATAAATCATTTAGTGAGTTATTTCAAATCCAGATTGCCTTAGATTGTTGTTCTCTTTTCAAAATCTGTCTTTCTTGAGGTATGTACTTTTAGGGTGTGGAGATGGAAATGATCTCCATGTGCACCAGACTTATAAATCCAGAATTTCCAAGACTAATCTCTTGATCTTCTGGTGGACATCTGGCTCTCCTCCGGTGTTATGGGAGTTACCCCATTATCTATTGCTATCAGACATCTTTGACACCCTTATTCCAGTCCCTCACCCACTTCTGCTGGATATGTATCTGAATGATTCCTCCTTTCCAGTGCACGGCGCCTACCTTGCTTATATCTCGTCTAGCCTGGACTCCTATGTGGCCTTCCTACTGGTTTTGCCACAAGAATCAGGGTGTTAGACTACCTCCTCGTATCAGTAATCCAAAATCAATCTGGAAATGGTTAATATATGTAATGATATTATCTCTATTCTGGGTAAATGTGCTTCTGTGAGCTAGGTTGGCAACCCAACTACTGTTTATAGACTTGTTTCTATAAAATAAAATAAAATATTCTAAATGTCTAAGCAGAGTTTTGGAGATGTGGCTCATTTGTAATTTGGTGGCTACCATTTTATGATTTTCATGCCATTGAAATTTCTTCTGTGAAGTAGACTATTTTTTTTGGTAAAGCATTTGATAGAATGCCGATTATATCTTCAAGGGTTAGGACTGCTGTTTATTGGGTTCTCTCTTCATAGTAAGCACTGAACTCTGAGAACTTTGTTTTCACTTTTAATTTTTGCCTCCACCCTGCAAGATCTACATGTTGTTCTGGTCTTTACAAGTAAAGAAACTGGAGCCCACAGAAAAGTACTTTACTCAGATGCCAATGCTTTTAATTGCTATGCTGAATTAAAGACTTTTAGAAATGTTTACTTCTCTGTTGTGTATACTGAGTCAGATATAGACAGGGTCGTGGTATTTTTGGAATAATGTCTGTTCCTGTATATAATACATCCTTTACATGCTGCAAGAAAGTAGATTTCTTCAGGTAGTCTGTGGCTATCAGGAGGTGGTAATAGCACTGTATATCTGCCTTCAGAGTGCTTTTAGCCCTCTAGACAGTATCTCATTAGTCTTTGAGATGTCCCTGTGAAGTTGTGTTTCATCAAGTCGTTCTTCAGAGAAAGCAGTGTCAGATTACATGTTCTTCGCCTAAATATACAGACAATGTGAAGTCCTCGATAACATTGCTAAGCCAATTTTGAAGCTTGATTTCTCTTTCTCTTCATTCGCTTGGCATAGGTGTGACTTCTGGGAGCATCAGGGAGAAAGGAAGGACAGGTGTTGCTTTTTTTTATCTTGGCACAGGGTCACGGAGAAGTTGAGGGGCACTGTAGGTGCTTGTTCCACTGTATGAGAATAGATCTCCGAAGGTACCGGGAGTAACATTGCTTAGCAGGACCAGTTTTTCACTCTGCTAGTGAGAGCTCTTCAAGGGCACACAGCTTTCCTGAGGAGGACTCCACCCTTCTCCCTGGCTATTTATCAGGGTTGTGCTTTTCCTTAAAAACACTTGTGTTCTGTCTGTTGCAGTGTGTTACCTAATCAGCTGTGTTAAGTACAAAAAGCTGGGATTCTGGGGATTCTTGTTCCTAATTACCTCTATTTAAGTTTGGATTTTATAAACATTTCTTTTGTCATCTCCACATTTTTCACCTCATATTAATTTGATTCATTCATGCTATGGAAAAGTCCTTTACATTAATGATCAAAGCAGGCCCTAAGGTTGTGAATGCATTGTGATTTAAATTGACAGGTTTATACAAGGTTGCTTGTCCTTGCCTCCTCAGTGCCAGCTGTTCGGTGTGGCTGTAAATTTTTTGAACAAATGACTGAAGATATTTGCCAAATTGAGAGCTGTTTTGAATGACTTGTAATTTCCGACCATGCATTTTTCTAGGAAGAGTTCTCCCACTTGGAAGTGGTAGTAATGTGTCAACATGCATTGGAGACCATGTTTCATTTTAGATGCTCTTTACCCTTTGGGTTTTGGGAAGGATCCTAATCTTTTACCCCTTGATTCTTGAGCTCTCTTGTAAAGAGAAGGTTGATTAACAGAAATGACTGGAGTTGCCTGTTTCTGGAAGCTCAGCAAGGTAGCTTTCTTCCTGCTGCCACCTAAATGGTCTTTTCGATAATGAGTTTTTGGTTGTTTGTTGTTGTTGTTGTTTTCCCTGCAGACTCTGAAAAGTACCTCTGTTCTTTGAGGACTATCAGGGTGTTGAGCTGAGCACACATTTCTTTGGTGAAGTGTGTTATTTGTTGTTGTTGTTGTTGTTGTTTTCTTGAAATGGAGTTTTGCTCTTGTGGCCCAGGCTGGAGTGCAAGCAATGGCAGGATCTTGGCTCACTGCAACGTCCGCCTCCCAGGTTCAAGTGATTCTCCTGCCTTAGCCGCCCAAGTAGCTGGGATTATGGGCACCTGCCACCACACCTGGCTAATTTTTTATATTTTTAGTGGAGATGGGGTTTCACCATGTTGGCCAGGCAGGTCTCAAACTCCTGACCTCAGGTGATCCACCTGCCTTGGCCTCCCAAAGTGCTGGGATTACAGGTGTAAGCCACCACGCTCGGCCTTGAAGTGTGTTATTTGTGTGATGTATGTTGTAATATCCTCTTTAAAAAGCATCTCTAAGTTAAATGAAGAAGCTAGAGTTTTCAACTGCGTTCCTGGAAATTTCTTCCGTATGCTCACCTGAGGGAAATGATTTATTAGCTACCAGAATCCTCGAGATTCTCATATCTCTGGGATATACTCTTATATTAATTTGCTTATTATTAAAGACTTTCTTACTTGGACTCCCAAGTTGCTCATATTTTTCTGGTGAATGTTCCCATATTTATAACATGATTTGTGGTCGGCTTGTCTTAAGCCACCCACTCCTGATCTTTTCAGCTGGGTTTCTGAAATGTCGTCCTTGGGGCTGGAACTTTCCATGCTTACTCTCTGCAAACCAAGATTTTATTTTAGGGGAGATTTGTGCTGAATCAGCTCAGCTGTGTTTGGGGGTAGGGAGAGGACAGGCTTTTTTTCCCACTTTAAAAATAACCCTTATGTGCCAAAAAACCCTATAAAATGTGCTGAATTGCAAATCTTCCAACTTCCTATACCTCCTGGTTTACAGAGAATAGATTCTTTTGAGCTTGGGCTTGATGATACTGTGCAGAATATCTTATGTTGTAGACGAGTGTGAAGTGAGGCTGGATGCAGATGTGCTCATTTGGAAAGGAAACCTGACTATTGCTATCTTTTTTCAGTATTTTTTTCTCCAGCATACGATCAGTTTTGTCCACTTACAAGGATCTATGTAGGGATACTAGATATAAATTTTCTAATGAGAAAAACGTTTTCTTGTGTATCTGCAAAATAACCCATATCATTCAGAAAGAGTCCAATTGGAAAGCACCAACATTCCAGGGTTTCTATGTAAGTGGATCTCTTTTTGTTATGCTCTGTAAAGTTGGGCTAATTGTTTAGGTTGCTTGAATATTTCTTTCCCAAGGGTATAAACAGTTTGTTTGCGTGTGAGAAGGTAGGATGCACAAGTGTCTGTTGGTTCTAAGGTTGAAATTTGTCGACTTTTTATAGTTGGGTGATAGAAGTGATATTTTAAAGGCTACATCTTCATAATTTGGGTCATGTAGTTGTAAGTTAAAAAATGAGCCCCTTGTTTTAATGTATTTAAAATCTGAGTGATACTTTTTGCTCTTATGTGAAAGAAATTATTTTTATTGACACCCAGAATTGGCTTTTTTTTACTTTTACCTGAGCAGTTATCTTCTTCTGGCAAAACTTAAGGTATCCCTAAAGTGTAACAGTTCTATCCCATGAGTATTGCTAGCTTGGACAGTCCTTCCTGATGTTTTCATGATGATATGTGTAGTGGGGTTGCACAGCATCTCCCCAGAATACCCATCCATCTCGAACCTTAGAGTGTGACCTTATTTGGAAATAAGGTCTTTGCAGATGTAATTAGTTAAGGTAAAATTAAGTGATACTGGATTATGATGGACCCTAAATTCATTGACCAGTATCCTAATAAGAAGACGATCTATAGCCAGGCGTGGTGGACTGCACCTGTAGTCCCAGCTATTTGGGTGGCTGAGATAGGAGAATCACTTGAGCCTAGGAGTTGGAGGCCGCAGTGAACCATGATCATGCCACTGGACTCTAGTCTGTGCAACAGAGTGAGACCCCAACTCTAGAAGAAGAAGGAGGAGGAGGAGGGGAGAAGAAGAGAAGGAGGAGGAGGACGAGGAGGAGTATTGGGCACAGAGAGAAAGAGACCATGTGACAGTGGAGGTAGAAATTGGAGTGGTTTTAGCTACAAGCCAGGAAATGCCAACAATTGCCAGGATGCACCAGCTAGGAAGAGGCAAGGAAGGATACCTCCCTGGGGCCTTTAGAGGTATAATGATCCTGCCTACACCTTGATTTTCAACTTGGAGCTTTTGGAATTTTGAGGGGGTAATTTGCGGTACTTTGTTATGGCAGCCCTAGGAAAGCAATTTAGCTTGTATCTGGCCACTTGACTCTTGGCCGAACCTCTTGTTTCTGGGTTTCTACTTCAGTAGTTAGTTTCTTTACCAAGTAATCTGTGAGATAGGGTTTGATAATGTCAGCATTCTTTCATCTCCGATTTCATGCCTGTTTTGTCTTACTTCCTTTATTTGTGTTTATTCTTTCTGTGAATACTCCTCCTGGGTGGTAATGCCTTCCCTCCTGCAGACCAGCTGACAGTTGGTGTGGAGGAATTGATACACCCAAGCACATTTCCAGTGTTGTCCATAGGCTTACCTCCAAACCAGTGTCCTGTTTTCTTTCCTTGAAGCATGAACACTGATGTCCACTTAAGAAGGCTGCCCTGTCTCATGGCCATCCCAGTCACAGGGCCTCCATCACTTCTACTTAGTAATTAGCAGCATTTTGAAATATGACACACCCTGGGAGAAATCATTCCTGGCAGGAGCTCTTGGTGAGCCGTGCTCATCCCATTCAAGGTTGATGAATAGAACATTAAGAATAATTAGCACAAGACTGTCTACTGGAACACTATCTCTTTTACATAGAGCATTATGTGGCACTGTGCAGGAATTTTCTTCAGTAACTATAGGAATCCCAGGTGTTCTCCTTAACCTGGCCTTTTTGGATAAGATATTTTTTCTGCAGCTTTGCCTTCTCACCTCTTCTGGCTTCAACAAGTGGGCTGGGCTGAAGAGCAAGTCCTCTGAAAGGTATTTGCTCAATAGTTGGTGTGCTTATTTTCTTTAGAACTCAGTCCCTGAAGCTTTGGTCATGTGTAAACACTTGCTATGTTAAGAAGGCCTTAATACGTTAACAAGTAACCTAGTAACACCAATTCATTTCTCAAACTCTTTTTTTTTTTTTTTTTTTGTAACAGTGTCTCGCTCTGTCACCCAGGCTGGAGTGCAGTGATGCGATCTTGGCTCACTGCAACGTCTGCCTCCTGGGTTCAAGCAGTTCTCATGCCCCAGTCTTCTGAGTAGCTGGACTACAGGCATGTACCACCAAGCCCAGCTAATTGTTGTATTTTTAGTAGGGATAGGGTTTCACCATGTTGGCTAGGGGTCTCGAACTCCCAATCTCAGGTGATCTGTCTGCTTTGGCCTCCCAAAGTGCTAGAATTACAGGTATGAGCCACTCCACCTAGCTAGTTCATTTTTGTTATTCATTCAGCAGATATTTTTTGGACAGCTACTCTGTGCCAAGGCATTGGGGATAGAGCCTATTTTTATAGTACTAATATTTTAGAAAACACACATAGTTGTTGGGTACCTTTGTAGAGGTGCAGTAAGGATGAATAAAATATCATCTCTGTTGCAAGTTGCTTGCAGTCTAACTGGAGTGAGATGACATCTGTTGTATAAGAAGTTGAATAAGAACAGATTTGAATAACTGGTAAGACAACAGAAATGTATCACTTGATGGTATTTGATAAATATTAATGCGAAGTGTACTGATTGTGGTTATCTTTCACAGATAGGAGAGGTCTCACCTGCTGGGTGACCTTATGTATTTAATGGTCTCAGCTTCCAGTCATAACCCTGACTCTTAGGAATAGGAATATTTCCCCTCCTAACTTCTTTCTCTGCTTATAGACTTGCCCTGTTTCTTCTGTCTATGCCATCTTGCAGATTACTATCACAATTGCTTTCAAAATGCGTAGACCTGACCACGTCACCAACTCTGCTGATACCCATTTGCCTGCAGAAAAAAAATCTGATTCCTTAAATGATTATATAATAAAAAGCAAAGGAAAGGCAGCTGTATATAAAATATTGTAACTTCAAGTGAGCATCTTGCTTCCATTTCCAGTCTGACTTCTGGCATTGCTGTCCACATAATATGTCACAAAGAACTTCTCACCATTCCATGGACATGCCAAGCCATTTCACAACTTCTTTCCTTCATACTTTTTTTTTTTTTTTTTTTTTTTTTTGGTCAGGAATCTTACCTCTGTTCTGTATTCCTGGTTCCCCATGTAAAGTCTGGTGTTCTTTGTCCTCCGATAATATTTTTGTGACCCTTTCTGTTGTAGTAGTTCCCAGGTCTGACCTTCCTCCCCACCCCTATAGGGCAAAGAGCCTCTCTTGTCTTTTCATCAGCTCACAGTTCCTAAGACTGTGCTTGACATTGACAATGACGTCGAGATCCTCAATAGATCTTTACAGAAGGGGTGGGATTTGTCCTCTGCTTTGTCATATGGAAGATTTGGATATGGAGAAGGCCTGTCATATAGCTCTGAGCTGGGGAAATGGTTTCCTTGTCACCTGCTTTTTAAATTTCCTCATACTGTTATATAATAATATAGACTTGGAGCCCTAATTCAGGGAGACTTTAGGTATAAGTACTGTCTGGTTGAAATACAAACCAAGACCTTAAAAATAGGTTGGATAAATATGTTTTCTTTTGTTTTGCTATGTGTGAATTGAAATTGTTGGATTATTGCTCCATCTGATTGGCAGCATGCTTGTTGCCTAGTGTGAAGTCTTCATGAGGGAAGCTGAGCAGTCACTCCTTAGTACTGTAGGTCTGATTTGGGGCTTTTCTGTGTCTTTTTCATTATTGAAACTGTGCATCATTAAAAATCACAGAAGGATTTACTCAACTAATAGGCAATAAATACTATTTTTTGGCTTGAATTCTCTATTATTATTTTAAAGTTCTAAGTAACTTAAGGTTGATGGACCTTGACTGAACCCTGCTGTTCCCATCTCCCTCTCAGCCCCTGGCTTGGGATTCTTAATGTTCCTATTCCCCAGTAATAGTGCAAATGAGTTGGAAGTCAGTACGTCAGTGCCTTGCTCCACTCTGCTGTGTGTGCGTTGTATGATGGACCTTTTTGCCTGGCAGGTTGCTGCTGAGCCCAGCTCCTCAGAGCCTGTCCTAGTAGAATTTGATGCACAGGGTGGGCAGTGAAACAGCAGAGTTTCCTCCACCAGGCTCGGTTTCCACCATCTCCAAACTTTTAACCACCATTTATTTAAAAAAGACACCAAAAGAAAAGCAAGGAAAGGAGAAGTAAAGAATGGAAGAAAGGAAGGGAGAAAGTCACAGAGGTGACCTGGTCTTTGATTAGAAGTTTAGGTGACCATGTTTTGGTGAGATGGTGTCACGTGCAGCTAGAGAGCTGGGGAGGCTTTTTTAGCTTTCTGATTGAATCTCTCAACATTTGAGTGAGAAAATCATAATTTGATGGTCTCTGCATTTATGACACCTCCATTTCTTCATTTATAAAATGGACATCATGTTTGACACCTCTAATTCCTTGTGTTTGTAATAGTATAGGGAGAGAATGTAAGCAAACAGTCACATTAGGAGTAAATTTGAGCAGGGCAAAATGGAAGGAACTGTTTTATTTCTTCAGGGTGGAACTATAGAAGTTAGTACTTCAAATGCAGACCTGCAGCCTTGTCCAAAATTTGTCAGGCTACATAAAAATGAAGAGATGAGACATTTCAGTGACCTCAGAGTCAGGAAGATATGCAGTTGAAGATTGTGTATCATCACATTCTTACACTTGGGATGAATTCATTTCTTTCATTGTTCCTCATTTTCTTAATTTGGAATATCCAAAGGATACTTTTTTCTACCCTCTAAAAAGATGATCTTACTAAGGTATCCAGAAAGACTCAATTTGTCTTCCTGGTATTTCTAATCAGATTCTGACTTAACAACATTTACTTTTAAAAATGTAGTTTTCCTAGTATTGACTCTGAGGAGGGCCACCATAAAGAGGCAGGTGGCCCCACCTTGTAGGATGGGCTGGAGGTAGAAAAATTCAGGAGTCTGGAGTCCTGGCCTGAAGTGCATCTAGTCTTTGTTCACCTCACCCGCTTTCTATTTTGGCCCTTAGTTAACCCCTCTCTAAAAACAGAAGGAACCAGCAGGCCACCTCTGAAGATCATTTCATAAACCCGTTTGAAGATTTGTTGCCCGGTTTTGCATTGATTGGACTACTTTTAGGGTTCCAAAAGTTTAATCTTTTTGTCATCAAAGATTGTTTTATTTTAAATATCAGTGAATTTGATGAATACTGATGTGATGGCTATGTGTCACACACAAACCCCTGAGTCCTGTGGCCACTGGGTGATTCTTTGAACTTACTGTGAACACTGATTGTTAAAGGCCTGTTTGCTGAGAATGCTATAATGTAAATCTCTACTGTTTCTGTGCAGTGACTTTAATTATCTTAATCACCCATTATGCCCGCCTTCTCCCAACCCCTACAAGCTAGGAGATTGAATTCATTCTTTCTCCACCTCTGCTTATGTTACCAGGTTAGGGTCAAAGCAGATCTTTTTATCTGAAATGTTTAAGTGGTTAGGCTGGGGTTACAATTCAGTTAGTTACTGGGGAAAGGAATTGTTTCCTCTTTTTCTAAGATGTGTGGTTCCCAATGGTTTTCTCTCATTTGAGGGCTGGTGGTGGTTTCCTTCTGTCATTTGTCAGTTCACTACATTTTGAAATAATGGCTTTAGGAATCCAGTGCCATCAGAATGATTGACTTCTTGACATTAGCCAGGTGCTTTTTCACATTTTTCCCTAGTTTCTCCTATTGCTAGTGGTGGAGTTTGCTTGCTGTCGGCAGTTTGGAAGCAAAGCAGCATGTAGTTTGAACTCCACAGCATGGGAGAGTTTTTGAAGATCAAAGACAAAGATGAGTCATGTTGCTGTTCTTCGGTATTTCTGCTTTGGTGTAGTTAATCACAGCTTTCCAAGGGGCAAATGGTAATAAGATCACTAAGTCTAGATAGATTTATGATGTCTCAACATTCAGAGACTGAAAGTAGAATTGATAGTCTTTTTTACGTCACAGACACAAACTTCCCCTTCCTTTCTTTCTCTCTAACCTCATTTTCTTTTGTCCCTCTCTATCTTTCCTTTTTCCCCCTTTCCTTCTGCCTTCCATTTTCCTTCCTCCTCCTCAAAGTTTCTTAGACCTCCAACATGAAATTGTCAAAATGCTAAGCTTGTAGTAGCACTCACTTTCCAATGTGTATGCTCCATCTGCCTTTATGTCTGACTTGGCTGTTGTAGTGGATCCCTGGGACCTTTCTGACCTTAGCAAGGAAAAAGTGATTTGCTAAATGCCATTTTTTCTTGTTTCTGTTCTTCTTCCAGCAGCATGAAGCTTGGTTGAGTACCAGAGTTGACAGAGTATTAGCTTTTCTCTGAGCCAGGTCTGCTTAAGTTTTTGCTTGATGGTTCCAGTTTATTGTTGGCCTTGGATCCTCCCGAATGAACACTCAGAATGTTCTCAGCGAGATGATATTGTGTAGTACATTTAGAACTCTCTGCCTTCTTTAACTGTCATTTTCCATTGTTTTTGGAAAAGAGAAAACATGGACAAGGAAAATGTTGTGCCAGTCATTCCTCTTAGTCCAGGTTTCCCTTCCTGAGGAATTCTAGTTGATGGGCCAGTGTATGTGTGTCCTTGCTGGGTGCTCTAATGATGCAGTAGCCTGATGCTGCCCCAGGCACAAGTAGCATGCGGGGTGCTTGGCCATTGTTTCAGTTAGCAAAAAAATACCTGTTTGGATAACACTGACCTGCTTCAGAGTATGTTGTTTTCCTTGGATGACCCAGCTTTCTGTAATTCACCTTTGGATTGGATTGTTTTTTCCTGGACTCCATGTCATCATCTCTGCTCTCCAACTGTTGTCTCCAGGTTGATGGGTACCAGTACAGGATTGATTTCTCTGTGTCCTTGTTTTTTTCTGTTTCTTTCAGGGATTGCTTTTTACATTGGGATGATTTCTGTGGTCAGGCAAAGGTACTTTTCCTTACAGGATTTTTTTAAATTTAGTTTTTAAACTGCCAGGAAGATATAATTTTTAAAAAATTTTTGTTTTATGTAACATAACTTGTTCTTTACATTTTAAAAATAGATGTAGAAAGGATGTGTTAAAAAAAAAATAGCTGCGTAGAAAGCACATATATGGATAAAGCAGTGATTTTAAAAAATTTTTCTTCTAAAGATTTTAAAAGTCAAATCAAGAAAGTAAATGAATTTGGTTGTTTTATTGCCGAAACAGACATTTTGACGTCATTTGGCAGGAAAGCCATTATGGAAACAGGTTATTTTTTGACAAGCTATTATATAAAATGGGCAGACATTTGAATTATTTAACATCCCTTTTATCTTTTAGACATTTTTATTTATGGGGAAATCAATATCATTTTAAGGTTTTTCTCTTATGTATTCATTTTTTATTTTAATTATTATTTTGAGTAGATAATGCATTTAATTGGTTTAAAATTCAAATGCTAATAAAGGGTATAAGTTAGAGACCTTTCTTTTGCCCTAGTCCTTCACAGGTTCATTTTACCACCCAAGAAGCAATTAGTATTACGATTTCCTTGTAAGTCCTTTCAGGGTTATTTTAGGCCTACCCGGGAAGATACGTTTGTGGGTAGGTATTCTCCCTTTTTACACATATACTAGCATCATAAATAAGTTTAAATTTCATACATACCACCAAAAATAGTGTCTTTGCATTTGTGTTTCAATTCTATGTGCTTACAAGTAGTAAAGGATTATCATATTTGATCTGTACAACTTAGAGAAAGCTTGCAACTTTCCCGTAAAATTTTAGTCTAGTTTTCTCTATGGCCATAATTTTCCTACTTGAAAATGCAACTGTGAATTCTACTAATACTGGTGATATTGTTCATTCTGTCTTTGTTTATGATACTGCATTTTTTTTGCTGTTTTGTTTTAAATAACATTTACTGCTCATTTTTTCAATCATAAAAGCACTTGTTTATTCTAAAAATGTTTTTTGAAAAAAAGAGAAGATAAAGGGAAAAAACCCCTACCATTCAGGGTAGCATCTGTTAATACTTGAGTGTGTATTACTCTAATCCTTTTTTAAATGCACTTGTGTTTGCATAATTTTCAACTTAGCTAGTAATTATATGTTACTTACTGTTTTGTAACCTGCAATATGATGGTTTCTCCATGTCATTAAATAGTCTTCTACATGAGGTACTTTATCATTTAATATCATTGAATGTTTAATCAATATCCTGTTGTTGGCTATTTGTAGTGGTTTAGTGTATGGACTTTGAAACCAAATAGACATGAGTTTGAATCTCTGGGGTAGCATTACCTAAATCAGTCCTGTCATGACCATTAAATGAGGTAATATACGTTAAGCATTTAGTGCAGTGCTTGGGCACATTGTAAGAGCGTAATCGATAACAGCAAACTACTGAGTCAGGGTTTAGGAAAATTAAGAACAGAGAGCAGTACACAATATGACAAATAAAATGAACTAGTTCTGGGTCCTGATAAGGCTGAGTGAGAGACAGAAGGGGATGAGCAAAGTGAGCAGTGTGGTTGGGGGAGATACAGAGTGAGTTCTTAAGAGGAAGAAGGCAGCCAGCCTTATTTCCCTTAAACCCCCACACCTCCTAGTTGCTTTCAAAACCAGTCCAGCAAGATTACAGTCTATTGCGTGTCCCTCTTTAGGAAGTCTTTTTCCCTCCCAGGTGCTTGGTTCCCCTGACTAGGATGTTATGAGTCTGGGAGGAAGTGGGAATGGCCTTGGGAAGGGGGAGCTGGGAGAGAACTCAACATCTTATTTCCTTCTTTTCTGAGTTTCTTGACACATTTTTCACAACCAGGTAAGGTTCCCATGGGAATTGGCGGGACATCTCAGGGGGACTTAATTTACTGTGACCCAAAAGAAACTAAAGAAAGGGCAAAGTATGCACCCTACCAGCAGGTTTTTTAAAATCCAAGTTTCTCTGAAAGTCTCAGACTTACTAAAGCTCAAAATTAAAGATTCTCAATCCCCTGAATTTACCTGTCTAACCATAAGTTTGTTTGATCATCAGTTAGGAACAAATGTTGGATGCCTTGCCTCTCTCAACATTTTCGAGCTCTGCAAATGAACGCTCAATTAATTAATCCAGCATTACAAACTGTTCTTTTTTTTTTCTATTCACTTTGACATATTTGCTTTTAAAAGTCAGACTTAATTGAGGAGGTATTGGCGAATTCAGATATTGATCAAATTTAGATAATATTATAAAGTGAGTTTATTTCTAATCCCATAGGTAGCATATTTTGTTTAAAGTGACCTTGATATTTAAAGTGAAAGAGAGATTTGTTGTGATTTATGTTATAGAGTGATGCATTTTATTTACTCATATCATAGTCAACACTTAAGCAATGAAGGATTTGCGCTGGTATTAAATATTGAGTATGACGACAACAAAATGAAGCAGAAATGCTGCTTTATTAAAAAATGTAGGCAAACTTTTTAAAAAAGTAAATAACTACTTTTGTAAATGCAGTGCTATATTTTTATACTATCCTTTTCCCATGGTGGTATCTTTAAGTTTCCACTGATTTTAAATAATACCCCTTTCAAAATTAAGTGCATATTGACTGCACTAGGTGATAGAAAAAAATCTGATTTTATATACATCCACAGCAATAGTGTTATTTGTCATCTCAGAAAACTTATCTACCAGTTCTTTTAATTCTTCAAGGAAAGGCAGTTGGTGCTTTGTTCTTGGGAAAGTATTGAGGTTTTATTTTGTTTTTATAAGCCATATTCCGTGATGTAGATGAAATCTGTTTTCTCTCCTTGTTCATTGGAGACATAACAAGTGTTCAAGGCCACCTCTGTGGTTTTCCTTCTTGCTACCTGATTCTTGATAAGTTGTTTATTCTAAGGACTGAAGCAATTAGGTTTGGGATCCATTTCAGCTCTGTATAGCCTAGAATGAAAATTCTGATCTTTATCCATTTTCATTGTCCCAATTACTTTATCTTTTCTTCTCTTCCGTCACTTCAGCAAGAGTAGCAGTCCCAGTGCTAAAAAAAAGATGGAGTATTCCTTTAATGTTTGCACATATATGAGACTCCTCATGCATTCTTTTTTTTTTCAGCTTGCTTTAAAAAATACTTGATGAGCAGTGGAATGTCATCATTTTTAGTAGTTCTAACCATTTTGCTGTTGTTTACCATCCTGTTTTCTTAGTTCCTGACCTTGGAAAGCTTTACAAACCTCTAATCTTCATCTTCTTTGTGACTAACCCCATTGTCTTCCACCTCAGATGGTGTATTTGCCAAATTTTTGGTCTGTTTTCTGGAATGTATGTACAACTATAATAGTTTTGTTACTTGAAAGGGAGTAGAAACATGTGGACACCGAATAAAAATTGGTGGGTTGATTACAAGCCAGCTGGAGAATTATATGTAGGGAATCTAATCTCCCTTATTGACAGTAATATATGTGTCACTGCTTTTTAGAAATGACAGTTACTAATGTTACCTTAAAACATATATTTTTTTTAAATAAGAGACAGAGCCTTGCTCTGTCACCAAGGCTGGAGTGCAATGGCGCGATGTGGGCTCACTGCAATCTCCGCCTCCCGGGTTCAAGTGATTCTCCTGCCTTAGTCTCCTGAGTAGCTGGGACTACAGGCGCATGCCACCACACCTGGCTAATTTTTGTATTTTTAGTAGAGATGGGGTTTCACCATGTTGGCCAGGATGGTCTCAATCTCCTGACCACATGATCCACCTGCCTTGGCCTCCCAAAGTGCTGGGGTGACAGGCGTGAGCCACTGCTCCTGGCCACCTTTTTTTTTTTTTGAAACTGAATTTTGTTCTTGTTGCCCAGGCTGAAGTGTAGTGGTATGATCTTGGTTCACTACAACCTCTGCCTCCCAGGTTCAAGCAATTCTTGTGCCTCAACCTCCCGAGTAGCTGGGATTAATAGTGTGTGCCACCATGCCCAGCTAATTTTTGTACTTTAGTAGAGACGGGATTTCGCCATGTTGGCCAGGCTGGTCTTGAACTCCCGACTTCAGGTGATCCGCCCACCCCGGCCTCCCAAAGTGTGGGATTACAGGCGTGAGCCACCGCACCTGGCCAGAACATACCTGAACCATGAATATCTTCCATGTCTCTTCTGTATTTTTTTCTGATTATAAAAGCAATATATGTTTATTATGCTAAGTTTGGCAAGTATAAAGGAAAAATAAAAGTAATTCAAATAACATTTTGGTGTATTTTCTTTCACTTATACATTTATATTCTAATCTGTCTGTGTGTCCTTTTTTAAAATGGACAATGGAGGCCGGGCGTGGTGGCTCATGCCTGTAATCCCAGCACTTTGGGAAGCCGAGGCGGTGGATCACCTGAGGTCAGGAGTTTGAGACCACCTGGCCAACATGGCGAAACCCCCATCTCTACTAAAAATACAAAAATTAGCTGGGCATGGTGGCAGGTGCCCATAATCCCAGCTACTTGGGAGGCTGAGGCAGGTGAATTACTTGAACCTAGGAGGTGGAGGTTGCAGTGAGCCAAGATTGCGCCACCACACTCCAGCCTGGGCCACAAGAGCGAAACTCAGTCTCAAAAATAAAATAAAGTTGACAGTGGATTCTGAACATCTCCTCACATCCTTAAATAAACTTTTATGTATTGATTTTAATGGCTTTATGTTATTTTATTCCATGAGTATATAATTTATTTAACTGGTGTATGTTCATCTTATTTTTTTTTGAACTATGGTGATGTGGTTTTATTTTGTTTTAATAAACAAGCCATACTGTATATTGGTATCAACTAGATTCACTAAGCCCTACAAAATTATAGTCATCTAGATTTGAGAGGATGTAAAGATTAGAAGAGTTAAAGACAAAAATCTTCTATGTCTATTTATTGACAGTGTTGAGCACTTTCTTACATAGGATTTGGTCATTTAAGAAGCTTGATAGATTTTTCCCATCCTTTTATGTCCTTGTATTTTATCTCATTGAAAAAGTCAACGTTTTTTGTTTCCTGGGGTTTTACTTCTCTCATATTAAACCTTAATTTCATTCCCTTTTTTATCTTAAATACCATTTAGCCTAGGTACTAATGATTAATTTATGATTCCCTTATTTTAAAACAACATAGCAACAAATACTCCCTTTTTTAAATTTTTAAAATTTTTGACGTGCTTTTATATAGATCAGCAAGAGGTATAGCTGTAGAGTGGATAGTTTTGGAGAGAGCCAGAGTCATTAACAGAATTTGGAGGTCTCTGTATGTCAGTCTTCTTGTGGACCACCCTCTTAGCCATCTCCCTGTGTCATTCATTTCTTTTAAAGGGTAGCTTCTAAAATGACTCCAACTTGGAAGGCCCTTGGGCTGGCCTTTCCAGACTGAAGTTCAATCCAGGCATAAAATAGACTTTCTTTATTGAAATGATGTTGATACTATACCTTTTACGTGGTTTCCTATCCTCGCACTTCAGATATTATTCTGATATTTAGGATCTTAGTTATAACTCTTTTAGTAACTAGATGTTTAAACTTGGGGAAGCCACATAACTTCTGAATCTGTTTTCTCTTACAGTGTATGAGTGCTCTAGGTGATAACTGTGGCCCTTTTCATTCTGATTTAAAGTAAAGCTTTCATTTTAATTTATCCCTTAAAAGCTCACTTAACCAATTAAGAGTTGGAATTTAAAATGAAATCTTCCAATAATTAAATCGTTAAAAATTTAAATATTGATCATTTTTTAAAATTAATTTTTCCTATGCAGATACATTTTGTGTTTACTGTTTTATAACCTAGCCTAATTGCAAATTATGACTTTGCAATTTATATTTCACATCTCTTTCAAAATACCCCTTTTCATAATTTGGGGGCAAATTGTTTAGCTTCTGTGAATGATTAATAACTCTTGTATTGTCATTGTAGATGTTATTGATGTATCTTTCCACCGCTCCCCAGCCCTATTAACTATGGATTGTTTTTCTAGACTTTTTAGCCCAGACTTATCATTGGATATTACTTAATTTATTCTATTCTTATGTTTATCACGATGCATATTCACAGGAATTATAGCAGATGTCACTAATCAAATACTTATTAGATCTGATATGGCATTTCATTTTATAATCTTCTGTCAGTTTTAACCATTTATTATGCGGGTTTTATTAATAAGTATCATTTTATTCTCAACATGCCTATGCATCTTGGTTTGTCTTTTACAGAGAAAAATAAAGGAATAGTATATTATGCACCTATTTTTAATATTTCAGATGTAATTATACTAGATATAATTAACCTGAAATGTAGTTGTTCCTTAATACATTTATTTGCATTACTTTTCTGGGTGGTTTCTTTAATAACATATATAGTTAGCATTTTTCTTACTATTTTTCTAATGTAGCAAGTTTTTTTGTTTGTTTGAGGCAGTCTCGCTGTTGCCCAGGCTGGAGTGCAACGGCATGTTCTCGGCTCACTGAAGACTCTGCCTCACAGGTTCAAGTGATTCTTCTGCCTCAGCCTCCCAAGTAGCTGGGATTACAGGCGCCCACCACCATGCCCGGCTAATTTTGGTATTTTTAGTAGAGACGGGGTTTCACCACGTTGGCCAGGCTGGTCTCAAGCTCCTGACCTCAGGTGATCTGCCTGCCTCAGCCTCCCAAAGTGCTGGGATTACGGGTGTGAGCCACTGCGCCCAGCCGCAAATTTCATTTCTATTTCCTATACCTTCTGGTTGTTCTGATATATATATATCAGAATATATATACATATTCTTTCAGTGGTGGGGCTTTGGATCATTCCTTTACTTTTTTTTGAGATTGTTTGACCACCCTCATTTAGAGTGATTTCTGTGAAGATCTTGGACAGCGATTACAGTAAATTCCTGTCTGTAGTTGGAAACCTCATTTGAGGATTTTCTAGTGTTTGAAAGTTGGTACTTTTGTATAATCTTGGTTATTGTATCATGATGCTTCTTTTACTGCCTGGGCATTTTCTCTGGAACTGCTAGAAATTTTGGCTTTGTTCTTCTTTCTTGTAGAGTTGTCTAAAATTTTCTGGAAAATCTATAGTGTCAAAATATTATTAAATATCATCACTGCTTTCTTGGGCTGGTCTTTTGATAATCAGGATAATAAATTTATAGCTCAAAATGTTACCTCCAGAGCAAACACAATTCTTCTATTCTTGAGGTATTGACTTATCTCCTGGGCTAAAAGACCCAGAGACTTTTCTTTAATAGCCCAAGAATAAAAATTATTTCCATATTAAATCATGGAGCAGAGCTCCCTGGGTCATTTTTGTTTATTGCTTTACTCCTGTCTTGTAGAAGAATTTATCATTAGTTTTCCACCTGACCTCTTAGAGGTAGGGGCGGAAGAGGAGTCAGCTTAGCTGATCTGAAGAGCATCACACAGGAAAGACCACAGGTGATGCATCAGGGAGAGATTTGTTGCTGTGTATACTAGCGATACATTCAAACAGGGTATGTATTATTAACTAAGATAGGAGAGTCCTTAAAACCCGAATTACAGTCTGGTTCGTTTGAATGAGTATGTGCCAGGAATCTTGGAAGCAAATGCAGCAGATGAGGGAAAAGCCTGTAGGGATCCTGCCCCCTGCCCCCTCCCCCACATAGTTTAGATCTGTGTCTTCTTTGCATCCTGAACAGTGGCTGTACTCTTCATCTGGAGCAAAGGACCTGCTGTGAGGCAGTTTCATTTCCTCTGAGGTGATTGGTAGGTTGGTTTATTGTTTGGACCATCCCTTGAGACACTGAAAGATTTCTTCCTCATTATGAGAGACTTTTAATTTAAAAAAAATGGATTTGGTTGAGGTTCTCTGAAGTGGACAGATTAGGAGATTAAAAGACTCCTTTTATATGATTTGACTCTGATAGCTTAGTTTGTGTTTGTCAATGAAAACTCTTCTCCTTAGGCCACTGACTGCTCTCAACTGATTCTCAACACACTTTCTCTTATTATTAAAAATATTATTACAAGATTTTTTATTAAAGTGGTTCTCAGCATACTTTCTCTTATTATAGCTGCAGTCTCAAAAGTACACCGTAGTGGATAAACAAAGTATGGTATATCCTTACAATCAGTACATTCTGTCCTAAAAAGGAATGAAGTCTGCTGTATACTTCAGCATAGATGAACCTGGAAAACTTGTCCCAAGTAAAAGAATTTAGACACAAAAGACTGCATATTATATGATTCCATTTATACAGAATTTTTATAGGGATCTATAGGTGGTTGATGGTTTCCAGGGGCTAGAGGTAGGGGAAGTTGGGAAAAAGAAGTGACTGCTTCATGGATATAGTTTCTTTTCAGTGAATTGGATAAGCATGATGTTGCACAGCATTGTGAATATACTAAAATCCACTGAACTGGTACACCTTAAAATGATTGAGATGGTGGATTTCATGTTACATAAATTTGATCTTAATTAAATAGTAAATCTGTATGTTAATGCTGTGGTTGCTGAATCAAGAAGGCCTTGGTGGCCGGGTGCGGTGGCTCATGCCTGTAATCCCAACACTCTGGGAGGCCGAGGTGGGTGGATCACATGAGGTCAGGAGTTAGAGACCAGCCTGACCAACAAGGTGAAACCCCATCTCTACTAAAAATACAAAAATTAGCTGGGCGTGGTGGTGGGCGCCTGTAGTCCCAGCTACTCAGGGGGCTGAGACAGGAGAATTGCCTGAACCCAGGAGGCAGAGGTTGCAGTGAGCCGAGATTGTGCCAAGAAGGCCTTGGTGTTTCTTGGTGCTAATGCTGGTTGGCATTTTAGCCAATTGGTTAAGTGTTGGTGAGAGTGGGGAGAGGAAGTACCTTATAATTGCACCTTTGAAGATAAGCCCTTCTACAGTGCCAAGTATGTTCCTCTGGATTCTGTTCCATGTTTCCCTCACTTTTCTTCCCCTGGTAGGATTACATCATATTTATCATTGTTTATTTGCTTTTCTATTTGGACATCTTTCCATAGCAGAATATATCCTTCTCTTAATGATCCTCCTCATTAAGAGAAGTATATATGTATCCAATGACCTTTTAATTCATGGAAAGTGCTGTTGGATAATCATCTTCACATTCTCATTATCAATGGGAATATGAGGGGTTTGGTTAACCTGCTTGACTGATTCCAGTCTCTTGTGCATTCAGTATCTTTTACCTAAACTCTACTGAAACTGTTCTTCCCTCCCTCTGTTCAGAAACTAGCTCCTAGTTTGCTGTCTAGGAGTAGATAACAAGCCCTATATTTATTTTGAGACTCTCTGGGATATATAGTTATAAATGTATGAGTTAGAGTTCTAGTAAAAGGGGCAAATTGGGAGGCAGTTACATGAACCCTATTTTTCCATATTATATTCTCTTCATCAGATGATCTGCTGCTCAGAGAAAGGGCTCCATGAACATGAATTCTTGACTTCTGATGCCACACCCTGTGCTTACCTCAGTATTAAAGTAAAAAACAAAACTCCATGGTTTTTATTGACTGTACTGTGTTGGTTAAGGGAGACAGAATGAATCCAGTTTGTTCTATTGGGAAGTCTGGGTTCCTTTTCTACTCTGCTGATGAGAAACAGGATCAGAGGGCACAAGGGGGATGGGGCACAGCCCTTCACATATTACCAGCTGTCTTAGAACTGGCTGGCTAACCCACTGCAAAGTGTTGGGTCTTAGTGAATGGTCAGTAGGCAAAGCATTATTTTATATCCTTCTTCCACTCTTTTCCAGCTCTCTCTGAAGGGCTGCAGCTAGGTATAACAAACATCAACCAGTAGTATTAGATTGTCAGTGATCAGCATGCCAAAATGCAGTTCCTTGTTACGTGACAAGTAGAGAAAACATATGGCAGGCAGGTGGTGGTGGCAGGATCATTATCAGCTCAGAGTGAGATTGGCAGTTCATTTGCAGAGAGTGATGCCCACCTGCCATGGCAACAGTACACCACTGGGCACCCAGAAGCCCTCATGATCATGTCCTTCTAACAGTGTTTAGCCTGCCCTGCATAATCCTTACTGGTTGGCAGACATTACTGAGCAGTGACCGTGGCCTCAGTGTGGGAACTATTGTGATGAAACAGATGCTCAAAGGTGAAGACCCTGCTTGTGAGGAGGCTACTTTTTTGTGTTTTTTGCTGTTTTTTGTTTTTAAAGGCAGATGTTTTCTTTATATATTTACTTAGCTCACCGTATTGTTTCTCTTAAGACTTAATCAAATTTTTCCCCTTTCCAAATGTAATTTAAACATTTTAATCCCTGTGGAAATGTACGATGTGAAAAATTGGAAGTACCTTATAATTGCACCTTTGAAGATAAGCCCTTCTACAGTGCCAAGTATGTTCCTCTGGATTCTGTTCCATGTTTCCCTCACTTTTGTTCCCCTAAAAGGATTACATCATATTTACCATTGTTCATTTGCCTTTCTCTTTGGACATCTTTCCATAGCAGAATGTGTAGCTCCCACGTGTTCTCAGCAGCTACATCATATTTATTCAGTATTGGTAATATGTAGGTGAAAAAGATAGGCAAGGTTTCTGCCAACTTATAACTCATGAGATTTAAGATTACTGAAATCTCAACTTGTAATTATGCATTTGTGTTAAACTACTATGAATGCAAAGGACACCACATTTGTACATACATCTTTGTTTCTGTAGATTGAATTCCTAGAAGTGGAACTGCTGGGTTAAAGGACATCCACATATTAAATGTTAGTAGAATTGCCAGCCTGACCTCCAATGATGTTATAATAATTTAGACTCCTGCCAACAGTGAAAAATACCACTTAGAGAAGCATGTGGAAATTGGAAGTTCATTGGACAAAAGCACAGACAACAGTGATTAAATTCAGCAACTAGAGAAGTAGATAAAGGTGGGAAAATGATGGTGAATGCACTGAAAATTCTGTAGATCTGCACGTGATAGATCTCTAAGGCAGACAATTCTTCATAGAAAAATTCTGTCACAGCGCAGGACATCAAAATTTGTCAATTTTATAGGAAGTCAGTGAGCCATAGACTATTCTTATCTCCCTTCTATGACTGCCTCTGAGAAATGGTAAGAAAGGCATATTTGGGTTGACTTGTGGTAGACATGCAGCTTGTGCCTTAGAGCAAGGGTCCCCAAGCCCCGGACTGCGGACCGGTACTGGTCCCTGGCCTGTTAGGAAGCAGGCTGCACAGCAGGACATGAGCAGCAGGCCAGCCAGCGTCACTGCCTGAGCTCTGCCTCCTGTCAGATCAGCAGCAGCATTAGATTCTCATAGAAGTGCAAAGCCTAGTGTGAACTACACGTGCGAGGGATCTAGGTCTCATGCTCTTTATGAGAATCTAATGCTTGATGATCTGAAGGTGGGACAGTTTCATCCCGAAATCATCCTCCCCACCATCCATGTAAAAATTGTCTTCTACAAAATCGGTCCCTGGTGCCAAAAGGGTTGGGGACCACTTTCTTAGAGTGTTGACTCTTTTCAGAATGTAAGAAAATAGCCAAGTGTATTTTATATCCTGAGAAAGGTGGCCTAAAAGGTAGACTATTTTATCTTATATGACAACCGGAGACTTCTGTGTCCTTATTTAGGGGTTATTGAACATGACTTCTAATTATGGTTTTGGGAAACCATCCGTATATTTTCTTGGGAATGTGATTGAACTGTCTTTTTTTTTTTTTTTTTTTTAATGAGATGGAGTCTTGCTCTGTCACCCAGGCTGGAGTGCAGTGGCTCGATGTTGGCTCGCCGCAACCTCTGCCTCCAAGGTTCAAGTGATTCTCATGTCTCAGCCTCCCGAGTGCTGGGACTAAAGGCACATACCACCATGCCTGGCTAATTTTTGTATTTTTGGTAGAGACTGGGTTTCGCCATGTTGGTCAGGCTGGTCTCGAACTCTTGACCTCAAATGATCCACCCACCTTGGCCTGCCAAAATACTGGGATTACAGGCATGAGCCACCACACCCAGCCTGAACTGTCTTATTGAAGTAACCAGTAGATTCAGGAGTTAGCTGGGTTTGGGTTCAGAGTTGCCTCGCTCCTGCCGCTGTTATTTACTAATGTGTGGGCAGAACAGCCTGGGGGGTTGAGAGAGAGAGAGAGAGAGAAAGGCAGATACATAAAATAAAATTTACCTTCTTATTCAATTTTAAGTGTACAATTCAGTGACATTAAGCACATTCATTCACATTGTTGTGCAACCATCACTGTCCATCCCCAGAACTTTTTCTTTCCTCTTGCACAATCGAAACTCTATACCCATTAAATAAATCTCTCCATCCCCTGTCAACCATGTTCCTATTTTTGGTCTAAGAATTTGACTACTCTAGGTACCTTATTTAAATGGAATCACACAGTATTCTTTTTTGTAAGTAAGTTTTTTTTTTGTGACTGACTTCCTTCACTTATAATGTCCTCAAGATAATGAGAATTTCCTTCCTTTTTAAAGCTGAATAACATTCTATTGTATGTATCTACCATATTTTGTTTATCTACTTATCCAACAATGGGTATGTCAGTTGCTTCCACCTTTGGCTGTTGTAAATAAATTCTTCTGTGAGCCTGGGTATTGAGATATCTCTTTAAGATCCTGCTTCCAATTCCACTGATGTATACCTAGAAGTGGAATTGGTGGATCATATAGTAATTCTATTTTTAATTTTTTTGGAAAGCTAAGCAATATTTTTGCATCATATTTCTGATAATTTAGGAGTGGAAACTGGAACACTGTGGAACTGAGAAATGGTTTGATCTAGAATTATCCTCCACTGGTAACTGCCCAGTTTGTGAATGTGTGTAATTGTAGGCCAAGGAGTTGGTTGTGTGCCTGTTCACTGTTTTCCAAAACAATGACTGTAAATCAAGAGACCTGAATTTGAAGGGAGACGCAGATACAATGCAGGATGGTCTTTGATCGGTGTCTGTGACTTTAGTTGTCATTGTTCTATGCACGCCGTGCCTTTGATCATGGAACCTTGCTTCATTTAGTAGGCCTCTACTTTGTGAAATAGAGGGATGGTGTGGTATGTTTACAGGAAGAAAGGCTGATATTGATACCTGATTTTCTTGGAATGTTTACTTAGCCACAAAACTGACAATTTATATACACAAGTGCTATATCCTTGTGTTATTTAGTCATTGGCGTGTATTCCTAAAGAATTATTGTGTTTTTTCTTCATGATTTTCCTTTGACATCATTATATACATCCTTGAGGTCAGCTCACCATTCTAACTTTGGCCTTTATTTAATTTACCTAAACATATATTTTCCTTGTCTGAGTGACTTCTTGATGCCAGCTCATGGGCATGCTGGAGAAATGGGAGTGCTCTGAATTGTAGTCAATGCAGGATGGCTTTTGTGTTCTGGTTTTGCTCACCCAAGCAATACCTACTCCCCAGGGAAATAGGAGTTTATTGGAACTCTTGGCAGGGTGAATACTTTAGTCCCCACTTTTATTGATTAGATTTCCCTGGTATTTTGGTGGGTGCAGGCATTCAAAATCTTTATAGACAGAGCAAATGTAATGTAACCTTTTGTTTTCATCCATTTCTTAATAATATCCCCTTCCCCCCACTAATTATTCTTAGAAGCCATTAAGCAAGTCTCCTTTCTTCATATTCTTGTTCCTCTCATCATAGTTTCATTACTGCTGTTGTTTTAAAGATTGGGTGACATTGGGTGTATTTGACATAAAGGCAGAAGTATCTCCATGTAAAATTTGTGCTGCTTGTGTGGCTGGAACTCCTCCAGGGAGAGTTCTGGAAAAAGGGATTTAATTTCTCCTGACTGCTGGTGACCTTGGAAATTTTGGCCATAGATGACTGTGATTGACGCTTGTATAATGGAGAAAAAAGACCCACCCTCAACTTTCATCCTTTAGAGGAAGGCAATGGGAGTTGGCAGCTCTGGTGAGGAATAAGAAGGGACATACAGGCTACACAAGGGACAGTTTCCAGTAGTGCCTCTGAAACCTTTTGACATTCCTCCTTAGGGACAAGCAGGTTGTATTAAAAGTAGGTATTGGTGTGAGTTATGCCTGTGATAAAATAATGAGTAAGATAATGGAGCATTAGCACAAACACACATTATACTTTTTAAGTATGTTTGTAGGATTATAAATCCTGGAGAATCGAGATTTAATGAAACTGCTGGAAGCTGGGATCACTATTTTCAAATAGTGATCTCTGTGTCTTTCTCTAAGGTACCCCTCAGATTTATTTAAAATATTGTCATTTGTCAAAATTTGATGTTTATATGTGCCTATTATTTACTTCCGTATAGAAACTGCTTGGTCAGTATATTTTCAGATCATTTTATTATGTTTGTTTTCAGGTTGTTATCACTACTTCTAGAAATCTTTGCCATTTTCTAATGGCCCCTTACCTAAAATGTTTTAATGTTTTGTGGATCTCGAGTTTGTGTATGCTCCTAATTAAATATTTACCGAAGTGAAGGTTTATCAGGGAGCAGTGATGTCCACTTAAATGAATGCATGATGTCAGATAGAGACTCTTAACATCTCCATGGACGCCATATTCAGCTGTATTTTACCTTTCCCCTCAAAACAGATAAAAGCGTCTGCCCATCCCGGGGACAGAGGAGTGGTTGGGATAGGAGACTCATTTTGTCAAAAATGTATCAAATAAGAACACTTTCTAAATGTGTTTATAAAGGTTTATAGGCATTATAGATTAAAATTCCATTGATGAAAATGAAATGTAGTCAAAATAGTTTTGGGGTTTGGGGGTAGGATGGTGATTTTAGATGGGAGAGAGCAGCATAAATACATGTGAAGAAACAACCAGCCTAAGCACCTAATTACAATGATTTGGAAGGGGGTGTTAGAGAATACATCTGGGCTGGATTGGAGAGTTAGGAAGGGAGCATTGGTTTATGTCTTCTAATCTTTGTAGCATAGATGAGACAACAAAATGTATAATTTTTTCTGAACGTATTTATAAAGGTTGTTGCAGAGCTCAAAGATGTCCTGATGGAAGAGGTAAATTTCAGCATTTTATAATTATAAAAATATATAAAAATAAGTAGGTTACATCTACCAGTTATTTGTTTTCTTTTTAATAATATCAGCAATTAACAGAAGCCTTAATTATTAACTACAAAAACAGTTATTTCTTAACCTGAGTTTCTGGCCACAGCCACCATCTACCCACCATCCATCCATTAGAATAAACTTCAAACACTAAGGTAAAGAATTCTAGAATCATGTTGACAAATCAGGAATTAATAAAATTCAGCTATTGAATTGGTAGAAGGAACTGAAAAATACCTTCACCAAACTACTGAATAGAATATATTTTACATATATAGTACAGACTAAGGGATTTTTCCCTCAGTGTATAAATTTATCCTCACACCTGAAATTCTTTTTCTGAACTAAAAATGTATGTGGCTTATCTTTGTAATCTAGTCAGATAATAGATTTGAAAAAGAAAATGAAGGCTAAATATTTTATTTTTGATACCAGGGTTTTTATATCATATTTTTTTCATATTTGGTTTAAGAATGTTTACAAAGATTCATAAAACATACGTTCACAGGGAAAAATACAGAGAGAAATCAGAACCACAGATAGGATAGAGGAATGAGGCTAAGACTTGTGCCTTAACTGATACTCTAGGAATGCCCACTGAGTTTTAAGCATTGCAGTGTGGCTGGTCCAAATTGAGATGTTTGTAAAGTACACACCAGATAGTAAAGATTTAATACAAAAAAAGATCTCAACACTTTTATAATATTTGTTATATATTGACACGATGTTTTAGAAATTTTGCATTAAATAAAAAATCATATTAAAATTAATTTCACTTGTTTCTTTTTAATGTTTCAACATGGCTACTAGGAAAATGTGAACATACACATGTGGGTCTCATTTGTCACTTATTATATTTCCATTACACAGTACTTGCCTAGAAGGAGGTAAGTTTAACATCCTCTCTTGAGAGATGAGCAGTTCCACAACGGCTAATGTCTGAATTAGCTTGGAGGTAAGCTCAGAGCATGCCCAGAGGCAGGACCAACAGGCTCCTTAGCAATTTGTTTTGAAGCTCTTCCTGTACCTCGATGAATGGGTGATTGATGTGTGTTTTAAAATGTTTAAAAATATGTATCACTTTTATAAGTTTAGAATGATAATATACTTTTAACAGAGAAAAATTATTAAAACTACATTATGTAAATATTAAGGAGCACTTTGTATGGAAGATCCTGTTGTTATAAATAAATTTTCAGTGCTGCAAGAGAAGTAGCACTCGAACATAAATTTAATTTTCTCAGCAAGGCAATTTTTACTTCTATAGAAGGGTGCGACTCCTGGATGGAGTAATGGTGAGAGCACACTTCAACAAGGGAGGGGAACAGGCAGGTAGCCCCTACTGCTATGTTGTTCCCCTGTTGGCTAGGGTTGGACCGCACAGTCTAAGCTAATTCCAATTGGCTATTTTAAAGAGAGCAGGGGTACGAGCCTGAGTGGCGGAATGAGTAGTTTGGTGGGAAGGGCTTACAGAACAGGTGACTCAAGATGATTCAGTTCAGAGCAGGTGACCAGGGGTGACTCAAAGGACGGAGCAGGTGACCAGGGGAACAGATGTCAACTACTGATTAGAACTGGTGGAAAAGGTTGTTTACTGAAACTAGGGGCAAGGAGAATGAGGAAGTTAAACTTTAAAATGGAGAACAAGGAACAGGGGAGCTGAACATACTGATGCACTGGTTCTTTGGAGAGGATCTCAGAACTCATCGTACTTAACAATTTACAGGCTAAAAACCTTTGAAGAGAAATTTATTATATCCTACACTGTTAAGCCCAAAGCAAATGGAAACTTGGTTACTATTTGATGTTCACTGTCTTCCTAATTTAGTAAGGCAAGAAGTATCCTGCCCCAAATATCCATAGTTAACCTATTATTTGAGATGGTTCACAACACTGTGCTTCAATTGTCTTTGGTAAATAAAATATCCAATAACTGGTAGCTGCAAAATTAATGTTAAATATCTAAATAAATACTAGTGTATCATTCTTTAAAATAATCCTTACTTAGCTCTAAGTTGGGATGAATATGTATGAAGTACTACATATTTTTGTTTGCTGTGGCTCTTTAAAGAGAAAAGTGTATTTAATTTAGTCTTTCTGCCTGATGATTTCCAAAGTCTAATGATTTAAATCAACATGTATCTGATTTATGCATGTATGTATTTGTGTATGTGTTTATCTCATGGATACTTATTTAGCATTTAACTCTGTGCCAGACACTGCCCTAAGAAAATTAGTACATGTTTATCTAAAAATAACTGGCACTTAGATAGAACGTACAATGATTCAAGCACTGTTCTAAATGATACATATGTATCTTCCTACAGCAGTGAGATACGCACAGTAAATGTGTTAAACATAAGCAGAGAAGTTAGGTCGCTTATCTAAGTTCACACAGCTCCTTTCTAGAATTGCTGGGAACCAGTCACTGCAGCCTGGCTGTTCTGAAGTGTCCGTGTTCTTATCGAGCCTATGTGAAACATTCCATTTTACTTACTTTTGTTTCTAGGCAGCATCCGTGGGACTCAGGCCAAATGGTGTCGTCTTTTCAGTATTAGGGGTGCGTAGAGGCTTTCCATAAAGTCTGGAAATTCTGTCATGAGAGGGGTAATAAAGGGGTTATTTTGAGAGACAAGGTGTTTATTTAGCTCTTTGTGAATTTATGAGTGGCTATGTGGAATAGTGGGTGGGATTATGTGGCGATTATGCCCCAAAGCCTTACGTAACAGCTCTAGTTATATTAAAACTAAGCTCAGGCTACAACCTGGAAATGTGGCTCTGCAGTTGTTTTCCTTCCTACCTCCTCTAACCTTTTATGCTTAGGTAGTTCACTTTTTGGCGTTTTGTTATCATCAGCATCAGTCTGTGAAGTTCTTTGGTGGTTTGATACTGTTCTAGTCATACATTGTATGAAGAATATCCAGAGAGCCTGAGAATTCTGTTGTGTGGCCCATAGCTGTTCTATACTAAACTATTCCAGACTTTACAAGCAATTAATATATAAATTTAGTTTGAAGTTACCATCTTAGTTCCTCTGAAGGGTCCCTGAAATTGCTTTCAAGGAAAATTCTATAATCTAATAGACGAAGGTTGCCTGCTACCCTCTTACCTTTGAGAACCTCTTTGAGGAATAAATAATATGAGAAAGTATGTATGTTTCATATTTGGCTTGCTTCATCTTTCATGGTTGTTTGCGCTAGAGCTTTATCACAGTTTTAAAATATTGCTCCTCCCCCAGTTCCTCCTCCCTATCCTCCACGGTTTAAATAAATATATTTTTACTATATAAAACAGCAGAATGATCAACAGCTTGACAAAATGGTCCTCAGGATGCCCTGCCTTCCCACTTCAAGGGTATCCTTCATAATGTTATGTCTGAAAAGATTATTGATTATATATTTACTCATGCAACAAACATTTACAGCGTAGTCTCCTGCCTTACAGGCCCATGCCAGCTCTTTGAGTGAATAAGACATGGTCTCCCCACTCTTGGAGCTTACAGTTGGTGTGTTCCAATACCATGTAGTAAATGTAAGGTAGGAAATACAAAGATTTAAGAAAACAGTATATAGTACCCCATGTCTGACTAAATTATCTTTTAGAATTCTAGAGTGAAATGATGCTCTGATGTTCTAATCTAGTGCTCTCGTTTTTAAGGTCAAGGGAAACTGAGACCCAAAGATGTTACGTGCCTCATTTGTAAGGGAGCTTCAAGTAGCACCAAGCAAGAGCCCAGGGCTCTTTGTGGTCACTCATTGCTATAAACAGGGATCAGGGTCTGAGTCAGTTATATAGCCCTTGGTCATGTATTCGTAAAATACTTGCATACAAAACATTTCAGGAATATCTTAAAAAGGAGAACCCATCTATATTAATCAGTTTCTTCTCTCATGCCGTTTTATACATACTTACCCACAAACACAAAATTCAGGTTATCATTTATTTAGACGAAGATGTTGCTAAGATTTACACTGGTTTTAATTGAAGCTGTTAAAACCATGGTTCTTTTTCAAGTGATTGACAGGTCAGTGTTGAATATCTTGAGATGAAAAATTCCAGGGTAGAGGAAGAGATCTCAGAATCCACAGGGGAGGGACACAAATGCTAATTACACATTGACTTTAATTCCTGATTTGTCATAGCTGCCTGCAGGTGTATATCTTGGCTGTGGGCTATTCTCCGGGCCTCATTTGTATTTCAGATTTTCTTTAATAATGTTGCATCCACAAATAACTGTTTAATCTCTGACTTATTTACAGTTCTTATTCTCTTGATATGGGAAACAATTAATTGGCAGGTGAATGTAGTTGTTTCTTTTGGTTATTGAAGATTAAAATTTTTTTGTCTTCCCACTGATTTCCCTGGAAGACAGTTTTGGAACAGCACCTCACTTTGGCCTTCTGGCCTGAGAGATACACAGGTGTTCACTTTTGTTTGTTATTCCTCCTATTATTACTCCCACACATGTGGCATAGTGAATTAGCCCTCTTGATGAATTAGCTCTCTCTCTGGGTTGAGAGCTAATGTTCCTCTGTGCTAAACAGCTGCTGTCCCACCCCTGTCTGCCTACTGAGAAGGAGATTTGGCATTGGGAGGCACAAGGTAACCTTGAGATTAACTTAGTTTTTTTTTTTAAGCAGTGCTGATTTTTTCCCTAGGTAGTAGAATTGAGGGCTTGAGCTTGTTAGATGGATTGGGTGAAAACACGAAAGATACATGGACCTCGTTCCTCATTTCCACATATTTATTAACTTCCCAGCGAATGCCCCCAAATTGGACCATACCCTGTGGCCTTGTCCTATTTAAAATGGGCCCTGAGATACTTTACATGGTATAGCCACCTTCACTGTCTACCTTCTGTACACTCGTGATTTTTTGCCATGACTCCAGCTATCTTGTTGTTTTCCTCACCTGCTTCTATAAGCTTGTTGTGAGGCCTTGTCTGAGGAGAGTTCCAGGGTGTATTAGCATCAAGACCACTTCTTCCCTTCCCTGGTTCTGAGTTACTCAGGCCTGTCTGTGTGCAGCCCTCTCATTCCTTGCCCTTTTTTTGGCCTATATTAACTCTGGCCAGCAGCATGCAGGGAAAGTATTAAAAACCTTTTTGTTGGAGGGCACTAGTTGTTCAATCCCCCTGTCTGAACACATTTCTCACATTTTTACTCATTTCCTGAGTTTTATAGTAGTTGTTAAGACCTTGCAATAATTTAAAGCTAGGTATCTAATTTTAGGAGTCATCTTTATATTTTCTTACTTTCTGTGTTGTTGTGCTATGACCATACTTCTCATAAGAATGATTTACCTTAACCTCAGCCCTTAATTGGCTTGGGCTCTGATATGGCTCCATTCTGCTGCTTCTAAAGCATGATTCAATGGAGTGTTCAAGTGGGTGATCTGACAGTTGGAATTTTGAGGCATCTATCCTTTTCCAGATTTCCATGTTCATTTTCAAGATGAGTTTTTGAAGAGAAGACAGTTTGAAAGGATTTTAACGGTGCTCACTAGCAGTGTGGCTGAACTCCATGCTTCTGCAATATGCTGTCTTTAAGCTGATCAGTGAGAGCTGAAGATGTATTTAGAAAAGGGATTCCAGACTGTGGAGAAGGCTTCCGTCTCCTTGATCCCCATGCACCTCTTCAGTGTGGGTTTGTAAACCTTGGTTTTGACCCAAACCAAGCCTACAACTTCATTCTGTGAAGACTTGCCCTATATGTTTGCTACAGGATACTATGTTTATCTTCAAAGTTTTCATAATAAAAAAGCATTGTTTAGTGTGTTCATATCCATTTATTTAGTGTATTCTAGGGTTAAACCATTTTTGCATTTTGTGCGTCTAACTTCCTGTCTGCAAAATTAATTCAAAATCTAAGGATTCATCTAGTCCATTCTATCTCCCCTACCTGCACACTGCTTAACTCTCAAGTATGTTGGTGTTGGGCTTAATTAGCTGTATCTTTTTGATTTACATACTGTGAAACCAATTCCAAGCATCTTTGTAATTGTTATCTTGTTTGTTCTTCTATGTATTTATTTATTTATATTTTTTATTTTTCAGAGAGATGGGGGTCTTGCTTTGTTTCCCAGACTGGTCTTGAACTCCTGGCCTCAAGCAATTCTTCTACCTGGGCCTTCCAAAGTGCTGCAGTTATAGGAGCAAGCTATTGTGCCCACCTTGTTTGTTGTTCTTAATAACTCTTAATCTGGTCCTTAGGAAGCTGTGACAGACAGATTATATGGAGTTTTTCTATGGAGGCAGTTCATATTTTTAAATACAGGTTTTCAAAGTAGTCTGACCCAGAAGAGGTTAAAGCACTGCTTTATCATAATGTCTAGGAGTCCAACAGGAATGTTGCAAACCTCTTCTCTGTAAAGTAAAATTGCTGTGGGGACCTATGTGTTTAGTTGTTTGATTTACATCTTTGGTTATCAGCTTTTTTCTTTCTTTTTAAAATGGACTTTTTTTTTTAGAGCAGTTTTGGATTAACAGGAGAATTGAGCAGAAGTTACAGAGATTTCCCATATACCTTCTGCCCCCTACACACAATCTTCCACACCAGAGTGGTATATTTATTACAATTGTTGAGCCTACCTTAACACATCATTATCACACAAAGTCCATAGGGTTTGTGCTTGGTGTTATATCATCTGTGGGCTTTGATATATGTATAGTGGCATGTATTCACCACTATAGTGTCGTACAGAATAGTTTCATTACGCTAAAAATTCCCTATTCTCTGCCTATAACTCCTGGCAAAATTCCTTCTCTCCTTCTAACTCCTGGCAACCACTGATATTTTTATTGTCTTTGTAGTTTAACCTTTTCTAGAATGTCGTATAGTTGGAATCATACAGTACACCTTTTAAAGTGTCTGCTTTCACTTAGTAATATATGTCTAAGCTTCCTCCATGTCTTTTCATGGCTTGATAGCTCATTTCTTTTTATCACTGAATAATATTCTGTCATCTGGATATACCACAATTTATCCATTCACCTACTGAAGGATATATGGATTCCTTCCACATTTTGACAGTTATGAACAAAGCCACTGTTAATATCCATGGGCAGGTTTTGTGTATGTTTTCAACTCCTCAAGTAAATTTCAAGGAGCTGTATTCCTGGATCAAATGGTAAGAGTACATGTTCAGTTCTATAAGAAATGACTAAACTATCTTCCAAAGTGGCTGTATCATTTTGCATTCCTACCATCAATGAATTAGAGTTCCTATTGCTCCACATCCTTGCCTGCCTTTGGTGTTGTCAGTGTTCTGAATTTTGACTATGCTACAACGAGCAGTGGTATCTCATTGTTGTTTAAGTTGGCAATTTTCTAATCACATGTAATGTAGAACATCTTTTCCTGTTCTTATTTGCCACTTGTATGTATTCTTTAGTAAGCTGTTTGGATCTTTTGCATTTTAAAATCAGGTTGTTTTATTATTGTTGAGTTTTAAGAGTTTTTTGTATATTTTAGATAAATGTTCTTTATTAGTTATGTCTTTTGCCAACATTTTCTCCCAGTCTGTTGCTCAGCTATTTCTTTTAATTGGTTTTAAAAATCTTAGATTCAGAAAACCAAACTGGAGTGAGCTGATCTTTCACAGTTGAGCAGGCACATGTGGCTGCTAGTGAGCTATGTTGCAGACTCTCAACCCTAATTCCCTTGATTCTTTGTTTCCAGGTCAATGTGACGGTGGACTACATTAGACCAGCCAGCCCAGCCACAGAGACAGTGCCTGCCTTTTCAGAGCGTACCTGTGCCACTGTCACCATTGGAGGAATGTGAGTGTTCTGGCTGGCATGGACTCAGCTGTCATCTCAAGTAGCTAAGAGTTCTTTGCTCATTTGAATCTTTCCTTCCTTTCACTCTGCTTTGCTTTCTCCTGCTCTTAACTCAGTGGTTTATAATTTTGTGCCTGTGTAGCACTTTATATTTGTAAGTACTTTATAATCACTCATTAGCTAATCGTATACTTTCATTATTGTAGTTATTTAAGATTTATTGGGCTCTGTGTGCCTGGCACTATGAAGTACACATCATTACTATTAATAATGCCATTTATTGAGTATCAAGCAGGCCCTAGATACTGTCTAAAATGGTCTCTGCATATTGGTTTAGGAAGTCTAGGTATAGAATAGCAGGTAACAAAGAGGGAAGAAGAGGAGAGGTTAATTGGACATTTTCTTGTATGTAATCAGTAGACGATGAGGTCATCCTATTCTGCTGTACTGGCTGTAACCTGGTTAGATTCCAAGGTCTGTTGGCAGCCAGGCTGAGGAAGAGTCTTTCAGGGGAGATATCTGATAGGGGAAGGAGGAAGCCTGCTGGGCCCTGCTTCCCCAATAAATATTACAACAGTCAGCCAGTCCCCAATAGCAATTCTTACTTTGCATAAAATATACCAGTATGGTAATTGTCTCCTTTTCCATTTAACAATCTTATATGCTAGTTGTTACCAAACTGTTATTTTTCATTTCTTTTAAGTGGGCATATTGATGGGGAAGAAAATAATAGGTTTGTCATCAAAACAAGGATTGTGTTACTGAAAGTACAGTGAAGCCACTTAGGAGAAGTACCTCCAAGCTATTGCAGGCCTCTGAAAGGAATAAGCATTTTGTAGCTGCTTAGCTTCATGAAAGTCTCCTAACAGGAGCCTCTTTCACCTCATTCGTGCTTTCACATTTGGAAATGACTATTTTTAGCCACTGCTACCGATCCTATATTTATTAATGTTGTTAATGTTCACACAACAATTGGAGGTTTCGTCTTTGCCAGGAGGCGCTCAGTATAGGCATTTGATGTTTACCTTCACGCCATCACAGGTTTTGTTAGAAGCAGGTTCTTGACAAATCAAGTAATATTTTTGAACTGGGAAAAACTAGGACATATTTTGGTCATTATTCTATCTGTATAAATTACAATAGTTATTTGTTACCAATTTGTTACCACTTCTTAGGAGTCAGTTGTATGCTTCCCTGTTGTAGAGACCTGGAATCTTAGTATTCTATCTAAATATTTTTACTGCCACAGAAAGCCATCTCCATAGATACTGCTGCTTTTAAGTACTGGTGAAAACAACTTCACTGTTGTACAAAACCACGTGTCTTTATTTTTGGCAGGTGGCCTCCACCAGTATTTAACATTCTATTAGAATGGATTATCTCCTTTAGTTACCACTGAAGAATATTTAAAAAATAAGTTTACACTGCTTAAAATGAGATATTCAGGGAGTATTTTATAGCAATCTTTTTATTTTTAAGATAATTTGAGACAGATAATTTAAAATACTTTACAGGGCAGAGTGTTGTGGCCATGCTTTGTGCCTTAAAACCTTGAGATCTCCACTGTGTTTATTTTGGCTTTGACAGAGATTACTCTTTCAGCCTTCCTCTCTGCAAATGTGGGGTAGCTGTCTGTTCTAGTCTGGGTTTCTATTACATTCTTGAGTCCTTGTAAGAAGGTGTCAATTCTGTTGGCTGTTTAACAACACAGGTTGGTTGGTCTTAATTGACAACCTACAATATCTATACTCCAGGTTTGTGCCAGAGATAATGAACTTGAATTTTCTGCTTCCCAGTTCTTGTAATTGGATTGTATGAAATATTCTTTTTTTTGTGATTTACCAAAGTAAAATTTTTTTTTTAGAAGTTTAGAAGCATGTACAAGTTTAGAAGAATTTTACAAGTACTCTTCTAGATACTTAAATTGTCTCCTTGGATTAGACCAGCCTGGCAGGTACCTGGAAAGCATTATGAGTTTCTTCATAGGGTTTTTCATCCTGAACTATAGTTTGTGGTTAAATGGGTAGGCTGCAAACAGGAGAAATGTAAGGAATTTACTGATACTGAAACCATCCTTCATTAGACTGTTGTGTCCCTAAAGATAGGGAATTTTGTGTCTTATTCCCTGTTGTAGCCCTAGTATCTAGCATATGGTAGGAAATCAATGAATTTGTTGAGTGATTCATTAACTTTATTGCAAACTCTTCCTTTATGAAGCATAACTTGGATGTTAGTAGCATCTAAGGCATGACCACAGGTTTGTTTTTATCTAATCAGTACTGTAAAACTTATAACTGATAATTTTATTCTGTTTTTTATTTTTCTTTATCAGGCGGCCCCCAGAATCACAGCAGATTCAGAGAGACTCCCAGATAATTTTATTCTTTTATTTGATGATTGGAAGCTCACTGCCAAAGAGAGGCCATCTCTAGCAAATAGACCTAGCTGCACACTTTCTGTGTTCTAATCTTAGTCACTGCTTCTGTTTGTTTTCCTTTTATCTTGCTTTTGTTTTTATTTATCCTTTTTTTTTCTGAATTTTCTATATTTTAAAAAATCTTGGCCAGGCGCGATGGCTCATGCCTGTAATCCCAGCACTTTGGGAGGCCGAGGCGGTTGGATCACCTGAGATCAGGAGTTTGAGAGTAGCCTAACCAACATGGTGAAACCTCGTCTCTACTAAAAATACAAAAAAAAATTAGCTGAGTCTGGTGGCAGGTGCCTGTAATCTTAGCTACTTGGGAGGCTGAGGCATGAGAATTGCTTGAACCCCGGAGGCGGGAGTTGCAGTGAGCCGAGATCATGCCACTGCACTCCAGCCTGGGCAATAGAGTGAGACTTTGTCTCAAAAAACAAACAAACAAACAAAAAACTCCATTAATATTATAGAAAATTTGAGGTATTGATAATTAAGAATCTCCAAATACTTAGCTTATTTTCAGAATTAAGTTATACTACTAAGAGCCTTTTATCTTACTTAATGGTGATTTATAAACACTAGCCAGAGAAGAGGCTTTTTAAAAAACACTACATCTTAAATATTTTATTTTCATTTTAAACATAAAAATGTGTACATATTTTTAAATCTTTGCTGTCTGGGCAGCATGGACCACCTATTTGATATCTTGTTGAATTACATAACTTCCTGTTTGAAATGAGGACTTGAAAAACACTAATTATAGAACCTTATATTTTTGTGATTTACACCCCCTCATCTGTTACAGTTGTCCCACACATATTTATTTTGCAGCTACTTTAAAGCCTTTCCTCTTTATTAAATTTTTTAAAGCATGTGTTATTGAGCAACGGGCTCACTGCCCGAAGTGCGTAGATGCCAATAATATGGCACTGGTTTTTGGGAAAAGAAAGGGCTTTATTGTGAGGTCAACTGGCAAGGAGACAGGAGGCAGGACTCAATTCTGTTTTCTCAATCTGGGTGTTAGGTCAAACTTTTATGGGTTATGGAGGGTTATTTGGTGTGCAGAAGTGCTGGGAGGGTAGGTTTAACTGGAGGACTTTAAACTTGGCCATTTAGGATAAGGTATGGAATGGTGGATTTCAGCACCAGATCTTTCTAGATAACTGACCCTTTACTTCTAAAAGGATTCTGGTACTCAGGTTTTGGTCTTGTCCTGGCCTTCTTGTTTCCATAGGGAGGAAACATTGGTTCTGAGTGTTATAGGAAGTAAAACCTTTTTCTGTTGCACATGCCCTGTCTCCATGATTTGCAATTTGTGCTCTGCTGCATCTGCAAGACAACTTAAACAATGCTTAAACAATAGAGGTGAACTGGGTTGAGCTGCCCCTGTGCTTAACACATGCGAATGTTTTAGTAAATACACACTCTTTGTGTGCTTGTATTTCAATGATATTTAATGAAGTATGTAATTAAAACAACAAGCACAACCAGTTTAAACTAGATTTGGGGACAAAAACAAATGGCTCATCTGGTTGGGACAGAAGTGCTCAGGTGTTGTACAGTGGCTCTCAGTCACTCTCACTGGCATCTGCCAGTACCCTATGCTGAGGACATAGAATGTGCAAGTCAGTTAAGGGAAGGGTTAGTAAAGAGAGCTTCTATGGCTTGCATAGCCTCTGAAAAGTGCACTCTGTTCAGTCTTGAAGAAATGTGAAATTAAGAAGAAATCTTATCTAAATTATGTTTGTTGTAATCTGTCGGCTTATATACCTACATTTAGGCCTTCACAGCACCTAGTGGCTTTCCTGTTATTAAAGAGAACAGCAGACTTCTGTAACTACAGAAGAGCTTCTCTGAAACTAGTGATTTTAGGGGACTGAGAAGAAAGAGGCAGATGAGATGGTGTCTCTTAAAGGGTTATTTCAAAGCCAAAGTTTAGATGCATTTCACATGCAGGGAGTGTGAATTGTCTGTATCTTCTATAGGGTTTAGTCTAATCCTTTTTTCCTCTCGATGTATGGGAAGGAGTCGCATCACAGGATGCTGGCAGGGCCTTGCTGGTGTGACATAGGCTTCAGCTTCCTATCTGTTTCCCCTGGGGAATCAATGAAAACAAGGTTCATCATTCCTCTAATAGATTAAAATTTTTTTCTTGATTAACTTCACTGTGGAGTTGGCAAGAGTTGTTATCTGTTAATCAAAACTGTTTAAATAAAAAATAAAAAGATCAAACTTTGAGTCTTTTCTCATTCTCTGGTTCCTGGGTTGGGAATTAGCTGATCGTTTTAGGCCTGGTTTGTGACATGAGGCTGTCAAGATGGCGCTTCCTGTTAATTACTTTTTATTGTATTTAAGACACTTAAATAACTCTTCTTATGATTTAGTCGTCTATGTAATTAGCTGCAGTGATTAAAATCTCCTTCTTTCGTTCTTGCCAGAGCCTTCTTGAAGAGTGAGATTTTCTGAGGTGACCTTTCCCTGTGCTGGACTTCCCAATTACTTTGAGCTCCAATTTGGCAAACCCTTAGAATCTATTAACTCCTTGCTTATGCCTTTCTGCATATCACGTTTTCAAAGAAAAGTGTTAGAAGAAAATGTGTTCACATTTAGAAAGGGACATCTACAAAATATAACTAGGGTAAGCCACACAGATACACACACTCATTCTCACCACCACCTCACCCCTCATCCATGGAAAACTGTCACATATACAGAAGATACAGTCACTAAGGCACTTCCCTATTGTTTCCCATTATGTGAAGTATTTCAGGATGATAGGAAACAATACACATGGCCCATTTTGTGAAAGTTAAAGAATGGCACAGAGATGGAACCTTGAAAGGTGAGCAAGTGAAAATTCCTGTTTATTTTCTGCAGAAGATCACATCTTTTTAGACAGGTGACTTTATTTTTTCTGTTTATTTTTCTCATATTTTCCTTCTGTTGCTTCCCTGCATTGCTCTTCTTTCTTGATGCATGCATCACCACTGCCACCTGCCTTGATGGCTGTCAGAGCATGAGACCTTGCTATCAGAGGTATTGTCCAAGTTCTGTGGGGGCTCGGGACATCTTAGATAATTCTTTCCCATGCAGCAGCTTCAAGGCCATCTTTATGAATATCCTTTCTGTCTGTTTAGAGTCTTCGTGGATAGCGCTTACCTTTAATGTATTTGTATGAACCAGACTATTAAATTTGCAAAGAATAAGACTGCCTTTGCTTTTGCTTTTTCTTTGGTTCTAATTTGCAGGGATACTTTTTTTCTCCCAGCTGTTCTATTAGTGACTGAACCATTAGGTTAGGTCTTATCCTTACTCTGCTAGAATAATCCTTTTTTAATCCTAGTTTGGTTTTTCTCAGTCACAGTAGGAATAAGTGTCATACAGCCCCCAGCTTTTCTGACTACAGTTGTATAGCTTTGAGGTTTTTCACTGTCAGCCAAACCTCCTATCTCTCAGAGTTTTCAATTCTTAAAACACATTACTAATATCTGACTTTCAAGCTACACTTGGGCAAAAGCAGCCTCTTGAATCGCTCTTTTCTGGCCTAGTCATCTTACCCAGAGAGGCCCACAACATCCTGAAGTTCCTTTTCAGCACTTGAGAAAGTATGGTTACAGTGTTAATAATGGCAGTGGCTCTGCCGGGAGGTAGGGTCTGTATTATAGCCAACCCTTTTTCCCCACAGATTGATGACTTACGCTTTAATCATAGTCAATGAAAAGAACTGCTGAGCCCCCTTCCTGCCCTGCTTTGAAGGAACACAAGACACTAGAATGAGGGTTGTTGTTTTTTTCCACTTAAATCAGTAACAAACCACTAACCAACTCAACCCAAACCTTCCGCCTTCCCAAAAAGAGCAGTTTAGATTGTTTTCTGGAAATCATAGGCTGCTGGGTTAATATAATTGTGCTGCTTCTCCTGTGTTGAGTAGTAGAAGTGTGCCTATCCATTCTGAGGACATCAGAAACCTATGTGGCATTTAGTTAACAATACTTGAGAAAGAAGTAGTTGAATAACTAGGCCTGTCCTCTGCCAGCTCAAGCATAGCAATCATTTTAAGACACTTGTCCCATAAAACACTATAAGAAGGAACTTGGCTGTTGCACAGGGTTCAGGATTACAGTCAGGAAAATATTGTTGAGTTTCAGACAAATCTGTCTCTTTTGTTCAGATATTTCGTGGCTGGCTATCTATGGCAACCTCATACTGCCAAGTCTTATTTCCTTAAAAATGTGGTTTCAGATTACTTTATTACCATCATTTCTAGATGGAAGTTCAATTTAGCTTTTCATAATGGCACCCTTGAATCCTACAAATCAGCAAAATCCTTTACTGAAGTATGTGAGAGCTTCTTCTTTTCCCCTTTTTGCTTTTTATACTGTCAGTTGAGTTGAGTGCCAAGCTGTGGATGGATGACTTGAATATTTACTGCACTGATCCTTGGGAAGCTCCCCCTTGTCAGTTTCCCAAAGTGTACCATGGAGAGCCCAGGAGAGAGTAAGGCTTTTCCCCAAATCTGTTTATGTTGTAACTTTTGCTTCATGTCTCATTGTAATGTTTCTCTAAATATTTTAAAACTTCCTTTGCTTTTTTTCTTCTATATTCAAGGAGATGTCTTCAACTTGATCTTTCAGGTTATATGCTTAGCTAGACAGCTGGCCAATCATGCATATTGACTTATTTTCATTCATCCACACTCTCTTGTTTATTTATTCATATCACTTATTCATTTAGCCACTCACTCATTAGTTCATTTATCAAGTATTAGTGGAATGCTTGGTATGTACTAAGGACTGTGTTAGGCATCATGAATATATTGGTAATTCTAAAACTGAAATTATTTCTATGCTTATAAAATTTACAGACTATTCTTTTAATCTAGCCCATTTTATTGATTTTTCTTTCAGCATTTATATTTAAATTTTTGTTCTTTAATTGTTCTGTCTTAATAGCACCCTATTCTTAGTTTATGAATACAATTTGTCTCTAATATCTCTGAGAACATTTAAAACTAAAAGAAATAACACGCTTGGCTGGGCACGGTGGCTCACGCCTATAATCCCAGCACTTAAGGAGGTGGAGGTGGGTGGATCACTTCAGCCCAGGAGTTCGAATCCAGCCTGGGCAACATGGCGAAACCCCTGTCTCAATTAAAAATGCAAAAAAATTAGCTGAGTGTAGTGATGCATGTCTGTTATCTGAGCTATTCGGAAGGCTGAGGCATGAGAATCACTTGAACCCTGGAGATGGAGGTTGCAGTGAGCTGAGATTGTGCCACTGCACTCCAGCCTGGGTGGTAGAGCAAGACTCAGTCTCCAAAAAAATAAAATAAAATAAATAAAATAAAATAAAATAAATAAAAAAAATAATCCTGGGCGAGATGGCTCACGTCTGTAATCCCAGCACTTTGGGAGGCTGAGGCAGGCAGATCATTTGAGGCCAGGAGTTCAGACCAGCCTAGCCAATATGATGAAACCCCATCTCTACTAAAAATAGGAAAATTAGCAGGGTGTGGGCACCTATAATCTCAGCTACTTGGGAGGCTGAGGCAGGAGAATCGCTTGAACCCTGGAGGCAGAAGTTGCTGTGAGCCAAGATCGCACCACTGTACTCCATCCAGCCTGGGTGACAAAGTGAGACTCCCTCTAAAAAAAAAAAAAAAAAGAAAAAAGGGAGAAAAAGAAAGCTGGGTGCAGTGGCTCACGCCTGTAATCCAAGCACTTTGGGAGGCTGAGGCGGGCATATCACCTGAGGTCAGGAGTTCAAGACCAGCCTGCCCAACATGGTGAAACTTGATCTCTACTAAAAAATACAAAAATTAGCTGGGTGTGGTGGCGCACGCCTATAGTCCCAGCTGCTCAAGAGGTTGAGGTGGTATAATCACTCAAACCCAGGAGGCGGAGGTTGCAGTGAGCCGAGAACACGCCACTGCACTCTAGCCTGGGTGACAGAGCGAGACTTGGTCTCAAAAAAAAAAAGAAGAAAAAGAAATAACACCCTCTTCTGTTGTCTGAATTATCTGTTTCCTCTTAGATTAAATGTTGCCTTTATTTTGTTCCTTTTCTTTGATAAATCCTTAAATATTTGTAAACTTTCATCTGCATTTATGAAGGAACAACTTTACTATTTGGGGTAGGCATGGCATTTCTCTGCAGTTACGTAGGTCTACTTCTCTTGGACAGCTTCATCACAAAAGCGAGTAGGGAGGCAGGTAGTATCAGAGGCAGGCTTCCTTGAAGGCTGCCCAAAAGTATCTGGTCCTGCAGCAGAGAGGAAGCAAGCAAATTATAGACCCCACTGAAATTGTCGAGGGAAAGAGGCTCTCTGGTAGAGAGCTTTAATGTATTTTCCAGGATTATTTTGCAAGTGGGGGCTCGGGGTTGACTGGGATGTGCTTTGCAGAAGCTGTCTCAAATGCTGTGGCCACACGTCCATCTAAACTTCTTCCCGTGTTAAATTAAGGGACAGCTTTAGTAGTATATAGATAATAGACTTTTAAAGAAAAATCTGAGTATCTAATGTTGAGAAATCTGCAACAGTAACTTCCTTTAGTGTAAGTGTGACTATTTTGTGGCTTTGAGAACTTTAATGCTTTCCACCACGTTACAGGTAAGCTTGGTAGCAAGCTGCAACAGTAATTGGAAGAACTGTGAAGACATCCTTTAGTATTAAAACAGTGGGTTAATGAATGGTCTCTGTTAGAAGCAAAGTCCTCTAGCACCTCCTCTAGAAGAGGAGAAGGCATGAGGGCCCAGGGTTTAATGCTGCCCTGCTGGTAGAGATTTTACTGGGCTTGTATTTTTATTAGGCTTGTTTTTACTAGTGCCTGGGCTTCAAAGTTCCATAGGGTTTACTTGAATGATCTGCCCATAACCCTATTTTTCTCACAAGCCCTTTTTATTTAAGGTTTTCTGTGCAGTTTTGTGGTAAATATATGATACCAGTTATGCCTGTACTTTTGCCAGGTATCAAAACCTTTTGCTCCTAGCTACTCTGTGGGCATCACAGGGAAGTGGAGATTCTGGCTGGCTGGCCATGCTTTTCTGAGTGTGATTTCTAATTAATTACTCCGATGATGACCCTAAAGCCTACTCACTGTGGTTTTTTGTATTTATTGATAAAGGCCCTTGGAGTGCTCTTACTTCTTAGTATTTGTGCTACTATTTCTCCACTAGTCTGACCCCATCTGCTTTCTGCCTTTCAGGGTTTGCAAACTTTCTGATGTGCTGCTAACACACATTCTTGTTTTCTAGCATCATTAGGGCTTTGTTCGTTTTTTGTTCTGTTTTGTTTTGTTTTGAGACACAGTCTCACTCTGTTGCCCAGGCTGGAGTGCAGGGGTGTGATCTCAGCTCACTGCAACCTCTGCCTCCCAGGTTCAAGCGATTCTCTTGCTGAGTTCAGCCTCCCAAGTAGCTGGGATTACAGATGCCCACCACCACGCCTGGCTGATTTTTGCATTTTTAGTAGAGATGGGGTTTTGCCATGTTGGCCAGGCTGGTCTTGAACTCCTGACCTTAAGTGATCTGCCTACCTTGCCTCCCAAAGTGCTGGGATTACAGGTGTGAGCCACCACTCCGGCCAGGGCTTTATTCTTTTCCATATCTGTCTTTCTCTTATTTCATGGGGACCTTGTAAAGGATGGTGTTTGGACATAAGTTCTCAGTAGATCTTGCTGACCTCCTACTAGCATTCTATTTATTTATTTATTTATTTATTTATTTATTTATTTATTTATTTAGAATAGTGCCATGATGTGATAAGGAGAAGGGGGCATTCGACATGGTTACTAATAAGCATTATTTATTTATTTATTTAGAATAGTGTCATTGATGTGATAAGGAGAGGGGGCATTTGACATGGTTACCAATAAGCAAAACTTATGGGTCTTTTCTATGCCATTTCTCAGCCCCCTTCTCTTTATAATTCCTGTGGTCAGCACAGCACTAAGTGTTAAGGGGAATAGGAATGGAGTTTTTATAAATTTTTGTAACTCACAGTAGTGATTCTGCTTAAAAGGGATTTGCTCCCTTTCATTCTGAGTGATCTTTTAAAAAGTAATAAAAATTGTAGTAACATTTTCAAAAGAAAATAGGGGAAATTGCCTGTTATTTCATCCTGCTAATATAATAGCTCCTATTTTGGGGGTGCTTCTTTTGAGTGCTGAGTGCTTTTTTTTTTTTTTAAAGAATATAAAATTTAGAAGCAGAAAAACTTGGACCACTCGGCATAAGGTTGAGATGAAGTCTAAGGCAAACTATTGTTGATATTAAGATTCTATGGAATTTTTTTTGAGACAGGGTCTCACTCTGTCACCCATGTTGGAGTGCTGTGGTACAATCATGGCTCACTGCAGCCTCAATCTCTGTGGGCTCAGGTGATCCTCCCACCTCAGCCTCCCAAGTAGCTAGGACCACAGCTGAATGCCACCCCACCTGGCTAATTTTTGAAGAGACCGAGGTTTAGCCATGTTGCTCAGGCTGGTCTCGAACTCCTGGGCTCAAGCAGTTCTCCCACCTTGGCCTCCCAAAGTGCTGGGATTATATCATGAGCCACTGCACTGGCCTGGGTATTTTTTTAAATGTAGAGTTTGGAAGTAAATAGGTCTGAGGTAAAAAACTCAGCTCTACTATTAGATACTGTGTAATCATGGGCCTTAGTTTTTTTTGTTTTTTTGATTTTTGTTTTTCCAGCTGTAAGTTAGAGATAATAGTATATACCTCATAAGGATATTGTGAGGATTATAGGTGATACTGCATTTTAAATGTTTAGCATAGTGACTAAGACATAACAATCAAATACTAAAGTGAGCCCTAAGCCCTCCAGAGGGGAGCTGCTTACCATTGACCTAATTTTAAAATCTAATAGTTTCTTCCATCTTTCTCTGTCCTCTTTCCCACCTCTCTCTCACATGTCCAGCTATTTCTTTAAGCTCAAACTTGATTTTATATTCTGTTCTCTTTTTCTTCATCACACTCCCTGTGGCCAACTCATCCACTAATGTGATTGCTACCCAACAGATTCTTTTAAGGATGAATTTAGTAAGTAGTAGCTACCCAAGGTTTAATTTACAAAACAAAACAAAATGCCTCATTGGATTATGGTTGAGGACTCTGTGGTACTAGGGCATTTTATTGTTCCATTGGAGGCACTTTGGTTTGTATTAGTCTCCTCACATCACTTTTTCAGTTTTCATGACGGCAATTGCATTCATTTTCCCCCTAAGTATTGAATGTATACTGTTTCCTTAAGACAGTAATGATTGATAAGTACTTGCATACAGGTAGAAGTAATGGATATGCATGAGTAATGCTTAATGTTTCAGGAAGCTTAACACATATTTACCATTTAGTAGGCACACAATTTATTCTTTAATAAAAACAGTATATTGGATACCTTTCAAATCAAGAGGTGTGCTAGCCAGCTACTTCCCTGGGTATGCTAGCTATCTACTTTACCTGTTTATCTGAGGTGATGAAAAGGCACAGGGCTACCAAATTAGTGTTTTTGGAAATGTTTTTACTCTACCCCCACCTGAAAAGGCTTACTCAAAGCCATAGTCCATGGAGCTTTTAGAATGGCCCTTCCTGCTGTGATGCCTTAGTTAATTTTTCTGCCTTTAGTGAAAATGTGTTTTAAACAGGGAAACAAAAGGAACTTGGAAGGATTTAGCAAATATTGCGATCTTGGAGGTGAGTATGTATGGTAGGATTGGGAGATGTTTAAGAGCATTAGCTTCATAAAGGGAGGTGGACTGCCTTCTATCAGATTTCCATTGTTGGTTTTACATGGAGTCTTCTGACTTTCTAATATATCTGCTTACATATAAACTGGGATTCAGCAGACTGTTGCTTTATCTATTGTGTTTAAAATGTGGTTTATAAGCCATCACGCATTAGGTCAGTAGCAATGGGAACTATATTACAGTTCTCATACCATCCCTCTTCCTTCCCAATGAAAAAGGGATCATTTTGGCATTGACTACAAAATCACCTTTTCTTTTTTTTACACCAAGAAGCAACTAAACAATTCATTTATTCCTGTCACCACTTTTTCAGAAATTTCCCTCTGAAATGTTTATATTGCTTCTTGTGTCACTTAGCACCCTCTGCAGCTGTGGAAAGATCAGATCATTGAGTGAAGGTTAACCACAGAGTCTTTGTAGTGGCTTACTGTCTTTCAAAGCAAGAAACCAAAAATACCCCTTCCTTTCCAAAGAGAAGGAGAGAATTTCAAAGCCCTTAAACTTTTGCTGGACCTATTTATTGCTTGTACTAGAACTATGAATCATTAAGTTAAAAAATATTCTGGTTTCCAATTCTTAGGAAAAATGTCAACACTTTTTTTTTTTTTTTTTTTTTTTTTTTGAGATGGAGTCTCACTCTTCCGCCCAGGCTGGAGTGCAGTGGTCCTATCTCAGCTCACTGCAAGCTCTGCCTCCCAGGTTCACACCATTCTCCTGCCTCAACCTCCCGAGCAGCTGGGACTACAGGCGCCCGCCACCGCCCCCGGCTAATTTTTTTTTTTTTTTTTTTTTTTAAAGCAGAGACGGGGTTTCACCATGTTGGCCAGGATGGTCTCCATCTCCTGACCTCGTGATCCGCCCGCCTCGCCCTCCCAAAGAACACTTTTTTAAAAATGTATTTTTGTTTTCACTTAGTTTTGTAAGTGAGGTTTCTTTTTTTTTCTTCGTAGCACAGTTGGGGGTGTTTACTTGGCAAGCAGAGTCCAGGCAGGGAGGCCACGGGACCCCTGACAGGCACCTCCAAGGAGGATTTTCATAAGAGCAAACACTCAGGGACCAAGGCGAGTCCAAAGGGGCTGTGGAGAGGTTCCCTCGCTTCTGGCCATCAGCACAGCCAAGGCCCCACAACTAAAGGCTTTTATTGGGAAAGGGAAATTGACTGAAAAATGGCCTCCAACTTCCTCACTGCCTGAGACACTTGGACCTCCTCCACAAAGTTCAGGAAAGAAGGGCCCACCAAACTAGGTCCCCAGCAGTCTCAGGTGTAGAGGTCAAAGTCAATGCGTTTGGAGTTGTAGAACTGACCACGAAGGGGGTCCAGCTTCCGGCAGTAAACACCATCAGGAAAGTAGCCTTCGCTCACCCAGGTCTGCATCTGGTCGCTGGTGAAGGGCCCATGCAGCTCGGCATCCCCCGGGTTCTCCCACTTATATTCCCACATCACATCCACCAGACCATCTCCTGGCAACTCTGCTTCTCCTCTCTGGGTAGGGGTTGGGGTCTCCAGTTCCCCCTCTGCCACTTCCTCAGCGAACATGTCTAGGGAGTGTGGGGGTGTGGGATTGTGGGGTCCCTAGGGCCTGGCACCCCAAACCCTTCAGCCGCATGGCCAACTGTTCCCTCGTTTCCTGGTACATGCCAAGGTTTCCCTGGGCCACCATCTGGTCGGCCAATTCGGAGAGCCGGTCCGGGCACTGCGGGGAACTGGGTCACCCAGGCCCCTTGCTGCTCCCTTTGCCTCCTCCTCGGGCCCCCAGATGCCTCAGTGCCCTAGCCACTGTCTCTCTAGGCAATAGGAGCTCCAAAAGTCCCTCCAAGAAGGCTTGGGCACTCACTGGGGTCTGGCCCAAGCTGTCCTCCTCTTCCAAGTCTGAGGCCTGGCGTGGGGTCTCATTTCTAGAGCTTTTACCTGCAGAAGTTCTGTACTTTGTTTATGCAGTGCAGATCTAAAGCAGCTGCCACAATCTGGACCTTAGCAACACTGACATTGGGTTTGGTCCAGTTGCTAATGGACTCTAGGGAACAAAAACACCACTCTCCTGCTCCTGTGATGCCAGCTGGCTAGTATGTAGGCCATAAACCATAATGGACAGGTAGTGGAATTCCTCTTCCTGGACGTCTTTTTCCTTTCTGACCAATATGAAATAAAACTTATTTTGACCTTCTACCCTAAAAAGCAACATGTGCTGAAACAAGTATCTTCTGACAAATTTGTTCTTATCTAGAATGATTAGATTTGGTAGAAGAACGTAGTTATACTTCCAGTTAGCAGTGGCGTGGTATTTCTCTGAGTAGAATGATGGTCGTCTAGAATCTAGACTATTACTTCAGTTTCTTCCTCTGAACAAAACGTTGTTTATGTATACCTGCATTTACATAAACTACAGGGGATGTGAAAATGACTCTCTGGGGCTGCCTCTCTCCATTTTGGACCTTTCTAGACCTCATTGGTTTGGCTGGTTCTGCTTTCACTGTCAGAGCAGATCATTCCAGATGCCATTATGTAATTTTCTGTCTTGGGATATGTGTTTGCATGGGGGGGTGGTTTTGTTTTGTTGTTAAGTGATGTTTAATGTCAAGCCAATAATATGGATATGTAGGCTTGGTTTTGTCATAATGGCCACAAGTTAGCTTATTTATCCTTATTTCCCAGAGACACAGAGAGCCACCCTTCCCCACCCCTACTTAATGTCTACGTTTTGCAGGGGGCTCTTGTCATCACAGCTGCCTAGGAAGTACAGCATGGCCAGTTGGCAGTTCTATTCTGCAGAGACAAAGAGGAGGAATCTTTTCTCTGGTTGCTACCACAACTGATTGGTTGGCTTCCTGTGACCTAAATAGAACCAATAGGAATGAGTTTGCTGTTCCTGAAATAATACCAAAGTTTGCTCTATTCCCTTCCCAGAATTCTCAGGGTCGTGTTCTTTGGGAAGGCCAGGTGATATGACACATTTATGATTCTGGGGCCTTAGGTTGTGTTACATCATTCTTGGCCCTTGATTTCTTGAGGAGAGTAGTATTAGCTGAAGTTTTCTGTCTGGGTAGTTTTTCATAAAACTTGATAGACTCACCTGGAGCACTTACAAAAAATAGTGATGCCCAAAATTAAAATCTAAGTACTGATGCTTGGTGTTTTATCAGTGTAAATCTTCACCCCTAGAGGTTCTTGTTTTATTTGTCTGGTGTGGGGTCTGGCATTAGTGTTTTAAGTGGTGATTCTGATGTGCACCCAATATTGCTAACCACTGAGAAAGGGAGTCTAAAGGAAACAGGAGGGGCCAAAACCAACAATCTTCTCTGCTCTCAGATTAGGTCTGCAGCATAGATACAGGTAATAGGAGGAATAAGAAAGACATTACAGATGTTTATGTTCTCAGATCACTTTTACAGCTCTGTTAATTTCTTCAATACCATCTCTGTTTGGAAGATGTACATGATGGCAGAGCGGTGGAGGGGCCAATGGGGAGATGGTTATTTCTAGCTCTGCCTCCAGGTTAAAGTGTGACCTTGCAAGTCAGTTAACCTCTTTTCCTAAGGCCCTTAGCTGGCCTTTTTTGAAAGTGGCATAAACAGTACTGTCAACATTATGCTTCCTTAATGTGTGTCTTCTTGGTAATGTAAAATTCCTTCAAACCCCTTCTCAGGTTCTTGGTAGAGGGGATTTCAGTGGTGGGAATGTTTATGGGTGAGACAAGCAGTAGCAATGAAGCCACAAGTTTCCTGTTGGCTGAAACGTCTAGTTGTAGATTTTCCCTGTAGCTCTTCCTTCCCAGGCTCTTGATTTTAAGTGATTAGTTTGCTTGGAAGTCTGGATTTACAAAAGTCTGCTTAAGGTGCTTGTTCTTCATTAATGTAATCAGACTTTACCCAAATAGTTAATTCTTAGTGATCTCCACCAGTTAATTCAGTGGCCTGATTGCCATTAGCCACTGATGTGACCTTAGTTGAATTGCTTGTCTGAGAGAGCAGTGGTGTAGTGGAATGGTGGTGTAGTGAATTTGGACCTGTAAGGTTCCTTTTAACCCTATTTGTAACTGATTTTCAAATTCATCGATTTTATCTGGCTAGCGACTGTTTATTATTACTGTTGTTTTAAAACACCCTCCTAGAAGGAATCCTTAGGCAGTAAAAGGTGTTAATCTCTTTTGTTGCCTCTCTTATTGCTAGCTAACCAAAACTGTATCTCCAAGTAATAAATATTTGTGTATCTCGAAGTAATAAATATTTGGGGTGATGAAATAAATTCAAGTATAATCATTTTTCAGGCTCAATGTCAGTTGGTGGGTTTATAAAGACTGAAGCCCAAAATTAAATATCCAAGAAGCCCTAGAGTTTATGGTGTTCTGTTTTGGGGGATAGCCTTACGTATATGAAATTAATAATGTGTATTTTGATGACCAAAGTATAATTATTTGGCAGGCTTTAATCCAAACTAATATGCTGGAGAAGATTGGCTGTTTTATGCTGATGCGCTTCTAGGTATAACCCCATTTATGACTCTAGCTGTTTTCTTTCACACCTTTCTAAAAGGGGCTTTTATTCAGCCAGTAAACACAGGTATAACAAAACTAGCCAGTGCCATATGTTAAATATCTTGAATATCATCCATGTTTACAACATAATATTTTAAGAATTATATCATTTGGTCTTAGATAACCCTTCAAGGTTGCTTTTCAGGGAGAGATGTAAATCATTGTATCATGGGTTGGCAGAGAAGAGAGAATCAGGACTGCCTGTTTCCATTTTGGTTTGGATCCTTTGAATTGGGACTATTTTCTATACCTCATCTTGCACTGTTGAGGTTTGTGTGTTTAGTGTGGCTGAGAATCATTGCTTTTGAAGGGATGCTCTCTGCCCGTCTACCTGGTGTCATTCATTTGTTTCGTTTTTGTTTTTTGTTTTTTGAGACAGAGTCTCACTCTGTTGCCTAGGCTGGAATGCAGTGGCGCTGTCTTGGCTCACTGCAACCTCCGACTCCCAGGTTTAAGTGATTCTCCTGTCTCAGCCTCCCAAGTAGCTGGGATTACAGGTGCCCACCACCACACCCAGCTAATTTTTACATTTTTTAGTAGAGACAGGGTTTCGCCATGTTGGCCAGGCTAGGGATCCTGACCTTAGGTGATCCACCCGCCTCGGCCTCCTGAAGTGCTGGGATTACAGGCGTGAGCCACCGCTCCTGGCCTTATTTGTTTTTTAATTAGTGTACCATTCCATGCTATAACCTAAAACAGTAAGTAGAAGTCTGGAGGCCGTGATTTTCACATCCAGGAACTCAAGGGAAGAATGGAGTGTATAGGCAGAGCATGGCCGTGTCCACCTGTGCCAGGTTTTTGTTTTTCACTGTGCTTCATCTTTAACACATTTGTTGAAGACTTTTTGACATTGATAGACTATGTCTAGCAATAAGACATTAGTATTCGTTGTGGATTAGAAGGTAATCCCCACATTATTCCCCTCACCTTCTGCAGTTTAGCTTTGATTTCACTACCTAAGAGGTCTTTTTCTGGAAAGTACACTTTTTTAATGTATGGCAGCTTCAAAAGCAGGAGCTGAAGAATGCATCCAGTTTTCCTAGTCTGCTAAAGGCAGGGACTGTGGAAATAGAATCAGAATGTCGTTATTCTACAACTTTTCTAAATCAAATTTATTTCCCAAGCATGAAGTGTTAACAGCACCCTACCCACTGGAATATTTTGAGGGACAAAAGAAATTCTGACTTGATTACCAGGACTCTCGTCTCCCTCTTAATATGTCTCTAAGAGGTTTTTTGCCCTGGAATCCGGTGCCCGGTGATCTTAGGACAATTCCCCATTTGCAGCATAATTTATAAGTTACCCATTCTCTCTTTCCCCTGTAATAACAAAATTGCTGTGATAGCCATCCAACCAGTTAAAAAAAATTCAGGTAATTCATTTCTAAATTGGAACTTGTTTCTTTTAAATCAGCCTTGTAATGTATTACAGACATCACTCTCAGCATTGGCTACAGAAGTGATTTAATGCTGAGTTTTTAATGATTCCTTCATTAATCCTGGTATTCTGGGATTTAACACTCACTGGCCAATGATGAAAACTTTGATTTCATGCATATCAGATAACGCTGGGCAGTTGCTGAAGCCATGAATCTTGCCTCTGTAGTGGCATGTATGATTGAGAGTGTTGCGGATGGATGGGTGCTCTCCCAGGCCGTGCACTGCTGCTGAAGAGGTGAACACGATATCTTTATCAGCTCAGGGTGACCTCTTCCCAGCACAGTTGCATTTGAAGCAAGAATTTGCACTGACAGCTTCGTCTCCTAGATCTCTGGACTTGTGAAGTCAAGCTTCACCTTTTCAACTATTTCCTAAAAGATGCTTTCTTTGAGAACATGTCCCTTGATGTCTATATTTTGATTTTTTTCTTCTAATAAAGTCATATAATTTTTTAGTAGAAAGACATCGATAGGACTATCTAGTCCACCTCCCTCATTTTGCAAACAAGGCAGCGGAGTCCACGAGGAGTGACATAACTAGGCCAATGCTAATAATAATGAAAATTAATAACAACAGCAGTGACCGCCAACATATATAATGCTTACTGTGCGCCAGGCACTATCTAAATGTAGTAATTCATTTTTTCCCCACAAAACCTTCAGGAGGTAACATTGCACAGCAAGTCCAGTATCCCACACAGCTTCTTTCTGTACCTCCTGCTGCTCTTAAAAGCAGAGAAGACAGTGTTGGTTGCATTCCTTACTCTTAATGGAAGCATTACAAATGTTCCATGGAAGCGAGGTGCCAGTTTATTTACTGTAGAGTCTTATGGCCAGAGTGTTAATATACCTTGAAAAAATGCCATGTTCTTTCTTCCCTCAAAAAAAAATTATTGCTTAGTGAAGAGGAAGTCACCTTATCCATAGAGTCTTCTCAGAGGCTGTCATATTACAGTGTGCTGCCTTAGTTACTTTGTTTTGAACATATGAATTAACCAGTGCTATATGAATGTCATATTGGCAGAATCGTAAAACAATAGCTAACTTTTTTTTACACAGATACAGTAATTATTCCTGTGAGTGTGACCCCCTCATTACAAGCACCATGGAAAGTAACCTGTTAAAGCTCACCTTGAAGAGCAGTGCTCTAAGGTATAAGTTGGCAAACTTTTCTTCAAAGGGCCAGATGGTAAATATTTTCAGCTTTGAGAGTCATATGGTCTCCCTTGCAGCTATTCAGCTCTGCCTTTGTAGCGGTAAAGCAGCCATAGATGATGTGCAAGCAAATGGGTGTGGTGTCCCCATAAAACTTTAACTCCAAAAACTGGAGAAGAGTTTGCCTGCCCCTGTCCTAGGTTATGTTGTGGAGATAGGAATATACGATATACTTATAAGACAAATGATAAAATTTCAAAGTGAGAGAAAAGTACCTCAAGAAGTGTCTCTATTGATGGTGTATACTCTGGTGTTGAATACACCCATACCGAGTGCAGCTTGAGCAGAACTTTTCTGAAATGTATACTTGATGATGTATAAATGTTATAAATAAATACTTTATTTGATTAGTTAGATATTTAGGATAAATAAGAAACTTCTCCCATTTTTCTAAGTCTTCCCCCACCCCCCACCCCAGGAAATTAGGTAGCTCTTTATATGCAAGCATGTTTTCTTGTCATCTTTTTCTCTTGAGCCCTATCAAAGGCTCAGTTTATGAGGAAATGGCATGTTTTGGAAATTGTTTTCAATACAATCTGATGGCTTCTCACTTCCTTCCAATTGAGCCATCTCTACACTGGTCACTGGGGGTAGAACAGTTCACCACTTCTGTTTGGTGACACCAGCAACCATCCATCCACTTCTTGCTGATGGTGCTCTTCTGGTTATTTGAATCTGTGAGCATGTCCTTGTTTTTCTGGGTGTCTGATTCTCATATTTTGTTCAATGCTACCTAAGTCTTGCTATCTAGAACAGTTCTGAATCTGTAAAACAGCAGAGTCTTTCCTGTTAGAATTTTATTACTTTGCTGCCAGTTTAATTTTCTGATTTCTTTCTGGTGTCTTTCTCCCTTTTTTCATTCTCGCCAGTTCAGTGCTGACTAACCCTTTTCTTTGTATACCTTGTCAAAGTTTTTAATATGATCTAATTGAAGGCACTTCCCTGCACTATGGATTTTGCTGGTCTACTAGAGACAGTTTTTCTTTATTTTCAGCATGCCCCTTTTCAGATGCATCTGGAATAACAGCTGCATTCCCACTCCTGAATAAAATGGGTTAGGAAAGCTTCTCATTGGCAAAGCACCTGGATTCTTTGGCAAGATTGGAGGTAAACTCCAGACCAGATCCATCACCAGGAGAATGGGAGGACCAATTTTTATAGGGTGGGGGTAGACCATATGAATGAGGATGTGAGTGAACTCATGTTATAGAAGCACCATTTATATCTGTTAAATGTAAGGGATTAGATAATCTGTCATTATGCTAATTCTGGGTAACAGATGGTGGAGAGTTCTGCATCTCAACAGCAGTATTCACCATGGGGGAAATTAGCTTGCACCCAGATCAGCAGTTAGGCAGGAATTCCATTGAGAGAGAAACACTATTGATGATTACATTAGTGTATCCCTCTGAGAGCATCTACACATATGGTGGGTTCCTTCAAATTATCTATAGTTGACATATGCTTGGCCATGGCCCTTACTAAGTTACAGGACCTCTGTCCTTCTATCTATAAAGAATTTGAAGTTCGTTTAGGAAGATCAAGATTGGAAGTAGGTTAGGAAATGTGGCTCAGAGCATTATTGTATCATACAGTTTTTCTTCAAAGAAAGATGCCATACAGATGTCAAAAACATTGTTTGTCTGTCTTTGGAAATGAACTCCAGAAATGAAATGAGAAGCAGGAACTGGATGTGTTCTTTGTAAGTGCCATACCTTATCTTTGGTACAAGATTAAACAAACAAACAAACAAACAAAAGATTTAATTAAGTCCTTTGGCTTCACATTCTCTAAGGGACTGTCTTGATTCTGTAATTTTTTTTTTCTCCTTTGTGGTTTTGTTTTGTTTGTTTCGTTTTTGAGACAAGGTCTTGCCCTATCACTCAGGCTGGAATGCAGTGACACAATCATGGTTTATGGCAGCCTTGACCTCCTGGATCCTCCTACTTCAGCTTCCCAAGTAGCTGAGACTACAGGCATGCCATCATGCTCAGCTAATTTATTTATCTTTTTTTTTTTTTTAATAGAGACAGGGTCTTGCTATGTTGCCCAGACTGTGGTATTTATTTTATGTGGTATTTTGTTAAATCATAACTTCATCTACCCTTTGTATGCTGATGATTATCAACTTTTTATTTCTCCTTTTTTTTTTTTTTACCACATACCTGCTTTTCATTTCCATTTGTATCATCTTACTCTCATTTCATAGCCAACATGCTTAACTCTAATGCTGATTAAAATGAAGGTTTCAAACTCCAGTGTGCCCAAGAATCACCTGTGTAGTTTATTAAAATACAACCTAAGCAGTGGGCTAGACCCAGCTTTTTTGGTACTCAACAAATTGGAGTCTTCTCCTGTCAGATGATTCTATTCCTTTTCATATCGGCCAGACATACTGAGCTCGAAGAGAAGCCAAGAACCTAGACAACTCATTTTGAAGAGCTGTCCAGGTTGATTGGACAACCATTAAAATGTATCACCACTTGTACAGGGAATATTCCAGATGTGCTTTAAGTAGGCATAGTCATTCATATTTAATGAGTTACTAAGTTGGATTATGAGCTATGGTTCAAGAAGCATATAGCATTTTGGATTGGGAAATCTAAAAGCTAGGGGCTGCCCATCAATAATAGCTTTGATTCCCACCAGGAGCTGAAATAATTAAAGGTGTTTGATGCTGCCTAGGTGTTCCTTGGGGTATTGAGAGAAAGCAATTTCATTAGGAAGGTAGTGATTTAGTTATTTATATGTTAAAGAATTCTGTTATCAGTTCTTTCCTTCTACTCTTGCCATCCCTCCACTCCATGCACTCAACAAGGCAGATCCAAGCATTTCGTACCTGCAGGTTTTCCCCCTCTTCAAATCTTGCTGCATAATACTCCTGGATTAATTTTCCATAAATGCTGTTTTAATGGTGCTATTTCACTACCATGGCTATTTTAGACTTTGACCGCTTTTGTCCACCAAGCCCCCCTACTTAACTATATCTCTTCCTATCACTGTCAGCAGTCTCATCTCTTACTTTATGGAGTAAATATAGGGTTATCAGGAAGATGCCTTTAACTTCTTGTTCTCTCAGCTTCCAGTTTGCCTTCCTTGTTATGCTTGCTTTCTTACCTCCTGCCTTCCCATCTCCGTAGACAGTTTCACCTTCTTCTTTCCAAACTAATTGTTCTGCCTACATGCTCTAGATTCCAGTTCTTTTGTTCTCCTTGGGATTTTGTGCTATTGGCTATTCTCTTTTTAACTAGTGTTATTTTTAATTGTCCTTCAGTCTTCTATCCTATTATATCTGCTTTTCTTCTTCTTGCCTTCTCTTCATAGCCAAGTTAATTAGAATAATTAAAAGACATTTTAATTCTGTCCCGTTTGCTATTCATTCCTTTCCCTTCTAGCTTTGAACCTTCCCCATCATTCACCAATGCTTCCCTGAAGGACACTTCTCAGTCTTTACTTTTACTTGACCTCTCTGGAGTATTTAATACTTATCTTTTAAAATCTTGTTTTCTTCTACCTTTTCAGTATACCACACTTTCGTGGATTTCCTTCTACAACTCTGATAACTTTTTCTCAGTCTGCTTTGAATGCTCCTTAAATATTTGTGCTTCCTAGGCTTCTGTCATTGTCCCTCTTCTTACCACTATTCAGTCTCTGGGTGATCTGATGGTGATGCTGCTGACTTCCCTTTCCCTGTCTCTAGCAGGCTTCCCACCTATATTCAACTGCTGTTCCTTTACTCAAATGATCGCGTCTTTTGATGGTGTCACCATTTACATAGTCTTTTAGTCTAGAGATCATGTTGTCGTCTTTATCTCCTCCTAACTCCCAGTATGTAATTACCTACTGGTATATCAGGTTCATCCTATCCTGGCTCTCCTCACTGCCTGGTTTATGCTGTCAGTGTAGAATAACTCAGCAGTTCTTTTTACTAGCCTCTCTATTTCTAGTCTTACTGCCCTCCAATCCATTTTCTACATTACTGCTTTAATTCTCTTTTTGAAACACACATCTGATTTTTAGAATCATTCCATAACCTTAGGAGTGGAGTATACTGAGCCATGACCTGGCCCCTCCCTACCTCTCCATGTTTATATTTACATTCCCTGGTTCTCATTCACCATTCCTTTAAAAAAAAAAAAATTAAATGCATTACTATTTAACTTAATCTGCTCTCTGCCTGGAACATACATTTCATCTGGTTAGCTCTTACTCATTCTTCAGTGCTTCATTTCTCAGGAAAGTTTTGCTGTAGGTACTCCGTCTAAAATCTGAATTGTGCATCTTGTGTGTGTCTTCCCCCAACACTTGGTGCTTACTTATAATAAGACTCATAGTAGGTCAGGCATGGTGGCTCACGCCTGTAATCCCAGCACTTTGAGAGACCAAGGTGGGTGAATCACTTGAGCCCAAGAGTTCAGGTCCAGCTTGGGCAACATGGTGAAACCCTTTCTCTACTTAAAAAATAGCCAGGTGTAGCAGCATGCGCCTATAGTCCCAGGTACTCAGGAGGCTGAGGTGGGAGGCTCACTTGAGCCAAGGAGGTGGAGGTTGCAGGTAACTGTGATTGCACCACTGCACTCCAGCCTGGGTGACAGAACCAGACACTGCCAACAACAACAAAAAGACTCATAGCACACACAGCACTAGGTGACAAATAACTATTTTATTCCCAGTATGTAATATCTTTTCTGCCTTATAGAGGGTATTTGACTTAACAAATGCTCGTGTCCTTTCCATGGCTCCCCATGGGGTATGTCTTTATTTCTAGGCTTGGCTAAGGTCCGAAACACAGATGATGCCTTCTGTGGCATCATTTAGAGCATTAGCTTTGTCTACCACCCTAGAGGTCCTTCAGGTCAAGTTAGTCCGCTTGGTATGATAGAACAGAAAATATGACTTAAAAGGTAAATGTCTTTCTCAAGTTTCATCTTACTAAAGCCAGACTTGGAATTTAAAATCTCATGTTTCCAAATGTAAGTAAAACTCAACCTCATTTGCATGTAATCTCCAAATTGCACCTGTTTTCTTAGGCCACATGAACATTATATGGTTGTTTTATTTTTTTTAACTTTAGTTTGTGGGTATTTTTTTTCCTCCATCTCTAGTCAACAGCTTATTTACTGAGTTGAGTACATGACGTTGCCAGGCGCCAGTTCTTTGCACTGGGGATAGATCAGTGCATATGATAGAGAGATCTATTTTGTGCGGCACTTTCGTTCCAATGGGGGCAATCAGATAAAGAAGCAGTAAAGATATATAGGTGATGAAAAGTGCTATAGAGAAAACTAAAGCTATGAAAGAGTTGAGGGAGGTATTCCAGGGTTACGAGGGGGAAATTTTTTAGTAGGGAAGCCAGGGAAGAGTCAGGGAGGCCTCAGTGGCAAGGTATCAGGAGCAAGGACCTGAAGGATGGCAAAAAGCAAGTGGCAGAAGGCAAAGGCAACACTAGAGACAGAGGTCTTATGGTCAAGTGTCCTGGATAGCAAAGAAGGCTTTAGGGTTGGAGCAGAGGGAGCAAAGGTGGAGGTGGTGGGAGATGGGGTTAGCGAAGGAGGGAATGGGGACAGCAGACCTGTAGGCTGTACATGGCCTTTGCTTTGAGTGAGACAGGAGCCACTACAGAGTTTGGAGTAGAGGGATGGTGACAAGTTTTGTCTACTTTGACCTTCAGAGATTTATTCTGGTTGAGAACTATTCTGATTATTCTAGGTGAGAATGGAGTTTAGAGTCATTAATGCTTTTCTTGTCTCCTTTCAGTAAGTTAAAATCCCATTGACTTTTTTTTAAAAATAATTGTAGATTCACTGAAGTGGCAAGGGTAGTAGAGAGAGGGCCATCCCATGTACCTTTCACCCAGTTTCCACCAGTGGTTAGATCTCATATAATTATAGTACAATATCAAAACCAGGAAGTTTACATTGATACAGTGTCTTTGTATAGTTCTATGCCATTTTATCAACTGTCGATTCACATACATCACAATGAAGGTAGAAAATTATTCAGTCATCACAAAGGTCTCCCTAGTGCCACCCCTTCTACCCCTTTCCCTTCCCATCATCCCTCTGACAACTGTTTTCCATCTCCATAGTTTTGTCATTTCATGAACATTACATAAATGGAATCATAATATGTGATTCTGTGAGATGGGCTTTTTAAATTTAGCATAATGCCCTTGAGATCCATGTAAGTCACTCCTTATATAGTTTGTTCTGGTTGACTTCTAATCTGTGTGTGAATGTAGGAGACAGGCTGTCATGGTGGAAGGATGCCTGTTTTATGACTTGAGACCTGAGTTCTAGCCCAGGTCCATCACTAAATACTACTTACTATCTCTGGGTCTCAGTTTAGCCACCTATAAAATGAAGAAGAAATTACAGTCAAGATTCTTTCAGTAATAATTTTTTGGTGAGAGGACTGTAGTAGTCACCAACTCCATCTGCCTTTTTAATACTTACTGTGCAGTAATCTCCTATGGTCCTTAGTATATTGTCAAGCTCATTCTGACCACTCAAGAAACAGCTCATAGTGGTTTTATTGACATATTGCTGCTACTTGTCTTTTTCGAGTATAAGCTTGATAATAGGCCCCTATACTACTTAACAAGCTACAGCCATGCATTACTTAACAATTGGGATACCTTCTGAGAAATGTGTCCTTAGGCAATTTGGTCATCGTTGGAACATCATGCAGTGTACTCACAGGAACCCTGATAGTATAGCCTACTACACACAGAGGCTGTATGGTATAGCCTGTTGTTCCTATACTAAAAACTGTACATCATGTTGCTGTACTGAATACTATAGGCAGTTATATAACACAATGGTAAGTATTTGTGTATGTAAACATCTAAACATAGAAAAGGTACAGTAAAATTAGAGTATAAAAGGTACTTACCGTGAATGGAGCTGGCAGGACCGGAAGTTGCTTTGGGTGAATCATTGATGAAATAGGAAGTGAATGTGAAAGCCTAGGATGTTACTGTACGCTACTGTAGACTTTATAAACTGTACGCTTAGGCTACATTAAATTGATTTCAAAAAGTTTTCATTTTCAATAATAAATTAACCTTAGATTACTGTAACTTTTATAATGCTTAATTTTTTTAAAAGAAACTTTGACTCCTTTGTAATAACACTTAGCTTAAAACAAACATTGCACAGCTACAAAAATATTTTTTATATCATTATTCTGTAAACTTTTTTCTATTTTTAAAATTTATTTATTTATTTTACTTTTTAAAACTCGTTTGTTGAAAAGTAAGACACAAACATACACATTAGCCTAGACCTACACAGTCAGGATAATCCTTATCACTGTCTTCCACCTCTATATCTTGTCCCACTGGAAGGTTTTCAGGGGGCAATAATGTAAATGGAGCTGTCATCTCCTATGATAACAATACCTTCTTCTGGATACCCCCTGAAGGATCTACCTGAGGCTGTTTTACAGTTAATTTCTTTAAGTGGAAGGCATGCACTCTAAAATAACAATAATAAGTATGATAGTAAATACATGCACCATTAACATAGTCATTTATTATTGTTATCCATTACCATTACTGCCTGTACATAATTGTATGTGCTATACATTTATAGGATTCACAGTGCGGTAGGTTTATTTTTACCAGCATCACCACAAACTTGTGAGTAATGCATTGTGCTGCAGGCTATGACTACGCAGTCTCTAGGCCATAGCAGATTTTTTTAGCTCCATTATAATCTTATGGGATCCACCTGCGTATATGTGCTCCATCATTGACCAAAACATCATTATGTAGTGCATGACTGTATGTAAATGTGAAGATGAGTGTTTGGTTTTTCATTATTTTCAGTGATAAGTTGCAGAAAACTGTATCTTATCACTGAAAATAATGAAATTTCTCCTGCTGCCATAGCGCTCCAAACTAGAAATGTGTAAGGTATGCTTAATGCTCATTGAAATGATAAACAATCTTGTTGGCCTCAAACATTATCATCAAGTGTCATTATAAAGATATGGATAGAAGTGTGAATCTACATTGAACATGCACTACGTGACTATTAATAAGTAGATCCTAGTTCATGTTAAAAATTATAGGCTGGGAGGAGGGACTCACACCTGTAATCCCAACACTTTGGGAGGCCGAGGCAGGAAGAACTCTTGAGGTCAGGAGTGTGAGACCAACCTGGGCAACATAGCGACACCCCATCTCTGCAAAAAAATTTAAAAGATTAGCCAGGTGTGGTGGTGCACGCCTGTAGTCTAATTCATCAGGAGGCTGAGGCAGGAGGATTGCTTGAGCCCAGAAGTTCGAGTCTGTGGTGAGCTAGGATTGTGCCACGTACTCCAGCCTGGGCAACAAAGTGAGACCGTGTCTCAAAAAGAAAACTCATTATAATATGTCTGAGCTAGAAGTTATTTTGTAGAGCATTTAGATCTAGCATCTCATTTTATAGGTATGGAAACTGGCACAGGCTTAGCACATTTACATGAGGTGAAGCAGCTATAGAGAGAGCTGGGGTGAGAACCCATATCCTCTGCTCTGTGTTCCTGCTCTGTGCCATGTGGGGTTTTGTGAAACAGGCTCAGAATTGCTTTCTGGCCTGAGAGGGCTGGAGGAAGTGCATAAGATGACTTTCAGTACTGAAGAATAAATACCAATGCTGTGTGTAACTTCTTTCTTTTGTTGGTATGGATGATGGAGAATTAATTGATCAGTGTTTATTCCCAGCATTTCTGTTTGGCCATATACATTTGTTTTGTTGTGCTCTTCTCACTCTTCACCTATTTTTTATAATTTAGATGAGGATTTTTTTTTCCTGTTAAAGTGTTGATATGACACAGTATCTTACATTAGACCTTTTTTAACACACACGCACACACACACACACACACACACACACACACACACACACACGACTCTGCCACGCAGTGAATCTTTTTTAGAATGTTGGTTTCCTCTTTTCTAAGCTTTAGAAAACAAACATAATAAGCTAAGCTAAAAGCTGAATATATTTTTGGTACCTACAGATGTGAAATTATTTTAACTGGTAAGAAGTTTACTGTCTGCGATCGATTTTTTTCTATTGGGAAAATGAATGTAGTTGGGGAGTCATATTTGGTTAGAAATGTAAAGAAAATAACTAGGAGAATATCTCTTTGACCAACAACAGACCTACATCACATTTACCTTGTTCATTCATTCTTAAGAGCACCTAAATTGATCTCTTTGCTGGAATATAGTGGTATCTTTGTGAAAACCAGAGATTGATATGTTCTTGACTTTAAGATACTCATCTCTTATATATTCCACCCTTTAATATGCCGTTCACGGATATTTCTAAACTTGATTTTATTCTTCACCCAGTGGCAGTATCCTTGAAGCCACCTTCACTTCATCACCAGTCTTCTCTTGCCTTTCTCCTTTTTCTGAGCAGGGTGACTGAAACTGTTGGGTTTCAGGTGGGTTAGGGAACCTCACAGGAATTTATGTGTTCAGGTAGAGAACACGTCATTAAGTTCCTACTCAGCTAGTGGTGAGGTGACAGAGTAAGACAGAGTCCTTCCCTCTTACTCTATCCTAAGTACCTAAGCAGAGGATTAAAGATTAATCACTACCCAGCCACCTTTCCTGGACTCCGTAATTGGAGTGGGATTTGCCCAACCACCCACCTTAGACACTGCAGCTGGAATGGGAATTGGGTAATACAGGGCAAGACCGAGAAGAGAAAATCCTGTTGTATGTCCTTACCTGAGCCTTCAAGACTTCTTGAAGCCTAACTGTGTCACCTACCTCTCACCCTGGGCCTGGGCTCCGGTGTTTCCTAGTTTAGAAGAAAGCATGGCCTATGCAACTCAGGCTTAGGGACCATTTATTTTTATTTTGTTTTGTTTTGTGTTTTTTAAGAGACAGGCTGTGTTGCCCAGACTGGAGTGCAGTGGCCATTCTTAGGCATGATTATAGCATATTGCTTCCTTGAACCCCTAGACTCAAGTGTTCTTCCCACAACAGCATCCCAAGTAGTTGGGACTATAGGCACATGCCACCACACCCAGCTGGACTTTTTATTATTCAGCTCTTGAAATCGAACCTCATAATGTACTGTTAAGATCCTTCTGGTTGCAAGAAACAACAACAACTCTGACTATTCTAAACAAAAGGAAGATGTATGGGACATTATGAAGAGCTAATAGAACTCACTGGAGCATCAGGCTTGGAAAATAGATGGAGAACAGGGCTCCTGCAAAGGGCCAAGAAGCAGGATGCAGATTTGTTGTCTTAATTAGGAGCAGTCTGGCCAGGACACCCTCCCTTATGGTGTCACAGGGGCAGGACACCACTGTAAATGAAATTTGACTCTTCCCTCTATTTTGTATTACTCTCCACGCAGAAGCATTTAATAGGCAGAGACTCTGTCATGTGTCTCTGCCCCACCTGCCAGGGACAGGGACAGGGTAGTCATCTGATGATTTTCATCTTCTGTGGTGTACAGCTTAGCATTGCATCCTATTAAGAGTACAACAGTGTGATATGTTAAAAGGGAGATAACAGTTGACTGTTACATCCATTGTTTAACATGTGAAAGTTGACTTTCAAACACATATTGAAAGACCATATTATGCACAAAAGTATGTAATGACTGTTATCATTTTTTGTATCAGGACCCTTTGAGGTTACTGACTTGAGTCCAGAGTCTAGGACAGTGGTGGAGTAGAGAAAAGTCCCCTGAGTGACTACACAAACTCTCAATTCCTACTCCCGCCATCAATGACTTGAGAGAAGCTGAGGGTGTTTTTTGATACTTCTATTCACACTCCCCATACTGATATTTTTTGTGAAATTTTGTTTCTCAAAGGATAGAGGAGCAGAAAAAAAAATAAGGAATGAAGGAAACATACCTAGATCTACAATAAACATTTCTACTTTACGTTGGAATATATCCTGAGAAAAAAGAAGGGGTCATCAGACATTTTCGAATCATTTCTCCCATACCCCTCAAAAAAATCCTCTGAATCCCCAGAAGGCCTGCAAATTATTGTAATTAAATGTTTAATATATAATTTAGCTAACATATTAGAACTAGAGTGCTCAAATTTACAATATGTGGATAGATTATTTTTAATATGCTAATACATTTTTAATGTATTAAGGGCAACCTAGATAATTCATGCACACAGTATACTTATTTCTATTTTACAGAATTATAAAAGCACAGCAGTGTAATAAAGGGAAACAGGCTAAGAATCAGAAGGCTCTTAGATGCCCATTATGCTGGTGTCACTCTGTTTTTCTTTTAGACAACAACTCATTAAAAAATTTCCTTGGTTTCTCTCTGGATCTGTCTTCATCTGCGTATGAAGGCATTTGGATTAGTTTCTCTCTATGGAGTCTTTTTGCTCAAAAATTCTATGACTCAGTCAGTTATTACTTTGTTTTCATCCAACAGCCCACAGAACCTCCTAGGAACTCAGTGAGTAAAATCAATCAGCTAGCCAATAAATATTTATTGAGTGCCTACTAAGTGTTTTGCTCTTCTTGGATCTGTAGGGAATATGATCTAGTTGGGAAGACAAGATATGTACCCAGAAAAGATAATATACAGCAATAAAAGCTGAGTGCCAGATGAGTGGTGCAGCTACAGGCACCGGCATGGGGAGAATGCCAGGCTTGGTTGGTGGCTAAGGAGTAGCCTGTTCAGGCTAAAGCAGAAAGTTGGAAGGGATTTAATGGAATAGGGTCAGAGGTATGAGGGTAGATTGTAGAATACCTTTAATAGTCTGTTGCCCTGGAATTGTGGCACTGTTGAGTCAAAAGAAAACCAGGTTTGAAATCAGAAAACCTGGCTTCTAATCATGGCTCTGCCACTTACAAAATGATTACATGTGGCAAGGCTGCAATGTTTTTCTCTTTTTTGGAAGCAATATATACTGCCTTTGTATTCTGTATTACTAGGATGATTAGGTTAATGTGTGTTTAAATGCCTGTTCCATGGTGGACATCCTGTAGATGTTCATTATGTCTGAAATATTCTTTTGAGTAAAAATGGATGAGAGTTGTGTCATCAGATGTTTTCAGATTATAGGTTGGACAAGGTCATTGGCAATGTCCTTTTTATCACAGAAACACCATGTTTCTACCTCCAGCCTGTGTGTGCCTCCTTGGTTCTTTTTCACTTACAAGCTTTGTAACCTTTCTGTGCTTCAGGTTTCTCATTTGTAAAATAGGGAATAATAATAGTCCCTATCTCATCAGAATTTTGTGAAGATCAAATGAGTTAATAAATGTACAGCGTTTAGAATAGTGCTCAGTAAACTTTAGGCTTCCTCCTCTCCCCTAACCATTTCCTTTTCCTGCTCCCCTTTGCCCCTCTCCTTCTCTTTGTCCTTTGCTCCTTCCCCCTTCATTGTCATTATTCAGATATGATGCTAATGATTGTCTTCGTATTAGAAAATTTCTAAAAAAGTTTTCTGTGGTGGTTGTGGTGTGTTTAAGAATGAGGATTACTTGCCAACCTAATCCTTTAAGAAGATTCAGCTGACAGTGTTTGGAATTGGTCAGCATCACCAGGAGACCAGGTATGGGAGGCTGTAATAGTCCCTGTGAGAGGCAGTAGGAGCCTCAACTGGGGTAGAGAGAGAATCGAAAAGAAAATGTTCATGGGAAAAACACTGTAGGTTTGAGTTCAGAGATTTTTATACAGGAATGAGAGAGATGTCAGGCCTAGGTGCTGAGAGTATGATGGTCCTCCAGATAGGGCTGTTGGGAGGAGGAGCTGATTTGGTAAGATTCAAAAAAGCTTTTATCTAGGGAAGTGAGTTTTATTTTTGAAATGCTGAGTTTTACACAATGATGAATCATACAAATTCACATGTCCTGCAGATAGTTGAAAATGTGAATGCATGGCATATTTAGCAGTGAGTGGACCAGTTTAGTTGGATTGGAAGTTCATGTAGTTTACTTTCTTCAAGCTTGATCCAGTATTTGATTGGTCTAATCTTAATGTTTTTGAAGTATCTATTTGTTTCCTTCTGGGAAAGAAGCATGTTTGTTGTATAGCAGGAGTGTCACTTTGGGGACATTACCGCATGTTCTGTCCCATTTAGAGAGATTCAGACAAGTCTATGCAGTTTCTTTCTATTGAACAGGTTTCTTTTTCTTGTTTTTCTTCTCTCATTGTGATGATTGAAGATCAGGGAAAATATTAGATATTTGAAGATGGACATTGTTTTATTACCGCTTATATTTAATATGCCCTGCATACTTCAGCCAACATTCATCATGTCCTAACTTCCCTAGATATTTTGCTGACATGGAAATGCAGTGGTATTCAGAGAGGAGCTGGCATAGTGGAGTCTAATACCAGTTTTACTTGTCTTATAAAGCCATAACCATGATATTGCTGAATAAATGAGACTATCAAATAAGAGGTGGCAACAAGATTACAGTACTGCAGAAATCCTGGGGGCAGAATAAAATTGTCTATTTACTAAGCATAACTATTTGATATAACTGTTTGATGTTATGCCTTCTTCCTTCTCCTTTGCTAAATTGCTTTGGCCCATACTTTTAACACTGTATTCTCTACTTGCCAGCTTTATAAAGTGGGTTAGTTGTTGAATTCTACTGCTTCCATGTATATTTCTATCTTATCTTCCTCTGCCCGTTTGTTGTTCTTTCCTGAGATCTCAGGTAGATGCTGACCAATTCCAAATACTGCCTTCCTGGGTAGGAAGGGAATAAGTAGAAATGAGGTAATGGGTATGCTGTTTCTCAGAGATACCTTGGAGCAGACCAGTAGCTCTTTTGGCTAGGGGATTATGAAGTGACATTTCTCTATCATCCTTCTTATTTATTTATTTATAAGAGGTGAGGTTTTGCCGTGTTGCCCAGGCTGGTCTCAAACTCCTGAGCTCAAGGGATCCACCCACCTAGGCTTCCCAAAGTGCTAGGATTACAGACATGAGCTACCGCGTCCAGCCGATCACCCACTTTTAAAACCCCAGGTATCTTTGGTTTTGTTTCTTTTCTTCCCAAACTGAAGGGAGCTATTGGTACTCAGTGAGATGTGGCCTCTGAAGCTGGAGAGGTGTTTGTCAGGGCTCAAATGTAAGCTGCTTATTAATAATGAAGTTTCAATGGGTATGTGCTGTAGGGATTCAAGGGTGTATTTGTCTACAAAAAAGTCTTGTTTTCATTTTATGGAATGACTTTTTTCTCCCCGTTCTCTCTCCTCCTTCTTCTCTTTCCCCTTCCCTACCTCCCTTGTTTCTTTCATGCAGCATTTCTACCAATGTTGTTTATGGGTGTCCTTTGGTTTCATTCTAACCATGCATCCTTTTGAGTTCTTAAAATAGGACTAAGTCCATATATCAATCTTCATTGTTTTCTTTCCACTTCCTCCTCCCATGAGGAAGAATGATTAGGATTCATTAATGCACAGTCATTGTTCCCACGAGTTCTTGATTTTTGTATCTCCAGTATCTAGAAAATGCTCTCAACTCTCAGTTGTATTTACGATCACAGACCTGTACATACTCTGAATGCTCCTTAAATATGAACTAAAACTTATTAGAGAGATTCATTTAGGAGAATATTCTTTTTGCTTTATTTGCTCTAAGTTCCATACCTGCCCATTCATGAGTGTGACTTTTTGGGGTCATGCCTTTATGTTGCCATATAACCACAGCTGTGCTGGTGGGTTGTCAAAGGTTATAGACAATTGGCTCTCACAGCCTGGAGTAAGGATGCCCTGCCCCAAGGCGCTGCAGCTCTTGACAACCCTTGGTTTTCCCGTCACTCCACACTAGTTACCAAAGCCTGGCTAGGGATGTCGAAGCATTTGTATTTTTCTCCGTTTTCAATCTGTATTATGAATTCTGGGAAAGTCTGTAGCCACTGTTTTGATCCTCTGGTGGTTTTCTTGGTGGCAGGACTTGTTAAACAGAGAATGGGCTTTAAATTGTTAATCAGTGTAAATGGATTTAAAAAATCAATTTCAGTCATTTTTAGAACTACATAAGTTTAAGGGGGAAGTGAAAAATAGTGAAGAAGGTGGGAGAGAGATTTAGTAAATCTATAAAGCATGTGTGCCACCTCAAATGTTTCCAATTATCGAGGCTTCCAAAACAGAATCTCCTGTCTACGGATGCAGCTTGGTTATGTGAGAAGTACCTCCTAGATATATATGAAGAACAAAAATGGGGACAAAAATATCGATGATCCAGATTCACAGGAATTCAACCAGTGAAGACTGGAGAATAAAAAACACTGGGTGGGAAGGGTGTGGTGTGACTCCTTGAAGATGCCATCACACTAGCTTTTGGAAGTTCCCTGTTAGTTTCTATGACTTTTTCCTTGTTGGAGACCTGGTTGGAAAATAGTAACTTCATAAAAGATATTTGCACATTGCCCATTGTCTCTAGATCTCTCTCAACTATAATTTTTGCCCTTACCCTTTAGAGATTTCTTTTGTCAGCTTACAGAAGCCAAATCTGTCTCAAGTCTGAAATGGTCAGGTTCCTGCTTGAAAGAACATGGATGTTAGACATCTTAGTCTGAACTTGTAGGGAAGATCTGAAGAGAGCCTTGCTTTGGGCCTGTTCACCATTGAGCATTTTTCCTACTTGCTAACTGTCTTTTGGGATAGGTAGCCCACATCCTCCATATATATGAGCAAAGGAACTAATAATCTGAAGAAAATAGTTTTTCAGTCTTCTGAGCTTTCCACCCTGTTGTTGAATCCTGTGGTGACCTTCCTTACTCGTTTCTAACCTAGTTGCAAAGAAAGATATCAGCACCCTGTAGCTTTCCTTCTAGATCAGCCCCATGGTAAAACATCCCCTGCATAGCTGACGATAAGTGAGATCAGCCATGTGGTATGTTAGGAATCAATATCGGAACTCTGTCGCCTTCAGACCTCCATCCTGGCTCTTCTGAGAATGCCTGTAATTGTGGGGAAAGTATAGTCAATGTGTAAAGGGAGTAGAGGCAGTTTTCCAGCATTAAGACATTGGAGTTTTTGAGGGTCATGGGTGACAGAGGCCTAGGATACATGCCTGATGTCTCACAGTAAACAGCCATAAGGTGCCTTTTGTGCTGAGTTTATAAGATTTTATCACAGGGCCTTGAAGTTACCATAAAGAATATGTAATAAATATATGTGTGTGCATGCATGCAGGCATCTGCATGAGATATATGCCTCTACTATCAGTGAAGTAGTAGTTCCCCTTGACCTGCAATTTTAGTTGCCCATGATCAACCACAGTCTGAAAATATTAAATGGAAAATCCTAGAAATAAACAACGCATAAATTTTAAATTGTGTGCCTTTCTGAGGAGCCCCATTCGGTGAAGAGATATCTCACCTTCCAGCGTAGGCTATGAATCATCGCTTTCTCCACTGTATCCAGATTGTATACACTACCTGCATCTTAGTCTCTTAGTAGCCATCTCAGTAATTAGATCGACTGGCTATGGATGCTTGCATATTGTTATAATTGTTCTGTTTTATTAGTAGTTATTGTTGTTAATCTCTTACTGTGCTAAATTATAGGTTAAACTTTATTATAGGTATGTATATATAGGAAAAAATACAGAGTTCAGTACTATGTGCAATTTCAGGCATTTACTGGGGGTCTTGGAGCATATATTTCTTGCGGATAAGGAGGGACTACTGTATTATGGATATACTACCCTATTAATTATATTTCATTTCTTTCCTTTGCCCATGACTAAAATATATTGCAGGCTCTCTTCTTTATAGGTTTACTTTATTCTGAATATGTGCCCACATGTGTTTACCTTAAGGAAAATATTCGGCTTTTCTGATCTCCATGGATGCCTCAGAGACTGATAAAATGTAGATAGTTTGTAGGTGAAAAATGTTAAGTTCAAAGAGCTAGATAAAGATCTAAGAAACAGAGCCACTGAGTTATCTGCATCCTTTTCAGCTGGAGAATGCAGGGGTGTGTGTGTGTGTGTGTGTGTATAATGGTGTTATTCCCTGTGCCCACTTTCTTGATACTGTTGAGGCCCAGAACGTGATACCCCACAGGGTGACATTTTTACATGCCCAGAGGTCTCTTAATTTTGTCTACCTCACCCAGCTACCCACCGTCTCCCACAGCGCAGGGAGGGACTCTTTCTGGAATTTCCTATTTGACTAAGATAGCTTCTTTCCAACAGAAATGCAATTGTCTTAAATTCCCTTTCTAGAGATCTCACCAGATAATCAGGAAAGATGTACCACTGCAGTATAATAGAGAGTGGGCACCATCACCATGCTCAGACTTTTCATCTATAGTTCTGAGGGCAGCTCTGAGGGATTAACCTGGGAGACTATTGGCTTAATAAGACAACCTTTGTTTCTGTGCAGCTTCACTTCTCACCTTCCAGTAATGTCTGCCTCCCACTCTCTGGGTCCATTTATTCTCCCTGAAGATTTACTGCTCCTCAAAGAATTACCACATTCCCCATCTCACCCCTCCCCTATGAAAAGGGGTACATAAGCTTCTGTTCCACCCTAGGTTATTGGATAATCATTCTATGATTCCCTCCATGCTATGCACATTAAAATTAAATTTTTTATGCTCTTTCTTTTGTTAATCTGCCTTTTGTCAGCTGATTTTTAGGGAACCTCCAGAGGGCAAAGGGGGAGTTTACCCTCAGCCCCTATAATATTTTTATTCATTTAACCCAGGTTCTTTTTTACCAAGTAGTATATTCCTTTTAAGTTAGCTCTACTTATGGGCACCAAATATTCAAAGTCACAGAATGCATGAATGAGTGAGAAAGAGTATATATGTATATGGGGAAAGTTTTATCTTTATTGTCCCCGTTGAAATATGCATTACCTTTGGCTGTAAATATAACTGGACAGGCAAATGCAAAACACACAGTCTGGTTCTCTCATTGAAAAGCTCGCTCTGCCCCTTCATGGTTTGACTCTATGGAAAGTTAGCGGTGGTTGGTGTTTGGTGTCAAATGGAAACAATTTTTTTTGTTTTTGAGACAGTCTCACTCTGTCACCGAGTCTGGAGTGCAGTGATGTGACACTCTGTCACCCAGTCTGGAGTGCAGTGGTGTGACCATGGCTCACTGTAGCCTTGATCTCCTGGACGCAAGAGATCCTCCTGCCTCGCCCTCCCAAAGTGTTAGAATTATAGGCGTGAGCCACCCCAACAGCCAAAACAATTCATTCTTAAAGCAGTTGGGGCAGAGGCTGGACGCAGTGGCTCATGCCTGTAATCTCAGCACTTTGGGAGGCCAAGGTGAGAGGATCACTTGGGCCCAGGAGTTCACAACCATCCTGGGCAATATAGCAAGCCCCTGTCTCTACAGTAAAAATTCAAAAATGAGCCAAGCATGGTGGCATGTGCCTGTAGTCCTAGCTACTCAGGGGGCTGGGGTAGGAGGATCCCTTAAGCCCAGGAGTTTGAGGCTGTAGTTACTATGATCATACCACTGCACTGTAGCCTGGGTGACAGGGCATGACCCTGTCCCTTTTATATATGTTAAAAAAAGGAAAAGCAATTAAGGCAGATCAAAGGCATATGTGCTCAGAGGGGTAGTCTGGCTTGGGGTGTCAGAGCCCCATAGGAGGGGAAGGAAGGCAGGCAGGAAGGGAGGGAGGAAGGGAGGGAGGGAGGGAGGGACGGAGGAGAAAAGAGGAGAGGAGGGGAGGGGAGGGGAGGGGAAGAGAGGGGAGAGGAGAGGAGAGGAATTTAATTATTTTGGAAATAGAGCACTGGAACATTATTTTCCTAGCCAAGTTTTCCCAGCATGTAATCAAGGACGATAACTTTCTGCATGCTTTCCCAGCTTTTGTCTTCCTCCTCTCAATTATCTGGGACTTCAATTTAAAAAGAGAATGAAAGGGAGGGAGAGAAAGTGGAATTAGCCTAGATCCATGTACTTGACTGTCTCATTCATTTCTTTTGGCTGCTAATGAAAGGTCAGGAAATTTTCCCCTGGCTACAGATGGCTCAGAACCTGACACTACTGAGTTGATCAGTTGCCCAGTAAGAAAAGAGAACATTAAATTGTGTGCCATGACATTATGCTGCTTTAGACAAATTTATAAATTCTGCTTTCTTGAGTGTATCAGTAATTCTACTCCAATTACACATGTCTGGCCTGAATGGATAATTCACAATCGGCATATAAAAAGGGACCTAACAACCTTGGAAGTCTAACAGTAAGCCATCACTCTCCATGTCAGCTAGAAACAAAAAGAGAATTAGTGCTAGGACTGAAATGCTTCTCCAAACTAAAAGAGATGTTTAGGGTTCTACTAAAAGTCAACAGTTTCCATTAGGCATGATCAGGTGGTTCCTGATATAAACAAACACAGGTGACATGGGTCTCACAGGCAGTCTTGCCCAAAAGATAGACGAGCAGTTGACATCTTCCCCTCTAGTTAATTTCCATGCAAGCAGGTTGTAATATAAGCTCAAACTTAGCCACTATAAGATAGTAGTGAAACCGTGGGGTCCAATATTATGCCAACATGGAGAAAATATGTTCCATACCCATACAAGAGAACAGGAATCCTAGGGGGTAAAATTCAATTGTAGTAGGCCTTAATTGTTTGATCATATTTTTGCCTGCCTTCCCTACCTCTAACAATATTGGAAGTAACAATATATTGACAATTGATAATTTGTCTAAAACTGTCCAGTTTACTTCACAATGTGTGTTTGTGTTAATTTTGAAACCACTTAAGCTTATAGAAAAGTTGCACATAACTGTACAAAGAGCATACCTTTCAACTATTTAAGAGCAACTGGCCGATCTATTGTACCTCTCCTCAGATAATTTATCTTGCATTTTCTATGAGGCAGGACATTTTCCTGCATACTCAGAAAACATTAGAACTTGGATATTAACACATTGCTATCATCTAATCCACAAACCTACTCAAATTTTGCCAACTGTTCTAATGGAATACTTCAAGAAAACGATCTAGTTCAGAATCAGGTGTTGCAGTTAGAGGTCATGTCACTCTAGTCTGGAATAGTTCTTCAGTCTTTCTTTGACCATCATGGCCTTGACACTTCTGAAGAGTACAGGTCAGTTATTTTGGTTTGTCTGATGTTTCTTCATGACCATAAAGTTAAGCACTGATTCATCATTTATTGATGATGGTAGTCTTGATCATTTGATTTGAGTCGTGTCTACCAGGCTTCTCCACTGTAAAGGTACTATTTTACTCTTTCTAATTAATAGATATTTTGTGAGGAGACACTTTGAACTACATAGTTTTCACCTCTCATTAAACTCCCAAGTTATTTATTTGTTTATATTAGAATGAATTCATGGAATCTCATTTTATTCAAACAGTTATAATCCACTCAAATTGTTCCCAATTTGGCCAGTAGGAGCCAGGACTTCTGTGTCCTTTGGACATGTCTCCTATTTTTTTTTGAGCACTTCCTTGTTTTCTGGTACTACATGTTCCAGGCTTATCTTGTACTGTCTTCCCCAGATCTGAAATTAGCCATTTATCTAAGGAGCCCACATTTCCATCTATATTTATTTTTATATGTTTATTTCTAAATCTATCTATATCTATTGAAAACCATGTGTGGCAGTCATGAAAATGTGCCTCCTGGATCTCCAACTGCAGGAAACATAATAGACTGACAGCCCAGCTGCTGTGCTTTGAAATCAATCACTGCTACTTCAGCCAAGGCTATGCTTCCCACCAGCTGCTCCCAGCCAATAGCGGAGCGCAACAGAGATACTAAGGCAGGCCTATTGCTGAGGGACATAGGGTTCCTCTGACGGACAATTTTGACTTCTTATCAAGCTTTGACGAAACTCTTTGGAACAGGCCCGTAGCTCAGATGTTCCCTATCTAACCTTCCTTCATTCCCTCCATTCTGCACAGGGGTTTGACCTGCACTGCAGTCTGTTGGCTCTTCCCAGGCCTCCTGGGGTTCCCTTCCCACCTTCCTTGAGATGAGTTTTCTCCAATTAATCTCTTGCACATCTAATCCTTCTTGGCACGTGCCTCTTATAGAACCTGAACCAACATACCATGAGTTCACACAAATACCTAAAATTCCAATCCACTGCTACAGGGTTCATTCTAGTTTTCTTCCTTTCCATATTTGTATATACCTACTCTGACAGTGAGAAACCTGGCTTATCCTTAGTACTTTCACTGGTAGGGTTGATATTCCTTAGTGTAACCAATCTTGTAACACTGATGTCACCCCTCCCAAGTGGACACTCAGTCTTTAATGCCTGGCTATGGAGCCACCTTCCATGTGGATGTTTGCACCCAGGTTGAACTCTGATACCTTGTATGAGTGATCATCCTTACCTTCCTATGGGGCTCTGACACCCCAAGCCAGACTAGCCTATACTTTGTGCAAAATACTGTGCTTGGAACTGGGATATAGAGCAAGAAAAGCATGGCCCCTGCCCTCACAGTGTTTATCACTCACCAAGGAAGATAAACAATGAATGAATAATTGCCATATATTGTGATGGTGTATCACATGGGGAACCCACCAAGAAGAGAACACATGTGATTCTCATATGCATTGCACGTAGTGAATGCCCAATGGTGATGGTTGTTATCATTTCATGTATTTTTACTCTTGTTACCGCTAAGCACCAGCATCACAACTGTTCCTCCAGGAGAAATCTATAATTAGGGGATAAGAAGCTAAGAGAACATGGCTTAGATGCTGAGCTTTAAAGGAAAGAGAGAAGAAAGTTAGTGGGCAGGGTGTGGAGTGATTTGGGAATCTAAGGCCTCAGGAACTCCATATGGCAGGTCTTAACTGGTTTGTAGACATTTGCTGATAGGATAAAGAGGGCAGGGACAAGGAAGAGTAGAGAAAGTGCCCTTGGTTTTTCCCGGCCAGGCAGGTACTCAGTAATTCTGTGTATTGATTTGAGCAGCATTAACTGGGGTGGATCATTAAACATTTGTGTTGTTTTTCTTTATATATCAAAGCTTGTTTGTGTGAATTTTTCCTTGCCTGCTCTGCCATTCCCACTTTCTCCTCCAAACCCCATGTATTTACTGTAAAATGTCAATGCTCAGTAATTCAAAATGCAGTAACAAATATTTCTTTGTTTTCTTGGCATTTAAAACAGCCAGGACATCTCAAACTATCAAAAGTGGAGTTGTCCCCCATGCCACTCCCCAGCCTTCTTACTAGCTCTTTGATGGGTGGAGCCTCTCTTGTTCCCTGCTAGGGCCCCTTAGTGACAACCTTAGTTTAAATCCTCACCATGTATCAACATCTACATCTGCTGATTTGAGGCTGTTGCCTTCTCCATGCTGCCAAACACAACTCTGTGATAATGACAGCATTTGCCAGCACGCTTATGTGGTGACTCAGGAGACAGGGTGGCCAGCAAAGCAGCCTCTTTGTGGGAGTGGATTTTGAGAAGTGCTAATTCCGTGGCAGTTTGGAGATATTAATACCGTGCTGGCAGTAGATAAACAGACATCCGAGGGGCATATAATGAGAAGATAATCAGCCACTGCATCTTTTCCTCCTTGCTCTACCAACACATTTATTTTTTCTTCTTTAAAAAAAAAAAAGCATGTTCTCCTGGGTTTTGACGAATAGAGCCCTTAAATTGCGTAAACATGCACAGATACTGGTTGGTTCAGCTCCCAGCATCCCCACAGTATAACTTTCTAAGAACCACTGGTGTGTTAGGAGTTAACCACATTTTCAAACAATACTCAGTCATAGCATATGGCACGGTAGCCTATTGCTTACCATAGCCTCTCCCTAAAGGGCAGCAAACCAGATGGTTTGAGTAGGGCCTTTGGTGTAATTATGACAGACACAAAGAAAGACATAACCACCATTCTCCCTCAATAATATCATGCTTCTTGTTTTCCAGTATTTGCTATAGTTAATTATACTTAATTTTTGAAAATTTGTTTTTGCAGTTTGATTGTTCATAACAAAGTTCCCTTTCCAGGTTGGGGAGGAACCATTCAAATATGTATCATTAAGTGTCTGCATATCATTTCCCATTCATCCTTCTCTAGCTAGTAGATGCAGGCCACATAGAGTGGCATCTCTCATTCCCAAGTGTGAGCAATTTTCTTATTCTGGCAAAAAAAAAAAAAAAAAAAGATTTGTTGCATTTGAGAATTACTTTGCATTAGAGTCTAACCTGAGATTTTTTGTAGCTCCCATGGAGTATTGCTCCAAAACTGGTCATCTCAGATTTTATATTGTTTACTTTCTTTGTTCCCCATCTTGATTTGCTTTTTTCTTTCTTTTTTGAGATAGGGCCTCATTCTTTTACCCATGCTGCAGTGTAGTGGTGTGATCACAGCTCACAGCAACCTCAAACTCCTGATCCTCCTCCCTCAGCATTCCAAGTAGCTGGAACTACAGGCATGCACCACCACACTCGGCTAATTTTTAAATTTTTATTATGGAGATGGGGGTCTCATTGTGTTGTCCAGGCTGCTCACAAACTCCTGGGCTCAAGTGATCCCAGCGCCCGGGCCTCCCAAAGTGTTGGGATCATAGGCATGAGCCACAGCACAAAGAATTTCCTTTCTACTAGAATGCCTCCCTCCTGCCTGCCTCTTCTCTCTTCATTCATAGTCTTATCTTTTCCAAGCCCACTTTGGGTAGAAGATCTACTCTCAGGAGTTCTTATAAGAGAAACACTTCGTTATGTAAAACCAATGTTTCTAACGTTGCCAAACTAAAAGAAGACATTTTCTGGTTGTTCTGTCGGCTAGAAAGATTTTGAGAAATTTAGGTCATGCTTTTATATGTTCCATTTTTTTCTCTATGTGCCTAATATTTTATAGCAGACTTTTCTTGAGGGCAGTGGCTTGTTTATAACATTCTGTAAATAGCCTGGTGCAATGTGGGCTTTTTACAGATTTTTTTTTTTTTGCTAGTTTTTAATATTTGGATTGATATAGCATCTGACTGTACTAACCAGAAAAATGCTGAGCTAGGGAACTTTGTTATTTAACCTTTTATTTGGATTTCTAGCTTAGCAACTCATAGGTCTTGAAACCTTGGCTTCTCTCTCCCTCTGCCAGAATGCGTTAAGACCTCCAGGTGCTAACTGTTATTATTTCTGTTGACTGAGCCCCATATGCACTTCTAGTGCTCACTGACCTATCTTTTCTGTTGCAGAAACATTGCTGAGGCTCTTGTCAGCAAAGGTCTAGCCACAGTGATCAGATACCGGCAGGATGATGACCAGAGATCATCACACTACGATGAACTGCTTGCTGCAGAGGCCAGGTAAGACCAAACATTACTAAACACATGGGGAACCCACACCCTCACTTTTTTCTTTCCCAGTTTTGTGCCTATACCTGAGCAGAATGTGTTGGAAAATAATATGCTGAGAAAGCATGTATTATTATTCTAGATTTTCCCCATGAAAAGAAGGACACACTTTGAACTTGCTGTCTAATTTTGTTTAAGTGCACTTGGTCTTCCATTTTAAAAAATATGTAAAATAGGTATATATTAGATATGATCTCCCTTTGTAGCTGTATAAAAGAAAGCATGAATGAGTGCTCTATAGGAGATATGTTTATCATCATTCCGGGACTAACTGTGAAGCCGTGCTTATGTCTGTAGTACATTTGCCTCTGTTTCTTACCTCCAAAGGCCTCTACTCCTAGCCCCTCCCGTTTACCACCTCTAGACCTTTTGTCATGTACAAAGGAAAGAAAACATTTATTAGGAAATGAGTTTTAGTTTCAAACACTTCTGACAGCTGGCAGGAGACCATTTGAGAAGCCCTGTGACATTTTACTTTTGTCCTTCATCCCTGTGGCTGGTTGCCCCAAGGACATGCATGCTGCTCAGCAGTATTTCTGGCCATTGTCATCCCTCAAGGCTCTTACTCAGGGAGTCTTTTGTCACTGGGTAGTGTGGTAGTTGAGTGATTCCCAGACTTCCTGGGAAACAGAGCAAGAACTGAGCTACTTATTGCTGAACTGACTTGGATAGCTCAGCAGACTGCTTGGACTCAACCAAAATATATCCATTGTTTAAACGTGATTTCAGAGGCCTGCCTCACTCAGCAGTTTTTCCATAGCCTCTAGGACCCATTTAGTTCTAGGAGTTTGGTAATTGTCAGGTTATTTTCTATAGTTAGAGGAGGAATGATTCTGGGCACATGTTATCTAATCTCGGCTTCAGATTTTGTCATTGAGATCACTTCTCTTGCTCTTTGGCCCATAACATTGCCCTGATATGTGACATTTACCTCTAACACCGTGTCACATCCTGATGGATAGAGCATCTGTAGAATGTCACACAGAATGTCAGCCGAGAAATCAGTCTGTCAGGCTGCTGTGGCTTTTGGATTCTTTCTTGTGGGCTTTTCCCAATAGACCCTGTTGAGGACCTCATTCTTAAGTACAAAGAATCCAGTGAAAATACTCACATCTTTGGTTTTTTAAAGCTCATTAATGGTCATTTAAAATACGTAGTTCGTGATTGGTGTTTTCTCATAAACCTCCTTACTTTCTTCTCTCCCTACCTATATTATCAGTAAGCAAGACAGTCCCAAAGAACTCATGATGAGAAATGTGATCATGATTTCTCATGATCTTGGTTCTGTTTTGTTTTTTTTTTAATTTTTTTAATTTTACTTTTTGTGAGTATATAACAGATGTATGTATTTATGGGTTACATAAGATGTTTTGATACAGGCATGCAATGCGTAATAATCACATTATGTAAAATGGGGTATCTGTCCTCTCAAGTATTTATCCTTCATGTTACAAACAATCTAGTTATACTCTTTTAGTTATTTTGAAATGTACAATTAAATTATTATTGACTATAGTGACCCTGCTGTGTAATCAAATACTAGGTCTTATTGATTCTTTCAAGCTATTTTTTTTTTTGTACCCATTATCCATCCCTACCTCTCCTCCACCTTCTCACTACCCCTCCCAGCCTTTGGTAACCTCTCTACTCTGTGTTTCCATGAGTTCAATTGTTTTGATTTTTAGATCTCACATATAAGTCAGAACATGCAGTGTTTTTTCTCTCTGTGCCTGGCTTATTTCACTTGGCATTATGACCTCCAGTTCCATCCATGTTGTTGCAAATGACAGGATCTCATTCTTTTTTAATGGCTGAATAGTACTCCATTGTGTATAAGTACCACAGTTTCTTTATCCGTTCATCTGTTGATGGACACTTAGGTTACTTCCAAGTTTTGGCTGTTGTGAACAGGACTGTAGCAAACATGGGAGTACAGATATCTCTTCGATATACTAATTTCCCTTTTTTAGGCGGTATATACCCAGCAGTGTGATTGCTGGATCATATGGTAGCTCTATTTTTAGTTTCTTGAAGATCCTCCAAACTTTTCCCCGTAGTGGTTGTACTAATTTATATTCCCACCAGCAGTGTACGAGGGCTCCCTTTTCTCCACATCCTTGCCAGAATTTATTGCCTGTCTTTTGGATATAAGCCATTTTAACTGGGGTGAGATGATACCTCATTGTAGTTTTGATATGCATTTCTCTGATGATCAGTGATGTTGAGCACCTTTTCACACGCCCATTTGCCCTTTTTATGTCTTCTTTTGAGAAATGTCTATTCAAATATTTTGCCTATTATTTTAATTGGATTATTAGTCTTGGTACTGTTTGATCATCCAGCTCCAGTAGGAAATGGAACAATTACTAAACTATCCATGGGATTTGGGGGGTTGGTCCATGCTGGGCATATTCAGCCCAATCTGATGGTAACTTGAAGAACAGGTTATGCATTTCCAGAGTAGCAGGAGCCCTCAGCAATACAGTGGAATGTATAGTTATATTTTCCATGCAGGCTTCACACTGCCACCAGTGAATATGTTAATTCTGACAGGCAGGTAAGCATGGAAATAATTTGCAGGGCTGCTCTGGAAAGTGAGGCCAGAATAAGCTCTCTTATTATGCTGTTAGAAATAGCCATGTTTTGCTATAATACTTAATGAGCATTCATAGATAGTGAAATTTTTTAAGTTTTAGGTTTTAAAATGAAAACAGCCTTTTTAGTCTAGTGCTTATTTTGTGCAGAAGTAATGTAACAAGATGCTTGCTTGCTAAGGCAGTGAGCTGCCTAGAGATAATTGTGTTGAGCCATTGCTTTCAGACTGATGGTGAGAAAATTGGCTTCAGGGTCATTGCACTGTTGCAGGTTGAGTAAACGGAGAGAATTAACCACTTCCCTTTGCCCATGAGGCATTGCCATAAGGAAATACAGGCCCCATAAAGAATGGGGAGAAATACTCAGCATGAACTGTGAGTGAATTTTTATTTGGAGCAGTCTTGTCAGTGAGCCCCAGGACTCTAAGCCTGGTGCCATCTTCTCGATGCTAACCCCCAGGAAAGTGAAGTCAGATTCAAGAAAGATCAGAATGCTTGCTAGATAGGAATGGTGGTTTTGTAGCCATTAAAAAAGATTTTCAGTGCAGAATCCCCATCCTCATGGTTTGGTGTTTTGTTTTGGTGGCTGTGGTTGTTTTGAGACAGGGCTTTGCTCTGTGTCCAGGCGGGAATGCAGTGGCACAATCATGACTCACTGCAGCCTCCCTTTCTTGAAAATGGTAAAGTTGAACACTTTTCAAGACCACTTATGTCCTGACACTGGCTTATTTGAGTTTGCCTTTAGTTTGAAGCACCTCGTTCTCCTATGAACATTCCCCATGTTCCCTTAGCATTCTTCTCACCTCTCTCACGTTACAGCGTGTCAGAGCTCTTTCACTGCTGCTTCTGCCCCTTATCTGGCCAGGTATTGAATATTATCTGAGTTTAGGGTTGTTTTTTCCTAGATAGATTAGCTGTATGTTTTCTAGGTGAACTCTGCTTTGTGATTTTATGCCCCTGTCAATGCATTTTCTCTACCTCCCAGCTTCGTGTCCTCTGCAGATCTCATTAGTGAGTTGTTTACTCCTTTTCTGGGCCCTGAATAAAACCCCTAAACAAGAATGGCTTTGGTGTTGACCCCAAGTCTCTCACTGCTTGAACTATCACTTAACTGTCTTTTGTTTATCATTCTTCAGCCACTTTTTAATCTTCAGCGATTGTGTACTGAACCAAGCCAGTTTGAATTAATTTCCCAAGCAAAATTTCTTAAGGTACTGTATTTAATGCTTTGGCAAAAGCCAAATTCATAACATCTGCCACATTCATATCAGTCATTCGTTCTGACACTCTTTAGGTAAATAATAGACAGGTCAGGTGGCAAGGCATCATTCTGCTCTGTTCCTCCCTACCAGGGTGTTGATTCCAACAGACTTCTTTGACCCTGGTTATTGCTGGTGATATCGGCAGTGGTGCAGAGTGCTCTTCTGTTGACTTTGCTTTCCAGTGCACTGCTTGGCCATTAGTACTTTCAGAGAAACATTGTAAGCTTTGGGGAAAGGGCAGCCCATTAAACTTGTCTGACTTAGGTCAGCACAGCTGCCTGCCTAGAAGTTGATGAGCTTTCTCAGGGCTCTGCAGCCCCTACTTCCTCTGCAAAGGGATATGATCTGCCAACCTTTCTCATATCATTTCATGGGCGCTCAGGGAGTGATGCGGTAGGCACTCATTGGGAGACTAGATGAGACAGAGGGGGAAGAAGAATACCAATTTGCAGTTTGCCTGTTGCTTTCAAGCATATCCACCTGCCTGCATAGAAACAAACTCTACCACATCAGCAGCTCTGTTCAGTTCGCTGACCCTTCAGCGCTCCTTTACTCAGGTGCCTCTCTGCTTCTGGGAAACCCTCATAATGTCTTAAATACATGGCCCATCTAGAGGAAGTCACATCTTTTTTTGTTTAAAGGGTAAATAAACCTCACATTCCCAAAAGGCGGCCTTTCGGCCTTCTGGCCTTCCTTTCCAGCTCTGTTGTCTATCATCAGCTGACCCCTGCCTCATTACCTTATGTCCTAGCAAGATAAGGTTTTGGCATTTTCTCATATACTCTCAGGCCTTCTTTATCTCATAGACTTCGTTGAAAAGCCCTTGATGTTGTCCCACAGTTCTGAGAGTTCCAGTGTGTGTAGCCTCTGTTTTTTGTCCCCCCCTCCCCACCCCGAATTTAGGTGCAGCTGACCCACAGTTCTCTGTGACACTCCTGAACTTGGTCTCCCTTTTTAGAAGCATCATATGGACTCCTTAGGGAGTGTGAAACATTATTTCTGTTCTGCATGTTCCTGTTTGATTCCCATATTGACTTTCCAGCATTTCCAGTTCCTCTTTTTGTTTTAGTGTTTCTCAGTTAGCTGGCCTGCTACATATGCCTAGTCTTGGCGAGCCTTCCAAACTTTAGGCAGAGCTTTTAACTTCTTCAGGGAATATTCCGTATATCCTTCTGCGGTATTTCCAAGATAGTGAGTCATTACCGGGACCCTTTTTACTTTCTGAAGTGTCATAAAAATCTTTCATATGCTCTATTTTATGTATTTGGTGTAACACATCCAAGTTTTGATTTTGGAGAGGCCAGAATGTGAATTTCGTCATCATGCTAGATGTCTTCCAAGTGGAGCTTTTGTTGAGCATGTTATGGACACTGAATACAAGTTGGTAATGTTTAGAGTCCGATCAAAACGTGGCTGTGTGCTATGTTTTCTTTATACATGGGGGATATCATCTATGTACATCTTCTGATGCTACCAGTAGCTTTATTTTAAGAATTCCTAGAAATTGTTAGAATCTGGCTCTTTGCAGGAAAACACAGAAGTTATGTTAGTTCAGAAGTTGGGGCTTTATTCCTTTAAGGTATCTTTTAATTCTAAGATTTGCAATTTCAAGATCGGATGTATATATTCAGAAAAGAAATTGATGCTCCAGCCTGACTGTAGGAAAGCAATTGTATTGAACAACCTAGTGTCTGAGCAGATTTAAATGAATTTAGATTCAGTCTGGTCATACATAATGAAGTTAGGGTTATCTCAGGAGAAGAGAAAAGGGCAGGCTCTCTCTTATCTTTTCATGTGTATTCTATTTCTTGCCTGGCACACTGCAGATTTAGAAAACCATGGTGGTGTCATCCATCTTTGAGAGGCAAGTGTGAACCTGCCCTCATCTCAGCATCGCCTTGGCTACTTCTCTTCCTGGTCCCCTGAAGGACTCATTTTTCTGATTCAGCAAACCCTCTTTCTAAAAAACAAAAAACTAGCACTCCAGCCTTGCTGTGTTCTACATCTCCAATCTCCAAACTCCAAACCCCATAAGCACCAGTCTCTTGCTTTTTTTAGTGAGATTGGCAGTGCCCTCATATTTTAGGCTTCTGTGTTTGAACCTGTAGGAAATCTGTGCTGGCATTTCTGTCACAGACTTTAGTCAAAAAGCTATAAACATATCAATAACTCTTTCTTTCTTAAACCAATATCCCTGGCTATTATTAAGAGGGATTCAGTATTAATTGCATATCTCTCTTGGTAACGCAGTTAATGGGGGCCACAGTGGGCTTTCTAAGTTCCATATGTTTGTAGCAGTGACTTGTAAATATATTTTGCAATTCCATTGAATGAAGAGCTTCCACTGGGAAGGAAATGCTCTTGGTCTTCCACCCTGGACTTAGCTAGAGGAGCTCTCCCTTTTTTCTGATTTATAGGGAAGTTTTTCCATAAAATTTCAATAAATGGAAAAAGTAATGTGTGCCTTAAAAAAAAAAAAAAGAAGAAAGAAACTGTTGACTGGTCCTTCATATCTGTGTCTTCAGTTTTACTAGCATTCACATACTGGTTATGAATGGAATGTGAAGAGTTACTTGCCAGTATTTTCTGTTGCTAAGTTAAAAGATAGAATTTTAGGACTCTGAAATGGAAGAGGAGTATATTGGTTTGACACTATTGTGATTTGTTAAATGTTTTGATAAGAAAATTTCATTTCTATACCAGTCTGTTTAGACAGTTGGCATTGAATTTATGTGTTTTGAAACTTTAAAACTGATATATCCTATCACAGAGTGTAGATTAAATGGGTTAATCAGTTCTCCAAGAAAGCATATCTTTCCTCTGTCAGAAACAGTGGTCAAGGCTGGTCTGTGTTGCATGTGATGGCTTTGCATTCATTTCTTCTCTTTATTCCTTTTTTTTTTTTTTTCTTTTAAGTGTATCCTGGCTTCCAGGCATGGGCGATAATAGCGGTGAACAAAAAAGATAATAGACTCAACCCTTTACAAAGCATGCAATCTCAGAGGGACAGGCATTAAATAATTTTATTAGTACTGCTGGATATTGCTGTTTTTCCTATTTCTTCTCTTTTCTTACCTGTTTTCTTAGCCCTCCCTCTTTCCTCCCTCTTTATTTTTGACACTGCTTGCCTTACATCTTTTTTATGCCATCTCTCATTTCTATTAAATTGTCCTGTGAGAGTATATTCCTGAAATTCATCTTCTCTGTCCAGCCTCTGTTCTTATCTTCTCAACAGTTTAATGGTATGGCTTTTAAATAAACCATGATTTCTCACCTTCAATCTAATGACCTCAACAAGGGAAAATTCTTTTTGAATAAAAGTAGAACCTATTGAATATGGTGAAAAACAGAGCTCTTACTTGAAGTTTAATGGTAGATTCCTGTAACACCAGGGTACTGTTGGATTTTTAGCTCAAGCATCATAGGAAGCGGTAGTTCGGTGCCTTACGACTGCCCTCTTCACCCTCTGCATTACATCATGCCAGTACAGGTTGAAAGCCAGCACAGAGGAGGAGACTGGCCTTTCTCTTAAATGTCCTAATGGCTTCCGTTCTTTTTTAACTTTGGAAATGCACACCCCACCCTACATTTTGGGGTTGCAGTTAAGTGTCACGATCATGAGGTTGCTAACTGGATTCAGCACGTGTCATTATGTGTCTGTGGAGGGTTTCGCTGTTGGGGAGTAGGGAAGATAAGTTTTTGCAAGTGGATGTGATAACAGGAAAATGCATTAAAAGAGCTGGTGTTGGGAAGTGATTTGACGATGCAGCTGAACGTGGGGAAATTTAGCTTTTCCCTTTCTTCAGAAAAGATGATGCACTCAACATCCAAATAGCAGTAATCAATCTGCATTTAAGGCAGCACAAATGGCCACTTCTGGAGAGCTGTATGATGTCTCCATTTCCAAATAGTTTTCTCCTTCAGGATATTAAGAGGATCTGTTCACTCCCTCCATCCCATCCTTCTCTTCCCTCCCCACCCCTAGTTCCTTCTGACATAACTCATGCTGTGAGACTTTTCTTTATGATTCATGAGGGGCTGGGGTATAGCTGACGCCCTTTAGCTTTATCTCCTGTCTTGACTAGCAAGCCGTGGGTAGTCCTGCAGATCATGGGTGGATGATTAACTGCTGGAAAGCAGTCCTCCTTGGCTCTGTTCTGTAATCATTAGTCTACACTGGTTGTATTCCTTCAGAGAGGACATTGTTCTAGGCTAAACTTCCTACATGAATTAGCCATCAATGTGTCTTCCCCCACCCCCATCCGCCAAAATAGGTTCAGCTATGACCACTTATCTGTCCAGAGCCACTTGTCTATTTTCTTCCGTCTCACTCTCCTCTTGGCTAAGAGGCTCTTGCTTCTTTCACACAACCCAAAATATTTGATATGTTGGGAGGTTCTTGTACTGGGAATATAATTTCAATCCAAAATAAATTGTAACTATAAAGTGATAACACTTGACCCTTGACTTTCTTGAATGTCTTACAACTTGCTTCCCTAAACCAGTGGCTCTCAGACCAGGCACATCACTATCGCTCGGAAACTTGTTAGAAATGTGAATTCTCAGCACCCTGCCCCCTGCAGTCTAACACATTCTTTAGGTGATTCTGATGCACACTAAAATTTGAGAAGCACTGCCCTAATCAGTTCCTGATCATTGTAAAACAAATCAAAGTGTATGCCCTTTCATGGAAGATTGATCATTTAATCTTCATTGTAATTGGAATTACAGTCGTGGTTATAAGTAACAGAGAACAAGGCATGGAATGGATGAGCTTTGGATTTCTATAGTATGTCCCAGCTCTTTATTCCCCTTGACTCCTGTCTCTTTCCCCCTTCCTCAGACTCTGAGTTCATGGCTCCTTAATTCGATTCCTTCTGAATAGCCTCCACCAGCTCTTGGCTAATTTAATGTGAAATCATCTCGAGTGTTACAGTGCTTGCTTGCTTTGGCTCATCTGCAGCGTCAGGTGGCTGAGTGGATTGGAGAGCTGAGTCTCTATTAGGCATATCCCTATCATGCTTCTGCTCTAATCCTTAGAAGTCTCTCAGGAGGACTATAGTTCAAATAATTAATCACTGATACATCAATGCACAGAATTTTGTAGCTGATTGTGAACGGGAAATCCGCTTCATAGCTTCTTTCATTTGCAGGATTCTTTACATCTAAATTTCTTGTAAACTTCCTTGTGCATTTCTGTTTTATCCTAAGCTGCTTCTGACTCTGCCTCCCGCCAGCACCCTCCAACTTTGGGCCCAGAAGTTGAGAAGAATTACTTCCCATTGCTCTTGCTTTTGCATCAAGGCCAGAGAGCCAAATCTCTGGGCTATGGCAATGAATTTTTTCCAGTAAGTCAGAATAAATATAGCTCACATTGGAAAACCATTTTCCAAACTGAACATTGTCACAGAATTGTTGCTTTTCACTCAGTCAAAAGACACATTAAAGTTTTCTGTAACTGATGTGTTTGTGTTATGTAACAAGTATTTTATCAGGTATTTTGGGGGTAAAAACAAAAACACAGGATCTAGTGGTGATTTCAGTGAACAAGTAAATAATTACAAATATAGTTACAAAAATGGAGAATATATGTGGGTAGTTGGGATTCATAGGGAAAGGAGCACCCAGATTGATGGGTTATCCACCAATAGAGTCCACAAGAGAAGGCATGTTCTGTTTGGTTTGCCTTGGTAAAGGGAGATGGAAAGCAAATGCCAATTTCTTGCCCTATGACAGCAGTTCCTTATCCTAAGGAAGTAATTGGCAAGGTGCTTAGAAGTTATTCCTCATGGCATTATCTATAGTAGTAGAACTATTCACATAAATATCTAGCAACAGGGGATTGATTAAAATTTTGAACCATACATCCATATATGATGGATTTCCTGTGCACCTATTAAAAGTGGTACTTAAACGGTGTTTTTTTTCTTGAAATAGGATTATGAGTCATTGTTTCCTGAAATTTTTTTCTGATGAACTTTGTAATCAGAACAGCAAAAACTATAAAATCAGTGTCATTGAGGCAGTTTTGAGTAATCTACCTTCCTGAGGCCCTATCCTCTCAAGAAGACTTTAGACTGCTCATAACCACTACTACCCAGCTCTAATAATCCTTTGATCCTAATCTGGGATAGTAGAGTTTGCAACTGTGTTCCCCTCATCTCTAGCATTGAGTTGGTTGTTCTCTGCCTTGGAGTTCATAATCCCTTTCCTCCCCCTTACCTGCCACTGTAGATCCATTGTCATACCCAGCACAATAGCATGTATCTTCATTCCTTCCTTATATTAGCTTTAGACGAGATGATGACCTAGAGTTCTTTGTTATTTGCTTCACTGCCTCATAATACCTACTGACTCATTAGTCCGCCCACCTCCCCTTGACTGTAGGACTCAATTTCCTCATTTCCAGTCTATGCACTCTCAATCTTTTCTGTCTTTCTCATCGGTAATTCTCAATTACATTGAAAATGCAGCTGCATAATCTTAGTGCCCCCACCTACCATTCTGCACCTGCTCCTGCTCTGTATCTTATTTTCTGAGTGGTGCCACCCTGTCGCTTCCTCCAGCTCCCAAGTAACCAGGAGAAAGGCCGAAGGAATTGTTTATTGCTACCATGTTTCACTGATGTCTGTATTTGGTTCATGCTGAAAAACCATATTCCTCAATGTGACCTGAAACACAATGAGAAGTGCTTCGGAAGTTTACCAAGTTTTTTACTCTTTGTTCTGCTTTTCAACCTTTTCTGTTGGAATTAATTTTTCTTCCTACTGAGTCATTTTTCCTTGATTATTTAATAGGTGTTCCTTACAATCCTGCTACTTGGTTCTGTTTTATTGTTTACAGTGGTCAAGCTTTGCTCCCACTCACTGCCACTTAGATTCTTGCCCATCTCTTGTAGTTCCAGGAGACTTGATGTGGGATGTGATGCTTTTGTTCTGGATGCTCCTCTGCTTCTGTTTCTGCTCAGAGGCCAGTCTTTAGCTGCTTCTGCCCTGGAGCATAGATCATGAAACTGTGTATCTGGGAAAGCCAACAAACCTCATTTTTTTGCCCTACAGTCACTTTGGCATTGTCACTGTCTCCAATTTGAAATATTTTCACTGTTCCGCATTAATCAGTCAGTTACCAAGCATTTGTTCAGCTTTACTTGGCACACTTTAATTGAACTAGATGGCCCTGAATTTATAATTATGGAAAGATAGCTGTCTGTTAAAATACTATAATAAAGATTAAGGGCAGAATACTAACCCTCAAGGGACCTGTAGTCTAGATACAGAAATAAAGATTAACACATGAAACAATTTGAAAGTCATATGTTGCAGTTTATAATTACATGCTGAACTGAGTGATACCTGCACACAACACACACACACACACACACACATTATACTACCATTTCAAAGGAGTTCACCTAGGACCCCAGGTTAAAAATTTCTGTTCTCCCAACTATTTTACGATTGTAGTGAGGTTGTGGCTACAGATAGGTGATACTCTTTTCATTGTAGTGTTGACCTAGAACAACAAGTGGAATCAAGGGGAAAGCAAAAGCCCAGGGGACACACATAATTAATTACTGGCATGTAGGGGGCATGAAGAAAATGGGCCTAATTGGATTAGGAGTAATGTGGAAATCATGTGGATATGTAAACTGGGGCCACATGGTCGAGACCCATGAAAGCCAAGTCTGAGAATTTCCACTTGATTTCACAAGCTGGTTGGTTGTCTTTGTTTGGAGTATAAGTAGGGGAGGAAAATGATGATGTCGATTTTTATTGAGAAGTGATGTGGGAGTGGTGTGCAATATTCAGTCAAAGTGTGTGTAGCTTCAAAAGGGATTGCATGAATTTAGTTAAGATATCCCTGATGTTATCTTGAAATAAATTGGTGAGGGCCTAGACCAAGAGGGTTCCAAAAGGGCCAAGTGAGCACAATTATGAAAGAAGAATGTTGGATGTTGGGGTAAAGCAAAAGCAGAGTGAAGAGACATCATGGAGGCTGCTTACCAGGAAAGCATTGTTAAAAGGAAGTTACAGATGAGGAGACGTGTTCAGGGGTCCTAATCTCTCTCAGCTCTGTAGCCTCCTTTCCCCGTCATCTCCCTGCCACCTATTGCATGCCATTTCTGCTTTCTGTCATTTTATTTTCTTTAGATCTCTTTCATGTATGAAAGTAGTTCTTTTTGTAAAACTCTGTTGAAAGCTCCTGCTCCCTCAGAAAATTCACAGATACTTTAGGGTGGATCAGAGATATTTCTAGCATCTGAGCTGACGTGCACTATGTCCCCAGGTTAAGAATTCCTGATGTGATAACTATTTTATGATTGTGATAAGGTTGGATCTAGCCATAAATCCTTTGAATTTCTTTGTAAGCTCACAAAAATATTTGTTCAGAATAACAATCTACTGTCGTTGAATTGGCAGTAAGATGGAGGCCTGTTTGTTGGCACGGGAGGGACTGTGACTGCGGTGCTCAGACATCCAGCTTGGAGAGCATTGGTCTTGAGATTTTCTGGATGAACTAGAGACTGCAAACCTAAGAGCAGACTCTTCCTTGGCATGAAATGTGTGCAGATTCTAATCTTGTGCTGAGGCCATGGAGATGATCTCCCTGCAAAAATGTTGTCTGCCTTTGCAAAGTTGTAGGTTTTTTCTTCTAGAGGAAAAGCAGCAGCTAATATGTGAGAGTTTCGAGCTTTGCTGTTTAAAGAAAGCAGAGTTTTCCAGTGGTCTGAATAGAGTTCATCTTCCCACACTGTAGTACCATACAGCCCTGTGGCTCCTAGAAACAACCTAGAAAGCTGTGTTTTCATCTTTCTGTTGCCCTGCCACTCCTTGGCATGTGTGTGGATATATACTTTCTTTCCCTGACTGGTGATGATGTTTGTCAGTTATTGACACTGGTAGTCTTTGCTGTCTTTGTACTGCTGCATCTTGGAGAAGAAAGCTGCTGAGAGGAGTAGGCTATGTTCTGCCCCACTGTTTCCTTTCTGCTGGCTGGCCTGCACACTAGCCTGCCTTTGTGAGGAAGCGGCTGTTAAGCAGACACAGCAGGAGAAGTTTAGAAGTCAGGAGTTTCATTCCTTGCCTAATGAAAAGGGATGCAGACTTGTGGCTGAGGCCAACAGGGAAAGGCAGTATGGGGAGCAGGAATTAGTGTTTGCTCTGTGGAGCAGATAAGGTGGAAGCCAGCCTGCGGTCTGCCTACCTTCCCATGTCTCAAAGACAGAGCTCCACAAATCTATCCCAGAGAAACTGGGTTATGTGAGATGCAGAGGAGAACCCCACTGAGAAGTGGTAGCAAGGCAGTACACCTTGTTTTCAGCAGAGCCTGGGTCTCCATGTCATGTATCCTCATAGCCTGGAATAAAGATGGTACTCTCCCTTTGCAGATAGTGGTGGCAGGCCTCCCCTCTTGGAATTTGCTCCTCTCCTCTGTGAGATTCATTCCTGAATTCCTACTTCCCCCAGATACTCTTTCGTGGAGAATCTCTTGCTGTGGCATCAGACTTGTGACAAGCAGAGGGAGGTTTTCTGGAAATGGCTCACTCAGCATCGTTCCTGCAGCAGTGTGGGAACCAGAAGTGAAGAAGCCTCTGCACAGGGAAAGGAGACCTGTGCTGCCGCAGGTTATTCTGCTCTTTTCTCACAGATCCCTCCCACTTTGCAGCCTGGGTCTAGTGTGCTACTAAGAGGCTAGAGTGCTTCCTGGGTGGGCATATTTGAATTTAGTGGTTAACTACCTATTGTTAACTTTGAATTTTGCTTCTCTTTCATGAAGAATTAACAAAATAAGGGCTACTTCTCAGTTTACATATGCTGGTACAGTGCTACTTTCTTGCTTCCTCTTGAATGTGCCAGAAATTGATAAGAGTTTAACAGTAATATTTTAAGTGTGAAAAAATTGTCTTTGAACGTTTTCCCAAAATTTATGCCAGAACACAAATAAGTATCTGATAATATGCTTTTTAGAAGCAGGGTAGAGCATGAATAATATTAATACTAAGACCATTTTAAAGAATCATTTTGCTGTTATTGTTTTAAATGTCATATGTATACTATTATCCACGTCTTCCAGTTTCTGATGTTAGTTTTTTCCTCTTTGGTAGCGTATTTAGTTGTGGTTAAGTCCTAGATTTCTGCTTATAGCACAGAGCTACTTTGTGGTCACAGAAAGAAAGCAGAATTATAGTTTCCCACCTCACTGCTTTTGCCTCGAGGATCTTTGCTTTCTAACTTACTGCTCAGGCCCTGTTCTTTTTTTCTCATAGTACATGAGATGTTCTCCAGCCCCAGGAAAGGCCACAATTTCAGCAGTGCTCTAACTTGAACCTGTCTGTTTACAGAACAGATCTATTTATTTTGGTTGTCCTTGTTGTTAAAGGATAAGGCTGTAGGCATTTAGTGCCCCATAGGACCTGCAGAATGCTTTGCAGGCCTTGCCTTGAAGGAGGTGAGGTATGGTCAGGGTGGGAAGGAGCTTGTCTTGCATCACAGAAGCTTCAGTCTTACGGCTGCTCCTTCCAATTTGCAGTAGCAAAATAAGGAGAGCCTGTTGGTGGCAGAGGAGGTTATAGAAATAGGACATGCAAGATGTAAGCAGGGCTTTGGGGAGGTGGAAGAGTTGGATTGTTAGTTGGCTTCTAGCCACCAACCTCTAGTCTTTTACTGGTAGCTTGCAAATCCCAAAGGGTGAGTGGCAAAGCTTGAGAATCGCCTTGGTTGCTGACCACTACCAGGATCCCTGAATGATAAATCACTAGAGGAAATTGTAAAGGGAAATATTTTTACCCATTTACAATTTCTTTTACTTTTTTTTTTTGAGACAAAGTCTTGCTCTTTCGCCCAGGTTAGAGTGCAGTGGAGTGATCTTGGCTCACTGCAACCTCCACCTCCTGAGTTCAAGCAGTTCTGCCTCAGCCTCCCAAGTAGCTAGGATTACAGGTGTGTGCCACCACACCTGGCTGATTTATTTTATTTTATTTTTTTTTGAGATGGAGTCTCTCTCGCCCAGGCTGGAGTGCAGTTGCGCAATCTTGGCTCACTGCAACCTCCACCTCCCGGGTTCAAGGAATTCTCCTGCCTCAGCCTCCCGAGTAGCTGGGATTCCAGGTACCTGCCACCACACCCAGCTAATTTTTTTGTATTTTTAGTAGAGACAGGGTTTCACCATATTGGCCAGGCTGGTCTCAAACTCCTGACCTTGTGATCTACCTTCCTCGGCCTCCCAAAGTGCTGAGATTACAGGCTTGAGCCCCCACACCCAGCCCGATTTTTTTTTATTTTATTTTTTGTAGGGACAGGGTTTCGCATATTGGCCAGACTGGTCTCGAACTCCTGACCTCAAGTGATCTGCCCGCCTTGGCTTCCCAAAGTACTGGGATTACAGGTGTGAACCACTGCACCCGGCCCCATTTGCCATTTCTAAAGCTGAAGCCCTTGATTCAAATTCAGAAGAAGCCACGGGATTCAAGGAGCTTGGAAGTGCTGTCTTTCAGTTAGCATTTCAGATAAGAGTGAGAGAGAGGGTATGATTTTTATTTTCTTGTTAATTCAGTACTTGCCCTCATCAAGGAGTAGAAACTAGATAGTAGGAAAACTTTTGTTGTTTCTGAACCAGAAGCATTTCAGATGAGTTGAGTGAGGGACACATCCCCTGGGATGAAGCAAGGGGGCTCAGGTGGATGATAAAAGCCCAAGTGTGAAAGAAATAAGACTATTCTACCTAGCACTGAGCAAAACCCACCCAATTTGGCTTATGAGGGTTTACTTTAGAAAGTGATGACCCTGAAAGTAACCCCTGCAGAAGTGTGTCCTCTACCTCTGCTCCTTGAGTGAGTTCCTGAAAGGGAAGAGGTGGAAATGTGGCTGACAGTGTGAGGGTCCCTGACATTTGGCCCTGGGCTGGGCAGCTTTCTCAACACTTCCTCTGGAATTCAAAAACCCTAAAAAGTTGAGTCTCCATAGACAAGATTTGTGGGAACATCCCCTAATCTCTAGTTCTCTATCTCTAAGCTCAGAACTCTTACCTGCTGATGTCTGCAGGCTGGCAGTACACAAGAAGGCCTTATCCAACAGTGTACAGACCAAGTAATTCACCAGTCAGCTTTTATTCTGTGGTCCTTCATTGTTATACCAGTGATCGTACCTAGTGAGGCGTAGGCTTCTGTCCCCAGAGCTACCACTCAGAGGACTGGGTGATTAGAGCAAACCAACCCATGGCTGAGGTTGGCAGAGTCCCAGAGTTCCCTGTTAAATCCCCTCTTATTATAGCTAAGACTGATTGAAAATGAGACTTAATGTCAGTTATGTAGCATTTGCTAATTTTTTTTCCTACTGTTACATGACTTTTCTCTACAGTATTGCTCCATTCAGGGCAACTTATCTTTTTACCTGGGAGGAACTTATTTCCATTAGAATTGGAACACTAGCCACATATTTTGCATTTAAAATGTTTCATGTGATTAAACACGGAAAGAAATGTTATTACTTCTGTTTCTTAGGCCTGTGCTCCTCTAACTGATTCTTCTTTTGTGCCTGGAACAATGCCTTTAATTTGAAAACAAGTAAGGCAGCCCTCTGATTACTAAGCACACTGTTAGTGGAAACTGGCAGCCAAGTGCTGGTAACAGGGCTTAAGAGAAGAGCAGCTTTATAATCCCCCCTCCACCAAATCCTCTTGCACAGACTGGCTACTCAGCAGTGTACAGTGTGACTTGTGTAGTCATACATCCCCACTTTAACAACCCTCGCTTCTCTCTTCATTTTTGCACCCTCCTACCCCTTCCCATTGTGATTCTTGTTTTAATCGGTTTTTCTCTTCTTCCTTAACAGAGCTATTAAGAATGGCAAAGGATTGCATAGCAAGAAGGAAGTGCCTATCCACCGTGTTGCAGATATATCTGGGGTGAGTCGAGTCCCTGAATCAAGCTGTGTGGCTCAGAGGCTCAAGAGCGTGTCTGCATATTTGCTGAAGGACTTCAGCTTATGTATTTTCTCTAGCTCGCTCCTTTTCAGGCACTGACTGTGACTTTTCCCCACCCCGGGGCATCTACTTAGGTATCTATAGGGAGCCTGTTTTATTATCTGGAAAAGCAGAATTAACTTCATTCTTTTTCTTTACCTGAACTGTTTCTATGTTGCTTTTTCATTTTTAATTACTGTATTTTGAGTTTGGAAGGTAGTTCTTCTTGGTTGTATTAAAATAAAATTGCCTCTTTTTAAAACCCCTGTCCAGTTCTTGCTGTGAGTGGGAAGTCTTAGTAGCAAAAGGTCAAGTATAGATTTCAGGAGAAGTATATGAATTCATCATGATTTCCTCATGACCTCTTGTTCCTCTGCTTGCCTGTAAGTGGGACAGAATGGAGAAATGTATGAACATCCTTTGAGATAATTACATATAGATAATAAAGAAGAATCAATGGCACCAATATTTTAGAGCTCCCAATAGGCTGTGTCCAAATGTTTCTTTAACTGTAAGGACTTTACCTTTGAATGTTTAGGGTCTCTTTGGCTGCATAGATCCGTTTGATAGTTGAGCTAGTTTATTCATTTAGTCAACAAGTATTTGTTGAGTGCCTGCTGTATGCCAGGAATTGCTCTAAGCTCTGAGAATATAACAATGAAGAAAACTACTGAAGTCCCTGCATTCAAGTTGGAAAGGGAGGCAGTTGCAATGTCAGGTAGCGAAAACTACTGTGAAGAGAAGTAAAACTGGCCGAGGGGATAGTGAGTGGTGTAAGTGCTGATTTTGATCAGGTGGCCAGGAAAGGCACTCTCTGTTGCCAAGACACATACCATCCATTTCAACACCACAGTCACTAATGGTTAAAGAGAGGATCAGGTCTGTGCCATGCATAGGGAAGATGCCCAGGGGAGATGAAGCCCAGGGTAGATGGAAGGAGGAAGAGCTGGTAAATCTTAGCTTAGGCACTCAGGGAATTTGCCTTGGGCCCTGAGAAGAAAATACTAGTATAAACAAAAGTGCTAGAGCTCAGCCTAGGCTGCAGGAGAGATGAATCAGAGTGTATTATCTTCCTGTTATGTGGTGTGCCCAGGCCTGGTGGAGGCTTTTTCTGTTGCTCCTGGTGATTGCTTGCTACAAATGTGTCTGGCAGGCTCCCCCTTGCCTAGGTGTAGTGGTTTCCTGCTCATCTTAAACAATGGGACTCTGTTGAGCTTTTCTTTCTCTATAACCAGTCACTGCAGATTATAGGTTAAACAATGTTACCTACAACATGTTAACTGGACTTCAGTCTACAGGTTGGGGCCTCTGTTAAGTGGGTGAAGTAAAGTGATATGCACTTTTTGTGGCTTAGAATCCTGAGAAGCCCAGAAACCTGTAGCTAATGGCCTTTGAGCCACAGGTAACTATGGTGTATCTGCTAATGTTCATTTTTAACAGGTGTAACTCATCCAGTGCGATGTTACTTGGCCTGTTTTCTGTGTAGCTTACCCAGCTGAGTTATTCTTTGCATATATATTGCTAATATTTTTATGTATGTGCATGGCATTCTCAACAATGCTTTCCTTAATATTTGTCTTTTGGTAAAGCTGTTATAGTAATAAAAGGGCAAATTTTTGGTGGTTCCTCAGCAGGAGAAAAAAGTTATAAGTGCTTTGGAAAATGCAATGAAAACCCGTCTACACAAAGGGCCAAATATGCCCATCCAAAAACTTATGTGGGGCCCATACTCCAGGGCCTTCCAGAAGCTGATTTCAACCTTAGGGATAGGCTCTCTCCTTGGGCCCACCTGAGTTCATTTCTAGTTCTGATTTGGCACCAACAGTGAGGTGAAGCAACTCTAAGGAGGTTTTGAGGTTCAGGCACACCAGTCTCAGGGTTGTCCTCTCCACACCCCTCAGTGTGGTATCCTAAAGATCTTTATTGCTGTCTCTGAATCTTATGCTGCCTCCTGCCTTGATGATTTCTGATGCTTTTTTTATTCCTTTATTTCCGTTGTCATTAGCAGTGGGTCTTGTGAAACTTGTCTTCATTTATTTATTTACTTTTGTTCCTACCCCACCAATTCCCCCTTAAACTCTAGCTCAGTTTCATACCAATTTTTATTATCTTTTCTGTCTCAGTATTGGAGGATTGGTTTGCTCTTAAGTTAAACATAAATGCCAATTAAATTTCTCTCAGTCACCACATAAATAAAAGAGTAAAGCTTGAGCAAGTGGGAGACTGAAAGTGAAAAAGCTGCTCGATTTAAATGGATGTCAGATATGACCTTGTCTGCCTGAATCACAAATTATTCACCTAAGAGTGCAGTTTTTTTGGTGCCCTCTTTAATAGAGGAGTTTTGTCTTTTCCCACCTTCTTCCCTTCTTTCCATCACAGTGTTAAGTCTGTGTGTATGTTGGGTGCCCTTGTTCAATTTAAGTGAGATGTATGGGTTTTCTGCTTCCTGAAGCATGCTGGCAATTTTGCTGTCTGTGGGACAGGTGTGAGGTCAGATGGGCAGACGGCTTACAGCCAGATGAAAAATAAACAGGGAAAAAGACAATGTAATGCACATATACGTAATGGTTTCACAGAGGTTTCTTAATTGTTTTTTAATCTTTAACTGTGTTACCTACTGCCCCAGATTGATCCCCCTCTTAGTTGCAGGCCATGATAAATGGAGGTTTTTGTTGAGCTGACAGTGTAGGCAATATCTGCCAAAATAATTTACAATGAACTGGTGTTTGTGCATAATATCTCTCACCACCCTCCTCTCCATCCCAGTACACATTGTTGGTGAGGAAAAAGACATGCTTAAGTGCACATTCTGTCTCCTAAACACTCTTAAGAAATGTGTTGTATGGAAGAGATTATATCATAATGGTGGAGCAAATAACCTGTAATTTTGTTCTAGTGTTAACTGCCTCCATTTTAGGGGTTGAGTTTCTACTCCTTTTCCATGATCTCTTCTCTTGCTGTTTAAAAAATGATTTCACAGAGTAAAGGTCAGAGTGCGTTAAAATGCTTTTGTATGAAGACCTAGCAAATACAAGACCTGCTTGGCTGATTGCTTATGGTTGGAAGTGACTCATCTAAGCACAGGAGTGTGAGGTTTATGGCTTAGAACGTAAGATACCAGCCTCTGTAGTGGCCAAATAAGCCGGCCTTTTTGTTTGTTATTACAGATGGGTTTTGATGTCAAGGTCAACTGAGTTTTGAGTTGTCCATAAGATGGACAGAACATCTGCATATAACACCAACTGAATGAACCCCCAGTTTGTCTAGGGCTTTGATAAAAAATTTGGCCCTCTAGACCGGGCGTGGTGGCTCACACCTATAATCCCAGCACTTTGGGAGGCCGAGGTGGGAGGATTGCTTAAGGTCAGGAATGCAAGACCAACTTGGTCTTGTAGTCAGTGTAGTGAGACCCCATCTCTACCAAAAAAAAAATAATAATAAATGTGTGTGTGTGTGTGTGTGTGTGTGTGTGTGTGTGTGTGTGCGTGCGTGTTGACCCATCTGCGTCTCTTACACCTATTTTTAGGGTAACCACTAAAGGAAGAAAATTACATACTCCCAAGCTGGTACCTTAGATCCTGAAGAAGTTACTGGTTTTTTGTTATTTCCAATTTTTCACAGAGTAGGAACTGGGCTATTAGAAGTACCAGCCACTGCTGCCATTTCTATCATAGTCTAGTTTCCTTTCAAGCCAGGGTGTTCCAGAGTGTGTAGAACCAGCTGAGAATTTGACCGACTTGGTACTAGGTCTTACTTGATTTGAAGGATGGTTCTGTGGTGACTGACTTCATACATACATGTTTTCATTATTAGTTGGTTTTGTTTTTCATTGATCCTGTCTGAGCTCCCTCCCTCACCAGCATAGAAAAAATTGGAGTATGTGTGTCAGTGTTCTTTATCTCAGGTTTCTCAGCTGTTCTTTATCTTAGGTTTATTATTGTTTTTGCTGTAGCCTGCTCCGTAATAAATACAATCTCCTGCAGATACAGAGTGTAAAACAGGCAATAAAATGGGGCTGGTACATGGCTTACTGTTGTTCTGGTAGATCAGACAAATCAATTATGGTTCTGAGATTAGAGAGAGCTCCCCACTCCTCAAGTTGCAGCCAGCCCTGCGAGTGCTGATTTTACCATTTACCTTTACCTCCACTTCTCCATCTTCCTCTTATATGGGAGTAGGACTCAATGAGTCATAGTGTATATCTGAGTTTTCTTCTCTGTCCTTTTCCTTTTGTGTCTGTCCTCTGTGCATGAGGAGTTACGATGTTTGTTTGATGGTACAAGAAGATAGCATCCTCTTCAGTCTTATTTCTGAAAGTCCCAGAATAGGGATTGTCTTCTTTTGAATATATTCTGCCATTTCATATTATGTAGTCCTGACAGCTCCTCTGTTAATTTCACTATTACAGTATTTACTCTCTTAATCCATGGGTCTTTTTAATCTGTTAACTGCTGCTGTGCTCCTTTGGACGTTTAATCACATCATGGCTTGGTTTCATGCTCATGTCACATAGCACTTTTTTATAACCACCTTTCTCCGTGACTGATTTTGTTAGAAATACGTAGTATTTCTGATTTTTTTTTTTTTTTTAAGGATACGGAGTCTCACTTTATCACCAAGGCTGGACTGAAAGTACAGTGGCACAGTCATAGCTCACTGTGGCCTTTCACTCCTGGGCTCAAGTGATCCTCCTGACTCAGCCTCCTGAGTAACTGGGTCTACAGGTGCACACCATCACACCCACAGGATCTTGCTATGTTGTCCAGGCCAATCTGAAACCCCTGGCCTCAAGTGATCCTCCCACTTTGGCCTCCCAAAGTATTGCTATTATAGGCATGAGCCACCACCCTAGCCTAAAAATTAAGCCATGGTTTGGAATGATCCAGTGACTAGCTTTGGGGAAGGTGCAGGGCACAGGGGAAGAAGGTCAGACATTTGGGGCCCTGTTATTCATGAAACGAAGTCTTACAGAGTTGACCAGTAGGATTCTGACTTGCTAATGTGAAGGATTGAAGTGTTCCTTTAAAACAGTTAGATAAGATTAAATCAATAGATAAGAAATAGATTGGTAGACAGGGTTGGATTTTCTCCAGCATCTGCTCCTGACCTCTGCCTTCAGTTTCTGGTTTTCATTGCCCTCTTAAACTTTAATAGCACTGTCATCCTTTCTTTGAGGTTTCTGTAGGTGTTACCTTTCCTTAGCTCTTTATTAATATTTAGGCCTTGATGGAAGCATAAGAAAAAAATTATTACTCTTTTTGGCTAAAGAGAGTTTTAAAAAGCCCAGGCACGGTGGCTCACGCCTGTAATCCCAGCACTTTGGGAGGCTGAGGTGGGCGGATCTCCTGAGGTCAGGAGTTCAAGACCAGCCTGGCCAACATGGCAAAACCCCATCTCTACTAAAAAATACCAAAAAAATTAGCCAGGCGTGGTCGCGGGCACCTGTAATCCCAGCTACTTGGGAGGCTGAGGCAGGGAGAATTGCTTGAACCTGGGAGGCAGAGGTTGCAGTGAGCTAAGATAGCATCACTGCATTCCAGCCTGGGTGACAGAGTGAGACTCCATCTCAAAAAAAAAGAGAGAATTAAAAAAAGAAAAAAGTGGTTTGCCTGGTAAGTCTGAAGAAGGTAAAAGGAGCAAAATCACCCAGGGGCTTTATGAGTTAGGTCTGTGTTAAATTGCAGTTTTTCTTATATGTTTTCTGGCCCACCTAGTTTAGATTTATTTTTCTTACCCTCATATGATTCTAATGTTCCTTTCAGCTTTCTGTTTTTTCTAGTCTCTGGTATTTGATGGCACAAATGCTCTCTGAGTGTATTTGTTTTTTGTTGTTTTAAATAGCCCTTCCCTTTTTTACCCCACTTGGCTAAAATCATGGCCCTACATCATGTTCTCACGTCTCTCTTGCCAACTGCAGTCTAAGTTATTGTACAGATGGCACAACATCAAGGCCTATGGTTCTGCCGGGTGGGTTTCTGTGACCTGGAGGGGTTGCCTAGCACTGGAGCTTCATTCACACAGTAGCTGCTGGCTCCACTGCTGGGCTCTGCATTTGGTATCCGAGAAAATCCCAAAGGAACTCTGGAAGAGCCAGCTCACTGTCTGCAGAACTTGCTCTCCAGAGCAGGCAGTGTGTCCTCTCTAAATATGGTTGGCCCCTTGCCTGGAAGCCATGGTTGGTGGGAGTGTTGGGTTATCCTGGTGGCTTCCTTGCCTCCCTGTTGTGTTTCGTAGCTCAAGTTGTCACTAATTTAGGAAAAGCTATTGCTCTATTTCTTTCTTCTTCTTTCTTCAAGCAAAGTTTATTGAACTCTAGTTGGACTACAATGTACAGGTGACTGGCTTGGATCCTCACTGCACAGAAACATGCCATCACCTCTGTGGCACACAACCTCTGATGCCAAAGTGGCAGCCACCTCGTAAGTTTCTCCCAGACTTTGGAAAAAACTTCAAACTCTTTCTCTTTCTTTTCTTTTCTCTTATATTTTCAATTTAATTTTTTATTTCAAAAAAATAGAGATGGGGTCTCACTTTGTTGTCCAGGCTTGGTCTCAAACTCCTGGGCTCAAGTGATCCTCCCACCTCAGCCTTCCAAAGTGCTGGGATTGCAGGAGTGAGCTACCATGGCTGGCCTCTTTTCTCTCTCTCTTTCTCTCTTTTGTTGAGATGGAGTCTCCCTCTGTTGCCCAGGCTGGAGTGCAGTGGCGCCATCTCAGCTCACTGCAACCTCTGCCTCCCAGGTTCAAGCAATTCTCCTGCCTCAGCCTCCTGAGTAGCTGGGATTACAGCTAGTTTTTGTATTTTTAGTAGAGACGGGGTTTCACCATGTTGGTCAGGCTGGTCTTGAACTCCTGACCTCATGATCTGCCCACCTTGGCCTCCCAAAGTGCTAGGATTACAGGCATGAGCCACTGCATCCGGCCCTCTTTTTTCTTTTCACCTCTTCTAAAGCATGTCTCTGCTAAGAGTTGGATGTTACTAAGAAGACCTTGATCTTGATTCTGCCAGAGAGTTGCTTCAGCCAGTTGCCCTCACCCTTATGATGGAAGACATAGCTTTATTGTGTTGGAGTTTTTTTGTACATGGTTTGTTTCTCTCTCTCTTTCTTTTATTTCTTTTTTAAGATGAGATCTTACTATGTTGCTCAGGCTGGACTCGAACTCCTGGGCTCAAGAGATCCTCCTGCCTCAACCTCCCAAGTAACTGGGACTTACAGGCATAAGCCACAACACCTGGCTGTCTATAGTTTCTTTGTTCATATGACAAAGTGGTTCTGTGCAACCACTTTCTGTTTTTTGAAACTCCCCTATTCAAATTTGCCAGAACTACAGGGCCATCCCTCTCTTAAATAAATTTGAAAGCATTTTTGATTTACATGGGAATTTTTTTCAAAATTTCATTGCAGCAGGTACCACAGTTAATGATGGTTGTGTTTCATTACCTCCTTTTGTAGATCTTAGTCCACTTTTTGACTGAGTTGTGTTGTTTTTGGAGGGCACCCAATTTAGGACATGGTTTCTCACTTCTCTTATTTAGCTTCATTTAGTTGGGCTGTTTTGCATCTTTGTAAATAGAGATGTAGAAATGTAGTCCTGAAGAGATACAATTGATTCCCACCCTGTAAGAGAAATGATTTCAAACTTTACATTTTTACTCCCTAGTTTGACTCTGTTTTTGCGTCTGTAGCAAATTCACCTCAGTATTCCTAGTAACTTATCTATATCTGTTCTTTAGTCTCTTTGAGCCTTTCTGGTTCCCTCATTAATTAGTGGGGTTAAAATGAAATTTTCTACATGAGTTTATTTTATATTTGAATAAGAGTCAAGACTTTACCTTATTGAAAATTATCTTTTAACAGGGGAAACAATTGTAGAAGCAAGAGAAATACAAAACCACATATATAGTGGGCAATAAAGGATTATAGAATTATATGCTTTGAAAATCTTAGTTTTGTTGCCTCCTCTGTACCTGGAAACATGAACAATAATTTGGTTGTGAAAGTTCTAAAAAAAAGAAAAATTTAGAAAGTGAATATGTCTCTTTCATCTGCATCATGTCTGGTTCCAAGTCTGTACCTTACTTGGTTTAACTTTTTATTCAGAACAGTCTTGTCTTGGAAAATTCAGGCACCAGAGCAGATAACCTTGAGGTAGGGAGCTAGGATTGGACTTTGAAAGCAGGGCACAGCTTCTTGTCCTTTGATATGAGTGTCCTAGCTCTGCAATTCAACACCTCAGAAAATGTTTGCTCAGGTGAGCTGCCCAGAGGTGGAGCACTGTTAAGAGACAGGGCTTCTTTATTTGTTCGTTCTTATATAACAAAAACATCTTCCTCCCAGTATAATCAGTAGCATGTCACTGTCGTGGATTCTATTATCAGGAAACTTTCTGCCATAAATTTTTCTAGTTTCCTTCTGCTTCCTTGTTTAACTGTGCCTTCACAAACAGGAGTGCATGCAAATGCACTCAGCATTTGCAACAGGGTCCTAGCTTTTAGTGAAGTGTACTGAGCTATAATGATTTTTGCCTTTCTTCTTTGTTCAAAGACATGAGAAAGGAAATTGAGGGAGTTAGGAACATTTTTTCCAAATAAAGTAGCATATTTTTCCAAAGAGAGTTCCTCTGGCCATAGATTTGGCTATAGCTGGTCCATGCTCTTCGGTTGTTCTCTTTCCCATTCTCTGGGTGTATGTAGATAACACTCTATGATTCTATTTCATGGGTCAAAATAGGTTAAATGAGCCCATTACAGGGATGATTGTAAGTATATTTTGGCAGCAGTTGACAAAATTTCAGATTCCCAGGTTGAGGTGTGTGATTGGATTGTCTGATCTGTCCCATGGCTGCTGAGTGATGTGATAAAATTTGAAATATTTCTGCATAGCCCCAGATTCACTCTCCACTTTACCATCATAACACTACTTAGCCTTGGATTGAACTCATTGTGTCCTGTGGCTATTGCTTATATAAACATTTCAAAGTAAGTAATTTCACTAACATAGACATTCTGCTTACTTGTATTTTAAGTCTTTATTTAGCATGCTTACAACATATTCCCTACAGACTATGTCGTACAGAATTTTGGACACTCCTTGCAGTGTTAACATCCAGATATTTTGAAATTAGAGCTCAGGGTTGCTTTGAAATGCCCTGGTCGTTTTCTGCCTCAGTTGTTCAGCAAATGGTGTTCTCAGGAAGAAATTATAGAATTCCTAATACAGTATCGAATTTGGAAGGGGCCTGAAAATGTAAGCTATTACCCAGATTTCTAAATTGGAGGAAGACCTGTGTTATATTGATTTGTATTACTGCAACATCCCCAGATACTTCACCCGCAGTAGAGCCCATTTATTTTCTTTAGATCATATTCATCTCCTCCACTACTTAAGGTCCTCAGTTGACTGACTCGGACTTCATTGTTAATTAGCATTTGTTGAATCACATTTCTTCTTTTTGCAATGCTGTCTCTTCTCCCCTGCTGGCCATGCCTTCTTCCCTGGCATATGTCTCTTCTTCCAGGTAATTTCTCCCTTTTTATCCCCATTGCCTTCTGATCATGCCCTTCTTCAACATTTACATAATCATATTACCATGATTTTGTGCTTGTTGATAAATTGATAATTTCATAAGTTGTTTAATATGTGTGCATTGGTTTTCCTTACTAGTTTCTAAACTCCTAAGAAGGGGATCTTTTTGTATCTCATTATAGTGCCCAGTTTACATTCAGTTTGCCAAGTGATGGGCTCAAACAGCATGAACTTGTATTTGGAGAAAAGTGCCCCATCCTCCAAGGTACAGGATTGGCTGTACTGGTTAGTAACTATAAGCGGGCTGGTTAGTAAAAGAACGCAGCAGAAAGGGTGCATGTCTTCTAGAATATAGTGGCAGTATGGGGTCATGATTATTAGCACTGGCTCTAACATTAGATTACTGGGGTTCAGTTGTGCCTCCATTGCTTATTACCTTGACGCCTTGGGGAAGTTATTTTTTCTTTCTGTACCTCAGTTTTCCCCTGTGGGAAATGGGTATGATAATGGCACTTACCTCATTGGATTGTGGTGTGATTGAATGAATTAATAAATGTAGCTGTTTTAAACAGTTGACGTAAGAGCTCAACAGAGAGCAGTGGTTCACATGCCGGTGTTCATTATTTTTTTTTGAGACAGGATCTCAGCTCTATTTCCCAGGCTGGAGTGCAGTGGCGCAATCTCAGCTCACTGCAACCTCTGCCTCCCAGGCTCAGGTGATCCTCCTGCATTAGCCTCCTGAGTAGCTAACTACATGTGTACCACTACGCCAGGCTAATTTTTTATTTTTTTGTAGAGATGGGGTTTTGCCATGTTGCCCATGATGATCTCGAACTCCTGGGCTCAAGCGCGAGCCACTGCACCCAGCCTGGTGTTCATTATTATTAAATTGCTTAGCAGTCTGCCTAGCACACAGAAAGTCCTCTGTAAATGAGAGCTGTCATTATCATCCTCAGTAATATTTACATTGCAAACTCTTCATCCAGTTCAGGTTCCAAATCCTACCGCTCCCTCTCCTGAGTTCTTTTACTGCCTCTTTATCTCTTTTTTGACATTTAACATATGCCATCTCTGTCTTGTTTTTTAAATGCATTCCTCATGTTGAATCAGTGAATGAATGATCAAACAATAAGTATTTATCAAGAGCTTTTCATATGCCAGCAAGAATGCTGAGTGTTGAGAATATATTAAACAAGACAGCTATAGTCTTTACAGGGAATACACAATTTGTTATATAATTACAATTGTAATGGGAGTACAGAGTCCTGGGAGAGTGTATACTGGTGGCCACAGCTTATTCTAAGTGGTCTGATAAAGTCCTTGAAGTGATTTCAAAGTGAGACCCAAAGAAGGAGTTAGCAGAAGATCTTGTTCAGGGCCAAAGGATAAAATGTTGTATACAAAGGTCCTGAGGTGGAAGATTGTTTGTGTTCACAATGGAAGACCAGTCAGCATTGCTGCAATGTGAGGATAGTAATGGGAGAATGAATAACTGAATAATTTGGACGTTATAGTCCTTGAAAAGGATTTTGAATTTTATCTGAAGAACAGTGAGAAATCTTTGAAATGGGAGTAGAATAATTAGAACAGCATATGTGTGTGTGTGTGTGTGTGTGTGTGTGTGTGTGTGTTTATGTGTGTATATGTATACATATATATATAGAGAGAGAGAGAGTTAGCTAGGTATATATCTATTAATTTTTCTTTTTTTCCATTGTGGCTTTTATTTGGAGATAGACTTGAAACAATGGTTAGGGGAGAATTTGCAGTTCACCTGGTGATTGCTGAATAGTGGCTGGAACTAGGATTGTGGCAATGGAGGCGGAAAGATAAATGTGAGATCTATTTTGGTATAAGAACTGGTAGAACTGAGTGGTTGATTGGATTGGGGTCAAGGAAGGGAAGTGAAATCAAGTGTCATGCATGAGCTTTCCAAATGTCTGGCACAAATATCTGGTTGATGGTGGTGCTCCTTGTCTGATATTGTAAATGATGGCAGAGTAGATTTGCAAGGAAAATTAAGACTTTCTGAACATGTTAAAATTGAGGCACTAATGAGCCATTAGTGACCTAGGCTTCATGCATGAGTTTAGGACTATAGGACACCTAGATGTGAGTGTACCAAATTGTCCAGAGAATATTAAGAGAGAAGAGTCCCTAGACCAAGCCCTTTATTTCAAGATTACGTATGGATGGGGAGTGTTTGAACAAACAGACTTTAAAACGTTGCCGCCCAAGCTGTCGGAGATAAATCAGGTGAGTATAATGTACAAATTAATAGAGAGAGCTTCACAAGGCAAGAATTGAGTCTCCAGCTTCAAGGTAAAGTAAGATGAAATTGAAAACTATCCAGTGGACAGTGCAATTCCATGAGTTACTGGTGACCATAGAGCAGTATTTGTGGAATGAAGGAAAGCAGGGGGGCAGCAAAAGCTAGATATCTTCCCACCTGAGTTGTCAGCAGAAACTGTGTCTTATCTCTAGATCTGTAGTTTTTAGGAGTTTCGTAACAATAGGAAATGCATACATGTACATAATGATGGCGTCTATGTAGTTTTGAATGAGTGAGGAATCTTGAGGGCATCCATCAGCAAGTGTGCACTGATGGAGAAAGAAATGACAATGATGTGAGATCCTTAACTGAACAAACTAACTTATGTTATCTTCACCAAAGCTATCTCAATTCTCTGCCATCACTTACGCACTCTGTGGTACATCATTTTCCACTGATAGACAAGGTCCTTAGAGTCTCAATTCTAGAACCCCAATATAATATCCACATGTGGTTACATCATAACAAAGTTGTAAAGCCACTGGGTGGGGTAAGATTAATTCTATATTTTCCTTAAGAAGAATTAGAATTCCCAAATACACCGAAAGCACTAACTATATTTCTAACTACTTTAGAAGTATCATTCTGTAAAAGTAGTTTCATTATTGTTTAAGCTTGTTTTCACGTATTTGTATGCATGCATGTATATGCTTTATTAAATCTATTTCTGAGCCTGACTGTTGGGCTTTTACAAGTTGCTCTCTTTACTAGGAACAAATTTTTATTCTCACATCATATTAATGTGTGGTTTTTGTTTGTTTTCTACCCATTGTCCACACTCTTTTTTGCGCGGGTAGCTGTGACTTCAGGCACACTACCACACCTGGCTAATTTTTAAAATTTTTTTTGTAGAGAGAGAATCTCTATCCTATACTGATAGGATCTGCTATGTTGCCAGAGCTGATTTAGAACTCCTGAGCTCAAGTGATTCTCCCACCTGGGCCTCCCAAAGTGCTGGGAACACAGGTGTGAGCCACTGCACGCAGCCACATTAAACTCTTAGTCCTTAGAAACAGGCTACTTAGTTTGGTGTCGTTAGTACCATAAAACACTGTGCTTAAATCTGTTTTTGATGGAATCACAGAGCAAATTTCACATGCAGCTTCAGGTCAAACTGTTTCCACATCAGTTTACAGACTTTATTATAGCATCAATAATATTTATTTGTTTCAAAATATGTAGAACAATTAATTATAAGAACTAATTCACTGCAGTGAATGTTGAATGCTGACACTTACAAACTAAAGGGACAATTAGTTATCTGACCTTTAATAATTTACAAGTTTATCTAGGCAAAGCTTAATCGGCCATAGATTTTTTCTTTTTTTTTTTTTCTTTTTCTTTTTTAGACAGAGTCTGACTTTGTAGCCCAGGCTGGAGTGCAGTGGCGCAATCCCAGCTCACTGCAACCTCTGCCTCCCACAAGTTCAAGTGATTCTCATGTCTCCCGAGAAGGTGGGATTATAAGTGCCTGCCACCATAGCCGGCTAATTTTTGTATTTTTTTTTTTCAGTAGAGAAGGGCTTTCACCGTGTTGGCCAGGCTGGTCTCGAACTCCTGACCTCAAGTGATCCACTCGCCTCAGCCTCCCAAAGTTCTGAGATTACAGGCGTGAGTCACCGCCCCCAGATGACTTTTTTTCTTTTAGAAACAAAACCTTAGGCATATTTTTCTTTATTCGAATTTTTTGTCAAAGTTTCTGTTTTTAAATGCATCAAATATAAGTGAGTGAAAAGGATAGAAATTATCTGTACTACTAACTCTTCTATTCACCACAATGTGGGTTTCCTTATTTATTTCTTTTTCTTTTAAGTATTGTAAGCTCTTTTCAGGATGGGAGGCCTTACTGTGTTATTCTTAACTATACAGTCAGGTCCTAGAAGAGTATATGGCACCAAGTAGGTGCTTAGCAGATATTGTTGGATGAATGAACGCTGTAAATAGTTCTACTAGAATTGATTTAATCAGCCTTCTATTGTTGGATGTTGGGGTTGTTTTATTGTTTTTTCTTCTCATAAACATTTGTTCCTTCAGATAAATCACAGTCTATAATTATTTTCTCAGAACATGTCCATAAAGTAGAAACCTAGGCCAAAGAATAGCATATATTTTTTAACAACATCATCCTATAAATCTTTATTGAGTAAAATGATTGGGTTTTTAATTGGATGCATTTGTTGTTCTTCAAAATATTGACCACTTTCTGTTTTAATTAGTAATAAATTTCTATCATAATTGTTGCCATTTTTCTCCATGTTAGAAAAAACTGGAACTTTCTCTTCTGAATTGTATAATTATCTATTTTTATTAATGCTTTAAAAATGTAAGGCTTTTAAAAGACTAATTAGACATAAAAATAAAACTTTCACTTAAGGTTTATTGAACCTATACTGGTATGTCTGCAGGCAAAAATGAATGTTCAAAGTACTTTTAGGAAGTATGAAAAGTGTTTTAGCCATTTAGCCTTTACTAACATTTATTTTGATTTTAAGGTAATTTTTATATTATAGGTTACTTGCTGACTTTTTTTCTTCTCTGTTCTTTTCTGAAGTTGCATTCTTGTGTTGGGTGGGACACAGTTAAGTGTGACATGAATTTCCTTGCCCCAAGTTCTTGATTTGCCCATGAAATGAAGACTTGTGCCTCATCAGATGTCTTTTAAATTTTTTACTCTGCACATTTTATTTTAATTATCTCTGAAGGCATTTTCTGGTTCTGTAATAAGTTCTTACCTCTTGCCTATAGAGACTTTGGAAGTGATAAAAATTGATCTAAAACTGTTAAAGAAAAAAATAGTATTTTAAACCTGTTAAGTTATTGTTTAATCCTAGCCTTGTAATTGATGTGCACAGTTGTAGATGGTGGTTGATTTGCTTTATTTTGTATTCTCAATGCCATATACCATGTGTAAGCTATGTTTTTAGCCCGGTCTCATGTCTCAATTCTGAAAATGTGGAAGATGTTTATTGTAGTATTCCTATAAAAATTCATTATCATTTAATTCTTAGAAAAGTAACTCTAGAGTTGTTAAAAGTCTAAATGGCCTTTTTCTGTGTTTATCTTTACCAGTTCAAAATAGAAATGCTACTTTTAACTATTACAATTTAATGGTGTATTTGATATAAATTGGATGTTTACGATTTGAGTAAAGTACCTGCTTTCGTAGAATATTTTAGCTGAAAATAATTGGAAGGTATACCTCCCAGTGTTAAACTCTCCTATAAACATTTTCTTCTTACAAATTGGTATTTCTGAACCACTATCTCTTATTCCTGTGTTTGAGTAGATACAATTAAGTTTCATACTAAAATAAATTTTCTTCACATCATTACTAAAGCATTCAGTTATTTCAAAAATATAGTACATTACTATACTGATGAATAATGGAAGAAGTTTGTCTGTTGATTCAACATATTCAAGAGTAGGATAGTTTTTCTCCTGAATAAAACTACAAAATCAATAGTGGATTTACTTACTTGACCTCAAAGAGATAAGACATTTTGTCTATGAAATAGTTTATAGTTTTTTGTTTGTTTGTTAAACAAAAATGAAGGGAAATAAACCAATAAAGCAGAAGGCATGGATTGAGGAAGCAATCTGGGAAAGGTTGTGAAAAGAATTGCCAGAGTCTTGGTCAAGGGGAATCCTAGCAAGCCACCCTGCAGAGGTCGCAGGAGGATGGAAGAACTCTTGGGAGGAAGCTCTCTAACTGGAGGGCTATCATTTACAAAGCCATGATACTATAAACACTGAGTATTGAGTTAACAAAAAATTGTAAGACTAGTGTGTTGAGAAGTTAGAGTATGGAAAAAAGGGGAAAAGGGACAGTTTGGGATGAGGTAGGGAGGCAGATTTATTCATGGAAGCTTTTCTATACAGCAAGAATTATGAGCCATACCTTTCAGATAGTTCTGTGGGTTGGCAGCCCTCATCACCTGGCACCTTTGGCACTGCCTTGATAGCTGCCTCTCACCCAAGTTAGAGAAAGAGGATTGAAGACAGGAAGAAAGCAAGCTTATGTGCTTGATACTTTATCCTAACTAGGTATATTCTTATTTCCGCCCTTTTTACTTGAGGCACAGATACACCATCATCTGCACTTTCTGTGCCTAACTTATCTTAACAAAAAAAAAAAAAAAAGCATTCTCTAGAATAAGCCAAGGGCATTGTATTTTCTGTCGATGATAAAATGCAGATTTTTACCACTAAAAGGCAATGACTTCATTTCTAAAGGTTAAATTGAATGGTTCTCACAGCATAATTTCATATGGTTAAATTTGGGAAACTGAAAGTCATTCAGTAAGAGAACAATCTCTGAGCTTGTATAGAATTTGTATTTGATTGAGAATTGGGTATTACTTTATTCACATTAAGCTGTATCACATGATTTTATTTCAAGGTAGAAAAGAAATGTCAGTAGGCATAAGTACTTAGTAGAACTTTTTTCTTTATTTGAACAAAATGTGTCCTCTTTATGGCCTGTGAGGATGACCTCATGCTCCATCTGATGCTTTCTTTTAGCTATTGCCCAAGAGTTTAGACTTTCTTAAGCTGCTTTTGTGGAACCAGTGAGACTTTTTTTCTGTGCTTTTCTAACCCCTTGCTTTCTCATCTAAACCATTTTCTTTTTAAATTTTTTAAGTATTTTAATACACTAGTATTCAAAGTAGTGATCAAAGTAGATGATTTAAAACATAATGAATGGGTGGTTAATTTTGAACTTGATATTCTCTCCAAACTACTTACAGATTAGTTAGGGGAAAAGTTTTCTTGAGTTAAAAATTAAAATATTGTATATTCTTCCTGTGCACGTTGTTTTTATTGTGTTGTTGTATATTCTTAAAGGTATAATTTATATACAGTAAAATGTTCTCATTTTTAGCATATAATTCTGTGAGTTTTGGCAAATGTGCATTTTGAGAAACGTATATTTATGAAATCATCACCATAGTCAAGATATTAGAGCTGTTCCATTGTCCCAATTCCTCCATTCCTTTTAGAGTCAACTTCTAGTCCCTGGCAACCACTCATGTTTTTCTGTTTAACTATAGTTTAACCTTTGTCAGAATGTCATACAAATGCAATCATGTATTTGAGATTCATACGTGTTGTTGCCCATGTCTTTTTTAGCGTAGAGTAGTATTCCATTGTGTGGTGTACTATAATTTATACCCAGTTGAGGGATATTTAGGTTATTTCCAATTTTAGTGATTATGAATAACGTCCAGACCATTATCTTTGCTTTGCCTTGCTTTGTTTTTTTTAAAGAATGAGACAGGGTCTTACTCTGTCATCCAGGCTGGGAGTGCAGTGGTGCGCCATCACTGCTCACTGTAGCCTCGACCTCCCAGGCTTAAGCTATCCTCCCACATCAGCCTCCTGAGTAGATAAGACTACAGGTGTGCAGCACCATGCCCAGCTGATTTTCTTTTTTTCTTTCCTTTTTTTTTTTTTTTTTTTTTTTTTTTTGTTTTGTGAGGCAAGATCCCACTGTGATGGCCAGGCTGGTCTCTAACTCCCGGGCTCAAGCAATGTTTTTGCCTCAGGCAAAACATTACAGGCATGAGGCCACCGTGCCTGGCTCAGACCATTTTCTGAGGGTCCCTAATCTATTCCTCTAACATTATTTCACTTTATCTTAGTGAACTGCGGTGATTGTCCGAATGGTGCTTTGCATGTTTTCATTCTAAACATAGAGATGTGTCTTCTCTTCCTAAGTATTTGCCAAGTTCTGGTTTCATTTCTCAGTATTGTACACTGTGGAAAGGAAGAAATAAATGGTGGGTAGGACCAACCAAATAAAAGTGTTTGTAGATGTCTGACTTTCTTAGGGCTCCTTAAACTCTTAGATGATTTAGTTCCTTGCAAGTCTGATTGGAGAGTAATTGTTTTCTTCCATATGTTGGAGTGCTATCCTTGCACTACTTTGCCCTGTGGCTTCCTTCTTCTAGTTGGGCAAGCATACCATTCCTGCCCCCTTTGGAAACTTTGCTTAGCCAGGATATTTCTTTTAATAATTGTAATACTCTCTGTTGAGGGCATCACTGATTGGAATGATACATCCTAAGCTCAGGGCTTTCTTCCAGCTTAATGCTCCTACAGATGTCCAAATGTCCTCTTGACTCATGCTCCCAGAACTGGAGCTCAGAGCCTGGGCTGCGGTTTCTCCTATGTTCAACATGGTGCAGGCCTGAGTGAGGTGCTTTACCAACCAAGTAAACAGTGTGAGAATCTGTAAACCACAGACAACACTTAATGATTTTCCATTTTTTAAGAGACAAGGCTAGAGTGTCACCCAGGGTAGAGTGTTGTGGCATGATTATAGCTCTCGGCAGCCTCAAACTCCTGGGCTGAAGCAATCCTCTTGCCTTAGCCTCCCAAGCAGCTGGGACTACAGGCCCGCACCACCATGCTTGGCTAATTTTTAAATTTTTTGTAGAGATGGGGTATTGAACTCCTAGCCTCATGTGATACTCCCATCTCAGCCTCTCAGAGCGCTAGGATTACAGGCATGCGCCACCCTGCCCAATTATTGAAAGATAATTGATGGCCTAGCTTTAGCACCTTTTTTTTCTGTTGTAATTTTTTTGTTTGGGGGTTTGTTTTTGTCAGTGTTCTCCTCTGTGTTCACTTCATTCCTGTTAAACTTGCAATTCACTGAAGTTTACGCCCTCCCTGGTCTCTCTAGTACACATCTCACCACAAAGCATTGATAACCAGCCAGGGAAGAGCAGTTTCAAATTTGAAAGTGCTTTATGGTAACACAGGAGCTCGAGGGCATTCTCAGAGTATCCTCCCCCCGCAGGGTTCCATGTATTTCAAGAGATGATCATGCTGTATAACTGGCTCTTCATCGAATCATAAACTCATTCTGTGAATTAAAATGGCACTTGGGGCCATAGCGCCCAAGATGTGGAAAGGAGGAAGAGTGTGGAGCGATAGGTGATGGTTTTGCCTTGCTGATAGGAGATGTAGTTGTGATTTGTCTTCCATATAGCCACAAAAGTAATTCTCCTGGTCTGCACAACCCAGAAAAACATAGATAACGATGGCAGTGAATGATCACCATACACCATACACCATACACAATACACTTAAAATGAGAGAGCACATTTGCTTCAGTATCCTTAACGATTTGTTCTGATCTCCACACTCTTTTTTTTCCTGTGTCTGTCCTCTTGTTCACAAGGATTTTGCTGCTTTAGAGCACATTTGCTTCAGTATCCTTAACGATTCGTTCTGATCTCCACACTTTTTTTTTTTTCCTGTGTCTGTCCTCTTGTTCACAAGGATTTTGCTACTTTAGAGTTAAGATTGGTTAGACCCAGACAGCACTGTGCCCTGGAGTCCTTTACCCTCAGGTCAGCCCTGGTGGGACCAAGCAGTACAGAGAGCTTCATAGGAAGAAACATCCTGGGATGGGCAGTAGAGCATATGCTTGCACCTCCAGGGAGGCCCATCAGGATTGATGGGCTTCTTTCTAGCTGTTTCTCAAGTGCTGGTAGAGTATACTTCCCCAGTAATAAGTTCTGCATGTATTTGTTTGTAGTTCATTTTCCTGTGATGTTAATCAAAGATTGTGATGATGAGAACTAATTCGTGATCTTCATTATTAACAATTTCCATTTGAGTCTTGCATATGATAATCCTGAGTGGTTAATTGTTAACTAATAGGTTTAGTCTATTCCCATTTTCCCATGCTGTTTTCTGTGCTGTTATGTTTACCTCTCACCAGCCCTTTCTAGTTTCATGCCTACTATTTGGGGACTTTCATTGGAGAAATCATGGGAATCACTTTGCATACATCTAGTGCACACCGACATCCTAAACCCTGTTCCAGAATTCACAGAATTGTGATTTCTGTAGTTCAGGTCCTCTAGGAAGCAGGTGACCTGGCTGTCTGGGGTGGTGGTCTTTCAGACACTTCTATCCTGTGCCTGCTGTACAAGGATTCTGCTTCGTCTGCTCTCCCACCTACCCACCCAAATCTCCCATTCTCCCAAGCCTGGGAATTCATCATACTAAATTATTTTAAACATATATTTGTATACACAGCAAGGTACTTTATAGAGATAAGTTCCAATCTAACTGCTGAAGGGGATATCTTATAGCCATAGATAGATGTACCCACATTTGGAAGAGATGTAGCCTGACAAGCCAGAAGTCAGGGCAGAGTGAGAGTTTATAATTAAGGTGTTTTTATAACCTTTGCTTCTCTGCTTCTCTCTAAGGGTCATCCTGCCATTCTGGAGGGTCATTCAGAACCCTGTTCCTCTAAGTTTGAGATATAGATACTAACATCCTTTGAAATGAAGTCACCCCAGGCACATTTGTTGCATCATTACTTTCTCAATTTCAAGGTGCATTGAGGAGGCAGAAACATTTCTTAAAGAGATGCCATCCACAATAGCAGGTTAAATGTAGCTAATGCAATCTTAAATTAGCTTTTCTAAGAGTACAGGAAAATACTTATGTATAGTTTGCTGTAGAGCACAGGTAATGTGAAAACTACCAGTGCAACAACAACAAAAAAAGACTTCTCTTGTCAGAAATCCAGTTGCTTCCTGATTATTTACACCAGTGGAGGGGAATATTGGTGTAGATAACAGAAAACCACAACTAATTTATTTACTTGATTTCTCAAAGCTATGAGCCAACATAGTGGCAGAAAACTGGCAAATAGAATCCCAGACCTTATGTAAGGAAGCAATAGCAATGAAAACTGAGAGTGAAAGCCTTAGCATATAGATACATAAGCAGAAATATTTGATATTACCTTGAAATGAGCATTCTGTGTAACAAGTCCTGTAGTTGTTATCTCTTTAAATCTAAGGTCTTAAATCTTTATTTATATATATGGTTGTGGGTGTTTCTTTTTTTTTTTTTTGAAATGGAGTTTCACTTTTGTCACCCAGGCTTGAGTGCAATGGCATGATTGGGCTCACTGCAACCTCCGCCTCCCAGGTTCAAGCGATTCTCCTGCCTCAGCCTCCCAAGTAGCTGGGATTACAGGCACACCCTGCTATACCCAACTAATTTTTGTATTTTTAGGGTTTCACCATGTTGGCCAGGCTGGTCTCGAACTCGTGATCTCAGATGATCCTCCTGCCTCCGCGTCCCAAAGTGCTGGGATTACAGCCGTGAGCCATCGCGCCCGGCCAGGTCTTTTTTTCTTTTTTCTTTTTTTTTTTAAGAGAGAAAATCTCTGTCTCCCGGCTCTTATTAACCCTGGAAATGTGTCTAAGAGACTGAAGCACATTGCTACTTGCACTCTCTCTTTGGAAGGCAAATTACTTAACTGAATTCTGTCAATTTTATATTGTTATAATCAGAATTTCTAAAATAAATAATTTCCATAACTAAATTACCAGGGAGGATTTATAGCTACATCGCCTGAGGAAACGTGCCAGTCTTCCTAACCAGTGTTTTCATTTGAGCCACTGAAACAAATATTAAAGATTTCAAGAATGTTTGAAAAGGAACATGCCAAGCAAAAAAATGCTTGAGATGACAAGGAAAGACATACACTTTTGTGTGGCTGTGACTGAGATTTGAAAGTGCCGACATCTTTGGGTTCTTATAATCAATTTAATTGACTTTATAAGAACTTAATATTCTGTCAGCTTGGATGAAATATCCATCTTTCCACTTAGTGACTGGTCCACAGGCATATCACCTCATCCAAGCCTTCGAAATACTTGCCTCAAGAATATGGGGAACTCCATGTTCTTACCTTATAATTTTTATCTGGAAATAAACATGGCCAGTTCTGATGAGGTTTTAAAATTTGCTGTATGCCTTTGATTTTCTTTTTCTTTTTTTTTTTTTTTTTTTTTTTGTCGGAGTCTCGCTCTATCACCCAGGCTGGAGTGCAGTGGCACAATCTTGGCTCACTGCAAGCTCCGCCTCTCAGGTTCATACCATTCTCCTGCCTCAGCTTCCCAAGTAGCTGGGACTACAGGTGCCCACCACCACACCCGGCTATTTTGTTGTTGTTGTTGTTGTTGTTGTTGTTGTTGTTGTTGTTGTTGTACTTTTAGTAGAGACGGGGTTTCACCGTGTTAGCCAGGATACTCTCGATCTCCTGACCTCGTGATTTGCCTGCCTCAGCCTCCCAAAGTGCTGAGATTACAGGCATGAGCCACCACGCCCAGCCTGATTTTCATAGTTGGCTTTCACTTCTGATCTTTGCCATAATCAATGACATGTCATCCTCTTGGCTATCTTCCCATTTGTCATTTCTGGAATAGAGCTGTTGAGTTGTGCATTGAGACTTAGGAGGAGTCAGGAACATGTATTGATTTTTATGACATGGGTAGCACTAAGGTCCCTTTGAGGCTCCTTGATTATTCTCAGTCTGAGTAGGTTTCTCTCTTTATAAAGTAGGTAAGAGTTTAGCAAAAAAGGAAGAGAGGGTGCTGCAACCTCCTTGTTAGTTTAAACATGAAAGGCATGCCTGTGTGTGTGCCATTGTTATTCCTATAAGCATTTTTTCCAGATAACTACATCCAAAGGATAGTGATGAGTAGAAGTCTATTTCTGAAAAATGTAATTTGCTCTGATCTTGAGGAAAAAGACCTTCTCTTCTGAGATGTTAGGTTGCCTCATGATTTGCGATAATCAATTTGATAATTGTTGTTGACTTACTGGTTCAGCTCATGAATAGTGTCCCAGATTTAGACTAGTATGGCACAAGGATTTTAATCAAGTAGTGCTTTCTTTCCCATGGAGCATTTATCTTGTTTGACTGTTCTGGACTTCAGCCAGCTGCCAGACAGGCATTTTTCATGTGTATATGTGTAGGAGAATGTGTTGCTTAAGTGTTCAATGGGGAAGTTTCCAACCCCCTAAAGCTCATGGTTACCTTGCCTTTTACCACTGTACTGTTAGAGACACTGAGAATGGATCGCTGTCTCTCTTTTTCTCTAAGAATCCGTTTGATGGGAAGCATGAATCTTAGTTACTATGAATACTGTTTTCATCCCAGCCTACCTCACTGCTTCTGAATGAGAGGAGCCCCTTTGGCTGCTCTGAAAACTCTTGAAATACTTGATGGCTTGTTATGTTTTCATTATCTAATGTGCATTAATTTAAATAAAATAGCTCTGTTGTTAGAAGAAGAGTCAAAAAGGAAAAGCTTGGCTGGGTGCAGACTGCTTGTGTCACAGAAGTCAGGAAAGTTTGCAGAACTTGGTGTCCTCAGAGGGAGTTTTCAGTTCTGCTGGCTGGGCTGAAAACCTGAAACTCTAAAATCCAGTGACTATTCCCCTAGCATATACGATGTGATATTTTGATGCTCACTTACTCTATCACCTGTTTAATTAGCTTGAGAGACTGAAAGGATTTGAAGGCCCTTCGCATCTATGTGACTGAGTTCTGAGAGTCGAAATGTCCATGATTTGGCACTCTGGAGGATAGAGCACACAGACTTTGTGTTGATGCACCAAAAAAGGTTTTTAAACTGCTATTCCGTTTTATGTGTTTTTATTATTTCTATAATGATTCCTGCTGACATGAAGTAGTATTTGTCTCCATTGACCACATCCTGCTGTTCTAGATTTCCCTGGGTAGGAACAGTATGCCCCAGGTATCATCTCATCCCCAAAATGAACATAGAGCAGGAGTTGCTGTACTAGTGCCTGGAGAAGGCTGGCCACTTCTCAAGGTTAAGAAACTGTGAGCTCTGAATCTTACATAACCTATTTAAAGATAAACTACTTTTGGCTTCCTGGGACAGGGTTATAGGGACTATGTGAGATAGCCTAGGCGTCGCTTTTTTTTTTTTTTTTAATGAATATTAAAGGTTAAATGGAAGGTTAGTACTGGTCTTCTTACCTCAACTTTTTTTTCTTTCTTTCTTTCTTTTTTTTGAGAAAGAGTTTCGCTCTTGTTGCCCAGGTTGGAGTGCAAATGGCACGATTTCAGCTCACTGCAACCTCCACCTCCCAGGTTCAAGCGATTCTCCTGCCTCAGCCTCCCAAGTAGCTGGGATTACAGGCATGTGCCACCATGCCCGGCTAATTTTTTTCTATTTTTAGTAGAGACAGGGTTTTGCCATGTTGGCCAGGATGGTTTCAAACCCCTGACCTCAGGTGATCCACCCGCCTCAGCCTCCCAAAGTGCTGGGATTGCAGGCGTGAGCCACTGCGCCTGGCACCTCAATTTTGTGTTAAAGGAAGATGAGCTCTTCTTGCCCCAGAGAACTCTGGTGTGAAAGTCTCATTTTCCAAGCACCCTTTTAACTGAGTATTTAAGTTAATCTGGAAACTGTCGATTAACTATATTTCTTCTACTGAGGCCTCATGGGTATCATGTCTATGTCTTGGTTTCAGAAATGTCTATAAATAGGGTTATTTGCTTAGCTTCCTGCCAAACTTTTTGTCCTAGACTATAAAGAAAGAAACGTTGGGTTTTATTACTTTCCAGTTACTCTTTTCCTCTTTTCTCCATCAGGATACCCAAAAAGCAAAGCAGTTCCTGCCTTTTCTTCAGCGGGCAGGTCGTTCTGAAGCTGTGGTGGAATACGTCTTCAGTGGTTCTCGTCTCAAACTCTATTTGCCAAAGGAAACTTGCCTTATCACCTTCTTGCTTGCAGGTAAGTCTTATGTGTTACATGTTACTCTGAGCTCAGAAGTCATCCCTGGAAACCACATACCCTCCTTTCCCCCTGTGTTCTAGATAGGCCCTAGAGCCCACCAGCATGCTCTTCCTCTCTGGTTGGGATATGCAAACACAGTTTCTAGATTGGATCCTCCTGTGCCTGCAGACCCAGCACTGCACCCCCTTTCTGCTCCTCATTTCTACCAAGCACAGGATGTAGGAGTAGAGCAACTTGCAAGCACGCAGCCCTTATAGAGCTAGAGCAAAGGAAGTTCCAGACTAGGAAAATACCAGCCATGGAATTCTCAGAGTTGGCCTTCATTACCCACTTGAAACAGACTGCCCATGCTATGTTAGTTGTGGGGAGGCCTCAGAGGAGCCAAGACACTCTTCCCCTGTAGCTCCCCAAGCAGTGCCCTTTGTCTCCCTTTCATTCTTTTCAAATGCCATTAAGATCCCAGTCCTTTATGAAACCCCAGCCATGACGTTGCTTTCACACGCTCTTCCCACATCGATAGTATTTCTTGTTGTGCTAAGGTTGACGTGCTAAGGCAAAGATGCTCCTTTCTTTGCTGACTTAATGTGTGTCTTACCCTATCTTTTCTGGTAGCTTAATATTTCACAAGCCAGAAGGCTATGTATAAACTGTGCTCTTTGAGCAATTTACATTTATGCATTCAAGGAACAAACTGCTTCATTTCTTTGCTGCTGGCAAATAATAGTTATTTATTTCCAGTTGGTACTTCACAGAGACTGCAGTCTTTGAGGGAAAGCTGTCATTTTACTTCCACCACCACCCCCACCCCGCCCAGCCACCCTTGCACACACAAATATTCATTCACTTGCAAAAGACATATCCCGCCGTGGTCCCCAGATGCACATGGTCCCCACCTTGCCTTTTTTGCTAGTGTCCTGTTGTCTCAGCACTTCTTACATTGAATTACTGAATAGAATTTGCTATGGGGAAAGAGAAACGGGAGTCATGCTTGCTGCCTCCTGCCAGATCGCCTTGGCCTCCTTTTCCTAGAAGGCACAGGTAGTTTCTTGTCTGGATAAGGGTCTCCCTCAGGCCCCAACTAAATGGATTGAGTTATGAGAGATAAATCACTCCCTGAACACATGACCATGGAGCTCACTGCTGCTGCTTGGCTGTCACTTCTCATTGTGGCTCTTGTACATACTCTTATGAACTTGATCACTGCACAGCTCTGCAGGCCTTCTGAAGGGACTCATTGAAGTGTGACACCAAGCTCAGGGCAGCTACGCAAAAGAAGAGATGCAAAAAAATTCATACCTTATTGGAGGGCTGTGGTTTTATTTTTGCTAATGTGAGTTATGGTAAACTGAAAGGCAGTGTGGCAGTTGTGTGAGAGAGTCCTTTTATGCAGCCATTTGTACCTTTTTACCAAGGTTTCTATACCCATGAAGTTTCTTGGTAGTGAACTTTTGCTAGAGAGTTGGAGGCACAGGCATATCCAGGTTTATTGCACTTCTTTTTATTGTGCTTCAGATATTGCATTTTTTTTATAGATAGGAGGATTGTGACAACCTGTGTTAAGCAAGTATGTCAGTGCCATTTCTCCAGCAGCATGTGTCTATCACATTTGGTAATTTTCACATTTCAAACTTTATTATTATTATATCTGTTATGGTGATCTGTGACCAGTGATGTTTGATGTTATTATTTCAATTGTTTCGGGTCGCCATGAACCACAGTCATATAAGATGGTAAACTTAATTGATAAATGTTGTATGTGTTCTGACTGCTCCACCCATTGAATGATAAGAAAACCAAACAAAGCTTGGTGCAGTGGTGCATGCCTGTACTCCCAGCTACTCAGCAGGCTGAGCCCAGGAGTTGCAGATCAGCCTGGGCAACATAATGAGACCCTGTCTCAAAATAGAAAAGAAATTGAAGCAGCCTTATTGCTTATATGGAAAAATTTTAGTGGTCTGGATAGAAGATCAAACCAGTCACAATATTTCCTTAAGCCAAAGTCTAATCCAGAGAAAGACCTCTGGATTTGACTCTCCTCAATTCTGTGAACACTGAGAGGTAAAGAAGCTGCAGAAGAAAAATTTGAAGCTGTTAGAGGTTGGTTCATGAGGTTTAAGGAGAGAAGCCATCTTCATAACATAAAAGTACAGGGTGAAGCAGCAAGTGCTGATGTAGAAGCTGCAACAAGTTATTCAGAAGATCCAGCTAAGATCACTGGTGAAGGTGGCTACACCAAACACCAGATTTTCAGTGTAGATGAAACAGCCTTCTACTGGAAGAAGATGCCATTCCAGGATTTTGGTAGCTAGAGAGAAGTCAGTGCCTGCCTTCTGAGTTTCAAAAGACAGGTTGACTCTGTTGTTAAGACCTTATGCAGCTGGTGACTTTAAGTTAAAGCCATTGCTCATTGACCATTCCAAAAAACCTAAGGCTCTTAAGAATGATGCTAAATCTACTCTGCCTGTGCTCTGTAAAAGGAACAGCAAAGCCTGTATGACGGCACATCTGGTGACAGCCTGGTTTATGGAATATTTTAAGCCCTTTGTTGAGACCTACTGCTCAGAAAAAAAAAGATTTTTTTGCAAAATATTACTGCTCATTCACAGTTCTGCAGCTAGCTGGTCACCCAAGAGCTCTGAAAGAGTTGTACAAGAAGATTGTACATGCCTGCTAACATAGCATTCATTCTGCAACCCATGTATCAAGGAGTAATTTTGATTTTCAAACCTTACTATTTAAGAAATATGTTTTGTAAGCCTAAAGCTGCCATAAATAGTGATTCTTCTGATGGATCTGGGAAGCAAATTGAAAACTTTCTGGAATGGATTCACCACTTTAAATGCCATTGAGAACATTTGTGATTCATGGGAGGAGGTTGAAACAGCAACCAGCATAAACAGGGATTTGAAGGAAGTTGATTCCAAGCCTCCTGGTTGACTTTGAAGAGTTCAAGACTTCAATGGAGGAAGTAACTGCAGATATGATAGAAATAGCAAAAGAACTAGAATTAGAAGTAGAGCCTGGGGATAAAACTGAGTTACTGAAATCTCATGAAAAGAATTTGAACAGATGAAGAGTTGCATCTTATAAATGAGCAGAGAAAGTTATTTCATGAAATGGAATCTAGTCCCGGCAAAGATGCTGTGAACATTGTAGAAATGACAACAAAGGATTCAGAATATTACCTAAACTTGATGAAACAGCATCAGGGTTTGAGAGAATGGACTCTAATTTTGAAAGAAGTTCTACAGTGAATGAAATGCTATCCCACAGCATTCCATGCTACAGAGAAATACTTTGTGAAAGGAAGAGCCAGTTGATGGAACAAACCTCATTGTTTTTTTTGCCACAGCCACCACCTCCATCAGCAACCACCACCCTGATCAGTCAGCAGCCACAAACATGGAAGCAAGACCCTCCAGCAGCAAAAAGATTATGACGCACTGAAGGCTCAGATGATCATTAGCATTTTTTAACAATAAAGTGCTTTTATTAAACTACAGTATAGGGTGAACACTTTTATATGCCCTGGGAAACTAAAAATTTGTGTGACTTGCTGTATTGCAATATTCACTTCATTGCAGTGGTCTGGAACTAAACTTGCAGTATCTCTGAGGTATGCCTGTATATATTCATCTCATCCTCTGCTCTGTAGCATCTCATCTTCTGCTCTGAGAAAGAAAAGCATCCTTTTGGCAATGTAGAGCTTTATCCCAGAGGTGAAAAAGAGAAACAGTATTATTCTTCCTGGGAAACATGGCCACAAATGTATAGGGGAAAGAGAACATTGAAGTTTTGTCTTTTAAGCTCTAAACTACCTGAATGGAGCCGGCTCAGAGCACAGACCATCTTGGCTGGAGTTTTCCTGCAGAATTCTTCTAGTTTTACGTTGCTTAGACACAAGCAGTCTGATCACTCGACTCTGCATCAGCCAGTTCCTGTGTGTATTTGGCATTATTTTAAGCTTAGCAATTCAAAAGGCATTGCCTGAGTTAACTTACATTGTGAAAGATAGATTACACAGAAGCAAATACGTGATAAAAATATAAGCCTTTTACATTTTTCTCCTGCCATAGTGTGTGCTGTTATATTATGCATCTTTTGGTTTCTTCAGAAACCTGGCAAGAATACAGGACAGGGAAAAGTCTTAAGAGAAAGCAGATCTCAGTTTGCATCATGGCTCTACTGTGTATAAGCAGGTGACTTTAACAAGGTTATTTACCCTCTTCAAGCCTCAGTTTACACATCAATTATAACTGGGAATTGTTTCCTGCCTCATGATTGTCGCAGTTTAATGAGTTGACTCTGAAACAAGCCCATTATTAAGCAGATCATCAATAAATATGATCCTTCCCCTTGCAAAGAGTTAGTGTTTTTATAACTAGAGTTTACCTTGCCCCTCAATTTGGAGTGGCATGATTTTGCAGCATGTGTGCACATAGCTATGGCTCTACCATAGAAATTGTGACCTACCCATTACTGGAAATAAATCAAGAAAAGGAGCTATGCCAGCCTTCTTCTGACTAAGCTTGCTGGAAGGAAGTCTCCTGGCTTTTCCCTCTGAGACTTTGGAGCAAGGAACTCTGCACTGTCCTAAAACCCCATCCCAAAGAATACACAAGTAAGACACAGTCCTAGGTATCAGGAAACACCCAAGGGAATACAGACATGTAAACAAAATGTAAAGTTGAGTACTAGATGAGAGAATAGAATTATGGACAAGGTCTAGAAGTAGCACTGAGGAGGGAATGATTATTTCTTTAGGTGGACATCAGAGAACACCTCCCTAGGTGCTGGTATCTTGAGCTGTGTTTTGAAGTACATATGAGTTTACTGTGTTGGGGGAGGGGAGTAGGAGGAGATGCACATTCTAGCTAGAGACAGCAGCGTGTGCAGAGTTGTAGAGGTATGAATATCTGCATGGATCTGGGCAACCACATAGCCCTTGTTACTGGTGGAGTATAAAGAGTGAGGAGGGTAGAGTGTGGGGTCAGGCTGACAGCTCAGACACGAGCTAGTCCTTCTCTTTCAGATTATGCAGTGGACCCTCAGAGTCACTGGAAGGTATTAAGCAAGGGGGCAGCATGCTCAGACTCGGGTTAAGTAAATTCATTTTGGTGGATGCATTGAAATAAATGAGGCGCAAGAATCTGGGAGAGCAATTAAGAGGCAAGAGAATAGTAGAGGTCTGAAATCTGGGGAGAAAACTGGATAGATTTGGAAAAGTAGGAGGTAGACTTGAAATTCGGGGAATGCCTGGTCTCTTTTTGGTCAGGAGTGGGGGGTGGTGTTGAGTGGAGGGGAGAAAATGAAAGCATCCTAGGTTTGAGCAATCTGGTAGATTGAGATGTCCACAATTAAGAGCAACACAAAAGTAAGAATAGGTTTTAGGAATAGGTTGTTCGTTTGGTTTTGGAATATCCATGAGAATGTTCAAGCTCAGCAGAGGAGCCTACGCAAGTATTCAGGTCAGGGAGCCATCAGCATAGAGGCAGTAATTAAAACTGTTACAGTGCCTAGAGGACAGGTTTACAAGGAGTAAGCACCCTGGAAGACACCAACCTGCATGGAGCGGGCTGAGTGTTCATATATGGGCAGAGAAGATACGGTCAGAGCAGTAAGACAGTCATGAGATAGCATTCTTCTGGAAGCCAAGGGAGTGAAGAATTCCCAGGCACCAGCAGTGTCAGAGTTTACATAAAACATCAAGTATATAAAAACTGTAAAGGGCTTTTATGCTGTTTATCAACTAGTAAGTCACAGGTAACCTCTCGGTACAGTTTCATCAGAGTTGAGTTGATTAAAGGTAGATTACAGGTGACTGGGAAGTAAAAGTGGGAAGTAAGAAACAGACTTAGTAAGTACAGATTGCACTTCCCTGATATCTAACAGAGAATGGAAAAGTAGTGCAGAAAGTAAAAGCCAAAGGGTGAAGGTAACATTCCGAGGATGTCAGCATCTTGTGCGCTTTTAGAACTGTAATTCTTATTCAAGAATCAAGAAGGTATGGATAGCTGAAAAGGCTATTCAGTACACCTATTGTTTTCATAATATAAATTTTAGAATGTAAAACTCAACAAAATATTGGCAAATGAGGTTATAAAAAAAGATAGAGTGAGAGATTATCCTGGGGAACATGAGGTTTGAAATATTGAGAAGCACTCGTCTGAATTCTGAAGAGAAGGAATCAGGAAAGGCTGCACAGGGATAATGAATGGAGCAGTGACCTAGAAGAAGCAGAAGGGATGAGATGCATGGAGAACGTGGTTTGAGGGAGTAGGCTTGGAGAGAGAAAGATCCCTTGGTCTTTTAAAACTACCTACAAAGCTGAAAGTGAGTAGGCATGCTATTCATGTTGTGGGATTGTTCGCCTGGGCAGCGATTGTCCTGCTAGAGCTTTGCAGATATCTGCCGTATGCACCCTCCATTATGTAAGTGTGGCATTCTGCTGGAAATGTCTCTTTGCAGTAAGGAGGGGGTTTGGGTTGTGATTCTCAAGGGGAAAGTCAAGATAATTATTGGGAGCAGTCCCTTATGTGCTGCTCTCATTAATCCCAGCCTTTTGGAGAGCCTTCTGTACTTCAAGGTGGGGTGGACACTTTCCATTTTTATGTGGCCTTTTTTCAGGCAGACGGCCCCACAGCTTGATAGGGAGTGGCATTTGGCCCAAGCCAGCTGGCTGTTCTGTCACGGTTCCTGCACCCCTGTATGTAGAATGATCGCTTGGTCAGATGGGATAGCAGGTGGGGCTAGAGAAGTCAGCTGTAGCCAACAGGTCAGTGCCTCCTGAACGCTCTTGCCCTCTAGTCCTTTAAGCACCTGCCTTAGGCTTGGCTGGTGAGCAGGTGACCTTACAGCATCAGAACTGAGACTGTTCAAGGTCTCTCTGCCTGCTGCTGTGGCCTCCTCCTAAGCGTGCTGATTTCAGTCTCGGAGGCAGTCACAGACACTTCTTGTCCATAGTTAGCAAGGAAGCCAAGATCCCTGGGCAGCCTGCATTTGTTAAAAAGCATCCTTTTTCCTCATCTGGCCTTTAGTGAGCCCCACACGTTTCCTTCCATGAGAGCAAAAGTGGTTCACGCAGTTTTTATTTTCACTTGTCATGTGTGTCCCATTTTACTTTAGTATTTTGTCTAGGGGGAGATTGAGTCACATATTTGGAAATTATTTGGCTCTCAAGTCATGCTTTTATTTTTTACTTTCTTTTTCTTTTTTCTCTTGTTTCTTTTCTTGGAGACAGGGTCTTACTCTGTTGCCCAGGCTACAGTGCAGTGGCCCCATCATAGCTCACTGTAATCTCGAACTCCTGGGCTCAAGTAATCCTCCCTCAGATCCTGAGTATCTGAGACAGCAGGTGCATGCCACCACACCTGGCTAATATTGTTTTATTTTTTGTAGAGACAGGGTCTCAACTGTGTTGCCCAGGCTGGTCTTAGGGTCCTGGCCTCAAGCAGTCCTCTTGCCTTAGTCTCCCAAAGTGCTAGGATTATAAGCATGAACCATGACACATGGCCTCACATTTTTACCTAAAAGCCCCCAGTGGGTGTGGAGTATTTGTCTTATTACTATGAACTTTATATTGAGTGTCCTTATTGTAATTCCCTTATTAGATCTTAGGTATCAGGGTCATGCTGCAGGCACAGTTCAGGAAGTGGCCCTGTTGGATGAGCATAGCAGGTATCAAGGCATGGTGCCTGTAAACCAAATACTTTTCTCCTGAATTGGAAGAGAATAATAATTTGAGATTTCAGTGCAAAGTGATCTAAGGAGCCTTATATCAGATATTTGGAGTCTTCTGTCAACTCACTGAGTGAGTCCACCATGCCGTGTTTGCATTTCCTTAGTGTTAAAGGTGGTACCGCAGTAAGTTTGAGGAATTACAGGGTGAGGCAGGCAGGAAATGGATGCCAGTCACCTTGCATGGAACTCATAGTACAAACCATCTAGAAGGCAGCAGCCACTTGGCAGGGAGTTCCCATGTGGATCACAGCAGGTGACTTATAATTAACCAGTTACCTATTCATATGAAATAAGACAAGAAAATGAGACTTCCCTTTTCCTGCCCTTTAGCATTTTTCTTTCCCTCCCCCTTCCTCTCTTTCCGTCTCCCAACCCTTCTCCCTTCTCCTCTCCCTCTCCCTCCCCCTGTCCCTTCTCCTCTCTCTCTCCCTCTCCCTCCCTTTCTGGAGCTGGATTATGACAAAGGAGGCATTGAGAAAAGTTCTAAGTGTCTAGGATTTGATAAATGGTGGTGGGCTTGTGCATGGTGAACTAAAGGTTTGGCTGTGTGTCCTTTCACCCTGAATGCCTTTGAATGAAGTTCCTCATTTCCTTCTTTTCCTTTAAGATCTCTTCTCTAGCCAATCCTCATTGGAATATCAACTGCCTGTTTCAATAGACCAAAAACTTCTAATGAGAGGAGGGAAGGGAAGGTGAACAGGAATATCCTTCTCATCTCCTGGTCCCAGGAATGGTGGATCCCCATTGATTACCAGTGCCTAACTAAATTACACAATTAAAGCCAATGTATGTTTAAGTGAGAAATCCCATTCTGCTATCACAGAGGTGCTAATGAATCAGGCTGTTATTGTGGTTGTGTTTGCTAGGCTTCTATCCTTAATTAAGCAATTACAGGGTCTGCTGATACTTATGAATTCCTTTCAGATGCTTTAATTGAATTGCAACTTAATGGATATTTGTAAAGTGGGGTATTCTTTCTCTTGGGATATCCCAGTTTGATTCTGTCTCCATTGCCTACTTTCTGTTGGGTCCCATTACTAGAAATGGGCAGCTTAACATGAGACTTTCCTGGAGCTGCTCTAGTTCTTTACTTTTAAAGATATCATTATAGGAATTATAAGAATTATGTTCATGTCCGGGGATCCTGGAGAGTCACTTACAGGAAAGAATTAACACAATGAACAGATTTGGGTAGTGTTTTTTAATGAGTACAAGATTTTTACAAGCACAGATTAAGAAAAGTAGTCTTCAATAGATAAATTTTGGATGATACATAAATTAGTAGGATAACTTCTCCCTCGAATATCTTTTAGTCTAGTTATGTAGATGGCCATACAAATAATGTAAACAAGGAAATATGAAAGAGCAGTTATCAAAAGCATAGGCCACCTAGTATGAGAATACAGAGCAAATAACAATTGTTGAATGGAAAAGTTTTCCTCAGGGCGATGGCATTTGAGTTTCCGAGAAGATCTGCTACATTTTCTTTGGGCAGACTGGGTTTGATTCATCTAGGCAGAAGAAGTTGGCCTGTATCAGATCTCAGGAAGAGTTGCCTAAAAGAAATGGACATATTAATCAATCATTTTTCTCTCCGCTTTTGTATTGGTGTGTAAATCTCCCTCTTAGCTCTTCTGCTATTGAGCCTTCACTGCTCCACCTTCAGCTCTCCGTCTATGCAGGCACACTGTCACCCACTGGTCATGTGAATGAAACCTCCAATTACACCAGGATTATTTTCATCTTTACACCATGAATCATCCCCAGAATGAGCCTCATCATACTTGTGGGTCATTCAATTACATGGTTATTTAATAATTTTTTTTTATATTCAGTGGGCACAATGCTAGGAATACAGAAATGGATGATACAGTTCCAGCCTTTGAGCAAAGTAATTGTGTCTACTGGAGTAAAGAATGTATTGACATGAAGAAAAAAATATTTTAAAAGCATAAGGGTAAGCAAAACATGGCTTAAATACTATACAAATGAGAACAGCTCAGATTTTATAAAACAATAAGAGTAAATATGTAACTGCTGTCAAAAAGGCTGTTTCAAAACTCGGAAATACAGAACGCAGAGAGGAGTGGAGCCAGGTACTGACCCAGCCCAAGTCATTGCATTCCTGGTGGTACGGTGTACCATCTGAGGACCATCCTTTTAGGAAGGACATCAGGAAACTGCAGGTGGTCAGATCAGAGGAGGATGAACAAAGATGCTAAGAGCCTCAGCATGCCAATACCTGAAGATTGGGAGTAGGAATTAAAAGACAGACTTCCATGACATAATCTAGTGTTTCAGGGTAAAAGAGAGAGAAACATGATTTGTTCAGTACCCATTCCAGAGTAATAAATAAAGTCATCACTAAAAATAAGATTTGTTTGGCCTGGTTTAATGGCAGTCACAGACCTTGGAGCTAAAACACTTAAAGATGAATTCTTGCCCTCCTGCTTCCTAATTAATTATTTCCGTCAGACTGGCCTGCTTATCTTGGTGTGATGCTGGTGACCTGGAGGTGAGGGAGACAGCAAGGCCGATGTGGCATTTATGTGCCAGCCTATCTAGGGCCTCCTATAACTAGCAAAAGATAGTCCTAGTGGTGTCATCGCCTTCTATGGAGTCAGACTGTGGAGGATGGTGTGGCCTCCTGATTGGGGTGTTCAGCCCTTACCATCTACTGGGTTTTATGTGCCAAGAAAAGATAGATGTTGATTTACCCTTGCTGTTAGATGATAGGCCTGTGGATTAGCTTTGGATGGGTAGGTCAGTGAGGAGTTTCCTTCCTCCTGAATTCTCTGACTAGTGTTTCTACTCTTCTACTCTAAAGCGTTCTATTGTGCTTTTTACTCTTATGCTTTCATGTTTTAATACTGATGAGACAAGGGGAGAAAACATCCTGGATAGAAAATGAGGCCTGTCCTATGCAGAGCTAATGAGGCCAGTGGAGTAGTAGAGAAGGTCAGTCCTGTGAGCTTTTCCCTAGGTGTTCCTTTTCGGGCCCTTCTCCTTCCCTCCTACTTTAAAGCGCGTTCTGTCTGAGTCTATGCAGGGTTGTCTGGCTTGCCTTCCACCTGGTGGGCACTGGGGGATGGAATGGGAAACTTCCAGAAATCTGATGGCTTTTCTCTGTTGGATTATTTCCAAAAACAGCACCTGTCTCGTTGGTTGTGCCTAAATGCCTCAGTTCTAAGTCCCTTCTTGTGGCTTTCCCAGAGGAATACATTTCAGTGTAGATTATTCAACACTATCTTGTCAACCTGTGGGCATTTCCCAGCAGCCACTTAGTAGTAATGTTGACAAGCTACTGTGCTACTCACCAGAACTCCAGCCCTGTGGGGGAGTCCATTTGGTCAGACTAATAGTAGAAAATGGCAGGACCTGGATGCAGGAGAGGGAGTGTAAATGGTTTGGTAATTTGAAATTAAAGGTTAATGCTTTGAAATCTGGTAATGGGCAGCGCCAGGGTGAACAGTGCACACTGCTGTAAGACTTAATCCTGGTTGCTATGGAAACTACCTCACAAATCTCCCACCCCTTTCAACCAGATTTGACTGGGTTTAAAAAATAAATAAATAAAACCATTCTTCATCATTGAAAAGCTGTTTGCCCCCTTCCCCAAACTCCAGGTCATTGCTCACCTTGAGTTTCTTTCAAAAGTTTTTCTGAGGCTTCCCCAGTCAGATGGGCTGGATCTGTTAGAGTTTGGGCCTGGCTCTTTGTGTGGAATTTGAATAAATAGCATTAACATGGGAATTAGAAGACACTTAAGTGTCCAATGTGGGCAGCATGTGCAAGCTTGCTCTCCTGCTGGCCTTGAGGAGGCGTCATAGTTTCAGTCCTGGCACTGGACAGGGCCACTGACCACAGAATGCACTTCCTCATTCCCCATGTATGGGGGGCTCTGAGGAAGCCCAAGGAGCTGCTCTTCGTCTCAGTGCTGTGGAGTGTTCCCAGATTCTGCTGCAGGGCTGCCAAGCACTGGCCTATGAGGAGCAAGAACAATCCACAGAAGTTCGTTTCATGTTTGGAAGGCATCTGAGACACAACTGCATTCTCTCCGTCATTTTATTTCATCATTAGAGCTTTTTCCAATTTACTTAAATGACCCTCTTAATCTAGACCTTGTAAGTTTTTGGGCTTTTTTTAACCAAAGCTTCTTCACCCTTTGCCTATGATGAAGTAAATGAGATCTACATCTCATTTGGCTCCCTGCAAGATTAGCTTATAGGCTTCTAAAGTAGGCTTTGTAGAAAACTTTCTATTCAAGCTTTCTGGATTCCCTGTAGTTTTTCCTTAATATACTTATTATACTCTGTAATGCTGTTACAATAGCATTCCTCAGTAAACCCTCGTAACTCCCATGCTTACCTTTACTATGAGTAGGAAAATATTTAAATCCACTGGTTAGTCTGCGGCTGGTGGAGAAGTTCCCATTTCCCTGCCCTTGTGTGCCTCCTTTTCCTGAGCTTGTACATCTGCTAGTGATTTTTCTAGGGTTAATTTGGGTGTTTTTATTTTTAAATTGGAACATGGTGTCTGTCTCTTCTCTGTGTGTGTTTTGGATGCAGCCCCTGTGCTAGGCATGCGGTTATTAACTCCACTGATATACCAGTTCGCTCATTAGCATTTGCATTTTAAATTACAAGCTAGAGCAGACGACATTTATGCTATATTTGTACCATTGCCTTCTTCATGAATGATGTCGTATGTGCAGGGAATGCAGAAATAACTCTTCTAAGGCCCTGATGTATTTTAGTCTCTTTTTTAGCAAACTGCTATTTCTTTTTTACTCTTGATTCTTATTGTTTGATAGGGAGTTTTTTTTTTTTTTTTTTTTTTTAAATTTTCCAAGTTTAGACCTATTTGTGAGTGCTACTGATTGGGAAGTGCTAACGACAGACCAGCCCTTCATATCAAAATAGGCATATTGCGTAGAGTGGCCATTTTTCCCTTTCACGTGGTGCTCCTTGTAAGCAGCCTGCCTTGATTTGAGAGGAGGGAGTTTTTTCCTCCACAGTTTGGTGGGTGGGAAGACATGGTAACAGTTACTTGTTCTTGCTAGTATTCTTGCTCACATCCCTCTTTTTTATAGTTGACTAGTCAGTGGTTATTTAACACCTGTTAATTACTTGACACTGCAAGGGGAAAAAAGGAAATAGTGTATGCCTTCAAGGGTCTTATTTTTGACAAGCATTTATATTGCACTACAGTACAGCATATACTTAAATATTAATATTGAGTGTAAAATACCAAGTTAGAGGTGGGTCTTTTAAGTGAGATTTGCCAGGAGCAAAGGTCTCGTGGAGCAGCCGTTGCTCTTGCCAGATGGTACAATAGCTTCAGCATCTGCATCTCAAGAACTGAATCAGAAATGCACAGTCATAGATCATGGATCTGTGACTGAAGCCTTCCTAGGCTTGCCTCATTGTGCCTAACATAGTGTCTGGTTTCTAGCAGCAGGATGAGGGCAGAAAGCGAGCTCTGGTAGATAGGTCTGTGTTTGTGCCATTTTGCTTTCCTCTGTGAGCTCTAATTTTGGTTCTCTGAGTTCTGTTGCAGAGTTTCTTCCTGTTGGTGAATGCTAACTTTTAAAACATCACATGAAAAATACAGGGAAGTCATACTGGAGGTAAATGTGCATTGTTGTTAGGCAAGCACAAATTCTGCAGTTGATAGAAACTATTTTTATTTCCCCACTTTCTCCCTAAAGGTTTTCTCTGATATAATCTTCATTCTTCTAATAGCTGTTGGAATAACCAAGACACGAAGAGTTGCATTTGATGCTGATAATCCAAGTACAGATGATACATTAATTCAGAACCTGATCCCTTTAAGGAGTCTCATTGCTGCACATGGCATATTATACATTAATAATATGGGGTAATAGCATTCTGAGCCTCTTACGTGGATCCATTTCATGCTATGAGGTTGGCCTCACAGTGAACATTGCCATATCATACTCACTCCTTATTCCCTTAAAGAATACATCTTACTATTGGAATGAGTGCTGGGTGGTTGGTAGCTTTGGTTCCTTCAACACAGTAGCACTTGAGCTGTGCCACTTCACAATCCAGTTCTACTTCATGTTTGATACAGCTTTGTATATTTCTTTTGATTCTATTAATCATTGTAATAATTTCTTACCTGGAATCTATTGATTCATAGTTTCTAAGAAATCCATACACAGCACATCAGAGCTCCAAGTGGGGTCCAAAGTCATGTGAGGGGGTCCTTAGTTCCCACCTCACCTCAATCTTCACATTAGTTCATTTTCCATAAATAAAAATACTCATGAAATTCTTTTGAAAAAGTGATGGGCAGGAGGACAAGACAAAATTGATAAAGAATTGTTACCTATCTCTGTATTTATCCTACGAACGTGGTCCATTTTGGGTCCATTGTTTGCTGTGCCCTTCTGTGTCTTCCATGAAATCCAGGCTCCAGACATAGGCCTTTGTGCTTCAATCTTTAGCTTCTTTTGGTCTCTGTGCCTGTTACCTGGCAAAGTTGTTCTCTAGAAACTGGTCAGCTGTGCCTATGAGGGCAAGTCTAGATCTCGTGGAGGAGATGAGTGGGACTCTAGAGACTTGAGAGAGGTAAGACAGAACAGGAGGTGCCATTGGCTGGCATTACCTGTGCAATCAGATGAAGGTGCATTTGGATGGTGTGGCAGCAGGCACCTAGATGGCACTCGGCACATTCATTTGGTAACGTTTAGAAATTGCTCCTTAACTGTGCTGATGAAAGCAGTTTTGACGAACAACTCAATAAAGAGCCATGGAATCCCACAGAATATGTTTCATTTTTTCATTACATTTGTTAACCCGTTGGAGGGCTGATTGCTGCCAGTCACTCCTCATCCTGCTGAGCTGGTGCCTCAGAGGAGGGCGGATGTGGCTCGACTGCGTTCCCTCAGCTGCCAAGCCATCCAGCCCTCTTGCAGTTCTCTGCATCTACTTCCACTATGCCATTGGCTCCTGACGGAAACCTTGAATTAAGTGGGTTAGAAATAAACTGCTTGAATGCATTTGTGCAGATAGCTTCTCTCACCAGCTATCTGAAGTGCTTTTTGAAATACACGGGAGCCCTTTGTAAGCTGCTTTATAAGCTGTGAAGTCCATTGTTGCTGCTCTCTGCAGCCAGCGTGTCTCTAACCTAAGTAATGTCTACTTGGCTCTGGGCCAGGACTTGGTATTGGAATCTGGCGTAAGCAGCAAAGCCGCCCACCAGAGTCACTAGCAGCTGTTGCAAGTTGGAGGATTTGCAGAAATTGAGATTGCTGTTCCCAGATATTGGCACTTGCCTGGTGATGAATGACCGAGTCTGTGCAAAGGGACTCTGTATGCTTTCCTTCAGCCTTTTATTCTCAGCCCTCTATTGTGGCGCCTGCTCAATGGCCCCGTTGTGGAGGAGGGTGGCTGAATGGAGGGGTGAGTGGCCTGCCTCTACTGTCATTCCCTCCCTCAGTTGGCCTAAACTGAGTCATTAATAATAGCTCTTTGATCCCCTGAACCGGTTCTTGGGGCAGGAATTTCATGGCACATAGCACAAATGCCAAAGGCTAAGAATCCAACCTTGAGAGAATAGAGAAATGAACTTCACCTGAGAGTGAATTGAGCCCTGCATTGATTACTGTAGTGCCCTTTTGCCTTAATCCACCCATCTGCTCCAGAATAGCCAGGGAGGTAAGACCAAGACCAGAAAAGGTCTATTCAGATAAGGGGTAGTGTTTATTTCTGATATGATTGCCCAAGAATGAACTTTTCAGAGGGTAATGCCACCTCGTATAATTTCTTCTTATCACATATTCCCATGCATATTCATATATGCATATGCTGAAACCAGTGTTACAGTGCCATCTTCCTAGAGATTACACTGCAAAGAAACAGCCTCAATTAACTGCCATCCACCCTCCTGACTACATCCCCCTCTATCACTCCCTCTGACATCACTGTTTCATCATCAGATTGTAAGATGCTTGAGGGTAGGGACCTTGTCTGTCTTGTCACTGCTGAACCCACCATAACACTGCCTAGAATAGTGCTTCACCAAGTCAGCACTCACTAGAAAGTTCTTGGATAAATGAATGAGCACTGATGTTTCTTGGCTAACGTTTTGACTCTTTTAAAATTTAGAAAGGCTGTGCGTGGTGGCTCACGCCTGTAATCCCAGCACTTTGGGAGGCCGAGGTGGGCGGATCACGAGGTCAGGAGATCGAGACCATCCTGGCTAACACGGTGAAACCCCGTCTCTACTAAAAATAAAAAAATTAGCCAGACATGGTGGCGGGCACCTGTAGTCCCAGCTACTTGGTAGGCTGAGGCAGGAGAATGGCGTGAACCCAGGAGGCGGAGCTTGCAGTGAGCCGAGATCGCACCACTGCACTCCAGCCTGGGTGACAGAGCGAGACTCCATCTCAAAAAAAAAAAAATTTTTTTTTAGAAAGCAAAATAACCCTACAGTTTCCATAGAGAAAGAGTGCTAGAGCCACAGCAGCCCTGCAATCACATACGGAACCAAACTGGGTGTCTCTCAGGAGAACTGGATTAATTCCTAGATCTGCCCCCAAAGTAACAGAGCCTTGAACAGGTCACAGAGCCTCGCCAGGCCTCAGATTTTTTTCACAGAATAAGTGGTTTGGATTAGGTTTCTCTAAGATTCATTCCACGTCTGAGTTTCTAATAATAGTTTTCACTTAATGAGTACTTACATGCTGTGGATTAACTCATTTGATCCTTACCCACAGTCCTGTGAGGCAGGCACCATTACACTACAGTCTCCATTTTGCAGATGAGAAAACTAAGGCCTGGGAAAGTTAACTCACTTACTAAATAAATAGCAGAGCATATTTTCTTGATCTCCTCATTTAGAACGCAATGCCCTAATTGACATTGAACATATTTATCTCCAGGTAACAAGGGACCTTTCCAATCTTCCCTCCATTCACTGCATCTGCGTGTACTCTCTTATTGGCTAGGAATCAATCTGGTACTGCCTTTCTTTTGGGATGATCAAAAGCAAAGCATAAGAATGGGACAGTGGCAGTGACCCTAAGTAGGAAGTGTAGTAATGAAGGTATGAATTTTTAGTTGTTTGGGGGTTTGGATTTGTTTTATTGTCCCCAGAGATGACACCAATAGGAACATATCTAAGATGAGAGCATGGCTAAGACATGTGATCATAGAGCAAGAGAGAGCAGGTCAGACCTGTGGGATGGGTTTATGAGCTGGGGCATTTATGGATAAATTAAACTTTAGCCCTGAGTAAGCAAAGTCCTAAGCCAGTTATTACTGCTCTGGCACTTCTAATGGGCCCTATGCAACCCTTATAAATTATTCAGCTACTTTATTAATAAAAGACCAAGCAACTTGCCTAGTCCTGGTGATACTTAAGTGTATAGCTTAGAGAGTGCAAGTTAGAGGAATAGAATATTTGCCATCCACCAAGGAATCCTCTTTTCTAATATGGAGGTGAAAGGGTTAAACTGACTACCTTGAAGAGCAGAGTTTTGAGATAGAGTACATGAAACTGGCATTGAAATGTTAACAGTGTCTGCTAAAAAAGGGCTTTCCTCTGAGGAAGTGGCTGTTGAGATTTCCTGGACTGTTGCATCTGATGCACCTTTCACAGAATGGCATGACTATGGCGAGTAAGTGTCCCAGGAGATCCACCATTTAAGCCTCAAGTTTTTTATTTTTGTTTTTAATAATTCTTATGCCTCTTTATTTTGATATAATTTTACACTTACAGAAAAGTTGCAAGAATACAAGTACAAAGATCTTCCATTTACCCTTTATTAAATTGTTAACATATTGCCCCACTAGCTATTTATGTATTTTTAGAACCAGAAGATTTTGGTCAGATTGCTTCTCACATCCATAAGAACAGAAAATAATGTTTTTCCATCTCATATAGAAAATATTTTTTCTAGAAGTTCAAGGGGTCACCATTCTTGTTTCATGATATTGTTCCAGCTTAAAAGGCGACTCATGGCAGTTGTACATCCTGGTTTTCCAGGGAAACTTCTGCTTTCAAGTTCTCTGTTCAAATTCCAGACCAACTGTGAGGCCAGGGGTCTTTTTGGATCAAAACTTAGCATTCTAGCAGCTTTGGGTTGGGGCTTCTGTCAGGCTGAGATGTTATCAGGGGTGAAAGAACCTAAAAGTATAATAGCATTTAAGTAATGTAGTTTACAGCCCTGTCTGGAAGCCTCTGGAAATGTGTACATCTCAGGATATTTGCATATTTGCTGTCTGAGTTTTTCATGCTGCCCCTAGATATGCCAGGAGCTTTATAATGTTATATTCTTTCAGATTTCAGGAAATAATGAGTCAGAAGTATGGCAAAATAATCCACTTCATATACACTTCGAAGCATGTTTGGATTCTGTTATTTAATGGCACTATGAGAATATCAGTGTTTTCGTGGTGAACTATAAATATTAGCTGAATGCCAACCTGCTGAATGCAGATGGACAGCACAGAGATGAGAGGGCCCTCAAGGTGGCGCTTCCCAAGACGCCAGCTACAGAGGCACGGATGGCAACTAGTACCTGAGGACTCTGGGCGCTGGCCTTACATGTCATGGCACAGACCAAAAGGAAGACTCTTATTTTTTTCAACTTTGCACACTCTTATCATATTTGCAGTTCCCATCCACTCTGAGTCTTGGGTCCTTCTGCATTTTCACTGAAATGAATACTATGTTGGTATGTGTCCTTGTCCTCATTGATTATGTCTCTTTTGCCCTCACTCAGCTCTGTTTTCCCACCCATCAGTGAATAGTATGGATTTTATGGCCAGTTGTTTTATTGGCCCCAGAGATGACAAGCATTGTGCCAATAATGACCCCACCATTCTTAGCTTTTGCACTTCTTTTGCCCCCATTGCTATCCATGATCCTATGAAGTCTGCAAGGAGACTGCTACTTTTGGGTACAGCAGGACACACACAGTGTAGTAGGGTTGAGGTAGGAAACCTAATTCAAGGGGAATAAAATAGGCGAAACATGAGGTGGAAATATTTTAGAGGGAAGTTGATAATGGAAAGTTTAGTGAATAAGAAATTGGAAGACCTTATTTCTCACCCAGACTGTAGTGATTCCTGTATGGCCTTAAAACAAAGCTCACACAGGTATCTGCCCCCACTTCTCTGATTCTCATTGTCTGCCTTTATAGGCTGTACCTCCCTCTCAACCCCCCATTGTTAACTCCAGGTTATAGTCCTAGCTATTGGCCCTGGATTATATTAAATGGTAGCTGATGTTCTTTCAAGGGCTAAAATGCCATGATCTTATGAATCCTGCCCCTTACTATCTTACATTTTGAGTTTGAAATCAAGTCAGCTGATCAGTAAATTGAGTTGATTAAATTTTTGCCCTGACATAAATGTAATCTGTATGAGTAGGAGATGACAGCTTAGAAGACCGTCTGTGTCTTCCCGTAGTTCATCAGATAAACACTCTAATTGGATAACAGAGCTCAGTTTTAAAGTAGACTGAGCTCAAAGGTGAGCTAGCCAAGGGCTAATGCTAATGCCATCTATCCAATTCTCAGAAGAGCAATTAGGGCCCTAATGAGATGAGGACCTTGGGCTTTGGTGATAGCACCAGAGAGAAGTTGAGAAGCTATGTTGAATGGCCCTACCAGCTTCTTTGGGGCAAGCTGCTTGTTTGGGATTCACCCATTGCTCAAATGTCTCCCAGATATTTGTGCAAGATCTGGACCCCTGCATAGCCCAACCCTCTTCCGTTCCCAGTTCTCTTCTTGTTAGGATTATAGATTCATGGTGCTAACCATTTGATTTATCTTTGATTTGTCTTTCTTTGTCAGGTGCTCATTTTTAAGGCTACCGATTTAAACACATAAGCTGAGAAATAAGTTTCAAGTTCTGTTAGAATGCTGTTTCGCCCACTTCACACATGTGGTATATTAAGGGTTCACCTTTAGCAACAGCCAATTAGTAATTGCCAATACTGCTTATGTGCAGTGTGGGATTCTTAACAGTTGCTATGAGAACCTTAACTTTTGCATTCCCTGACTCATTTTACATGAACAATGCAAATGTGAAGAGATTTGAAGGGGAGGGATGAGAAGACAGGGAGCTGGCAAATAAATGAAGCCCTGTTCGCTCTTAAATCACTTTGAATGGTAAGTTCTTGGTGCTCATTCTGTTCTTCCACCTCAGGCTCTCTCATACACATTTGTTTTCCCTGAACCCTTAAGAAAAAAGTAAAATAGTTTGACCTTTATTTGCATCAAACTTAAAAGCAGTTCAAGTTCACTACTTAGCAAGAAGATTGCCTTTAATGAGCCAAGTTTAAAAGAGCTGGATTTTTATCTCTTAATGTTTGGAAGGAGATGAGATGTGCATACACACTGAGAAAGTAAGCTTACAGCTTTAACTATTAAATTCAAAACTGAATCACTCTCCCAGCAGCATTTAAGAACAAAAAAACTGTGTGGGTTTCTTTTGTTGTTTTTTGTTTTGGGGGACAAAAAGCATCTCATACAGTATGTGCCTGTGTGTGAAATCTTGCATTTTGAAAAACACCCTTCCCTCAGCAGACCAGAAGTCATCTTTACTTGTTTTGAACATCACCTGAGAACAAAATTTCTTTTCCAATCCATGGTCCTTTGCCTTATTTGAAGCTGCCTCCCAGCTTGGATTTGGCCCCAGCACAGGGTGAAATGTGGGTTAGATCCTCTGAAGAAGGAAAAGGTGCTTCCCTCAGCCTTTGTCAGCACTAATGGCCAGCTGTGTTTTGTGCTCTATCACTTTGTTTTGCCTTTCCCTTGTCATTTGGTGAGCCAGGCTTTATGCTGAATAGAAGATAAAGAGTGCTTATCCTCCACTCCCTTCCCTCTCAGTTCTCTTCCTCTCACTGTACTTGAAAGAAAACTGGAATGCTGGGACAGAACTTCTTGATTTGCCCTTTAGAGTAGAAGCTGTAAAGAGACTGTGGTCACCAGGACCCCATGAGCTTTAGGATCCCAAGAGCTTTAGAATAGTGCTTTCCAAACTTATTTAATGGGTCTGGAGTTGGGCCAGAGAATTTGCATTTCTAGCAAGTTTCCAGACGATGTCAATGCCAGTGATTTGCAGACCCCTCTTTTGAGAAGAAAGGGCCTAGACTTCCCTCCCCCTTTTTTTTTCCTCTAGGTTTGGGAATTACGAAATATTCATTGTATACACAATGCGTTAATGGCTAAGAGAACAGGTTCTGGAGCCAGTCCCCACCTAGTCTAAGTTTAGGCTCCCTAACTTGCTAGATAAATGAAACTCTCAGTTTCCGCATTAAAGAAGTGGAGAAAAAATAGTGTCATTGTGATCAGCAGATCATCCTTGTGATGTGCCTCTTATCCGGTGACACAGCATTTGTATGATGCAAAGAAAGCCCTAAGTGGCCATTTCGATCCAGTACTTGATACATGAATTGAATCCTGTCCACATAAATGCTATTGTCTGGGAAGGCCTTTGCCTTATGACATTTTAGGGCATATCCTTGAACCAATACTGTACATGACTTTCCCTCCCATCCATGAAATGAAACTACAGTCCTGTTACATTCCCTCCCTCCTGCCCAGATTCGCCCTTGTTTGGTAAGAGGTGCAGAGCTCTTAGTGTGCATACTAGGCTGGTCTGTCATTGTGGCCACATCTTACAGAGATGTAATGGTGGCTGCAGATTAAATCTCAGATGTATATAGGATTACAGACTCTTAAAAAAGATTCTGGACTGCATACTCATTAGGATGGCTACTATCAAAAAACTAAAAGATAGCAAGTATGAGCAAGAACCAATTTATTATTTTTTTTAATCCCCAAACATTTGATATGCAAGCAAGCACCATTTCAGAACAAATCTAGATTTGGAACCCTTGTGCACTGTTTGTGAGATTGTAACATGGTTCAGCTGCTATGGAAAGTAGTATGGAGATTCCTCAAAAAAAATTTAAATATAATTACCATAGGATCCAGCAATTCTGCTTCTGGGTATATATCCAAAGGAAATGAAATCAGTATCTTGAACAGATACTTGCAGTCCCCTGTTCATTGCAGCACTTATTCACAATAGCCAAGATAATTCAAACAACCTAAATGGCCATCTAGGAACCAATGGATAAAGAAAATGTGGTATATACCTACAATGGAATGTTATCTAGCCTTAGGGAAAAAAAAGGAGATCCTGCCATTTACGACAACATGGATGAATCTGCAGGTCATTATGCTAAGTGACACAAGCCAGTCGCAGGACAAATATTGCATGATTCCAGTTACGCGAGGTAACTAAAATAGTGACACTCATAGAAACAGAGAATAGAGTGAATGGTGGTTGCCAGGGTCTGGGAGCCTTGGGAAACAGGGAGTTGTTGCTTGACAGGTCTAAAATTTCAGTTATGTGAGACAATTAAGTTCTAGAGATCTGCTGTACAATATTGTGCCTATTGTAAGAGTACTTTATTTAAAAATGTGTTGAGAGGGTAGGTCACGTGTTAAGTATTCTTACATTTCTATGGAAGGGGATAGGGAGAGATTCTGCTTCTTAAAAGTAATTTCTTCTTGTGAGTAAAGCTAATTTTGGGGGATAGAATGTGGTGGTCCAAAACGGGGGTTGGAAATATGAGGCTGAATTGATTAAAGAATGTGCCTGAGATCAGGGTCCATTGCATAAATCCTGGTCCCTGACCCTCTTTTATTAGTATGTGTGGGAGCCTTAGCAAGTGACCTTAGGTGTTGTCTTGTGTCATTGAAAAAAGCAAAAACAAAACAAAACAAAACCACTTTATCTAGCTGAGGATGCTTTCTTTCTTTTCCTGGACTTATTTGGACCTGCATGTTGCAAAATCTACATTGCTACATAAAAAGAGGTAGCTCCTATTCATCCTTCACTTCTCAGTTTTAATACCACTTTTTCCCAGAGCAGAATAAGCCCTTCCCCCTCATCATGGGTTCTAGCTCCCTGTAGTTCCCCACCCTTACTTATTTCCTATTTAGTGGAGGCTTTCTCCAAAAGACTCTAAACTCCTTGAAGTTTTTGTGTTGCTTGTCTCTATTGTATCCCCACCTAGCAGTCCTTGTCACATAGTAGATACTCAATATTTGTTGAATAAGTGGAAATTTCATCTATACAGGAAAGCGATGTATATTCTTATATATAAGTTTATTGCTTAGCAGGTTTTGATCTTGATTTCTGTGGGATATCATTTCCAAGACATTAATAGATTTTTGTTTTGTAGTCATATTTGTGGCACCAATGTGCATTTCCGAGAATCTCCTGAGAGGCTGTTCTACCTCCAGGAATGAAGACTGCATCTAAATAGAGATCATCACTATTTCCAAAGGGCAGGCAACAACCACAGAGGATGCAAATTGATGGAACAAGCTCAGGGAGCAGGAAAACACAAACGTCTCTGAGAAACTGTTAGCTGTAGGCTGAAAATTAGGAACTCTGAGCTTTCTTGTATTTTTTCAGACCCCATGGCCTAGCAGCCCCTGGAGATTCCTCAGTAGATCCGTTAGCCACTGAGGAAAGCAGCTGTGTTCGATTTTATGGCTGTTTGCTTTAGCTTTCTGTGCTTGTAACTCATTTTTGACATGACAGTTAACAACAATCTAGATTATCTCTGAAGTTGCTTATCAAAATTGAAAGTGTCAGATACCCAATATTTTGAGGCCCATAATTAACGTGAACATTTTTACTTAATGTAGATGCCTGTAAAACATCTTTTATCAATAGAATCTCAACCATTTTTTCATAGTGTGGGTGACTGTAGCACAAGTAAGAGAAACCTACAGTCAGAAGAAAGGGGCTGGCTGCAGTGGCTCACACCTGTAATCCCAGCACTTTGGGAGGCCAAGGCAGGAGGATTGCTTGATCCCAGGAGTTCGAGACCAGCCCTGGCCATATAGTGAGACCCCCATCTCTACAAAAAATTTAAAAATTAGCCAGACATGGTGGTGTGCACCTGTAGTACCAGCTACTTGGGAGGCTGAAGTGGGAGGATCACTTGAGCCTGGGAGGTCGAGGCTACAGTGAGCCATGGTCACTCCACTGCACTCCAGCCTGGGTGACAAGACCGTGTGTGTGTGTGTGTGTGTGTGTGTGTGTGTGTGTGTGTGTGTGTGTGTGTGTGTGTGTGTGTGTGTGTATGTATGAAAAGAAGAAAGCATCTGTAATAGGGTGTTTGATTCCTCGCCTGCCAACATCAAGATCTGCTAATGGGAGCAGAGGTCTTGTCCTGGATCTCTTTTCCGTCCCCTGAACTTTTCCTCCCTCCTATTTTACCACCCCACACACTTCTCATTCTAAAATTCCTCTTCTAGTCTTTTTTACTTTCAATCTCTTTTCCCACCTACTTCTATTTTTCCTGCCTTTAAGTTTTTTCTCCCCCACTCCTTCCCTCTAATAGGAAAGGAGGGCAAATATGAAGTAAACATTTGCATGTGCATGTGGACTGGACCAGTTAGTCTCTGTGTTCGTGGCTTTTATATGGATTACACACTTAATCTCCCTTAACTCTCTCAATCTGCCTTTTATTTAGTTTATTGTCATAATGACACTAATTGGGGCAGTAAAAGAAATGTCAAGTAAAAAGTGAAAAGTGCTTTTGATGGAGAAATGTTTTTCCTCGTTCATTCCACCAGCAATCATTTTCACTTGGATTTGAAGGTATTGGAAAACAAGTCTTGTTAATTTTCATTTATTCAGTGACTGCTTATCCAATTTGGCAATTATCACTTCCTTCTCTGGTCTCTCCTGCTGCTACTCTTAGCCTTTTCACGGTTCCTCTTCCACCATAGGGAAGGAGAAAAGGAAGGAAATGAAATTTCAGCATTCAGTGTAGCTACTTATTTTTTAATTTGATCAGTTGATTACTGTAAGGCAGTGTATAGGTTTGAGATGAACTGCATTTAGATTTGGGAAATTGAATTGGCTTTAAATATATATATATTTGCTATCTTACAAGCTCCTCGTGGGATTGTGGGCAAAGATGGACCTGCTGATTGATGCGGACTGGACAGTGGATAGGGTGGCTATGTGAGCACCTCTCAGTGAAATGAGTCAGGCAGAACCTGCTTTCCTTCCTTCCCCCCTTACTCCAGCAAATATTTCTGGAATGCACACTGTGTTCTGGAGACACAGCAGGAAACAAAACAAAAGCCCACCTTCATTAAGCCAACAGTGGGGTTTTGTATGGAGATGCTGTACTAAAGATCTTATCTGTGAAAATATCTATCTTTACTCCCCCCAAAATGCAGTCTATAAACCTCATTACTGCAGGAGCCCTTATTATTACCTGCTTGGGTAAAACAGTCCCTCCCCCATTTTTGCTTGAGTTGTGCTTCTCCTTGATTAAATAGTGGCTCCGATGGTCTCTTGAAGCAGGGTTGAAAGAGACTCTGGGGAGATCATCTCATCTTTTAATCTCTTATGTCTTCGGCTTTGTATGGAGCAGCCCTCTCTCTCTTTCCCTGGAAGCTCAGGCTCCATCCATGTGACCACTCTCCAAGAGCTTTGTGTTTGTGTTGGCAGAAGTTAGGATCTGGAGAGCAATATTTCTTACAGATTAATTGCCAAAGTAATTATATTGTAAAATAATATGCATGATTGATATTTAATATATCCCTCTCCAGGGAGCTGGAGAGCTTCATTGATTTGGGAAGATGAGCCAGTTGCTTGTTTAGGAGCAGAGCTTTGTATGAAAAGCCAAATTGATGGCCTGGACCTAAAGACAAAGAGCAGGTGATGGGAGGTGGATAAAGCACAGCCTCCAGAATCATAAAGGGTGTTGCACCAAGAAGTCTCCCACCAGTTCCACTTCCAGAAATCACAGATCTCTAGGAGATGACAAGCAGCAGGTTCTCTTGCTGAGACTCATGTCTTGTTTAGAATGAGTATCCCTAGTATCTGCAGTGGGATCCTGCCAATAAAGAATCTCCTCCCTGCCCTGTTGCTGGCACTGGTTTGAAGGATACTGGCTCAAGAGCAGTATCTGGCATCTCTGTAAAGTCTCTTCCTCTCCTTTCTTGTTGAACAGGGCACATGCAGCTTCTCTGTGTGGGTGACGTCCACATAAGGAGAATGCCTTATTTATTTTAGGTCCATGAGCTTGCGTAATGTGCCTATTTAACACCCTCCTAAAAGCGCTTTTCAGCACATGAGCAAGTAACGAAGCCCACTAAATCCTGCCTCTTCTGGGCACACTGGGCTGTTTAAGGTTGTTCCTGCGCTGTGTATTTATGGATAGGAGCTGGAGTTATGACATTTATTTCTGTTGGTTAGGGCACTGATATATATCTGCCTGCATCTCCCATGGAGAACCGCACCTTATCTTGAGAGAGAGATGAGAGCATTCCCATAACTCATCCTGCCAAGCACTGGGACTGTCAGGGTGGGAAGCTACTTCTCTCCCCCTAGCCAGTGGAGTTGTGGGGGGGTGGTGGCACGTGGTTATGCAGAGAGACTTTGGTGGTAAAATTATCTAGGATTTAAAACAGGAGAGAGAAAAATGTAGCTCCTAATAAGCTCTCCTTTTGCTGTCATGCTTTGTTCAACCTGCCCCCCAGTCCCCTTTCTCAGGCATATCATCAGCAATCCTTGGGGTCTATAGAATCAGTTTATTCCAGTCTTTTGCTCTGACAGGATTCTGTCTCCTAACCAGTCTTCTTCTGTTCTCATGACCCTTCTGGCCTGTCTGCCTTGTACAAGGGAGACCATTCTAAGACACATATCTGCTCACATCATGCCCTGCTTATAACTTCTCATCAGTTCCTTTACCTTCAAAATAAGACATACATGGCCTTCATGATCTATACCCTGTTCATCCTTCTAGCTTCGTTACCCACATTCCCCCACCATCCGCTCTTCCTGAGCAGGAGCACTTGAAGAGTCCAAAACTAGTCTTACTGGCCTCAGGCATCTAACCCTTTCTGCTCTCTACTTGGAATGCCTGTTGCCTTCTCTCTTTTTATCATCACCTCCCAGAACCTGGTGTAAGTAAGTATATGGCTCCAAAGAAACCTCAGTTTAGCATACATGTCTCTCTTCCTCTAGCCTGTGTTCCTTGTTTATCTCCATATGCCCAATCCTTAGCACAATGCCTATCTTGTAGCAGATGTTGCATCTGTGTATGCCAAATGAACAGAGATTGTCATCTAGTGATCTCCTGCGAAGTCTCTGCTCCCGCCTCCTTGCTCTATGACCATACCTGCTCCCTGAAATCCAGAGCCCCAGTATGTCACTTGCTCCAATTGCCCCTGCATTTATAGCTGGACTGTGGCAGATACATCTGGATACTTTGTCTCCAGGAGTAAGTCCATGTTGAGGAGGTGGTACACTTGGAAAATCAGATTAAATACTCCTTTAATATTTAATTAACTCTCTTTAGCTCACTCCAGGCAGTGAGCATCTGCATAAAGGTGAGGTGAGGTTACAGAACATCTCTGGAAGTTCATGTGAGAAAGAGGAGACAGGGCTAGAGTGGTCAGGAGAGGCTCGATGGATGGCCTAGAGCTTCAGCAGATCCCTAAGTCCTGTTTCCTGCACTGCCAATGATTATTATTGGCCTACTGCTGAGTTCTAAGAACAGGGGCAAGCTACAGTTTAGGGCACATTATCTCTTAGTTATCCCAGGCCTGAGTGCTATGGTTGGGATAGTTTGATGATACGTGTTTACACATCTGCACGTGTGCATGTGTGCATAATTTTTTGCTACCTTCTTCCTTGACACTATCTCTTGTTTATTTTATTAGATATTACTTACCACCTTCTATCACATTGTATAATTTACTTGCTTCTTTTACTATCTTTTCCCCCTCTTCAGAATATAAAGTTCATGGAGGCAGAGATTCTTGTCTGTTTCAGTCCCTGTCATATCCTCAGCACCTAGGACACTGCCTAGATCAGAGTGGGCATTTAATCAATAGAGACCGTTTCCCTAAACAGGAAAATATTGAGAGGCCGTCTGAGAAACCTAGTATCTACCAGTCTACTATTCAATGTTCTGTGGCCAGTAGAACAGCAAATTATTAAGTTGCATGATCCTATAGTTCTGTCCCCAGGTCCCCAAGAAGATAGGTCCAAGAACAGTTTTTCTTCAAAGGTATCTTGTTATGTTGTCCCTGCTGCTTCTGAACCATGGGAATAACAAAATGACAGTGTTAGCACCATGTTGGCATCATTTGGAACTAGGAAAGCAGCCCGGTTGGCATTTCACTAACTAGTGTCCTCTCCTGTAGAAGTTCTCAGCATGCTGATGAGAACCTGGCCCTGTGTACGCTATAGCCAGTTAGATGGCCCTATCGTTGTGGGGGTGTTTCTGATGAATTGAAATTCATTCCCTCATCTTGTTCTGCTGCTTCCACAACTGCCATCCTATTGATTCAAAAGAGACTGAGAATATGACCTCCTGAGTTTCAGTGTCTAACATTGTGTTTCTTGGAAGGCTGTTGTTTCTATTCCACTTGTTATGTACCTTTTAAATGGCAAAAAGTTATACCGTTGCCTTGCTAGCCTTGGCTATACAGTACATATTCTGGGTCTTCCAGAGCAGGATTTCTCAGGATTCTTAGACTAAGAATTGTGTGATAATAATGATGGCTGCAGTTATTTTATTTATTTGTTTATGTATTTATTTATTTTTGTGAGATGGAGTTTCGCTCTTGTTGTCCAGGCTGGAGTGCAGTGGCTCAATCTCGGCTCACTGCAACCTCCACCTCCCAGGTTCAAGCAATTCCCCTGCCCCAGCCTCCCAAGTAGCTGGGATTACAGGCGCGAGCCACCACACCCAGCTAATTTTTTGTATTTTTAGTAGAAATGGGGTTTCACCATGTTGGCCAGGCTGGTCTCAAACTCCTTGCCTCAAGCATTCCACCTGCCTCGGCCTCCCAAAGTGCTGGGGTTACAGGCGTGTGCCACTGCCCCCAGCCTAGCCGCAGTTAATTGGGCCGTGATCACCAAGTATTCACCTATTTCTTCAGCTCATGCAGGTGTCCGTGTTGAAGGCTAGGGGGCATGAGGATACAAAGCAAACTATATGAAACAAAAGGCCAGTAGAATCTGCTGAAAGCTAAGTAGTATAGGGCCAACCCAGATCCAAGATTCAGATCAGCCATTGGGAGCTTCTTCCCTGTCAAATCTCACTGGTCCCTGCTACCAGTGAATTAGGATGAATCACTCTTCTGAATTATGTTAGTAGGCACTTAATGTTTACCAATGCTGTTACGTGCTTCATAGTAAATTATCTGATTTAATACATACAACAACCCTATTTTTATTTTCACTGTTACCCTTATTTTGCTGGTGAGGAAACTTTGTCCAGTCGTCTGTGTCCGTATCAACTCTGGAACTATTCAGGGCCTGGACTGCATAGCCATGCATGGTGGCCCTGAGATGCGCAGAACTAGGGCTAGCCTGAGCCACTTTGCTCCACCTTTCAGTGTCAGGATTGGCAGGAATGTTTAAATAGAGTCATGTAAGGCTAGAGTCCGGGTTTCTCACAGGGATTTGAGCTTCTGTGTGAAGGTATGTGAAACCCCTGGATAAATATGACACATCTTAGCTTGACCATTTTACCTCACTTTCATCCATGCTTACGTCCAGAGTGCCTGTCCCTTATGAAACTCTGCCTGCTCCATTTTGAAAGAGGTAAGTGGGGCTCTCCTGCTTTCCCCGCCTCTGTAGAATACATAGAGAGAGGAGAGCTGCAGAAGAGTAAACCACTGGACAACTTTTGGGAGGCATTAGGTATGAGTACCCAAGTAGAAGCACTGACTTCTCTGTCCCCTGAATTTTCTGCACACATAGAAAGTGTCACCTGAGATGAGAGTTGAGGGTACAGGGATGATGAGAGCATGCAGCATGCTGGCGGGTTCACTGATTGCTGCTCTTATTATGGTTCTAAGGCAGTGTTAAATTAGCCAATTAATAAAAATGAACACACCATTGGAAGCTACATTTGTGTGGGGTTTTTTGTTGTTGTTATTAAACTGGCTAATTTAACACCATCCTAGAGTGGTAGTGATGGTAATAGCAGCAGCCCACGAGTTCAGAAGAAGGTGGGGGTGATTCCCTCCCAAGCTTTCCCAGGCATTGCTGTGTGCTCTATGTCTTTACTCTGTGAGGAAACGGGATAAACAATAGCTAGACGTCCGCTGGCAGTCTTGGGACTCTGCAGTGTGCTAGCCAGATCCCTATCATCATGGCTATACCACTTAGGAGTGTTTCCCTGGCAGACTGCATTGCAGTCATTTTTATATACACATTCCTACACATGTAGCTGTCTATGTATGTCTTCATCCCTGGGTACCATTCTATTCTAACAGTGGCTTTCCATTTGACTCAGAGTGCAAGCTGGGTTCTTACTGTGGCCTGGAAGTGTGGCCTGTCTTCCCTGTGTTTTGTTTCCTCTCTCTGACCTCATCTCCTGCTCTTCCCACTTCACTGCCTCTACTCCTGTGTTGGGGCCTTTGCACTCTCTTCTGGATATCCTTAGGTTCAGTCCTTCTACTACTTCAGATCTTTGGTCAAATGCTACTTTCTCAATAAATGTTTCTCCAACCGTCCTCTTTAAAATCGCAAAACTACCCCATTCCCTCTCCCTCTTCCATAGCACTGTCACCATCCAACATGGTATGCATTTTACTGGCTTGTCTGTCTCTCTCCACCAGGATGTTAAATTGCGAGAAGGTGAGGATTTTGGTCTGTTTTGTTCATTGCTATGTATATCTCCCCAGCATGTAGAACAATGCCTGGCACATGGTAGGCACTTGATACATATTTGTTGAATGAATTGGCTCTAGTAGCCATGGTATTCCCCTATGATATGGAAATCTATGTTGTATCAGTTTTCATTTCACTCATTACTGGGTAAACATCACCCAGCAGAAGAGTTCATTGATGTTCCCTCTGGTTCCCCTGTTGCCTCTCGTCTGCTATCTATTCTTGCCCAGGTGGAAAAGAAGGAAGTGGAAACAGATCTGTTCTTCTAGCTGCTGGCCATTCGTCTCTGGAACTTACCGGGTGGCAAGACCAATCTAGCAGCACCTCTGCTTCTGTCGCTGCTTTCCCAGGCTCACATTACAATATCTAGGCCAATATTATCATTGCTGTCACAGACACCCTGTTTTTCTTAAGCTTCTAAAATGGATTCTCATTGCTAATTTCCTAGCACGATGGTGGGCATAGGCAGTACCTAAGACAGATAGTAAGTGCATCGTGTGGGACTACCCGCATTCACTTTATTGGTCCTTCCTCACTAAATGCCATTAGCAGCACACCGTCCCACCCCAGCTATTGCCACAACCAAAAATGACACCCAGCCCACACAAAACGTACACATTAGAAAACACTCTTTGGAGGTTGATACTGTTCCTCCTTGCAGATCTCCAATCTCTGGTAGAAGAAAGCAAGCATTGAATTACAGTCATCTAGAAAAGGGTGGAGTGCAGAAGTTTTGCTGAGCATTGAGTCTCCACCTGAGGTTAAGTAATGATGAATAATTAATAAAGTGCAATCAGCCTGGTTATATGAGGTTCTCCATTCAGCTATATTCTGTAGCCCTAGGCTTATCAGTAGCTGAGAAAATAGACATTAAATCTGTATCCACCATGATTCCTTTGTGTTGATGTAGGAAGAACAAATGGACCAGGTTGCAATCTATATTCAGATCTTCCCTGTGTTGTATTTTAGGAGAGAGATTAGGACCAGACTGAGAGTCTTTAAGGGATTATATCAGGTGCTGCAGTGCTACAGTGAAATTGAAATGAAAACTCAACTTCTGTGAGTTTCAATACTATTCTGCCAGCTGCCCAGAAACATCCTGGGATAAAGCTTAGGGGAATCCCAAGAGAAGTTTGGTCTTGGGAGAAGAATTTTTTAGTACCAAATGTGTCCATTCCTCTCCACCTGGACTTGGGAGGTGTAGGCACATCTCTGGCAGAGGGTGCCTCAAACCCTAACAAAGTCAGCTTTCCTTCTTCCTGCCAAGAGAGGGCATTAATTAAATACAGCCCTATCATTTTGGACAGTGTAAATTCACTCGTATGTGGGTCCACTGTATGTTTTTCCACAGCCCTAGCATTTTATCCTGATTGTTACTAAATGTATAAATAATGTAAAATATATACACACCTGCTTCACAAAATTAAAACTACAATACTTGGTTAACTTAGGAAGATCTAGTTGTAATATATTACATAAGTGTATTTTCTAAAAGAATCAATGAGGATTTTTTTCATACAGTAACTACAAATGGTGTTTACTTACATATTTTCTTCTTTACAAATAAAGCTGTATGATAGTAAGATCTAGATCCAGGCATCTTTATTCCGAGCCACTTGAAAAGCAAGCTGAAACTTGAGAACAGAAGAAACCTTAGGATGATAGCACAACAAATAAAATTAAATTCTTTGATTAAGTGTTTGCCACTGTAAAAAACACGTGCAAAAGCACTCATTTTCAAGAGAGGAGGGAAGAAAGCAGAACCTAAACCCAAAACAACCAAAATTTAAATACTACTTTTGCCATGTGAAATTGTCTAATCAGCCTCATTTTCTTCTATTGCCGTCATCAGCTTCTGTTTGTTCTGATGCTTCATTTTTAGTATCGTTGTGGGCTTATGAAAGCAGAAAGATTGCCTGAGTTGGAACAAGCTTTTCTACCATTTCCTATGTGTCCATTCTCAACCAGAATAAATCAGTGCAAATGCCAGTGTCCACTCCCTCGCCAGACCTTTGAGACCTAGTTGGAAGAAAAAGGGTATATTTTATCAAGCTACGTGAAAATCAACAGGACACCCTCCTGCAACAACAGAGTTGCCCTTTGTTGGCCGAAGCGCCTCTTATCATTACCTGTGAGAGCTGATTGGCCTGAATGCTCTCAGCACCTGCCCTGTGCATCACGTGATCGGATCCTATAAGTATCCTAAGATCATATTGCACAACTCTTAGAAATGAGTGAGAGAATTTAAAGGTAGAACAGCTACATTGGTACACATAATTTATGCCTTTTCTTGAGGTTACTAAAAAGAAAAAGTATTCCAGAGAGTTCTAATATAAAGCTGAGGAACTCTTTGTATAAGGGAGTATGATGTGTTCTCTCTCTGCTTGGAATTGCTGTGCTGGAAGGAAGATGGGGAAAGGGAATGAATATAGTCAAATAAATTAAGCCTTGAAACCCAAATAGTGCTGTGTAAGCAAACTGACTGCAAATCAAACAGAGGAGTGTTAGCAAAAGAATACACGATCTTGGTTGAGGCTGAACAAAACCAGGTTCTTTGTATATACGTATATATTTCTCTGGACGTGTGCAGAGTTGTTGCATTTCTACTCCCTTAATCTCAGACATCTTTGGCAAAATGTGTTATCTGTCCATGAAGAAGAAAACTGAAGAGTGTATTTCCCCCAAATGGCAAAGCGTAGGCTTTATCAAATGTAGACATGCCTGTTGGCAACAGAAAGCAGGATGTGTATGGCTTTTCTGTCTTTAGGAATGCCCATGTTTCCTATGTTTCTTACCATTTTTCTGGCTAGCATATAAATCTGAAAGGTTAGGTTATGGTGTGGGTCATAACCATCAGGCCCAGTCTATTCTCCATCCCCACTCTGCAGGCAGCTCTGACACTATTTCTGGAGCAAGCATTGAAAACTATCCGACTGTCTGGTTTTGTAGATGAGGAAACAGCACAAAGAAATGGAGTGGCATTGTCATAGTTACAGACTGTGTGAGTGGCAAAACAGAGGCTTCATCCACTGGACTTTCAGCTCTACAACTTGCAATCAGGCATAACATGTTCTTAACTTGCCTTTTTGAAATGACACCTCTCTGAGCCAAAGCTTCTCTAAGCATCAGTTCAAATGACTCCATGATCTCTTAGAGTCTGTAAAAAACTTGAGAGTAGAACATATTTTCTTCCTTCTTAGAACCTCAAGTCAAATCAACAATTACTTTATATTTATTGTGATGATCGCATTCTGTTTGATCTATTTTTCTCTAAGTTGTTAAACAGCCTTTGGCTAAAATCATTATGTTCTGACCTGAACAAGGAGATTGGGGCAGCTCTATTCTAAGCTGTGTGAAAATGCAAAGCATGGGCAGGGTGCAGCAAGTTGTTCACTTTGGATGGAATGTGGATGGTGGCTGAGTACCCAGAGATAAGACTAGAGCGGCATATTTCTTTTCTTTTTTTTTTTTTAATTATACTTTAAGTTTTAGGGTACATGTGCACATTGTGCAGGTTAGTTACATATGTATACATGTGCCATGCTGGTGCGCTGCACCCACTAACTCGTCATCTAGCATTAGGTATATCTCCCAATGCTATCCCTCCCCCCTCCCCGCCGCCACCACAGTCCCCAGAGTGTGATATTCCCCTTCCTGTGTCCATGTGATCTCATTGTTCAATTCCCACCTATGAGTGAGAATATGCGGTGTTTGGTTTTTTGTTCTTGCGATAGTTTACTGAGAATGATGGTTTCCAATTTCATCCATGTCCCTACAAAGGACATGAACTCATCATTTTTTATGGCTGCATAGTATTCCATGGTGTATATGTGCCACATTTTCTTAATCCAGTCTATCATTGTTGGACATTTGGGTTGGTTCCAAGTCTTTGCTATTGTGAATAATGCCGCAATAAACATACGTGTGCATGTGTCTTTATAGCAGCATGATTTATAGTCCTTTGGGTATATACCCAGTAATGGGATGGCTGGGTCAAATGGTATTTCTAGTTCTAGATCCCTGAGGAATCGCCACACTGACTTCCACAATGGTTGAACTAGTTTACAGTCCCACCAACAGTGTAAAAGTGTTCCTATTTCTCCACATCCTCTCCAGCACCTGTTGTTTCCTGACTTTTTAATGATTGCCATTCTAACTGGTGTGAGATGATATCTCATAGTGGTTTTGATTTGCATTTCTCTGATGGCCAGTGATGATGAGCATTTTTCCATGTGTGTTTTGGCTGCATAAATGTCTTCTTTTGAGAAGTGTCTGTTCATGTCCTTCGCCCACTTTTTGATGGGGTTGTTTGTTTTTTTCTTGTAAATTTGTTTGAGTTCATTGTAGATTCTGGATATTAGCCCTTTGTCAGATGAGTAGGTTGCAAAAATTTTCTCCCATGTTATAGGTTGCCTGTTCACTCTGATGGTAGTTTCTTTTGCTGTGCAGAAGCTCTTGAGTTTAATTAGATCCCATTTGTCAATTTTGGCTTTTGTTGCCATTGCTTTTGGTGTTTTGGACATGAAGTCCTTGCCCACGCCTATGTCCTGAATGGTAATGCCTAGGTTTTCTTCTAGGGTTTTTATGGTTTTAGGTCTAACGTTTAAATCTTTAATCCATCTTGAATTGATTTTTGTATAAGGTGTAAGGAAGGGATCCAGTTTCAGCTTTCTACATATGGCTAGCCAATTTTCCCAGCACCATTTATTAAATAGGGAATCCTTTCCCCATTGCTTGTTTTTCTCAGGTTTGTCAAAGATCAGATAGTTGTAGGTAAGCGGCGTTATTTCTGAGGGCCCTGTTCTGTTCCATTGATCTATATCTCTGTTTTGGTACCAGTACCATGCTGTTTTGGTTACCGTAGCCTTGTAGTATAGTTTGAAGTCAGGTAGCGTGATGCCTCCAGCTTTGTTCTTTTGGCTTAGGATTGACTTGGCTATGCGGGCTGTTTTTTGGTTCCATATGAACTTTAAAGTAGTTTTTTCCAATTCTGTGAAGAAAGTCATTGGTAGCTTGATGGGGATGGCATTGAATCTGTAAATTACCTTGGGCAGTATGGCCATTTTCACGATATTGATTCTTCCTACCCATGAGCATGGAATGTTCTTCCATTTGTTTGTATCCTCTTTTATTTCCTTGAGCAGTGGTTTGTAGTTCTCCTTGAAGAGGTCCTTCACATCCCTTGTAAGTTAGATTCCTAGGTATTTTATTCTCTTTGAAGCAATTGTGAATGGGAGTTCACTCATGATTTGGCTCTCTGTTTGTCTGTTGTTGGTGTATAGGAATGCTTGTGATTTTTGTACATTGATTTTGTATCCTGAGACTTTGCTGAAGTTGCTTATCAGCTTAAGGAGATTTTGGGCTGAGACGATGGGGTTTTCTAGATAAACAATCATGTCGTCTGCAAACAGGGACAATTTGACTTCCTCTTTTCCTAATTGAATACCCTTTATTTCCTTCTCCTGCCTGATTGCCCTGGCCAGAACTTCCAACACTATGTTGAATAGGAGCGGTGAGAGAGGGCATCCCTGTCTTGTGCCAGTTTTCAAAGGGAATGCTTCCAGTTTTTGCCCATTCAGTATGATATTGGCTGTGGGTTTGCCATAGATAGCTCTTATTATTTTGAAATACGTCCCATCAATACCTAATTTATTGAGAGTTTTTAGCATGAAGGGTTGTTGAATTTTGTCAAAGGCTTTTTCTGCATCTATTGAGATAATCATGTGGCTTTTGTCTTTGGCTCTGTTTATATGCTGGATTACATTTATTGATTTGCATATATTGAACCAGCCTTGCATCCCAGGGATGAAGCCCACTTGATCATGGTGGATAAGCTTTTTGATGTGCTGCTGGATTCGGTTTGCCAGTATTTTATTGAGGATTTTTGCATCAATGTTCATCAAGGATATTGGTCTAAAATTCTCTTTTTTGGTTGTGTCTCTGCCCGGCTTTGGTATCAGAATGATGCTGGCCTCATAAAATGAGTTAGGGAGGATTCCCTCTTTTTCTATTGATTGGAATAGTTTCAGAAGGAATGGTACCAGTTCCTCCTTGTACCTCTGGTAGAATTCGGCTGTGAATCCATCTGGTCCTGGACTCTTTTTGGTTGGTAAACTATTGATTATTGCCACAATTTCAGCTCCTGTTATTGGTCTATTCAGAGATTCAACTTCTTCCTGGTTTAGTCTTGGGAGAGTGTATGTGTCGAGGAATGTATCCATTTCTTCTAGATTTTCTAGTTTATTTGCGTAGAGGTGTTTGTAGTATTCTCTGATGGTAGTTTGTATTTCTGTGGGATCAGTGGTGATATCCCCTTTATCATTTTTTATTGTGTCTATTTGATTCTTCTCTCTTTTTTTCTTTATTAGTCTTGCTAGCGGTCTATCAATTTTGTTGATCCTTTCAAAAGCAGGTCCTGAGTGACCTACAAAGAGCCTTAGACTCCCACACATTAATAATGGGATACTTTAACACCCCACTGTCAACATTAGACAGATCAACGAGACAGAAAGTCAACAAGGATACCCAGGAATTGAACTCAGCTCTGCACCAAGCGGACCTAATAGACATCTACAGAACTCTCCACCCCAGATCAACAGAATATACATTTTTTTCAGCACCACACCACACCTATTCCAAAATTGACCACATAGTTGGAAGTAAAGCTCTCCTCAGCAAACGTAAAAGAACAGAAATTATAACAAACTATCTCTCAGACCACAGTGCAATCAAACTAGAACTCAGGATTAAGAATCTCACTCAAAGCCGCTCAACTACATGGAAACTGAACAACCTGCTCCTGAATGACTACTGGGTACATAACGAAATGAAGGCAGAAATAAAGATGTTCTTTGAAACCAACGAGAACAAAGACACAACATACCAGAATCTCTGGGACACATTCAAAGCAGTGTGTAGAGGGAAATTTATAGCACTAAATGCCCACAAGAGAAAGCAGGAAAGATCCAAAATTGACACCCTAACATCACAATTAAAAGAACTAGAAAAGCAAGAGCAAACACATTCAAAAGCTAGCAGAAGGCAAGAAATAACTAAAATCAGAGCAGAACTGAAGGAAATAGAGACACAAAAAACCCTTCAAAAAATCAATGAATCCAGGAGCTGGTTTTTTGAAAGGATCAACAAAATTGATAGAGCGGCATATTTCTAACGGGGCACTAGTGGCATTTGGGTGGAACATTTCCTCCTTGTGGAGGACTTCCCATGAATTGCAGGATGTTTACCCCTTAGCTTCCCTTCCCAAATCCTGTAGCACCCTTCTGCAATCAGAAACACTGAGAACCTCAGTCAGTCACCCTCGGTTTCCCCCATGCTCCCAGTGGGTGTTGCACAGTCATTAGATCTGTTGGTTGGTTGGTGAGAGTGCTGGAGAAGGCAGAAGGTCGAAACGGAGGCAATACTGAAAGCATAGTTCTCCTGGTTTAGGAGCTAGCACTCTCTTTCTCAGTAGGATCAGTATTTATTGACATGGAATCCAGAGAGAAAACTCTCATGCCACCTTGATGCTTCATGCACAAGTTCGTGGCAGGGATGGGGGTGGTGGGAAAAAATGTGTTTGCTGAAATCACGATGGAGCAAATCAGCAAGGAATGTAATTTCTGCTTTCATGTAACTATCACTTGTTGCCATCCATGCTGTATCTTTCAGGGAGCATGAATAACTATGGCTTGATGTACTCCCTTCCTGATTTCCCAGCTGTTGTCTGTTCTTCATGCTTCACAAACTTCAGCCAGAAACATGTCCTAAGATCTAGGAGATGCAAGCCTTTTCTTCCTACTCAGCACCCTACCCTTGCTGGCTTATCCTCACTCCTGCCATGCTCTTTAGAATCCAAAGTATTCTCTAATTGTGTTGTATATATTTATCCATATTCAGTTTTTCTCGATATACCCTGCTTTTACATTAGTATACGGTTACTGTGCATTTGCCAGGAAACTATAGTTGCTAAAAAATATTTCCAAGAGATATCTGTTGACGTTGGTGAGGTCATTAGCTCTCTCATCACCAGTGTGGCCACCTTTAAGCCCTGGCTCGGACCATGATTAAATATGCTAAAACTCATCAGGAAGATTATCCTCTGTAAGTATTAATTTATATAATAACACGTACTTCTCAGGGTGTTTTACTCTATGTATTTCCCCCTGGATGCTTATTACAATGCTGTGGGGTAGGAAGGGTTGCTCTTACCTCCATTTAACAAGTGAGAACACTAAGGCTCTGCGAGGTTATTAATTGGCCAGGGTCACACAGCTTTAATTAGGGATGGACCTGGCACTTACCACTCCACCATTTCCTCTCTCTCCTTTTCAGGGACTGAGGGAGAAGACCAATTTGATTTGTCCTCTTTAGATGTCAGAACAATGTTGCTTTTTTTCAAAGAATATTTTAAGCTTTTCAGTTTCAATCTTCCATTGAGACAAGTTCTTTATCCTTCTGCTGGCAAATTGTGACCTCCTGTCAATCAAATATCTCTGTCCCCTTTCAATGACTCTACATTGGGTTTTGAAATTTGTCTCAGTAACACAGAGATCTGCAGTCTGTGTTGTCTGATATATGTATGTAATGTTGGGAAAAGCCATTTCCACAATAGTAGGAAGTTAAAAGATTTTTGTAAAGTGGGGATGAATTATAAAATAGTCCACTTTTTACTCTTCTAGCTCCCATTGAGTTTCTTTTTGTAAGGTTTGATTAGACATCGACAGAGGGAAGAAGAATGCTGGGATAATGGTTCTCAGATCACAATTTAAATTAAAACCAAATCTGGTTGATATTGTGAAATGTTATGTTCATATAGTTTGCACACAGAGTCTGAATAATTACCTTTTTCGATGTCTAAGAAATTATAACAGAACTTGTTGGAGGAAAGAGCACACAGGATGCAATTGTGTTTCACAAAGCCAGTTCCTTTTCTGGCTTAGAATCAAGAGTAGCAGGAAGACTGGCTTGTGCTCTCCCAAGCATAACACAACAGATCCAACATCTCCTGAACTGGGCTGTGGTTCTCAGAAGAAAATCAAGGGCCCTGGCAGGGCACATATAGTTTGTTTTTGCCCCCAACTCCCCAAATCCTTGGCTTCCTTCTATTGTAAACATCTGGAGCAGAATCAGCAACCGCCCCCACAGTTGTGCTTGAGGTATGGTCCTCTGGGCAGCTTTTACTCAGTCTTTACGACTCAACTCCATCCAGAGTTGCCTCCTGCACGTCCTTCTCTACCTCCTCTGTGTTCACCCACCATCTTTTGCTGCCTCTGCTATTGCCTAGTCCACTACCTAGTAACTGTTCCTTTGCCTGGAGTTTTGACACTGGCAACACAGTGGAAGTAAATAGTTGGTGGTGGGTAGGTGGGTTCTGAGTCCTGAGGAAGAGGATTACAGTAGAATGTACATTTCTCTGGTTAGTCATTACGGGTGCCTTGAACCTGGGAAGGGAGGAAGGTATACCGAGCTGCTTCCACCACATGTCCAAGCAGAACCAGCTAGCCCGCTTTCTGTCCCCTCAAACACTAGTGCAGTAACGTGCTGTATGGGAAGAAGTAAATGATTTAATATACAGATGCCTGGTTTCTGATCCTGGCTCCATTCGCTCGTATACAAAATGAGAAAGTTATACAATAAGAACTCCAGCTTTAGGCTGGGCGCAGTGACTCACGCCTGTAATCCCAGCACTTTGGGAGGCCGAGGCGGGCAGATCACGAGGTCAGGAGATCGAGACCAGCCTGGCTAACATGGTGAAATCCCGTCTCTACTAAAAATACAAGAATTAGCCAGGCATGGTGGCGGGCACGTGTAGTCCTAGCTACTTACTCGGGAGGCTGAGGCAGGAGAATAGTGTGAACCCGGGAGGCGGAGCTTGCAGTGAGCTGAGATCGCACCACTGCATTCCATCCTGGGCAGCAGAGCAAGACTCCGTCTCAAAAACAAAACAAAACAAAAAAAACTCCAGCTTTGTAAATTCAGTGATATATTCCTTTTTGAGGGATGCACTTTACTGTATTCATTTCACATGTGAATTTTAGAATCACAGGAACAGTCTCAAATTCTGGATATGCCCTTTATAATCCCCGTGATCTAGGACAACTTGCTTAACCTATCTTTGCCTTAGTTTATCTTCTATAAATTAGAGTTTCTCTAAGTATTACCTAGCATGATGCCTTTATTTAAAAAGTGCTTGATCCAGTGCCCTACGCAGCAGAAGGGTAATTTCACATTGTAGTCATTATTGTTATGTGAGTTTCTTCTCCAGTAGTCTATATAGTCACTTGTTGTACTTTAAAAAACTTTTAATTGTATGTGAACCTAGTTTTGATAATACAGCTATTTCCTATGTTTTTTTAAAGTCTATCATAGTCTATCAGATTATCTGTTCACTTGGGAAAAGACATCTAAAAACAGAATTCCTTTGGATAAATCAGGTAACCTAAGTAATATAAAGTTCATTCAACCTGAACTGACAGGATACAGTGGAAAGAACAACTGCCCATCAAAAGATAGGGTTTATAAGCTGCATTTTATTGCCAAGTTGCCATGTGACCTTGTGTAAGTCATTGAACTTCTCTTATTTCCAGTAACGTCCTCTGTAAAAATAAGGAGTTTGGACTCGATTTCTAAGGTTCTTTCTCCAGCTATAACATTTTGTGATTCTGTGAATGCTTAGGTGATACATGAAGATGTCTTTGCTGTCACTGTCTTTTCCTTTTTAGGCAGGGAAACTAGGAAAGATAGGCAGTGTGATTTTCTTTCTCAAGTTTTTTTTTAAGTTCTGCGTGTCACAGAATGGTAGTCAAACACATATTTTCTAGGTCCTTTATACATGAACTTGTATGAAAGTATATCACAGTCTCTCATTTTCTGTTGAGCACTTGCTGTTAATCCCTTTTCAATTTTATCTTGGTAACTTTAACCCCTGATTCTTGCCTGATTGAGTTTGTATGTTTGTCCTCTCATGTGATATGTATATTAAATACATACATCTGCAATGCCTTCACCTCAGCTGTTAATAAAAATCCTGATTAGGGCCAGGTATGGTGGCTCATGCCTATAATCCCAGCACTTTGGGAGGCCTGGGTGAGAGGATCACTTGAGCCCAGGAGTTTGAGACCAGCCTGGGCAACAAAGCGAGACCCTGTCTCTATAAATAAATAAATAAATAAATGTTTTAAAAAATAAAAATCCTGATAAGGCCCCAGTGTGGATTGCCATCACCTGATCGTCTTTACAGGACCACAAAAGCAGTGAATTCAAATACTCAGATTTATTCATTCTTTCAACAATCTTTAATGAGCTTCTTCCCAGCCCCAAGCCACCCTTTGCAGACTGATTGTTTTGCTGGAGTTCAGCACAGAGTTATTTCGATGTCACTTTTCCCTGTGGCTCAGTTTCTTTGCTGTTGGGGTGGTCACCAACCATTTTACAAATCTTAGAAGGCTATAGGCTTTCTCCCTAGAAAATGCCAGATAGATGAAGAAAGAAAAAGGTTTGTAACCAGCAAAGGAAGGAGAGAGGGCTGTGAAAAAGCATCGTTATTCAGAAGGATAAATAGTTTATTATGGCTGTCATGTCTGCTAGAAGAGGGACAGTGGTTAAAGGTAAGTTTGGAAAGTCAGATATCCCAGTCTTAGAAGGGCCTTGTGTCTGTGCAAGGTTGTTTAGATTGTACCACATAGATCAGTTGTTGGTGACGCTGAGTCTTAGACATTCTCAGTAAATAATGAATCTGAAGAGTACAAGGTAATCTTCTCTTCAGAAAATACATACAAAGATGTTCATATAATTTCACTGGGTTTACAAACACCAGCCTCTCTCCCCTAAGCCCATTCTTGACCCCTAGTTTAGGAACTCCTAAGGTAAGTTATCAGAAGCAATGAAAGATAGGTGATACATTGTCATTAAAATAAATTTAAATGTGACTTATATACAATAAAGTACACAAGTCGTAAGTATACAGCTTGCTGAATTAATTTTTTTTTTTTTTTTTTTGATTCGGAGTCTCACTCTGTCGCCCAGGCTGGAGTGCAGTGGTGCGATCTCAGCTCACTGCAACCTCTGCCTCCTGGGTTCAAGCAATTCTCCTGCCTCAGCCTCCCAAGTAACTGGGATTACAGGTGCATGCCACCACGCCCAGCTAACTTTTTTGTTTTTTTAGTAGAGACCAGGTTTCACCGTGTTGCCCAGGCTGGTCTCGAACTCCTGAGCTCAGACAGTCCACCCGCCTCGGCCTCCCAAAGTGCTAGGATTATAGGCGTGAGCCACCACGCCTGGCCAGCTTGATGAATTTTTATATATGAATGTAATTTCAAGTAAACACCATACATGAAGATATGAAGTATTTCTAACACTCCACAGGACCCTCCTGGTGCTCCCCTCAAAGATAACCAGTATCCTTTCCGACCTCGGTCATCATAGATTAGTTTTGTCTAGTTTTTAGGTTTTTTGCAGGGGGCGGTGAGGGGGGTTGTTTTGTTTTGTTGAGACAGAGCCTTGCACTGTCACCAAGCTGGAGTGCAGTGGCACAATCTTGGCTCACTGCAACCTCTGCCTCCCAAGCTCAAGTGATCCTCCTGCCTCAGCCTCCCAAGTAGCTGGGACTATAGGTTCATGTCACACCATGCTAATTTTTATATTTTTTATAGAGACGGGTTTCGCCATGTTGGCCAGGCTGGTCTCAAGCTCCTGGGATCAAGTGATCCCCTGTCTTGGCCTCATGAAGTGCTGGGATTACAGGTGTGAGCCACAGCACCTGGCCCTATCTTTGAACTTCAGAAATGGAATCACAATCTTAGTTTACCTTTTTTTCTTGAGACAGAGTCTTGCTCTGTCACCCAGGGGCCCAATCTCTGCTCGCCGCAACCTCTGCCCTCTGGGTTCAAGCAATTATCCTACCTCAGCCTCCCTAGTGGCTGGGATTACAGGTATGCACTATCACACCTGGCTAATTTTTGTATTTTTAGTAGAGACAGGGTTTCACCGTGTTGGCCAAGCTGGTCTCGAACTCTTGACCTCAAGAGATCCACCTGTCTTGGCCTCCCAAAGTGTTGGGATTACAGGCATGAGCCACCGCACCTGGCCATTTTACCCAACTGTTGTCTATGAGATTCATCCATGTTACTGGATGTAGCAGAAAGTCATCTTTTTTCATTGCATTATGTAATTTTCAAAGATCCCTTTGACTGCTGTATGGAGACAAGATTGGAGAGGGCCCAAATGAGGTGAGGAAGTCTGGCTGGGAGGTGGTTGCCATGTGTCTGAGAAGAGGTGTGCAGCCTGCCTAGGCCGCAGAGTGGGAATGAAGAGGAAGGAGCAGCCCTGTTTAAGGAGGCTTTAAACCTGGTTGGTGCTTTGATAGTAGAGCATGAGGAAGAGAGAGGTCAGTTTTCTGGCTTGTTAATAACACAAGGTTTGATGAGGTCAGTTTTGACAACTTGGATGTTAGATGACTGTGAGTGTTTGCAGGTCCAGATGAATTCAATAGAAATGTCAGAAATGGAGATTAAAACTTTGAGAGTCATCAGCTTATAGTGGAATTGGAAGCACAGAGAGCAAATGATTGCCTAGGGACTGGATTTGGAGTGGGAAGCAGCTAAGAACAGACCATTGTGATGTTCGGAGGCTTCTGAACTGTCAGAAAAGAGGATCTGACAGCAGAGGCTTAGATTGAGAAGAGGTAGGAAGGGCACTAGGAGGAAGGGCAAACAAAGCAGCCAAGCCAAGGGCAGAGGAGTGGGTTAGAACTGTCAAATGTCAATGATTTGGGAAGAGGAGGCTTTGAAGCTACCTGAGGTGAGGTGGTCTCTAACATCTCTCCTCTTCCCAGCCACACCCATTCACTGCTCCTGTTCACCAACCTCATTCTTTTGGTTCTGCTCTACCTATAGCTTTGTACTGTGTCATATCTATGTGTGTGCCTATCTTCCACAATGACCTGTGTGGATTCTTGAAGGAGAGACACCATATTACTCCCCCTTCTCATTCCTTTCCAAAATTTAGCAGAGCTGACCTTTTATGTATTAAGTGGTCACTATGTCCAAATTGCCTTTGTTTCTAAAGCAGCCCTGAATTGAGTGGCCTTCCCTGGCCTGACCACCTGAACCTCTGTGGGGGCTGTCTTGCTAAGGAAGCTTGTGTACAGCCTGGCTATGTTTCTGCCTTTTGTCAGGGGACAGGGAGGTTGAAAACCCAGCTCTGCAGAGTCTCAGTAGCAGCAGACAGTACTGCCTCTCTGGGAGTGCTACTGTCTTCCAGCAAGCTAGGTGGCTTCTTCACTTACATAAGATGTGTGTGTTCTGGCAGGGAAGAGCTGCCTGAGTGAGTGTTTAGCAAAAATGATTTGTGTGGAGTTATTTTGAGACCCCAGGGAAGGGAATGGCAGCCAAAGCCTGCAGTATTTTAAACCACATCACTCATCCACAAAGATTTAATACGATACAGCATCTCAGCTAGAATATTGGTGAAGAGAAGTAAGAATGTTAGGGTCCCATCAGATTATAAATGCCCGTTATCTCCATCCACGCAAGGTGAATTTGGAGTGGTTTGGATCAAACTTGGTACTTGAAGATTCGTTCATGCTCCTTCTTTGATCTTGTCTGCCCTGGAAATACCAAATAGAAGACAGAGTTGCTTGCTGGGGGGTTGGCCTGGGCTCCCTTTGGAGCAGCGATTTCATTGCCCTCTCTCATTCACTACCTCGGGAGCCATTTGGTTTCCAAGGAGATACAGAAATGAGCCCACTTTTTATGCCGGTCCAAAATACTGACATTATTTAGGTGATTGAGCTTCTTCAGATTCCAGGCTGTCTAGGAGAATTCCCCTTCCAAAGCATTCACCTTTCCTCCTGACTCAGGCATGAACAGCTGTCTGCTAAGGGTGGGTGAATTCAAGAATATAGGATTTTCCAGTTTAGTGACATTAGGGGAGACAGCCTCCATATGAAACACTTCTCTTGTTTTTGTTTTTCTCTTGGCTGTTAGGCTGTGAAATTTGCCTCACCGCTCCCCCGCCCTTTTGCTGACAGCTGTCCTCTTTGCCATTCAGGAGCTGGTGTCTCCCTAGGATGGTTGACTGAGAAAGAAAAGGCCATCTTCCTTTGTCCCCTGGGTCTTGAGTTGTATTGCTGAAGAGCATCTTGTGTCAGGAGATCTAATTGCCTTCAGACCTGGGGGGATCCATTTGGGCCAGAGAGTGTCCAGGCACTTTGTGAATTGCAGAGGGAGTTACCCAAAGAGAAAAAGCCCTATTTGTGACTGGCCACTTGATTTTGTTTGTTTTGTTTTATATTTTTAGAGGACATACAATTTCTTTAATGATAAAAACTATGAAAACCAAAATACATTGTTACACAAAAGAGGCACACACAAACCATACAGCTTTTCAGACTCCCCAAATTTCCCTACAAGGACGTGCAGCGCATCGTTTTTCCATTAATTTAGGTGTTTTTGAGCAGGCCACTTGTTTACACCCCAGTATTGAGTTGAGTGTAGTAGGGAGACACTCAGGAGAAGCATTACTTGTGTTTGTATGTGTGGGCGCGCGCGCATGTGCGCACGCGCGTGTGTATGTGAGAGATTGACTCCCCTCGTGTGTGTGTGTGTGTGTGTAAGAGAGATTGACTCCCCTCGTGTGTGTGTGTGTGTGTGTGTGTGTGTGTGTGTAAGAGAGATTGACTCCCCTCTGCTTGCACCCCAGAGCAGCCAGCAATCAGAGTAAAAGGCTTCAGCTAAGTTTCTTTCTGCTTGTGATACTACACAAGAATGGCCTGACAGAGAGCAGGATTAAGATATGGTGGAGAGGGAACAAGGAACCAAAGTGAGTGAAAAGGCACAAACAAGCCAGCATCTACCAAAGTCGGCAGGATGGACAAAGGGAGCAGAGCAGGCAGCCAGCCTGGGGCTTTGGAAGACATGTGAAGGGTGTGAGGCTGGCAGATCACTACAGAAGGGGTGGCTCCTCTCTTTTGCCCTGGCATGAGACTTTCTTCTGTGCGCTGTAGCGCCGAGCACGCTACCCCGTTCTTCTCTCTGCTCCACTCCACTCTGACACCCCCACAGAGGTGCTCATGGCTGTTAGTAGGCAGGTCCGGCTCCATTCAGCATTCTTCCTACGTTCTTCCCAAATACCAGTTTCTGATTTGGGTCATTGTGACAGTTGCTATGTCCCACCATGGGCTTATACATGAGAGTTCAGCCCTCAGAGATGGCCACTGTGGTTTCCTTAGCCCCTCCTCCACCCTGTTCTCCTTTCCTCTCTTATTCCCCACCCTATTTCCTTGGGTGAGTGAGCACAGACAAGTGCACAAGCTCACACACACCCCTTGGCTGTCACAGGCACCAGGAACCCTGGTCGGGGAATGTGCTTTGTGGAGAGCTGTGTTCAGGAAGTTTACTCCTCCTCTCCGTAATCAGTCCTCGCCACTCCCTCCCCTGCCCCACCCTTATTAGAAATCCTGATTTCTGGCAAGCTTCCCATCCTGGTGCTGTCCTTCTTTTGTGCGGAGCACACTGGAGCAGCTTTCCTCTCCCTGGAAGACAGGCACAGCCTGATGGCACAAGTTAATACCTCCTGCATGGCTGCAAAAATAAAGACCAGATGCGGGTCTGTTGGGTACCTGATTTTCTCCCTCACTGCCCTCCTTCTTTTCAACTGAAGCTTTGTGTCCAGCATGACAGTTGAAATCCTGGTGCTTTGGTGCACTGTTGCCACACTGTGACAGGGGCTAAAAAGCTTCCGTTGAGTGCACTGCTGTGCCTTCCCTGTCCACTGGCCACAGTGGTGACTGAAATACTCATGTCTGCAATGTTGCATCAGTGGAAAGTAAAGGATGCAGAAGTCCTTTTCTTTCCCTCAGGTCTCCCAACCAGGGAAAATCATCACTTCAGTAGAACAATCTTTCCCTGAATTCTGCAAAGTGAATTCTGGGCAGTGGTTTGGATTTGCTGTTCCTTTTTATCCCTTAAAGCCCAGTGAATGAGAGAAGGAAATGAATAGACTGCTTGTCACAACACCACCAGGGTCTCCACAGTGCCTGGGGCTGCTGCTGAGAGACAGAGAATGAAAGCTGGAATGGAGGCCGTGGAGGCAGGAAACCTTTGCTGGGACAGGCTCCACCTCCCCTACATGGTGTCTTGAGGGCTTCCCATTTCCTTCAGTCTGGGGATTCCGCCCGCACTAATGGAGCTGTCTCTTGCTGCAGCATGCTTCCTGGAGGAAAAGTCCAACTCTGCCTGGCCACACAGAGAGAAGACTGATATGCAGTCTCTCCACACCCCTCCCCCGTTTATCCAACAAAGCAGCACATTTCACTGCGAACGCTTCCGGAGTCGGCTCTCAACAGTGCAGAAAAAGGGATGCTCCCTGTTGCACACTCCACCACCCCCATTGGACGTTTTTAATTAAATCAACTAGAAAGATATTTTCAGTTTGAAGATTCACTTCATCTTATGTAGGTTTAAAGAAGAAAGAAAAAGAGTAGAATGGTAAGAAATCAAAATTCACGTCTCATGAGGACCTTAGAAATGTTCAACCCAGAGAAAATAAGACTTGAGAATGAGAAGAAATAGATGTTGCAAGTCTCTTCAAATATTTGAAAAGGTGTCAAATGGGTAATGCATGTTTTATATGGTCCGAAGGAATTGGACCAGATCTTAGAAGGCCTAGGATGTCAGATTGTGGAGTTCTGATTTTGTTTGGAAGCAAATAAAAAAAAAAGAAAATAAGAAGCAGAACATTGTGTTTTAGGAAGATTAATCTGGTAGCTGATTAATCTGGTAGTAGATTAAGCTGGTAGTGTGTATAAAGAATAGTATGGTATAAAGAATAGTATGGTATAAAGTATAAAGAATAGTAGATTAAGCTGGTAGTGTGTATAAAGAATAAGTATAGGGAAAAATCGAGGGCAGGCACAGGTAGATCGATCAGAAGATTCTTGGCCACAAGTGACAAGAGCCTGACAAACAGAGGTATGCTGAAGATTCAGAGGAATAACTATAGAAGGGAAAATAATGGAATCAAGAGGATGTAGCAATCACTGGGTTATGTGGATAGAGTAGGGAAGAAGATAAGAGAGGTTTTCAGCCCAAGAGGATGGTCATGCTGGAGCCAGAATGGGGAACTCTGGAAGAGGAGGAGGTAGGTGGCAGAGGTTTAGGAGGAAGAAGATGAGTTTGGTTTTAAGACATGTTGAGTTTGAGGTCTTGGCAGGACATCCAAGGGGAGACGTGGGCAGTTGTTAGATGTTTGGCAATTGGGTATAGAGCCAGGATTACATGTCTGAGTTCTGCATGATCACAGTGAATGGAGAAGGTGAGAATGGATAGACCTGCCAAAGGATAGTGCAGAGAGAAAAAAAGGGCCCAGTGCATGACTGAGGGCAACAGTAAGAAACAAAACAAGCAGCCAGAGAGATAGGACACCTAGAAGACAGAAGCATCAAGGAAGAAAGGATCTCACTAAGGGGTTGGCGCTCAGTGGTAAATACCATAGAACAATCTAGTAGGACTTCTAACTATCATTTAGTTGAAAGATAAAGTCTAAGGACAACATCTTAGGAGCAAAGGACTTCTTCACAAGAAATGTAATGGTGAGCAGATTGGTCAGGAAGTGGAGAGAAGCAGTTATAATGAAGAACAGAGTGGCAACTCTGGCATTTTCAAGGTTTGAGCTTATGGAAAGTATGCTTTGAATGGGGAAATATGCATCTGTGGGAGGACAGTGGGAATAAAATAGAATGATCAGACGTACAGGAAAGTGGACATTCATAGAACAGGGCTCAGGAGAGAAAGGTTAAGGGCACATACCTGTGGTTAATGTCAGCTGCCTCTGGCCATTTCCCCTAAGCCATGTTTTCATTCCTTTTACCTTCTAGGTCACATGACCATAAGGTTTTTTAAATATTATTTTTATTTATTATAATTTAACATTTTATGCTGTCACCTGTACTGATAACTAAACATCAGGTTTAGTTACCCTGTACTATCAGGTTCAAGCGATTCTCCTGCGTCAGCCTGCCGAGTAGCTGGGATTACAGGCGCACACCACCACGCCTGGCCAATTTTTGTATTTTTAGTAGAGGTGGGGTTTCACCATGTTGGCCAGGCTGGTCTTGAACTCCTGACCTCAGGTGATCCACCCACCTCAGCCTCCCAAAGTGCTGGGATTACAGACGTGAGCCACCACACCTGGCCGCCTGTATTTTTTTTTAAACCACCATGCAACATGCTTCAGAGCGTGTTGGCGAGCTTTTTCTAGAAAGGGGCAAATAGTAAATATCTTAGTCTTTGTGGGCCTTATGATCTTTGTTACAAATATTCATGGTACAACTCTAGCCCTGTACTATGAAAGCAGTCATAGACAGCAAATACATGTGGCCATGTTCTAATAAGACTTCATTTATTGACACTGAAATTTGAATTTCATAGTCTTCACATTGTTGGAAATAAATTTTCAGTGTGGCAAAAGAAACAGCACTCGAACATAAATTTTCTCAGCAAGGCAATTTTACTTCTGTAGAAGGGTGCGACTCACGGATGGAGCAATGGCGAGAGCACACTTGAACGAGGGAGGGGAAGGGGCAGGTAGCCCCTATTGCTGTGTCGTTTCCCTATCGGCTAGGGTTGGACCACACACTCTAAGCTAATTCTGATTGGCTCTTTTAAAGAGAGCAGGGGTACGAGCTGGAGTGGCAGGGTGAGTAGTTTGGCAGGAAGGGCAGTTACAGAACAGGTGACTCTGGATGAATAAGAACAGAGCAGGTGACCAAGGATGACTAAGATCAGAGCAGGTGATAGAGGCTAGGAGGGGGTTGTTTACTGAAACTAGGGGCAAGGAGACATAAAGAACGAGGAAGTTAAACTTTAAAATGAAGAACAAAGAACAGGGGAGCTGAACATACTGATATATTGGTTCTTTGGAAAGGACCTCAGAACTCATTGTACTTAACAATTTACAGGCTAAAACCTTTGAAGAGGAATTTATTATATCCTATAACATGTCACAAATATTCTTCTTCTGATTTTTGTCTTAACCATTCAAAAATGTAAAAATCATTCTTAGCTCATGAGCTCTGTAAAATCAGTGGGCAGACTTAGTCTTCAGGAAGTTGTCTGTTGTTCCCTGCTTTAGAGTATGGTAACTAAAAAATAAATAGATGAATAAGGCAAATGCCATTCTTGACCCACAGCTGGCCCAGGATTCAAGCTACTCAGGATAGGATATATGTAGCTTGGCCTGTGCTCTTGGAGAACCTTGACTTTTCACAATTCCTTTCCCTTTTTGCTTGCTTTATTTTATTTTATTTTATTCTTTTTCTTTTTTTTTTTTTTTTTTTTTGAGACGGAGTCTCGCTCTGTCGCCCAGGCTGGAGTGCAGTGGCGCAATCTCGGCTCACTGCATGCTCCGCCTCCCGGGTTCACGCCATTCTCCTGCCTCAGCCTCCCAAGTAGCTGGGACTACAGGCGCCCGCCACTACGCCCGGCTAATTTTTTTTTTTTTTGTATTTTTAGTAGAGACGGGGTTTCACCGTTTTAGCCGGGATGGTCTCGATCTCCTGACCTCGTGATCCGCCCGCCTCGGCCTCCCAAAGTGCTGGGATTACAGGCGTGAGCCACCGCGCCCGGCCTCTTTTTCTTTAAAGTAAAGTTAGTGAGGTGAAGGACTCTTGCTAAGAGTTTCTCAGCCCAGAGGTTTTTTTTATTCATGCTCTTTGGTTCTTAAGTCTTAATATTCCTGACACTAGCTGGTTTTTCCTCCTCATCCTACTGTAGGCTAAGTATACTAATCTCTAGACATTTGGAATTCACTTGCCTCAGGAGGAGGAGCTCAGAGCAATTTTATTTGAGTGAAAGCTCAAAAAAGGCAATAGTTTAGAAGTACACTCCACACATCTCAGAACCATTTTGTTCAAATAAAACAGCTTGGTCTAGAAAAAGTCACTCTAAATTTATGCAAGTAAGTAGCTTTTACATTTGGCTGCCAGGTGTGTGCCAGAATACCTCATGGAAGTGGAGACTTGCAAGATCCATAGGGGTATTTCCTGTGGCTTTCTCTTCACCTTGTAGCAAATCTCTAGCAACCTGGACAGTAGATTCAAATTTTTCTCTTTATCAATTAACATGGAATAAAAAAGACCAAGAATAGGAACCTTTGGTGCCAAAAATCAAAAGGGAGGAAAATATGTTTTATTTGATTTAAAGATAAAGTCCTATTGCTTTAAAATAAGTCAGAAGAAATAAAAGTTGAGGTTCTCATAGAAACCAACTCCTCCTCCTTGCTCAGACGTAGCATTTGTGCCTGTTAGATGCTGTCTGCACAGTGCCACTGTGTTACATAAAAGCTTGAGCCATGTAGGAGCTTTCTTGTCATTCAGAACACTGCAGCTCTAGCTTTTGACCTCAGATACTTTGTTTTCTGTGAATTTGTTAATGAAGGTATGAGGTTGTTGTTTTGGTATGGATAATAAAGAGAAACCCAGGAAAAAAAAAAAATTTTTGAAAGGCACAGGTCTCTCCCATGCCCAGTTGTTCTTTCTGCTAGTAGCTGATGGTGACATTATTGCAGCTGCTGCTTATAGCAATCCCCAAAAATGAACATGGGCATTGGGAAGCGGACAGCCTGCGATCTCCAGTCCCCTTCCCAAACACACCTCCAGAGACAGCCTGGTGAGGTGGGTTACAGCCTGCTCTTGGGATGCCACAGAAAGGGAAAGGCCTCGTTAATCAGTGAGAGGGTTTTTTTTTTCTCCCCTTAAAAATCATTGTTTTCAGATCTTGCTTTGCAATGGGGAGAATTATAAAAGGTTATTCCCATGCTGGCCTGATTGTTATCTTCTGTACCAGCTCCATCTAAAAATGCTTTTTTCCCATTTGGGAGAGATTGTGTGGTGTCTAAAGCTAACAATAAATCAAATTCAGTGAAGCTGGTTTTGTACATTGCCTGGCTAGACTGAGAGCAAGATATTCAGTATAAGGCCTCTAAGTCATCCCTTCCTTGCCTCTTCCACTGGCTGTGGTCAATGATTGAGCATTTAACCACACACTCACCTTTAAGTCCTGAGAATAAGTAGTACTAGAATTCCTCATCAATACTCCACAGGTTAACTCATATGCATCCAGAACTCTTGGAAAAGCAGGTTGTTGTAACAGGTTTGGTGTATCTGTTATTGCTAGATTTTCTCCTCTCTGGCATTCATGTAGCAAACTGAATTATTGAGCATCTTCTGTTTGCCAGATACCGGGGATGTAGAGAGAAGTGGCATATCCCTTACCTCAAATGACTGTAGAAGAGGGATCTACCATTAACAGGCGAACAACTATTATGACTTGTATCAGAAACTTAAGGCATGTTTAACAGCCAAGCACCGCACTTCCTGTCTGTAGATGCTTCTCTTCTCTTCCCCTTCCTTTCTTCAAAGAGAGCTGCAGTTTCCATTGCATTGTGAAGACTTGGTTTTCTTGTTCCAATTCCAAATTAACTTCAGTGCCTGGTCTTTCAACAAATGCATCAAACATTACAAAATCCGAACAACCTAATAAAAGTCTATCCTAAAAAATTGGAGCTGTGACTAAAAACAGCTTCAGTCTCAGCTTCTGCCCAGTTCTGACTCCCCTGACTACAATTAGGTATTTGATCCCTTTAATTAGGATCCCTTCATTCTTCTTTTATCCCTTTATTCTGATCATTGAAAGAGCTTTAGCAGTGACATGTTCCAAAATTGGTCCACAAGATCCTACCTCCCCTGAGGTAACAAAGTAGGAGTTTAGAGAACAAGGGAGAGAATAAAGAATTTGAGAGAATGCAAAATCTTTGTTTTACTTCTAAACCTTTTAGTACAAACTGTAGCCTCATATCATGAAGAACGAACTCTTGGGAACCAACTGGTCTGCCATTTCCCTTTTTCTTTGGGCCATTTTAGGAATGTGGAAATATACGCCCTAAGTGAGATGGTGTGCAGTTTTCAATAGTGAACTGATTCATTGACATCGTTTGCAACCTGAGCCATCCAAATTCTTTCTACTTTAAAGCTTATGAGCAAGAAGTACAAGTTTTTGGTGTATGAGCTATTACAGGTCTGAGAAGCAATGGCATGAACTGATTTGGCTTTGTATGTTATTTAAGTGATAACTACATTCCTTAAAATTAGGCAGATGGTCTGTCTGACTCTACCTTTCATGTTGATGGTTAAAAGTTCTTGATTTTGTTCTTGATACTTAAGGAGGGAATACCTGTCTATATATTGTTGGCGCTGAAGAATTTTTGAAATCGGCCTGGACAAACTTAAAAGTGTTGCTTTTCTCAGCCTTTATACGGAGTTTAAGTATCTTACAGTCTATGTGTAGTGGGGCTTTTTACAATTTTGTTTTGTTTTTTGGTGGGAAGAAGGGTGGTATGGGAAAGTATAGAAATGGAACTAATTGAGTCTAGGGGTAAAAAACTGCTGGGAGCCTGTGGATTATAAATCGAGTAGCTGCAGCAGCAGGTACTCAGGCAGAGGTATGGGAGTGCAGTCAGTGGGACAGGAAGCTTGTTTTGGTGTTCTGTGTCTTGTCCTTGACAATGACTCCAGGGGACCAAGTGCAGTCTATAGAAAGGAGAGGTGTCCATAGTTTCCTATCTGGAAAACTTTTACAGCATTCCTGCCTGGGGTCTTAAAGACTAGAAAGGAAGATGAAAACTAGATGAGATACTCTTGCCTCCTGTTCCTCTCCCCACTGTCCACCCCCTACATCTGCACTGAGCACCCCTTTATCTGCTAGCTAGGTATGTGGCTAGGGAGATAAACCCTGTTTTGTTGTGAAAGTTCCATCAAAACTGCCATTTTGTCTCCCCCATCGTTTGATCAACAAAAATTGTGTTGAAATTTCAGGGAGCATTATTTAAAGCAGAGGTATTGAATATTCAATATTCAATAATATTGAATATTATTAATTTGCCTAAATATATAAAATGAAATCACAATTCACTGGCCTGGGCTCCTCACTGTAAGCAGAGGAGTGGACTTAGTGACCATCTTTCAGCTTTAAGACTGAATAACATTTTCCCTTCCATTGGGAAACTTATTTATATCCCAGTAGTCATCCCCACACTAAGTTTTTCCGATATGGCGTCCAGATTTTATTTCCCCTAATAATTACACCCCCTGTTTTCAGGCTAGGCATTCTCCCTCCTTTCTTGTGTTTACACCTTTCAAATATTTGCAGATTGTTATCCTGTCACCCTCTTAGTCACCGCTTAGCTGAGCTGTACAAATTTAGCACCTTTTATCTTCCCTTTAAAGGCAGGTCTCCACGCCCCTGAGTCATTTTCCCCTGCTCTCTTTAAGTGTGCTCCAGTTTTCTGCATTTCCATGTGGCCACATAACTTTCCTAGAATTGAACATAGGTCATGAGTGAGAATTGTTTTCCTCCTTTGGCATGTCAGAAGCTAAACATTTCTGCTATGCTCCAGCCTCAGGTCTCTCTGACATAGCTGGTCAGTGTTGACCACTTCAACTCTGTAGTTAAACCACGTTCTCTAAATGTGCCAATTTAAAGACCAGTGGGGTAAAAGGGTGTAGCTATGCTATACTTTGTTTAATCCTTGAAGTGTTATATAACCATGGGAAAGTGGGATGTATGTAGTTATGGATTCTGTTGGCCCCTTTCCTGGTATTTGCATAAAACACCTCTGTTCTCCAGGTGTGTCAGACTAAACCTCATCTCAGCTCTGCGCCCTGACAGTTCATCAACCATCTCTTTCTCTGTGTGTTTACGTTTTTCAGAACTATTTTTCACTAATATTCATTCAACATTTATTGAGCGTCTCCAATGCCACTGTGTGCTACATAGTATGTTAAGTGCTGGAAAGATTAAAATCTGAATATGACACAGTGCCTGCCCTAAGATGCACTGTTTTTGTTATAGTTTTAGTTTTAGTTTGGTTGAAAGTACCAGATCCTCACAGATTGGCTTACAGTGTCAGTGAGGGGAGAGAGCAGAGGAATATCCATGAAAATCTAATAGGAGCCTAGGTAGGGTCAGGTGTCACAGATCCTGGAACCTGAGGTGATTCTGAGTCTGAGACTGCTCCAGGGACCTCACTGTAGATCTCCAGTGTTAATGTCAGTTCGTCCCCTCTGCTTATTGCCTCCTTCCTCTGGCTCCTGCGGGGATTGTGTTTTAAACACTGCTCAGTTCAAATTCCAGAAGGAGACTCTTATTGGTTCACCTGGCATCTGCCATTTCTATTTGAATAGAGCTGTTTTTCCTATTGCTGGCCTGACTGCACATTTGCTACCCTTGAAGCTGCTACAGCACCACTCCCTCCCTCTCTGCCATTCCCCACCTTCTGCACTGACTTCCCATTCCCAGCTTGTGGTGTGCGGAGAGAACAGAGGTCATGTGCTAAAAAGCATAGCTGCCCGAGGCTGTCTCCTTAGTGAGGGATGTGTCCTGTTAAGCCCCGTGATTGAGTTGTCCACTACATTCTGCCAATAGCTTCCTAGCCATACATGCACTTCTAGCCCGGGCTAGAGTGCAGTGGTACAATCTCAGCTCACTGCAACCTCCACTTCTGGAATTCAAGTGGTTCTCCTGCCTCAGCCTCCTGAGTAGCTGGCCCTACAGGCGCACACCACCACACCCTGCCAATTTTTGTATTTTTAGTAGAGGCGGGGTTTCACCATCTTGGCCAGGCTGGTCTCAAACTCCTGACCTCAAGTGATCCGCCTGCCTTGGCCTCCCAGAGTGCTGGGATTACAGGCTTCAGCCACTGTGCCCGGCCATGTACTATTTCTTAACATTATGCAACATATAGGCCAAATGGCAAATCCAGTCACCAATAACATACCTTTTACAATAGTAGAGTAAAATAATCTTTCCTAGCTGGTAACTAACTTCATGAGCACAAAGTGTTTTCATCATTGAATCCTCATCTTCCACAACAATCCTCATCTTCCTGGCCCAGAGTAGACATTGACAAGCATTAGTTCAATGGAGAGTAGAGGTCTGCTAGATGAGCTGGTGGATTTTTCAGTGTACCCCGTGGACAGAAGGCAGGTTCTGCATGCCTCCTGTGCCACTGTGATGTCTGATGCAGTAGTGAGAACACAGCGGGCATGCAGTAGACACCGTTGACTAATCCTTCAAACTGTTTTTTGTTTCCACTTGAGTTTTGTCTCCTTCAGCTAATGCCTGGTCTCTTAGTGGTGGAATAAGTGCCACTGGGAAGCTGTCACATACTTCCAGCTAAGGCCAATTTGTCACACTTCCCTTAGCTCCCACTGCCCAATAAAGGAAAAAGTGAACACATTCTGAGTCCTGAGACTTAGTTATCATAAAACTCGAAAAAGAGTGTAAAATACTCAGAGCGATACATAAGTTTCACATAGCCATCAATAGAATCTCTTACAGAGCCCATTGTCTTGTCATTAACAAGAATGTGTACTTCTTGTTCCAAAGCTGACTGACCAGAGTATTTGTGTTAATTGACCTAGTTAGTCAATGTCTCTAAATGTATAATTTTTTTAATAGAATGATTGCTCCATAGCCCAGCATTTTGTTGGATATTTATACTCCATGAGTCAAGGCTTGGGTGAGGAATCTCAAAAGGGTATAACCAAAATGGTAAGATTTTGTGTCCAGAGAAGGCCTTGCATATCCTTCATTTTATAGACAGATGAGGCCTGGATAAGTTTAATATTCTATCAGTGGCAGAGCAGAACCCAGAATCATGATGTGCTGATGGCTAGCAATGAATTTTCTCTTCCTAAACTATACAGAGTCAGGCAGAAACCTCTTTTTACTTGATTTTATTTCCTTTTGTTTTGTTTTGTTTTGTTTTGTTTCAAATAGCCATGGCCAACCATTCATATCCCAGAAAGTCTAGAAAAGGTATGAAAAATAATGAGTTTTTGCTTATAGGCAGATGGACCTGTAGAGTTTGAAAGAGGTCAGGAGCAGCAGCCACATGGAGCAGGAGGTGGGGCAGGCATTTGTCTTACCTGCCTCTCCTGTGCCTGCCCTTGTGGAAGTCAGCTGAGTCCCCCCATGGGGGATCTGTCTTTGTTCTGGCACACCCCATGATAGAGAAGGAAAATGCTCAGGAATTTTTGGGATTTTTTTTTAAGTGTAGTGTTTTGTCTTCTTTTGTGTTTATTAAAACAAAATAGTTTGTTTCTTAAAGGCTTGTGTCAGAGGTAAGCTTGGCACTTCTCTTGCACCTGTGGCATTTGAGGCACAGCTGAGTTAATATATCTTTATCAGCAGGCAGCACTGCACTGGTATGTTATCAGAAAAGACAGCTATTGGTGGTAACATGCAGGATCCAGCCAGGCACTTTCTCAACTGGCTGGGGAGAACTTCTGCAGCTCCAGTGATATCTCACTTCATATTTACAGTCTGAGGCCCTGTGTGGCTTGGGAGCGCTCCATTGCTGCCTGTCAGCCTGCCCAGCTGAGCATCAGCAGCCTTGGGTTTGCTTTCTTAGAACCCAACTTTCTTTCCCTTCATCTGTTTTCTTTAACTTTTATTTTTAACGTCCATTTTATTGCATCACCAGCCCAGCAGTGCAGGCATTGCTTGAGGAAAGGTGCAGCATGGATTAGGTTGACTTGCTCCCTGAGCTCTTGGGAGAGGAGGGCACAGCATAATAACTCTGCTCGCTGCCAGCATGTGGCTTCATCTGGCTTTCAGCAGCAACGACAACTGACTTTTTGGCTCAGAATGTTACCATTTGTGTGGTCTCCTCTCTACCAGTGGACAGCATATTTTTTGCTCTGTTCCTTGGTCCCTTAGTACACAAAAGCAAGTCTAGAAACTGGATAAACCCTCAGTTGGAGCACTTTTTTAACTCTGCAAGAAAGCCATCAGGACCTGCCCCGTCCTTCCATCCTTCTGTCTTTACACCTCAGTCAATACCAGTGTTTTTCAAACTGGGTATTTGTCCCACTAGAGGTTTTAAATCAATTCAGTGTCATAGCCGTTTTGTTTTTTTCCTTAATGAAATGGTGAACAGAAGAGAGACTGTCAGTATAACATATACTGACATATATAACTAACATATATAGTCAAGATTAACCATTGTTTTGTGGAAACGTAATAATTGCTAAGCTGGCCTCCAATAAAAATAACCCCCCAAATAAATAAATGAATACATAAATACTGCTCTGCAAAAGGTAATATCAAGATGGCAGAGAAGGAAACCTCAGGAAATGGTCTTCCTGCCTAAATAATTGCACTGGCAGAATCTGCCTGATGTGACTGTTTTGAGACTCTGGAATCTATTGAAGGCTTCTTACTTCCATTGGTTGTCTACAGGTGTTTGTACCCATATGTAAGTGTGTATGTTGGTCACAGTAAGAATAAAAAGTTTGAAAAACGCCCATCTACAGTATCTTCTATCTGTAGATGTAGCTCGGCTCGGCAAATTTCTAATACTCAGACATTCAGATATCATAAAGCCTGTCCTGCTCTCCTGGCCCTGACTTTGTACCTTAGTCTGGGAATAGATTCTGCCTCTGCCTGATGGGAATGGATGTGAATGGATGTTTACTTATTTCCACTTGAAAAAGGGCACAGAAGCACCCTACTTCGGCTTCCTACTCTTGTCGTGCTAGGGCTTAACTGCTGGGAAGTGGACTAGCAACGTAACAAAGGCCCTTCTTTGCCTTTGTGTCTACATGGAGTGACTGGGATTTGGTTTTCACAGGCCCAGAGGACTATCTCATGAAAAATGTTTTGAATATATTTCTGCTTGATTTGTTTAACACCCTGGCCCACTGAGCCATCATGTTTTCTCAATTTAATCACTTGGTGGTCTCCAGGATTCAGGGGAGCAACTGCAATCTCTGAAGCTTCACCAACCTGGTGAGATTTCAGAATACCAAGAGAGTGACAAAGGAGTAGAGTGGTACTCAGTAAGTGAAGCTCGGAAATCTTTTATGCCCTCATAGTGAAAATTCAACCCCTTAGTTCCTGCTGCCCAGTGCAGTACCCTAGCTACATCCCAGTTCTAGTCCCCAGTTCATAGCAGCCCCACCCAACAGCACCCCAGTCCTGTCCTGCCCAAATGGCTGCTAAGAGTCAGAAACAAACTGAACACTTGTTTTAGCATTATGCCTGTTTCTGCAACAATGCTTTTTCTGTGGTTATGTGGCAAGATTGTTCAATGGAATTGTTTATTTTTCTCTCTGATGATTTTGTTCTTGCTTAGTTTGCAGATATAAAAAGAAAAGTGTTTTTGGCTATTGATGTAAAAAACATGGGCCATCTTTCATTCCATTTTTCTCTAGCCTCATCTCTCCCTGTAGGGTTAATCTCAGGCTCCTTGGCTCATGAGTTTATTGCTGTCTTTTACAAAAATACGTTCCACCCCTCCCTTGCAGGCCGGCACTGAAGTGCCAGGAATGAGGCAGCCCTGGTGATCTTCTTTGCCATGTGACACTTGGGTGGGGCCTTCATCTGTCCCATCTTTTCAAGGGTGGCAGAATGGTCCTTGCTGTCACCTCAAGCTGCTGTCCTGTGGCAGTCTTTCTCCTGGCCTAGCATTTTATTTGATGTGGTGTATTCCATTTGTAAGGCCTTGGGGCTCAGAGAGAAAGCTCCGTTCTTTATCTTCTGAAAGCCCAATATATAGCCTATTCCCTTTTTTCTGAGCTTTGTCACCTTGAATCAATGCCCTGGCCAGAAACATGAGCAGCACCTAGCTTTATTCATACACAGAGATGTACCTTCTATCCTAGCAACAGTGGGACCTTGTCTCCACCAAGCAGGTGTTTGCCATCACCGAGACACCCTGCTTCTGCTGCTCCTATGCCAGATCTCTTGTACGTTCCCTTGAGGCTGTTCGTAAATAAAAGGTAGCACCTCTTAGTTCTGCCTTACTGCAGCAGGAGAGACCACCAGTGATTCAGAGACACACATACTCCATGCATCCTCCCCCAGATCTTCATCATTTTCGTTTCCTATGTCTCTAGCCCAGTTCCACTTTTTGTGGAATTATGTCTGTAATTATATAGCGTCATAATTATAGCTACAGTGTGAATTTTTTTGAAATATTTGTAAGTCTCAGATATCAAAATGTAGCATATTTCATGGTCTGTCACAGATGACCACTGTTAGTGGTAAATATACTTGCAAAACTAACGGGTTGACTCAAAGAAAGAAAAGGCAGTCTCACTTGGTTAGTGAGCACTTTGTACAGAATCCTGTGGTTGGATACAAAAAAAGAGTATGAAGGATAGGATTCTGTCTTCAGGGACAGGTTGGTTGTGGGGGTCAAAGAGGATTTTGAGGTTTTGAGCATGGGAATTGCTAAGAGTGATAATGATGATACAGATAATATTAATAATAGGATATAGTAAACGTCTCCATGTGGCAGGCATCGTTCTAAATAATCTCTCCTAGTTCACACAGCAACCTTAAGAAGCGGATATATTATAATATCTGTTTTATAAGTAGGAAAACTGAGACTTTCTGAGTAATTTGGCTAAGGTCACACAGCTAATAAGTGATAGAGCTGGGATGTGAAACTGGGTTTCTTTGGCTCCAGGCACCTAATATTTCATCAGTATTCTGAGGTGTTTTGCTTTTTTTTCTGTCTCTCATTCTGAATGAAAAGCCGATGATACTATTGTCCAGAATACACCCAGAGTTGAGAGGGGAGGCTTATTTGAAGAGAAAAGTGACACTGAATTAACACTTTTGAATTTGGTGTAAAAGTCAGACAGCAAGGAGAAAATGTCCAGGAGTCAGTGAGAATGGCACTTAGGAGGCAGAATGGCTGGGATATCAGTAGGTGAGGGAGCCATTTCTGTAAGAGATGGCTCAAGCTGCGAGACTATGGGACCGTCAGTTGGAGCAGTGCAGGATGAGGAGTTCCTGCTCATCTTACTTGGAAGGCTCCTTTCGCCATGTGCTCTTGATAATTCCCAGATGCTGTGGCTGAGAGCTCCTATCCATTGGTGCTGCTGTGATAGTGTTGGTTTTTTCCACCTGGAGAGAACTAAACCCCTCCTCCACTTCTCCCATTACCTCTGTCTTCGTCTCAGATAGAATGGATGGAAGTTAGATGTAACGCCTGCTTCACTGGAGGTGTCAGGGGACCGTCCTTATTGGACAGCAAGCCTAGTGGGCACCTTTTCATCACAGATTCTACTTTTCTCCTGACACAGGCATTGAATGCCCCAGAGGAGCCCGAAACCTCCCAGGCTTGGTGCAGGAAGGAGAGCCCTTCAGCGAGGAAGCTACACTTTTCACCAAGGAACTGGTGCTGCAGCGAGAGGTAGGACATCTTCCTGTTGCTTCTTCTGTGAGGAGGGGTGACAAAATAAGGCTCCCTTGGTCTGCCATGTCAGAGATCAGTCTGTTGTTTTTTCCACTGCTCAGCCTTGCACATCCATAATCCATTCTTGTGTCTGCCCACATCTTATTTCCCTGAGCGCTGCTTCATTGGCCAGCCACCCCCAAATTGCTCCCCTCCACTGGTGGCCTGGGATGTGTGGTGGACACCAGGCCAGCCCAGCCAGACTCCTGATGCAGAGAGCTTACATCTTTGCATTCTTCCTCCTTGGTGTATTAGCCTGAGTTGCCTGTCTCCAGCTGGATTTAGAAGCTTGACTAACCCTGTCAGGGGCCAATTTTCTTTGAACATTTATTTGTATCTTTGAGTAATTGTATTTTCTGTAGCGGGTTTTCTGACTTAATTTAATTGTATTTCTGTTTCTGCCTGTTGGGCTGGCTCTTGCATGCAGGAGTTAGGATCTCAGCTGCTGTGGTGCCCTTCTACCTGCTAATTTTGCTCAAGCCTTCATCAACAGATCCATCTTCTTTCCAGGAGTATGCCAGCCATTTGTCCTGCTAGGTGGGCACAAGAAAGGAGCAGCAGGGAGGTGTGCTTGGCTCAGCCTTAGGATTTTTGAATCTGCCATTGTCCCCATTTCTTTTACAGTCATCTATAGGGTCCCTCCAGCTTTCATAATACTCACAGAGGTACAAGATTATAGGGTCCTAGAGGCTGTCTCTCTAATGAGTCTTCGTAGATCTTTGAGAGCAGATGCGTGGACTTCTTTAGGATGCTCAGTGATAAAAATACCTGTTTGTAAGCTTCAGCCTCTCAAGCTGATTTGAATTGCTAAGAAATACATGAGGCGTGAGAGAACAAGAGAACACGCCACTCCGAGATGCTTATGTTGGACTATCCTGGCCTTGAGAGAAGTGTTGGTTGCCACCTCTTTGATTCTTTACTGCTTGCCTTCTTATTTTGTAGAAGAAAGTGGAGTGGCCTAACAAATCCTGAATTCTCAGTTCCATTTCCCAAACATCAGCTACAACAATCTGGGTATCACATCTGCTTTGTTGGCTATCTGTACAATGATTGGGGGATTGGGGGGCTTAATTGTATCATCAGATTCACATTGCCCTCCATTTTATTTTTTGTGAAGATGCATGCAAAGTAAAAATCCTTATATTGACATGGAAGGTGCTTCCCCCTCTCCCGTTTTGTAGTTACACAATGCTGCCTGAATTTTTATCAATTAAAAATAACCCCGTGCAAGAGAAGTATTTCAAAAATCCAAACACTCCAGTTGTCTATAAGTGCCTGTTGCAGTTTTTGAAGTGGGCCAGGGATTAAGTGGATGGGGCAGATATTGTAGAATTTCCCTCTAATTTTGGATAATGAACTGCAAAGTAACTATGTTGGTAAAAGCAGGTGAGTCTGTTCAAATTCATAACTTAAAGACATTGTGAAGGATGCAGCAACAGACTTTTGTTTGTTGTGCTTTGGATGGAGGAAGGAAATCCCTTCATTAGATTGCCCAAGACATCGGTTGATGGCATTCTCATCATTTACTGTCTAAGTCAAATTTCTCACCATCATTGTCTTCCTACTGTTTCACATCTCCTAAAGTTTCTTTCCCATTCTTTTTCAACTGTCTTTTTCCCAACCACCTTTCTTCCTGATCATGTTTCTGGCCCACTGATGAGATCCAAAAGTACAAGGGGATCAAAGAGAATACTGATCACTAAAAGGAGTGAGTGGCCCAAAACTCTTTTACTCTCCCATGGTTATTGCGACCTTACCTTTGTCTTATATTTGCTAATACCTGACTGTTGAAAAAGATTAAAATTTTCCCCAGTTTTCTTTGGGGAAACTCTTTGGTGCTCTTGGTATGTAATTGAGTTTGCAGATTCTTAGTCTAACCCAGAGTTGATCTTTCTTGATTATAGTGGCCCCATCTTTCATATCCCTAGGTTGAGGATCTCAATAAGAACCTTTCTGCATTTTCTTAGCTACTTATATGATTACTTGGGTTGGCTGTTTTGAAAGTTCTTTACACTGAGAAAATGTGAGTATGTCCTAAACTATGAATAATTCAAAAATCTGACTAAAAGATCCAGTAATACCCTACTGTCCTGAACATTTCCTTTATATTATATATGAAAACTGTTTTCTGAACAGTGTAGGAATGGAGAGGTTTGTGTTTTGTTACAGGCTTATTCATTTACTTTTACCTATGTAGTACCTCCATTTTTATTTCATAAGTTGTCTTGGGGAATGCTTCTCTTTGTCCTACTCCCCCAACCCCACAAAGATCTAGCAGAAGAGGAAAGTCCCAGTACATTGGTACTCCTGGATGCAGAGGTCCTTCCCGCCCTCAGCAGAAGTCCTGAGCAATGCATGGATGCCTGAATGTGGGCCCACGACCTCCCACCTCATGCAGCTCTTACCTTCCAGGCAGCCTCTATCTTGCCCACAGTGCACGACAGTGCAGGAACTCTCCTGGAGCTGAGCCACCGCTGGGATGGCCGCAGTTGAACTGGTTTTTTGTGCCTTTTACCTGTTCCCTTGATCATGAGTTTTAGCTCAGATAACCAGGTATTTTGAAGACGTGATTGTCCTTGGCCCTGCCCCATCCCTTCCCTTTAAAGTTTTAAATTTTTTTCATGTCTTTTCTTTGGCCAGAATTTCTCTATCCCCTGCATGCCTTCCTCGGTTACCATAAATCTGCATTATCCTAGGAAAGATGAAGCCCACAGATTGTACGATTTCAGAGTACTTCCTGGGCCCCTGTGTGATCCGACAGAGGCCTGGTCATCAAGTTGGACTTCCCTATGTGAAACCATAAACTAACCTGAGGAAGATACTGAGGGGAGAGGGGCTGTGTAACGGTGACTGCCTCTAGGCCAGCCTTCTGCCAGGCAGAGAACAGGAAGCTGGCATGCAGGGTGTCTGGCACTGGTAAAATGACACCATGTTTGTAAGTGCATTGTCCTGGCTTTTGGTGGGCCGTGCAGGAGTTCCTGCCTGAATTATAGTCTTTCCATCTCATATCTTCATGTGGAGCCCTCAAGCTTTAGACAAGTCTTTTATCTCCGTTTTCAGGTGGCTCCCATTATCTTGAGACCTCATAATGCTGCTTTCCTTAAATTTGTTTTACACTGACGCTAGTCAGCACAGAGCTACTCACATTTCTGGCCACCACTCGGCTCCATTATCTTGACTTCTCTCCTGCCCTCTTACGTTGCATTTCTTCTTTTACACCACTGTTTTACATGTTGCTCCTCCTTAGCCATTGGTTCCTGTTGGCTTTTGTTCTTTTACCTGAGTTGGAAATCTGGGAAGACAATTCCAACTCAGTGGTCTGGGCATTCTGGTGGTGCTGCCAACCCCAGGGCAGGAAGAACAGTGAGTGAGATACTGTGCCATTACCTGCTTCTCCAGCCTTGAAGCCCAAAGCAGCCAAATAACTCTCAAATGACGATCACTTTTACTCAAAAAAAAAAAAAAAAAAAAAAAAAAAAAAAAAAAACAGTAAATTCAGTCTTTCTTTCTAGCCTGACTCCGCTGGTATTTAGGACAGGTGGGCAAATCTGTGCCACTGCCAGTTTTTACAATAAAGTTTCATTGAAACACAGCCATGCTAACTCTGTTTTTTCTTGTTGTTTGATTGTTTGAAACGGAGTCTCGCTCTGTCGCCCAGGCTGGAGTGCAGTGGCGCGATCTCAGCTCACTGCAACCTCTGCCTTCTGGGTTCAAGCAATTCTCCTGCCTCAGCCTCCCAAGTAGCTGGGATTACAGGCCTGCACCACCATGCTCGGCTAATTTTTTTTTTTGTTTTTGTATTTTTAGTAGAGACGGGGTTTCACCATATTGGCCAGGCTGGTCTCGAACTCCTGACCTTGTGATCTGCCTACCTCAGCCTCCCAAAGTGCTGGGATTACAGGCATGAGCCAACCGCGCCTGGCCTGGCCATGCTAATTCTTTCATGTATTGTCTATAACTGCTTTCATACTATAACAGCCGAGTTGTGTAGTTACGACAGAGGCTATATGGCTTGCAAAGCCTAAACTATTTACGATCTGTTCCTTTACCAAAAAGTTTGCTGACTACTGCTGCATATGGTATGCTGAATTGGGTTTAAATGGCTTGTAATAGCCCTGAAAATTTAAGTTGGCTCTCCTGTCCCCTGCCGTTGAGGCTGGACTGCATGAGATTATTGTATCTGTTGGCTGTAGCTGTGACTATGAGCTGAGTGCCATGTCCCATTGGATAGCATGTACTTGGTGACCCCTGACCCACATACAGCTGACTCTTTAAGGCAGTTCCCTGCCACACAGTCAAGGACAGGAAGATCTGGTGTGATTTCCCAGATGGGGAGTTGTGCCTATTACTAGCATCCCCCAGAAGTAGTGAGAGATAGCATTAGCTAATGGGTAAATAACTGGCTTAAAAGTGTAAACTCCTAGGTTTTCACACTCCAGTTTTTATGTGGTCCTGGATATGTGATTCTTTTCTGCCTTGGCATTCCTGTCTAAAACACTGATCTAGCAATCCCAAGCCACCCTTTCCTTTTTGCGGCCCTTGTTCTGAATAAAACAGTGATTTCATGTCTCTTCTCACTTTCTTCCAGAAGGCAGCTAGCCAGCACATACTCACTGACCAGTTGCTGCCTGCACAGCAGTGTTTTCACTGCTGTGTTGGAGAAACCCGAAGTCTTAAAGGGCCATAAGGTATTATTTAAAGAGATCAGTGTCATAGTTTAACTGTCTTCACAGTTCCAGGCTGTAGGAGGTACAGTTTCTGAGGACAGGGGCAATGTATGTGGGTTTGGTGATCATTTCTAAGGCCTTTTTCGATGACCCCTTTGTCCTTTCTGACACATTAGAATTGCTCTTTGCTGCTGCCTGAAAAATGATGTCCTCATGCTGGACAGCCCCAGCTGAAAACTCAGGCTGCTGCCTTGACCTATTTCCCTTCTCCCTGCTGGCATTAAAAGGGAGGATGCCCCCGGGGAGCTCATTCTGCAGGCTGCAGTGGCCAGGGCAGAGTCCTGGGTTTCCTCTCTCTCCCTTACTCCCTGCTTTAAAAAAAAAAAAAAGGTACAGAAAAACATTATAAGCAACTGTTGCCATTGGGGAAAAAAAAGTATTTACGTTTCAGGGGAATGTGGCCTCAGCCATGAATATTGGTGTGTATTTATGAAGGGGTGTATGTCTGGGAAATAAAACTTAGAATACAAGAAAAAGTGATTTCATTTCTTTCATCGTAGCTCCAAGTGTGCTGTATCGTGTCTGAAATAGATAAACTGCTCTAAGCAGTTTCAAGTTTATCTCAATCTCTGTCCTTCTTGTGCCCTCGGTCCTTTCCCTACATCACCCCACAAGCGCTGTGGTGTATGCTCTCTTAGCCCTTCCCATTCCATCTCTCTGCGCAGGCTCCTTCCCTGTTGAGGAGACCCACAAGAGAGGGAACACTAGCAAAGTTATATCTCTGGATCAAAGGAATGAGGACAGTTCAAGCCACAGGAAATTCCAAGAAAGTAATGGACGCCCAGTGAGGGTGAATCCAGTGCAACCTACTCTCCTGACTCTCCCTGACGGCCATGTCGCTTGGGAACCCTCTCCGAGCCACAAATAATTACCTGCTGGAAAAGCAAGCAGGCTGTCCGGCAATGTTTCATTTATTTTCACAAAGCCCCCTTATTCTAGATTATCTCAGCCACTGCCCAGGAAAAAGGGAACATGTTATGGTCAGCTTTCTAAATAGCTCTCTCATCCCACAAGCTTTTAAAGGCTGTTTGGGGGCTAAGGCCTTTATCACCTCCCCACACATGCTTGACAGTTCATCACCCACCAGTGGTCTTTAATTTCAAGCAGTTTATTCTTAGTTAAGGGCCATATTCTTTGAAGAAGTCTCAGGTAAGAAAAACTCCTGTCTTAATAGCGATCAAACCTTAATTTTATATAGCATTTTCTCATTTTAAAAGTGTTTTCATGCATAATGTTTCATTTTAATCTCACAGCAAACCTATAAGAAAAATATTAACCCTGTCTTACAGTTCAGGACACCAAAATGCACAGTAACTTGCCTCTGTTCACAGAGCTAATGGTAAGACATATACTAAAACTCAAATATCTGCATTCCAAATCAAATGCTTTTTCTCCTCAAATCATGCCAGTTTTGCTTTTAGAAGGCAATAATTCTTTTAGCCATATTTTACCATTTTTCAACCATAGAATATCTGGAACTAGTTAAAGGAATAGTAGAGGACTTCCCTGAAGGTCCCACATTGACTAAGAGTCAGTCTTCTATAGGGCATGGATTCTGATCCTGAATGCTTCCAAGACTGCAGAGGAATTTGAAGAATTTGCTATGCCCATGCCTCCCCTAAATATTTACTCTGCTCTTCCCACAGCTCCTGTGTCTGTTGTCTGATTCCTGCTTCATCTGCTGTTTGATTTTTGTGGGCCTTACTTTTCCCATTTGCTCATGTATGTCTATATTCCTATATCTAATGTTTCTTAAAAGACAAATCTGACTGTGTAGGTGCATTTGTTTAAAAAATATAACTCCCCATTGCCTCTGGGATAAAGTCTTATCTCAGTTTACATATATTCTTGATAACCTCTCCAACTTTATGTCTCACCACCCCCACTCACTTCGTAATTCGTGCCTTATCAGAATGGACCTGTTATACTGGCAGTTCACCATATATACCATTACATTTTGTTTCTCCCATCTCTCAGGTAGACTTACACTTTCGGCCCAGCACATCAGTCATCGCCCTTGCTTGCTTTCCTATTCACTCCTGTTCTGGAAGGTGCACCACCTTTTCTTGGAAGGCTTCCCTTGCTCTCCCAGGCTAGATGAGATGTCCTTCCATCAGTTCCCACAGCACCCTGTGCATGTATCTGTTGTGCACTTACCAATAGTATACAAGGGATCTATGACCCAAGTCTCTCCCCACTAGCTTGTAAGCTCCTCACAGACAGGAACCATGTTTTGTCTTTGTACTCCAGTGCCTAGTATATAAGAGATACTCAATAAATAAATATTTGTCAAATCAACTAATTGATTCCTTGTGACCTAATTCTAGAGAATGGGAAGAAGGCCTGTTATTTTGTTGTCCTTTATGGTTCTTTAGGAAAGCTCTCCAAGCTTGGCATTTGTCAGGGTGGGAGGAAAACTGTTGAAGTATTAAGACTGGACACATGGCTGCTAATTCATCAGCTTATCATTGAAAAAGTCCATAGCCAAAACCTGACTGTGCACTTACTATAGGACCCTGACCTGCCTGGGTCTCCCTGTCTCTCCAGCCAGTATATTTAAAGGTAATGAGATAATGATGAGTGTTTTGAAAAATGTTTAGTGTTCAAATAGAAACCATTCGTGTCCCTTCACTCTCTGAACATAGTCTGCAAATCTCTCCCTCTCTGGTATGTTTCTGTTTTGTGGATTAGACTGCTAAATAAGCGAAGAGTTAATTTTGAAGTTCAGGTCAACAAATTCCTGTTTGGAGACGGGCTGTTCCTGAATACCAGGTTGTTATCTGTCTATTACAGCCCCTTCACTTCTGGGCTCCTGGCCCTTTGCGAAGTACTTCAGAAAGCCTAGAGAGAAGAGAGGGCCCTCAAATCCCATTCCAGCCCCTAAATGAAAGTGGCATCACAAGGAGAAAAGTGGAGGTAGAAATGTACCATGGGGGACGTTGCCCCATTGCCTTTCTTCCCCTGACTACTGGGCTTCCTCTATCAGCTTTTAACGCCTGGAAGTAGCTGAGTCTCCAGTCACTGGTGGCCTTCCCCAAGTGAGCTCAGCAGCATGTGCTAATAGGTGCCAATACTGTGCTGGCTCCAGTGGGATTCCTCTCTGCAAAGCTGCTGGCTTAGCTTGACTGTTTCCCTATTCCTCTCCTTAGAACTTTCATAGCCAGTCAAGCATAGAATTGCATCCATTCTTCTGAAATAGGTACTGTGCCTAATTTTTCATTGGCTTGGCCAAGATTCTGTTACCTGTAATTATGTCATATGGGCTGACTGGTGTAGGTTTGGTAGGCCTCACTGCTCTCCAGAGGCTAGTGTTCCTATCCCAGGATGGCTGTTGGGATTAGGAGTGGAATGAGGAATAGTTTAGGACCACAAGAGATTTGGCCTCCTTGGAACATGTAGGAAGGCCTCAAGGATGTAATTCTAGCCCAGGGAAGAAAATCCTTTTCAGCAGACGCTTCCCTTCCCTTCCCCTAGGGAATGTGTCCCTACTATAGTAAACTCTTCCTTAAGAGAGTTTTATGTTTTCTCTGTCAGATCAATTTGTTTTTCTTAATGTTGTTCCTATCAAAAAAAAAAAAAAGGAAGAAATACAGTCCTCAGACCTGACAGTTTCATTTTTCCCCCCAAGTAGAAGCAATAGAAACCTTAGCAGTTCCAAGACTCCTGGCACTCACTTTTCCTCTCCATCTTTAGGTCTAACCCAGCTCAGCCCAGAGTAAAGACATAAAAGCCTCACATGTGATTTCCTCTTGCATTTTTTCTGCTAGAAGGGTCCACAGTACTTACTTTATGCCTCATCTCAATTGAAGCTGGATGATGAGGATAGTGGGCAGTGATTGCAATTGGGGAATGCATGTACTGGATCACATAAGGTCATGAAAGTCCTTGAAACAGAGCCTTGCCAAGCAGAACCCTTGCCACTCATGGTATTCGATACAGTCTACCCATCTGACATGAAATGATATTCTTAATGAGCCATTCCTATGGAAGATAGCTATTGCCAGGCACATTCAGTCTCCTGGTCTCCCTCTCATAGCTATGTAGGGCCTATGACCTAGAATAAATGGAAAAATGTTATCAGGAGGAAGAGACTGCTGGACTCCCCTGAGAGGTAGGGTTTGTGCTAGGAGAGCTGGGTGCCATTTATTTCATTTTGATATATCAGGTGCTCCTAGTAACAATTCCTAGTTTCTCTTACCTCTGTAATCATCCTGAATAGTCACTGCTTCTTGAGCTTTGGTGAGTGTTCTCTAAAAAAAAAAAAAAAAAAAAAGGTGGAAGCTAATATTTTTAATAACAAAGGGCTGAAGAAAAGCAGCTCAGAATTTTTATTTTTCAGGTGAAATACCTATTGTGAAATCTGTTAACTTCCTTCTGGAAGCCTAATTTGGTAGTATCTACAGACAAGCAGATAATTTCTTGACAAACTAAAGATGACCTCACACAGACCTGCCCACTACTTGTTTTCAGAAGAACTTCTGAACCCAGAGCATTGGCCAACACCCATACAGACTTGAGTGTGAGCTTGCTTTGCTTTTGCTTCTTTTTTTTTTTTTTTTTGAGACAGGGTCTCACTCTGTCGCCCAGGCTGGAATGCAGTGGCACAGTCATGGCTCACTGTAGCCTCAACCTCCCAGGCTCAGGTGACCCTCCCACCTCAGCCTCTCAAGTAGGTAGGACTACAGGCCCGTGTCCCCATGCCCAGCTAATGTTTTGTTATTTTCTGTAGAGACAGGCTTTCACCATGTTGCCCAGGCTGGTCTCAAACTCTGGGCTCAAGAGATCTGCCTGCCTCAGCCTCCCACAGTGCTGGGATTACGGGCATGAGCCATTGCACCTGGCAAGTGAACTTTAATGTGGTATGTTTGGAGTGTCTTCAGGCTTCAGGCCTCCCTGTTCCGTTTGTCCTAAACATTGCAAGCCATGCCCATTGTCTGAATATCCCCTATGGAATTACATAATTCAACTCATATCTTTTTAGAACACAGCTCTTAATGTATAATAGCAAGGCTGCCTGAGCCACCAGCAGAGCACAAGCAGACTGTAGATGGCATTTTTTCTCCAGGTAATACTAACGTTGTGGTGTTTCACATGTGACTCGCCCAAGGACAGAGGGGCAACTGTTCTGGTGGATGAGCTGACCTTTACCCTGCCCTGTTCTTGCCATTAGCATGCCCACTCCCTGTGTCTGTTGCCAAGGACTTGAAGAGAACCTCCGTGTTCCAAACCTGGCTTTATTGATGAACTTTCCACTTGCTACTCCACCCGTGACGGTTTCTGGTCAGCTGCACTTAAATGGATTTTGAAAATGAAAGTGACCAATGGTCTGTTATGAAATGCTGCGGTGCATGAAATAAGATTATGAGCAAGCTTGAGAATTAAGAACAGAGATACCCTAACCTGGTCAAAACAACATGTTTCACATAGTGAGAAAGGAATAGCTCATTCTTAGTCTCTTCTTTAGGACATTTAAGGGCATCTTTTCCTTCTTAATGAAACTCTGTTAGCATGTGAAAAGTCAAACCTAGGTTCTCATTCCACTTTCACCATTTGCTGTCTGACCATGCACACATCCCTTAGCCTCTCTAAACCGAGGGCAATCTCAGTGCCTATTAGAATTTAATATGAACGCTATCCCTAGCATTGTGCAATGCAGCCATCCTGCTAAACCTAATTGCCTCACCTATGTAAGGAGGGTACCTTCTCACTAGGGTTACTGTGAAAATTAAGTGTATGTGTAAACTGTTCCTCACAACCCAAGATATTAAACACTCAGTGAATGGTAGCTTACAGCATCATTTTTATTATTAATAGAAATTCTCTCAGCCGGGCACAGTGGCTCACGCCTGTAATCCCAGCACTTTGGGAGGCCAAGGTGGGCCGATTACCTGAGATCGGGAGTTCAAGACCAACCTGACCAACATGGAGAAACCCCGTCTCTACTAAAAATACAAAATCAGCTGGGCATGGTGGCACATGCCTGTAATCCCAACTATTTGGGAGGCTGAGGCAGGAGAATCACTTGAACCCAGGAGGCGGAGGTTGCGGTGAGCCAAGATCGCACCACTGCACTCCAGTCTTGGCAACAAGAGCGAAACTCCATCTCAAAAACAAAAAAAAATAAAAGAAATTCTCTCAGGGCTTAACTGAAATTTAGGACTTGAACTTCAGTATGTACAAAACCAGAGTAGAGTTCTAGGCTGGATCTAGGTATGTGTGTTGTGAGCAGCATTCAGATTAGAATCAACAAAGAACAACCCTCCCAGTGCTCTTCACTCCCCCAGCCTGTCTAAGCCAGTGATGGCACATATGCATATGCTACCCCTATTCGGGTTGTCCACCCATGGCAGACATTGCCAGTCAGTCACCGCGCTGCTTTGGCTGAGGGCTCAGATCCTTCTCAAAACAGGGATCCTCGCTACTACTACCAGTTGAGAGGATTTGGCACTTAACGGAAACCTATTTTCCATCCTTGGTCTAAGTTTGCAAAGGATTATTTATTTAAGTACCCTCAGGACATCAGCCAGTCTTTTATTCTGTGAAGTAAAATAACATAAGGTCTCTTTGTCTCTGATTCCTCATGGTCCCACACATTAGGCAGTATTACATTCAGTGGAAAACCAAAGGTCTGGAGATAATGCCAGCAAGTCCTAACCTATGCAAGATGCCTTTTCTAGACTTGGCTATGGACTGATAAGGTGATCACCAAGGGAGGGGTGACACCAGGACTCCACACATACCTCATGGATGTCTAAGGAATAATGGTTTGACCATCTTTGCAGTGTTCTCCACTTGCCATAGGGGTATTTGGAGACTAATCTGCCAACAGTGAGGGCTCTCTGCTTTTTCTGTTGATGCAGGTCCTCTGTGACATTGTCACAGCAACTTGAAAATGAGGGATACGGGTATGAACTAACTAGATCCTGGCTGGTACAGGCTTCCTTATCCTCTGACAGAATAGCAGTGCTCCTTTGTGTCTCCATACTTTCCTACCATGACCACAACAATCCAGGATTGCCATAGATTTGTCCTTGACCTGCATTAAGTTGAAGAGTTGGAAGATAGATAGCACAGTGCCAGCAGAAGCACTAAAGAAAGAACTAGGTGGTAACACAGGCTGGGCACAGTGGCTCACACCTGTAATTCCAACACTTTGGAGGCCGAGGCAGGGGGATCACATGAGGCCAGGATTTCAAGACCAGCCTGGCCAACATGGCGAAACCTTGTCTCTAATGAAAATACAAAAGTTAGCCTGGTGTGATGGCACATCCCTGTAGTCCCAGCTACTCAGGAGGCTGAGGCCAAGAATTGGTGGCAGAGGTTGCAGTGAGCCGAAATCGTGCCACTGCACTCCAGCCTGGGCAACAGAGCCAAGACTCTCCAAAAAAAAGAAGAAAAAAATGAAAATGAAAAAGAAAAATCTAGGTGTTAAACAAGACTGAAAAGGATAGGAAAAGGCCTCCAAGAAGAAGCGTTTGGGTCACTGTAGCAAGAACAGGTACCTCTTGAACCGAGAATGAAAGAAGGAACTGGAAACTGCTTCACTGTGCTGTTTTCCTTTTCAGCTTAACATATGCCTTCCTCTTCTCCCCTTTCCCTTCTCTTGATGCAGTCGAATTCTTTTTAATGGTTACCAGAAAAGGATTTGGCATTGGGTGTACAGCTAGAGGTGGAAGATCATGCAAATAAGACCAACAGGTCCCTCCATTCCCCACCAGCAGCCTGCATGTGCCATTTCACTTCACACATCTCTATAATGCTTGCGGTGCTGGGGTGCCGTTACCTCTCCAGTTAAATAAATCTCAAACCACCGACCCAGGGTTTTCATAGCAGTGCTGCAGCCATATATGAGGAAATGCAACAAACAGTCCATTAGCACTGATTGGATATGGATTTTTGGCCTGGCCACCTGCCACTTGGTAATTTTAGAATAGGGTCACTTTTGGAATTGAAGATGCCTTGTGGGAGGGGACTGGTGTTTGCTAAATAGCTGTATCTTACCATCATGCCCTTTCACAGCCAAGCTCCCTACCTCTGGAGTGAGGGGCTGGTCTCGTGGCCTGCCTGGCAGAGAGGGCTAGAGCTCCTTCTTCATCAGCTTCCAGGGCTGCAGACGTGGCCATTTCCAAACACCCAGGGTGCACTTAACCACTTCCTCCTCCTAATCTCAGCATTTCCACTCTAACACATCAGCAGCTTTGTAACTTACTTTCTTTTTTTTTTTTTTTTGCCCTATGTTTTGGCCCTTGATGTATTTGTGGGAGGAAGATGGGTAGACTGGCTAACTGTGATATCAACTGATTTCTGAATGATACAGTTATACCCTGAGTCAGTTTCTGGAGATTAAGCAAGGGTGCCAGGAGCGTTGTGAAGGGCTCTCATTGTTTTTACATGTCAGTGACTGCCTGCCTTGGTTTTGCCAGCTGCAAAATGGAAGAACTAAGCCCTCTTTTGCCTAGAGAATGCTAAAAGGTGAATACTCAGGTGTGGTGGGGAGGTTTCTAAGGACACCCAGACCCCAGATGATGCACTAAGAGTGCTGTGTGACCTGAAGAGGGACCTCTGGTCAGAACATTTTTTTCTGTCACCAGCAACTGAATAATTATGCCCAGTTGGTAGAATAGGAGAACTGTTGGCCTGGGACCCTGAGATCTGACCATGATGTTCCCCATTGGACTAAACTTTGGCCAATATTTCCTTTTCTCTATGCCATGAAATCTTTTGCATTGCCTTTTTCTGGACATGAGTAGAGTACTGACTTTGGCTTCTGATAAGCAGCATATCCTAAAGAGAATCTGTCCCAGAGGACTTAGGGGTTCCTTCAGTCTTTGCCGCTCTGGTTGCACTATTCCTGAGCTAAAGATGAAAACAGACATCAGATGTTCATCTTTGTGTTATGGGTTGTTATCCCCAGCCATCATAACCGTGTGTCTTATTTCCTGGTTGTCTGCATAAGGCCGTATTTACATAGAGTTTGCAATCTTGCCTGTGTGGTCAGTATCCGTTTCACCCTAGGTTTACAGCCAGACCTCTAACATTTGGACCCAGGCCTCTGATATTCATGCCATGTCTTTTGCCCAGAGTGTTTAAAAGGACAGGCCTGTGCCCTAGCTGCCGTAATCTTTGTTATTTTCAAGTACGAAGCAAGATAGCTTTGCCTTATTTGCTGTCTGTCTATATTTTCTGGGCATGTCAGCCAGGGAGTGAGGTTAGTAAGGTATAGCTAGAGATTGCCCTTGAAGCTTTTGATTCTTGCTTTCCTGTCCAGAATTATAGTCAGTTGTTGAGATAGCCTATCCCAACACCACTAACGTGTGACAACTTCAAAAATTCATGAGGCCTTGGGATTCACAGCACCTCTCAATAATCTAGCCTTGTATCAAGCGAAGTAGCCCTGTTGGAGCATTGCCAGCATGTGAGGTGCAGAGGGGCCCTCCGTAGCCAGCCCTTCAGCCCTTCCAGGTGTGAGAAAGGGCTCTTCATGCCACACTCACATGTGCACCCACGCATGCCTAACACCCAGTGACTGGAAGACTGCCTCCAGGGAAATACATGCAGGCTTACACCGCCCAGACAGTCTTTCATCTGTCCTTCCTCTTTCATTCTTTCACCCGCCCCCTTGTGTTTCTGTAATTTGTACAGTATCGTTGAAAGGTGTTGAAGAGATCAATAGCAATTCACCTTTTCCCTTATTGATTCAAGTGATGGCAAGAAAAAATGGCAGGCAGTACCAATTCATTTGTCATGAGCTATCCATTTCCTACCAAGCCACCAGTGACCTCTCCCAATGCCTGTTAGGTTGCTGATTTACAGTTGGGATTACTTCTTTTTCCAACCTGCTTTGATAGGAATGAGAGAACCACTGTGTTTGACTCCTGTAATCAAAGCTGGGTGAAGAAGGAGACTGCAGGTACTGAACAGGAAAACTGCTGTGGAGCCTGGTCTCCAACTCCGAGGCTTGCTTTATTTGAGGAGCTCCCCACCTGTGCTGGGCTCTCTAGCAGAGGCAATACGGCATCAGCTGATGGAGCTGCAGTCTCCCCCAGCACTTCTCAAGTCCCCACCCCCAGCCCCCGACCTTTTTCTAAAGGACACAGCCTTCCTTTGTTATCTTTTTCCACAGAATGTAAAATGAGTGTGCTGAGTGAAAAGTCCATGACCCCTGTGAACTGGCTCTGCTTTTGCCAAAGGTGCAAAGGTTTGTCATTCCCTTCATGAGCCTTCAAGTAGTAACTTCAGCTGACCCTGGGGGAATGTGAGGTGCCCAGGGTCTGGCCTTAGCAGGGCTGTGGGTGAAGGAAGTGTTCTTGTTCTTAGAGGGTTCTGTATCCACCAGGAATGTAGAGTGGAGACAGTTCTTCTCAGCTTCTTTTTCTGCCCTAGAGAAACAAGCATGGGAAGGGTGCGTGCGTGCGTGCGTGTGTGTGTGTGTTCAGCCTCACTGGGAACAGTATCTTGACTTTCACTTGGAAAAGGTAATGGTGGATCCTTGTGTGTGTGTGCGTGCATGTGTGTTTTGACCAGCCTCACTGGGAACAGTCTCTTGACTCTCATTTGGGGAAAGGTAATGGGGTATCCTCCCCCCACCTCCCAAATAGGACAGTTAGCTGCCACACACTTACATGCACATTTTAAAAACTGTGCATTGCGAATGGCAAATATGTATTAGTTCACTCACCTGGTGGGAGGACCAGGGTTCTTTGAATCCCAGGACTCTTAAGAGGGAAGTTGGCACTGACTACAAAGCCAAAGCTTGGCTAACCCAGCTGCTGCTTCTCCTTTATGTACCATATTTTGAAGGTTGTTGGTTCTTACACAGAAGCAACTGTTGTCCCCCACACCCAGTGTGGTCACCAGGCCCTCTCAACTCCCATCAGTGCTGAAGTTTGCTGCTGTGGCATAAAGTGAGCCAATTCCCAGAAACTCCTGCCTATGTAGACTTTTGGCAGAGAGGCTGCATTTGGAGGGCTACCTGGAAGAGAACCCTGCTCAGCCACTTACCTGAGTGGGCAGTTAATGGTGAGCAGTGGGAGTGGCAGTTCCCAGGGCTGGTTGTTGCCAGCATGGAGGTCGCAGTCTTTGTGTCAGCCCGAGCACACAGCCAGCCTTCTCCGGAGGAGCACTGCCATCTCAGTCTTGTTTCCTGAGCGCCGAGTGGGTTGAGGTCACTATTTTAGATGCCCCTCTCCCAGTAGCGAGATTTTGTTAGAAACCCAGTGTTGCTGTGTCAGGTAGCTCTGCAGTATGCGGATGCCAGGCCTGGAGAAGGCAGCCAGCTCTCTGTGAAGCTGGTTAATTACATGTGAAGCTGCCAGCAGGACAATTGTTTTTTTTCCCATGGATCATTAATAAACCATTCTGGCCTGGCAATTCCATCATCTTCCTCAGCTTTGTCAGACGGATCTTCCTCCTTTTTAGTATAAAGCTTTAAAAATGGCTGGGAGTGGCAAGAGGGAGGGAAAAGAAGAATCTACTTCCATTTAATGCACATGTTTTTCCCTAAGCTGAAAAGTGGCTCCCTGCTTTCAGATCATCTTGGCAGCCAGAATACAAAGGGTTCAAGGCTTGCCATGGGTGGGAAGTGGCTCGGCTCCTAGTATTTGCAGCAAACTACAGACCAGGCCTGATATGGAGACGAGGCAACTAGTGCAGCAGATGGCAAATAGTCCTGCTCCACTGGGGCTCCAGATATGCACCATCTTCTTCCTTCAGCCAAGGCAGCCTCATTCCTGCTATGCCTGAGTACAGAAAGCATTTCTGGTTTTTTAGAAACTCCTTTTTTAGGCAAAGATGGAAGAAGGCAAAGCAAATATTATATGGGAAACTCAATCTAGTTATAGACGTTTCTTTGTCAAACAAACTAAAATAGAGCTTTTCCTTTGTTGGTTAGAAAAATTTAGGAATGGAAATCTACATTTCTCCAAAGAGCATTGAGTGCAAAGATAAAAACCAAATTATAAATAGAAGTGAGTATGACCCATTCAGTTTCCAAGGACTTGAGCATACAGCCTTCATAATACTGAATTATAGCCTTTCATAGATAGAAGGGATCTAGAGGTTATATAGTCCAATCCAAACATTTCACAGTAAATGAGAAAACTGAGGCATGAAGAAGTTCATCACTTGATGTGCACTTTCACATGGTAAATTTCATGGTAGAGCCAGTCTCCACATTCCTACTGTATTGCTCTTACCTTTATCCCCACAGTGCCTCCCAGACAACAGCCTCATCATCCACCTGAAGTACAAGTAATAATTTGAGAATATGACAGTGGCATATAAAAGGGAGTAGGTGATGTGATGGAGGCAGACAGAAGAGGTAAGCGGGTGCATTCTCTTTAAATTGTATTATTTTAGTGAGAAAAGGATGGGAGCCTAAGTTAGAGAAGTCATCCAGGGCTTTGGCCTTCTGTAAGGAAACTCCTCCTAGACAGGGTTGCAAAGATAACTGCACACAGATTGAGAACGTGTGCTAGAGGAGGAGTACAGGTGTCTGACAGACCTGGAATTTTCCATCGCTTTCCCTGATATGTAGTTGTAGAAAAGCTGCTGTCTATTCGTGCCAAATCCAAGCTTCAGATAAGCCCGGAGGAAACCAAGGAGTGCTAAACTCTTACAGGTTGGGGGCTTTTTCTTTCCTTTTTTTTTTTTTTTGGAGGGGGGTTGCATTGTTTTGATTTTTGAATTGAGAGAGTTGTGGGGAGGTCAAAATGCCCATCCACGATTGCCCTCGAACTCCCTAGGTGGGACTCCAGCTCAAGCACTCTGTTCTGGTCAAGTTGAGGCAGGGCACAGGGTGGGCCCATGAGTGCCATCCCTTTCCTCTGGTATCCCATGCCCCTGGACCCACTCCCTCTACTCTCCCATGAGGCTGATGCAGGACTCATGCCATGCTGTCAGGGTCTGGGGGTTTCTCCCACCCTGTAGCAGAGGCAGGTTACCCTTCTTGTTAGCAGTGATGTCTGTTCGTCTTTTAAGGGGTTGTCCAAGTGGGGGAGGAACAAATCATATTTTCCAGCAATTTAATTTTATTAACTCTGATTTTTTTCCCCTTTTCCAAAGCACAGCTAAATGGAGCTAAACATAGACATGAGGGCTATATTTAGTCCTGATGGTGTGGTAGAGTAGAGAAGGCACAAACACAGAGGTTTATCTGCTACCTAGTAAATATGGGGAGGTGTCAGGACTGTAGAATTCAATAGTAATAATAAGCATTTTTATGGTGCAATGACAGCTTTGATACAGGGCATAATTTTCTCAGGATTGCTATTAATTGTGCTTCTGCCTATGAGCGGCCCCCTGGTGAGGGGCTTGGAACACCACACAAGTTAAGCTATATTAAACATCAATTAAAACAGCATAAAATAGAAACTGAATAAAATATGCAAAGGTCAGAGTGGCTGTGAACATGCAGACAAGGTACTGGGGAAAGAAGGGTTAGGGCCTGGTGAGCCTGGTGCACTGGCGGATTCATACTCCCAGCTGCTGTTAGCTTCTTTGGAGCCCAGGTTTAGTAGGTTTGTTGGAGAGTGAATTATGGGACCCTCTAGCTTTTCCAAGTTCAATTATCCTCAAAGGGGTTTCGGAAACTACTCATTGCAGGCAGCAAGAGATGGAAAAAGACAACCAGATTCTACCAGTGCTGTCCAACAGAACTTTCTATGTTGGTGGAAATGTCCTTTGTCTCTGCTGTCCAGTACAGTAGCCACGTAATGGATATTGAGCACTTGAAATATGGTTTATACAACTGATTAATAGAATCTTTATAAAATTTAAATAATTTCAAGGTAAATAGCCACATGGGGCTAGTGGCCACCTTATTAGACAGCATAGGACTCTAGACAAGTCCCCTGCACATTGTGCATTCTGGCAATGTTAGGTTTGCATTGTGTTCTTCTGAAAAAGTCTGCACCTTCCCCCATGCCAGTGAGTGTGTTTTCTCAATAACTTTTTTTTTTTTTTTGACCCTTATCTCTCATGCTCTTGACACAAACTTCCACATTTTTTCATAAGGGTCACACACGATGCCAAGAAATGAGAAAGGAGTCAATGCCGGATCAAGTCAGACAACCTTGTCCTTATCCTTGCCTCCTTTTCTCCTGAGAGCCCCTAGTCAATCTAATACCAAGTGTTTCCCACTCCCAGAGAGAAAAGAAGGGAATGGCTTTGGATCTCTGGCTAAAGATCACAGACTGCGGAGTCGTCACTGTTCCCACTGAACATCTGATTAAGTTGCTGAGTCTGACCCTTGAGTTTCCCAGAACTTGCCAAGATTCAGAATTCCCAGATCATCCAGGCAGCACGCTCCTGACAGTCTTTGGTCCTTTTGGCACCTGAACTGAAAATCCCTTTTCCCATAGCTCTTTCAACACTTGTTGAATGCTTATAATGAATCCATTCATTAGGATGACACAGTATAGTGGAACAAAGCACTACACCTGTAATCAGAAATCCCATGTTTAAGTCCTGACTCTTCCATTTACTATCTCTGTGACCTTGACAAAATCATTTCACCTCCCTGAGGCTTCATCTTCCCCAATAAAAATGAGTGTTTTGGACTAAATGACCTGTGGGTACTAAGAGGATGAAGAAAAGAGAGCCAGAGAAAGAGGCCCTTATTGCAAAGCCTGTCTTCCACATAGCCTCCCCCTTCTGATGTCAGCCTGCATTTAAAGCAGCCCTTTCCTGAGGCCACGGAGAGGCTTCCAGTGAGTCTAGTTACCACTCACCCCACCCACAGGTTGTTCAGCACCAGAGACACCATGAGCCAGACTGCATGGCATTACTGCCTCTGGTGGTTATTGTACTCATGTGAACCTCAGGGAAGTCAAGACTGGTCCCCTATTACTTTGGCATCCTCAGAGATGCCGTAAGAAGGCAAGAGGTTCCTTGGCTTAGGCAGTGGGTCCATAAAGCAAGAGGGGTTTTGTAGTTACCTGAAGTATGCAGATCTCCATGCTGGCTCAAGGGCTGTTTGCCAGCCTTCCTTTACCCAGTAGTCACTAGTCACTGCTCCAAGGATTGGCCCCAGCCCCCCAGAGCCCCTGTGGAGCCGCCAACACTGCACAGCTCACAAAGGGCCCTGTAGCATCTCTAACTGAGGAGCTGGTGAGCGGACGCCCTCAGCAGAGGTATTTTTAGCTACAATGATACAGCCTCATCTTTTTGCAGGACGTTTTGTTTAGTTATTTTTTTAATGAAATAAATAAGTAAAATTGAAGACTGTGGTACTTACACCCCAGTGCCAACACCCAAGAAGTTTTGGCGCACACTGTCCCCCCCACCCCCAAACACACACACCACAGGCCTATATAATTAATCCTCTCTAAAACCAGGTGCTGAGGCTCAGAGTTTGCCAGAATATTAGGCCACAGAGACAGTGTGTACAGAAGCAAGAAGAGCTAGAAATAGAGTGGAGGAATGATGCAGACTGGCCCAGTGCAGAGGTGCTTGAGGGCCCTGTGAGCTGCCCAGGCAGCTGGTAACTACCCTGGTTCCTGGTGTTCAGACCTTTGATGGATTTGGTGGCTCAAGTGAGTGGGCCTCAACTCCTGGGGAGAGAGTGCCCTTGTAGTATACAAAGGATTCAGTTCTATGCCTTGCTGACATTTTAATGCTTTTGTTTTCCTTCTCTTCATCCTGTCTGGCATGTCACGTTTTCCTTGGCTCTTTTATTGTGTAACATGTGATCAGGGGCTAAAGGACATTCGCAGAGCTTGCTTCAGATCCCAGAGCAGGATCAGGGTAGTGGTTCTTACCCCAGCTGCACATTGGAATCATGGAGTATGGAGGCTTAGGAAAGCTACTAATGCCTGGGCCTCCCTCCAAAGATTCTGGCTTCATCAAGCACCAGCTTTTTAACTTCCCCAGATTTATTAGTTGATACCAAGGAATAACTTTGATAATTTTGGTAGGCATAATAATGGCATTGTGGTTATGTAAGAAAATGAACATATTTTTTAGAGATACATATTAAATGAAGTGTTTAAGGTTGAAAATGGCATCATGTCTGGGATATACTTTAAAATGCTTCCACAAAGAAAAGGGGGATAGAGATGAAGCAAATATGACAACTTTGGTAGTTGTTGGATCTGGATGGTGGTTATATGGAAGTTCATTAGTATCCTATTTTCAGTATTTTGAATTTTTCACATCAGAAAAGGGTTTTAAATATATACATACATTTTATATAAATATATATTAATGTTGAAGCTCCCCAGGCAATTTTAATGTAGAACTAAGATTGAGAACCACTAGTTAGTTTAGGGGATTAAATTTGGATCACCATGCCCTAAAAGATGTGTTTTGTCTTTGGACTTTGTCTAACCTAAGCCTGATTTTTCTGGATAAGTTTTCATGAGTAATCTGGACTCTTGGTAGGTGGGGGACAGGATGGCACAAAGATCAAATTAGACCTGTATCTGGAATCTGACTTCAGGAGCGTACAACTAGACAATATTGTCTCTTCCACTGGATGAACTCACTGTAACCGCCCTGAGAGCTATTATACCTTGGAGTTTACCTGCCTCATCACTTGCCAGCACTGCATGTCCCATCCTATGGACCTCTCTGGCTACACCAGGGCAATGGAAGACAGCTGCAGCTGCATTGTAACACATGCCACAAGAAAGCCCCAGTCCCTTAAGAGTGCTCAGCAGTTTGCCAAGCGGTATTTGCCTAAAGCTGGGGCAAGAGGACTGAAACTTGTACCTCCCCCCATTCCCAGGAGTCCACATGCCCTCAGCTCTGCATCCGTATGTGTATGAGGCCTCTTTTGTGTCTTCAGTGCCTATTCCAACTCCCAAGCACTATTTTGCTCTGGCTGGTCAGCAAGTGGGACGAGCAGCAGCTTGCTGCAGCCAACCTAAATGGAGCTCTGGAGCTCAGGCTGGAAGCTTCCATGCTACATTTACATACCACATCCTTGCTCAGGACCCTAGCTGAGCACCTTTTCATTCAGGGGTAGGCTGCTAGTTCTTCTTTCTTGGGGGGTTTTGTGATTTACACCTAAACATTAAGCTATGAATAGTTTATGTTTTGCTAAGCAATACCGAAGCAGAGGAAGCGTTATGGACTGCCCAGGTCACTCAGCCAGCCCAAAGGTTCGCATGACACCCTCCCTTCCCATTGCCCCTGGACCCCTGAGACAGCCCTTTCCGCCAGTGCCTGCCAGTGCACAAGTCACCCCCTGCACCTCTGTAGAAGGGCCTGGCTCATCTTTGTTTTCCTCACACAGTCAGAGTCAGCGTTGGTCCCACACTGTCCAGTGCTACATCCAGACTCCAAATGAGGGGGTTGCTTCCTCAGCCCAGTCCTAAGAACAAGCCTACTGTGTGGCCTCATCTGTGTTTCTTCATGGGACTCTGGACAGGAGGAGGCAGGGGCTTCTCCTGACTCTGGATCACTCTCCAGAGTGCTCCCCCTTTATATACCTCCACCTTCCCACTCTTAGACCACATTGTCATTGTGTCCGCCCAAGTGCTGAGTGCCTTGAGGGCAAGGACCAAGTCTTTCATCTCCATCGTTCCCCAGCACCTGGCAGGGTGCGGATCACTATACTGGTTCTAAATAAGCAAACTAATGAATATGTGAATCACCGAAGGGCTATGGCAGGGAATGCCTTTACACTAAGGGTCGGAATCCTCAGATTTAAAAATTAGTTTCTCAGTCATTTGGAATTATGAACCTAAACTGTGAGATGATCTAGAGCAGCAGTCCCCAACCTTTTTGGCACTAGGGATCAGTTTCATGGAAGACAATTTTTCCATGGACTGGTCGGGTGAGGCAATGGTTTGGGGATGAAACTGTTACACCTCAGATCATCAGGCATTAGATTCGCATAAGGAGCACACAACCTAGATCCCTCGCATGTGCAGTTCACTATAGGGTTCAAGCTCCTATGAGACTGTAATGCCACTGCTGCTGATCTCACATGAGGCGGAGCCCTGGCAGTAATGCTCCCCGCCTACCACTCACCTCCTTAGGCAGGGCTCTAGATCAGGGGAGACCTCGGCCTAAGTTTGCTTGTAGAGCAGCCTGTGACTGATGAGGGACAGCCTGTAGCTGGTAATGGCTAGAGAGAAATAACCTATTTGATATTCTTACTACTTGCCTTTGGAATAAAGGGTAATCTCTCTGTGCCTTGGTTTCTCCCACTTGATATTCACAGGTCTCTGAGCAGTCTATCCTCTCTCCTTCCTTGCCTGGGGCTCTGAGGAGAGTGACCTGCTTGTAGGAGGGTTTCCCTATGTTTTTCCAGGGCAGTCAGTCAATTAACACCTGGCCACTTCTTTTGGAAGTTACTCCTCCTGAACCTGAATGAAACTTCAGGAACAGTCACTCAGCTTAAGCACAACCATGTACAACAAGCGCTTCTGGAGTCAGTGGCAGTACTGTCCTGTCTATCAGAAACCTGTCTGATCAGTAAGTCTTCTTGCCTCCCTTTTGAGTCTAGAGGCTGTCATCCTGGGTATACCTTTGAATCTCCTGGATGTTTTTTAAAGCATTGAAGGAAGTCCTGTCACCACCCCTAGAGATTGCAAGGTATTTGATATAGCATCTAGATTTGATCTACACTGGTATTTTTAACAGCAACAGTGCTGATAATACGAGCCTGGCGCTGAGAAGCACTGTCTCCAAGAGTCCTCACTAGAAGGAGCTGGAGTGGCACTTGTCCCCCGAACAGTCCACTGCTGGCCTCCCTTTCCCAAAGGCGGGTGGGAAGGCAGAGCACTTGTGTCGTCCTCCTTAGCTAGTTCTGAGACAGGACTCCCATATTGCGCAGTTGGTGGTGCAGCTTCCCACCCACCCACAGGCCCACATACACATGCACACAAAGCCCACTGCTTCTTAACTTTGGGCAGATCTGTGGAGGGGAGATAGATCTATCTGTGGATCAAGATTCAGTTTTGCTTTGGCGGGCAGTTGTGAGAGAGAACAGTCCACAGCTGTGTCTGCAATTTGTTACCAGAGATGAAGATTTTTTTTAAATTCTAGCTCAAAGAATGCTTCCCTGTATCCATCCCACCAGCTCCCAAGCATCACATCCCACCCATTGGTAGCAGAAGAGCCTGCCTTAGCAGTGAGAGGCAAGGCCAGACACCAGTTGAAATCCCAGACAGCTTCCTACCCTCCCTCTATATCTTGTCAGATATTTCAAGCTTTAAGTCCTTATTCGTGCTCTGCCTACTTGGCTGGCTGTTCTTGCACTTGAGCGGCTTGTTTGCCTGGACAGGTCCAAGCTGTCTGAGCCATCAGCAGCTGCACCTCCTCCCTCGCGCCTTCTGTCTGAGCCAACCTTGATTCACAGTAGTGCAGATGGCCCCAGCCATACCCAGGGATGTCTGCCACTCCCATCCCCTCTCCTGCCCTGCTTTCCCAAGATGAAGGGGCTGGGTCAGGCCTTGCCCGCAGGTCAACGTGGGGCTAAAATGAAGACCGCTCTTAGTTCATGTTCTGGCATATTAATCAGGGTGACATGATAAAAAGAATTTATCTGAAACTCATAGAACAGGGCAAGGTTTAAGTTCATATTTTGCAGAAAACACTTTCCAGCCTTCATCAGCGCTAATCTGTTTTTGAAAATGGCCTTAATCCCACCCACTTTGCTCCCTAAGTATTTATAGGAGCTGAGAGTCAAAAAAGCACATGTCAGAAATCACCTTTCTTCCTTTTCCTACCCTTACCTCATTTTAATATAGACTTTGGCAACTTCTCAAAGTACAATGCTCAGTTTTTCAGTCTGGTTCAAGGTGCTTAAAGGTAGTGCCCTGTAATACACCATTATAATCAATTAGTTTCCCTTCTCCTTGTCCCTTTCCAACAGAAATGAAATGATTGGTAACAAGTATGAGAGGGGTCATGGGTGACCTTGTTCAAGAGAAAGATATGGCTGCAGCAGCCCCAGGACACCACTCTGCCTTTCCCCATTGCTGGCTTCTTGGTGAGCAGCAGAAATTTGGAGCTGTACAGGAATCAGATGTCCCACCTAGCAGGCTCTGCCGGAGCCAGACATAGCCATCCACTCTGGCAGCAGCCTATCGAAGGGAGAGAATCCTGGGGCAGCAGCCTACCATGCTGCCCCTTCCACTTTAGATAGGGCCATGCAATGTAAATACATTATTTGTATTTACATTTGGGTCATCTGCAAACCAAAGCGATCTCAGCAGCTGCTGGAATGCCATTGGTACAGCCATACCAACATTTATATTATTCACCCTGATGTCTAGATTGCTATTACTGACATTATTTTAAGGCTTTTTCTCCCTTAAGAGAAAGCTCTTCCAGCCCTAGGCTGCTTAAATAGGGAGGAACAACTTCCTTTTTTTTTTTTTTTTTTTAAGAGACAGAGTCTTGCTACGTTGCCCAGGCTGGTCTCAAACTCTTGGATTCAAGAGTTCCTCCCTCCTCAGCCTCCCTAGTAGCTAGGACTATAGATGTGCACCACCCTGCCCAACAAACCTTTTTTTTCAATTGAGGAATATTAGGATTGAGATATATTATGGACTTTCTATACAACTTGGGGTGTTTTCTTCAGGATAAGTATATTTTTAATCTTTAATAATGATAAAATACTTTACTGGCACCTAAGGAACAATAAAATACTGACTAAGAGGCCTGAAGAGGCATCTGCTCCTATCTCTAGAATTTGAAACCAGTCGTTTGGTGAGCTCTCATGCTGGAGTGGGCATGGGGCCGTGTGGGTGGCAGAAAATCAAGGGGTCTCATTCCACTGAAATGTCATGGTTACCTCAGCCTATGGCTGGTGTTTGCCCTCTTCTCTCCAATTCGGTAAGGAAGAAAGCTCCTTTACCAAAGCGTAGAGTACCTGGGCAGAACACCCAGGAACCTTTTTCTTTCTCTAAAGTCACATGATAGATCTCACCACAGCAGTCAATTTCTTGTTCTTCCTAACTGCCCCTACCCTCCTTGTGTAGATTACATGTCTTTTTCTCTTCCTGTTACAATTGTTACTTAACCTCTTAACCATAGGAAACTTGCTTTCTTGGATCCATTATTTTCTTGTGTCTGACCAAATCTTAGTGATCTGCCTGCTTTTGTTTTTGATCCAGAAATTCTAGTCATTTGGAAGTACTGGACAGAGGGTCAGCTATAGGCATAGGCCAGGTTCTTGAGGTATAGGTCCCAAGGACCTGAACTGACAATATTTGTCTTAGTCCTTAAAGTAACCATCAGATTCACTGCCAGAAACTTTAGCCAGCAACAAAATGTGGCAGATACACTACCACCCCCACACCCCCTGTTATGTCAGAGAACATCCCTGAAGCTGCTCAGCACAGTGTAGAGGGGACAGCAGAGCTCCAAGAGGGATCCTGCTTTCCTCATCCTGCAGTGAGGTGTGATTCAGAAGAGCACACAGCACGCCAGAGCCTTGGAGGTTAGGGTAGGGAGGTTCTTCCCCCTGTTCTCATGTGGCTTACCTGCAAACCTGCCTAGATGGGGACTTACAGAGGGCTATCATCACCCCAGAGTGCTTGGACTGCTCAGATCAACTAGGTAGCTGCTTGCTACCAGGATGTCCAGGACATGAGGGGGCTACGTAAGTACAACTATTAATCACCCAGGAAGATGTTTTCCTGTTGTCCCAGTACAGGGCCACCTCTCAGGCTCCATGTGTCGCATTCACTGAAGTTTTAGACATGAGAGGTGGCTCTGTTCTCTCTGGGGGACAAGTCAGGAAAAGATTGCCTAGCTGACTCTTCCCTGGTCTCAGTTCCGAATGAAAAGCCTGCCATGCGGCCTTCAGCATCTGCTACTCCCCGTGCCACACCTGATCCCATCTCAAGTCATTTCACACCAGCAGAGGGAAGCCCTGTTCCAACTCCAGCAGCAGCACCACTCGGGGAGGGGGGGCAAACTCTTTACCCTTGTGGTATTTTGTAAACTGCAGCAGCGAAGCCTGAACTTCCAGGAGGGAAATGAAATGACCTTGGCAGGTAACAGGTTCAGGACAGCCAGCATTTGTCTTGGTTGTTGGTTTCCACATGTTAAATGCTTCTAGTTGCTCCTGACCTTCCTTGCCTGCCTTTGTTGGTCAAGTCCTATAGGCACTGTGGCATTTGTGCAGGGAGCAGGGGAGAGGAAGCTTTTCTGCTTTACTCTGGCACCTGACAAGGGCTCTCTATCCAGCATTGGCATTGCCAGTGGGGAACTGCTGAAGTAGCACTCTAGAGTATCACCCGGGAGACCCCTCTGTCTCCTGCCAAGCTAAACAAACCCTGCCCATGCACTCTTCTGAATCACACCTCACTGCAGCTTTGTTCCTTCTTCCCCAGTACTGCTCAGGGCACCGCCTTATGGGAAAGTCCTGTGTGTCAGCAAAAGAAGCACTTGAGGAGAAACAAATTGATATAGGAAGGGGGAGTGCCACCCAGTCATCTTTTAAGTACAAAGAAAGGTCATCGGAGCTGTATGGGGTCCAGGTTGGATTATTGTTGACTCTGCCTTGCTGTGGCAAAAGGGCCAGCTCTCTGGGTCCAACCTTGGGCATTGCCAACCCCATCCAGCTGCTGACAGCCCAGCACAAAGAAAACACATGCTGTGTACACACAGATGGGTTTGCATGTCAGCATGAGCCCATTTTTAGCCTTTGGCCAGGAAGGGCAGTTCACAACACAGTAATTTAATTAAATTTGCCTCCCTCCGTGGCCCACATATTTGAAGAGGTTTGGGGGGAAATGAATCTGGCTGAGGAACATTACCCTGCCGCTCTGGCACTGCCCCAGAGCCAAGCCACTGTACCATAAAGGGTCTCACCATCCTGAATACGACCCAGGACATCTGTCTGCACTGCAGGCTCTCTGGCCGGGCTGCCTGCTGGCACATCTGGCAAGGCAGCCTCTGGAAGCAGTCCGTCTCTATCACAGGCAAGCCACCAGGGGCAAAATAAGGGACTCCCTACCCCCTACTCAAGACCTGCTGGCAACAACTTTAGCAGTAACTCACAATATTAGCTTTCATCACAGATTTCAGTGTATTTAGAGTGGAGAGGACAGAATAAGAGAACCCTCTACCCTCAACTAACATTGAAGCCTCAATAACAGCTATGATCCTAACTTCATTGCTGTTAAGGCCACATACCTGTACTTCTGTCCTGGAAATGACCAGTATTTAGGGACCTGAAATTGAATCCCTTACCCTTACTTCCCATGAACTTATTACCACATTTCACATCTCAAATGTCCATCAGTTTTGTCCATTATGTCTGAGCTTAACCCACACTCCAAACTCCAAAGACCTGCCCCCCTCCCCACCTCAGCCAGCTAGTTCCTCCTTGAACTGAGTTCATCAACTCATCAGGAGGCCACTTCTCCTGTGGTCACCCCCTGGTCCAGAGAATCTGCCCATGATGGGTAGTCCTTTCTTATTGCTAACCCGTAACCTCTCAGTCCGCCTTTTCTGTCCTAAGTCAGCTGTACCAAGCCTGCTAGGGAAGAGCATTCTCTTTGGTTATCTTTCTCTCTCCCCATCAATAGCACATCCTCCTGGCTAACTAATGTCTCTTGTGTAATGATAGCAGCACCTCTGAGAGAAAGGGAATTTCTCTGGCACAGTTCGTCTCAACACCAGCATAACACAGGCTGTTGCTTAGGAGTGGGAATCATTAGAGTCAGGCCATTATTGGAGGGGACCGGTCTCTAGGGGAGCTAGCAGAAATTGCCGCTCCTTAATGGATGGAAACTCATTTGCCTGAAGCCCCTGCCCTCCTCTTTATTTTCTCTGCATTCCTCACCTCCCATTGCTTCCCAGCTTTGAAGTTGAAAAGAGAGGTAACTCCACCCAATGCACATTTCTGCTAAATTAACTTGGTTAGAAGAAATCCTTGCCTGAAAGCACTGTTCTTTTAGAATGTTTCTATTGGGACTTCACTTGAAACCATCATGAAGAAGACAAATTCTAATTAAATGTATGTGATAAAATTATAGCCAGGGCCACTCTGTTCCCAAGAGAGGATTTGAGATGGGAGGAAGAGGGGACAATTTCCTAGCTTTCTGGACCCCAGTTTCAGGGTAGACCCCTGAGTCAACCTGGGCTGCCAGAGCTTTCCCTCTGAGGGTCCCCTTGCTTACACAACACTAGGAAGGCCAGGGAGGTAGAGCGGGACTCCAGGCTTCTCTGCTTCTCCAAGGGTCTGCATGACCTTGAACAGACCTCTAACATGATTTAGCTTTCTGCAAGCCCTCCTGTCATGTTGGGATAGATGTTACCTTACTACCCTGCACTCTTGTAGAGAGAAGGGGAAGGCCATGGAAGCAACACATGCCCCTTTTGGTTTATTAGCCATGGGGCTGCCATCAGAGCACACATGCCCTGAAGAGAAAGGAAAGTTGCCTGATTTCTCAGCTCTTCCTGTTTGAATGAAATCATGAGTGGGCACCATCTGTCTCAGAGCATTAAGCACAGATAACAGTACTGGTGGGAAAGGCCTTCCCCCCTCCCAAAAGGGAACTATAAAGGATTGCATCAAACTGCAAACTCCAGGGGGCACTAATCACTTTGCCATTTCTGTAAATGGCGCCCCCTGGAGTTGTAAGTCATGGTGGCCCTGCCGGCGCTCAGCAATTGCGCTAGGTCGCGAACCCAGAGACTACAGGTAAGGTCTCTGCATCACCAGCTATGTGACACCTGGGCAAGGCACATCTTCCTGGGCTTCATTTTCCTCATAAATAAAATGTGAGGGTTCAACTAGATTTTCTGAATTAACTTGGAAGTTCTCATTGCCCTCTCCATATCCCGGAAGTTAGGAACCATGAACCTGTGTTCTGTCTCAGTGTCAATTGTCATCCCCAGGTCGGCCAGCCTCGATAACATACCCAGAATGAGAAGGCACCCTCGGCTGACATAACACCACTAGTCGGAGTGGATGTGGACTTACACATGAAGGGGGAAGGATTAAGGAAAGGGAAAGCCTCCAGCGGGCACAATGGATGAAACAGCAAGCGCACAGAATGGGCCAATGCCTTATTCTTCTTGTATTCATCCTTCTCTGTGGCTTCAGAGCCTTTTTTCTGACACACATGCACACAGCACCTCCAGTGCTTGCCGTCTCTCCCCCTCATGAGAGAAACAAAATGAAATGCAAACATGCTTTGAAAGAGCACAGTCTTGTCCTGTCCCTCTGCATCCCCTCTCCTCATTTCTAATGAAAAAAATAGTCTTCCCTTTCCCTGGTTCCTTCAACAGTCTCTTCCTTAGGTTATTTTTTTCCTCTCTCCTTTCCTACTCCATCCAGACTTCCCCCTGCCTAATCTTAAAGAGATGAATTGGAAGAATATGCAGTCGTGTCAGAAGGATGCCATTGTCAGTTCACACAGGCAGACACTAATAGGATAAAGTATTATCTGACTTCCTTTAAGTCCAGAAATTAAGTCTTCTTGCAATGGCAATAGATTATAACTTATAACCACTGTGGCTGGCAGGCTGCAGAAACAGGCTGTTAGTATCTGAGGCCTCAGCTCCATTTCTGGGCCTATTGTGAGGGATGCACTCAGCATTCCTCCAAACACAGCTGCATGATCCAGGGAACTGGCACTTGGCTCCTGGATGGAACTGCCTCTGTGGAGAGCTGCCTATAACTCATTCAGTTCACCTGCCGTGGGAGAAGCTGTCTGAATGGTCTTAATGAACCTGGATGAGTGGGCAGGTAAAGGGAGGAAGCCAGGGTCTTGAAGACTGGGAAGAAGTAGCCCGAGGCAAGGAAACCAAACTTTGCACAGGGAACACTTAGTGTGTGAAAGCTCTTCTCAGTCATCCTTGCTGACTCATTGAGCAGGTAGTAACTTATCTAGTGACTAAATCAGCACCAGCTTAGAGACACAGGGAAATGAGGGTTGAGACCTTAAAGGAACTGTAAAAGAGACTACAAATTAAGGAGTTGCCCTGGAGAGGAAATATCATGAGAAATGTTAGGAAGAAAGAGCCATCATTCTTCAAAATGGAGGGCCTCATGCAGGATTTCCTAGGTCCTGTTATGGCAGATGAGTGTACTCAAATGGGGAATATGGGACAGGAAACCTGATACAATAATTAATTGAAGGGTATTTTTTTATTAGTGGGGCTATAAGAAGGTAGGTGGGGGCTGGGTACAGTGGCTGACGCCTGTAATCCCAGCACTTTGTGAGCCCAAGGTGGGCGGATTGCCTGAGGTCGGGAGTTTCAGACCAGCCTGGCCAGCATGGTGAAACCCCGTCTCTACTAAAAATACAAAAATTAGCCAGGCGTGGTGGTGCGCACCTGTAATCCCAGCAACTCGGGAAGCTGACGCCAGGAGAATCGCTTGAACCCGGGAGGCGGAGGTTGCAGTGAGCCGAGATCACACCACTGCACTCCAGCCTGGGCAACAGAGCAAGACTCTCTCTCAAAAAAAAAAAAAAAAAAAAAAAGAAGGTAGGAGGGTATGAAAGAAACAAGTAGATCAAGTACTGTTTCTTTGGCATCCTATAATTGATTTAAACTGTAGTAATTACTCTAGTAATGTTCCTGAGTGTACAGAATGAACAAACCTGAAAGCCTAAGTACTATCTTGGTCCGTCTAGCTCCCACACCTAGCTTGAGAGTAGCCTCTCATATCAATGCTTCCCTGCTATCCTTTCAAAACTCTTTTTGATGGGATAAGTGGGCAAAGATCATGCCATCGTCTCAAATGCTAACTTCCTTTGACAAGACAGTTTCTCCCAGGGATATCCCCCACAGGCCTAGGCCAAATCTCTGACTCACTGCAAAGGTCCATGTACACTGAACTGATAGACATCACTATTTTTATTGGAAAACACAATTTATATAACACTCTTCCTCTGGAATAATACTCTTTTTGTGGACAAATACCGAGTTGCTCCCTCTCTTCTCCCCAGCACACCCCACCCCCCTCCCCATGACTGTGTTAATAGAAATGAGGAAATGGGTTTAGAGCAGATCCCTGAGTGAGCCTGTCAGGGTCAGGATTAAATTACATCCCTGAAGGCTGGGTTGCTTCCCCAAGCAGTGGACAGCCTCCAGGATAGGGAACAGGACTGTTGTGGGTAGGTGGTTTGGCCCAAGTACTGACAGCAAAGCTGGCGTGTACCAGAGGATAAAACCTGTGATCATCCTAAAATCTAATTCTAGCCTCTCATTAGGAAATCAAAATGCATTCTTTCTTCGCCTCTCTTGGAAAGTTGATCTCCCTGCTTTTCTTCTCCTCTGTTTCATGCCATGAATTTCGCACTAACAGTCCTCCCCCATCCAGGGTCCAGCCAGCCTCTTGCTTGCTAAGGCAGAGGAATCTCCCTGGCTTTCCTCCTTGACTGCATTGCAGCCCCTTAGCCTGTGTATCTGCCATAGAGCTCCATTCTTCTCTCATTTGCTCCAATTATGGTGCTTTTTGTCTGCCTTTCTTTTCTCCTAGCTCTGCAATACTGCTCGGAAGCCCCACCGGCCCTTTCAGTGCTACCTTCTTCCTCCTAGTGCCTCCCCACTCCCCACTCCCAGTCCTGGTAACACTTAATGGTCAGGGAGGATTTCATCACTGACCTGAGTAATAAGGCTATGACTGCTCTGTGCCAGAGAAACATGGGTAGGGGAGAAGACATTAGGAAGTTTACCTTCTTGGTAAAGGACCTAGGCTTCCCAAGGTCCCAGCCCTCAGCTTATGCATGACTATCAGCACCTTTACTTTCTTCTGGCTCACCACAAGGAAAGGTAATCTATTCCTGGACTAAATCAGTGCCTTGGGACAGCTATAGTGCTGGTGTAGGGATCAGAGCACAAGGCAAGGTTTTCCTGGGAGGATAAGTATAACCATGTTTTTCACAGTGATCGGGCTTATAGATACTATTGTCTCTGACTTCTAGATCATCATCCTTCTTCTCTGGAGTAGCACAATAGGCATGTCTCTCTTTGGACATATACAATGTTCAAGAATAGGGGTGGTGATGGGGGCTTCTCTGTTGATCTGTGTGTTTGTGTGTATTGTCAAATAACTGTTATCTAGCATTTGCTATATGGTGTGGAGCACTAAGTGTGAGATCTATGTCACACACATACATATATAATTATATATGTAAAATTTCAATTCTCACAATCTGTGAAGTACTGAGGTAGATAGTAATATTGTCTGTATTTTTTAGGTGAAGAAACTGAGTCTTTTTCCAAAGTCACACAGCTAGTAAGTGATGGGAACTAGGATTCAACACAGGAAGACTGGCTACAGAGTCTGTGCTTGTAAGCACTATGCTATATTGCTGTGTGTGTGTGTGTGTGTATTTCACTGATCTAGTTGCTGAAGCCCTTATCACTGCTCCAAGAAGTAATTTACTTCATTTTAATTTAAAGCAAAGATGAAAACAACTTATCCTACTGTCCAAAACATTCTTCCCCTTGCATAGGAGAGGGGTGCTTCCTGAAAGGAGTGAGACCAAGAGAGTTGCTCTGAGCCAAAAGCTGCCTTGCAGTTTAGCTGAGGCAGGATTTAGAAATGGCGTGAACAGTGCCTGCATTAGCCGATGGCATGGAGTGCTGAGTGCCAGCAGAGGAGATAAAATCAGACATATGTTTGGATATAAATGTTCCTCTCTCTCTTCTAATTTTAAGCCCCTGCTGCTTTGTTGCAGTGAAATGATGGAGCCTTAATTATAGGCCCTGGCCCCCTGAGGTAGAAGCCTGGGTTGAGTAAGGCCCACTTAGCCCTCTCCCAGTCTCTACCCATTACCACGGAAGGAAGCCAGAGACCATGGACTCTGACCCTCTTCTCAGACAACAATAGGAATTGTCTTGCAGGGACTCTCTGCTGGTTGTTCCACGGCACTCAGCAAGTTGCTGGCCTCAATACATGTTAAATAGCCATGATAAAGCTAATGTCTCTAGGCCTTAGAAACTAGCCTATCTACCTTTACCTCCATTGACGATAGGATGCAGCTGAAGGGTGTTAAAAAGTCCTGGAGCACATTGTAGAAGTGGCAGCTACAGCATGGCACTTAAAGAGTTAGAGCTGGGGTAGATACAGTGGAGAAGAGGAGCAAAAGACCCTCCCAGTATTCTCATTGTTGAGCCGGGTAAGCAAAAACCACTCCATTATGGGGAACCTCTGTGGTCCAGTAGGTGTTTTAAGACCTCCTCCACACTGCAGAGTTTCCAAGGCTGGGAGGAGGCCAAGCCACCTTTTCTAACTATAAAACACCAAGTCTTACCTACTTCACTCCTTCCCCTTAGCTGTCACCCTCTGTGGGATCCTGCAGTTTCTGTCTGCCATTGGGCCTAAGAATCAGGAAATGGTTATGTAGAGTCCTGATAGTCTAACCCCTTAGCACATGTGGAGCCCCTGTAGTCAGGCCTTAGAGGGCAGTATAGCCAGTTCTAAAGAGAGTGAACAGCTCTAAGGGATAAGAGAACACAGACGTATCTTAGGAAGGTCTCATTTTAACTGTTTTGCTAGTTAAGTATGTTCTTGATAGCCAATAGCAGCCTGGGTGAGAAAGCACATTGACTCAGGAGTCAAAAGACCTGGGCTTTTAGTCCCACCTCCTCCACTAGCAGTGTGACCTTGGATATGTCTTTTAATTTCTCTGGGGCTCAGTTTCTTTGACTGTAAAATGTGAAGGGATTAGACTAAATGATTTTTCACGGCCTTCAGTTCTGTAATGAAAATTCTCTAACTCCGTATCATCAGCAAGAGTCTTTACATCCAACGTGTTGCTATAACTACCCCCTAAAGAGCTACCAACCCGTGTTCCATTCCTAGGTAACAAACCTTGGCCTGGCCAAGGATGAGTCACAGCATTCACGGCTGCATTTTTGGTACTCACGGGATGCCTCTCTGAAAAGCTGTCCCAAGTGCCTGCTACAGAGGAGGATATACCATGATAGCAAAGGAAGGTTACTGCTGTAAAAGTGGAAACTGCATGGATCAAAGGGCAGGCCTACTGGGGTAAGGAACTCTCCCTGCAGCTCTGAGGATACTTAAATCTAGGATCCTAGTCTTAGTCTCCCCCAACTCCTTTGAGGTTCCTTTCAAAAGTCCTTCTCCCACAGATTGAAGCTGAATATAGTCTTCCTTGGGACAAATGCATTTGTCCATAGGACTCTTTCCCGAGATTGTTTTAGGCCCATTTCTGTACCTCTCCCCTCAGACTGTTAGCCACAGACCCTTAGTCATTGCAAAGTTACTGCATAATTCCCTGTCTGCTCAAATAGCTGTCAAAAAAAAAAAAAGAAGGGTGTTAGGAAATTGGCTCCTCATCCTCTATTTCTGAAACAGCAACTTCCTCCGCAATTTCCTCTGAATGCATACCCAGGAAGCTGTTTTAAACAGCCTGAGTTGTGTCTTGTGGCACTAGGAAAGGGAGTAATTTCTTGCTTTTTCACCTGGTCCTAGCCAAGTCCCACCCTTTGCTCTCCTGCAGTTTTCTTTCTTTTTATTGGGGGTATGGTGATAAAGGAGAGGCAGGAGGAACGGATCTTTGGTGCCTAGAACTGTGAGTGGTAGTTTATAAGTGTGTGCCCATACATATGTGCTGGCACACTGATACCCAGAAATGATGTATATACCCAGGAGGATTAAGAATTGGCCCTTTCTTAGCCAACTGCTGCAAAGTGCTGCCTGCCTCTCTTTCCCTCCTTAGTGCCAAAGAGTTCACACCCACTCAGTCCCAATTCCCTGCATTAGTATAAATACTAGCACTGAAGAAATGCAGGGTCCTGATTCACGCAGCCTCTCTGGACATTATTACTTGGTAAGCATCAGGAGACAGACACCTACCACCAAAACATGTTTAGATTATTTAGCACCCAGAGAACAGAAGCAACACTGCCTGTGGGAAATTTAAGCCAAACTACATTATTGCAGGCCTCTGAAATCCAGGTCCCCCAGGTTCCTCGGGTAGAGCTGGTGCTGCCTGACCAGCAGCTTCTGCTGAGGTGGCATTTAACTTTTGGCCAGGTCCCAGGAGCTGAGGCTGACCCATTTCCCCTGCTTTTCCAGGGCATAGGGAATTTGATTATACCCCCAACAAAGCCAGGGACTAACACAGTTAGCTTGTAGAAGGTGCACTAGAATCGGGGTGCTTTTATTTAAGCTAAGGAAAGGTTGACAGCTTTAGCATTTTCCCATACTTGAAAATAATTTAACATTTGTCTTTCCCCCATCATACCTGTACCCTCCCCTCCCCGCTTTTTTATTAAATAGAAATGATTGGCTCATAAGAATCTATAGGTTCAGGGTCTTACTCAATTTAACCCTTTGGGGACATTGAATTAAAAATTCAACAATATTTATTAAAATACAAAAATACACTTTTCTCACATTACAATCAGTGTTCTTTTGTTGGCAATTCCCCTCCCCCACCCATACCACCCCCTTTCAAATCTGAACCCCTTATTTCCTTTTAAAGCTAAAATAATAACTGAAAGAAGTTACATCATTAGATGGACCAGAATAACAGAGATCTCTGCCTTCCCCACCCACGCCCACCCTTTCTCTTCCACCTTCTCCTGAGGGGGCCTGGGAGAGGGAAGCTTCCCATCAGTGTGCTCCATTCAACAGTACCCCATGTGGAACTCCATGTGTGCATGCGTGTCACTTGTAACTGTGGATCTCACAGCTTTTTTGTGAACCATCCTGGTTGGGAAAGGCTTCATTACTTTACGTGAGCCTGTACCCTTTTCGTCTCTCCCTTTTCTTTGCTACTCATGTTCTGCCCCCACCCCATCACCACAACCAGTTGACATCCGCTGTAATAATCCCTAATGAATCAGCATTTAGAAGAGTCACCAAATCACAAGCATGAGAAAAGCTTCCACTCCCAAGCTCCCCAATTCAGGCTTCTCCTCCCTCTCCACCTTAAAACAAACAAAATCTTTTTTAAAAATCATAAAATGCCATCATTGTCTACAATCATGTGTCAGAGTCCAGGAACAACAGGTGGACATGGCACAATGCTAATTTATGGCCTCCTGTGAATACATTCTCTCTGCTTTACCCTCCCTTCCCACCCCCCTGCTGCCGCACCCCTTCAGGGGCCTCCTCCTCCTGGGAAACCCTGAATAGACACATGCCTTGCAGAGTGGGTTAAGCCCAACTGCAGGAATCTGGTGCAATGTGAAAGCATTAGACTGAGAGCTACGCCAGCTCCCGTCCTTCTCTGCTCCTTTCTAAGCAATTCTGTCAGGCAAGGCACATGTGTGTCCAGTGCACAGACCCCCAAGACTTGTGCACATGGACAAAGACTCAGCCCCTTTAAGGGTTCGTTTGAATTTTGGTGGTTTTCCTGCTTAAAATACATGTACAGGTCTATCTTCCCCTTAGCCTCTGAAGAAAAATATTATTGCCACTATCATTTTGGCACAGTACAAATTCATGGTGCTTTTTTTTTGTATTTTTTTTTAATAAGATAATTCTGCAAAGACAGCTCTCGGCTTAAGAAAGATGTCTGTAGAAATGGATAGTCCTGTGTCCTATGAAGCATCTTCTAAAAAATGACAGATTCAGTCTATCCCTCTTGCCCCCTCAGCAGCCCACACCCTACCTCTTTAAGGATGTTTGTTGTTTTAGTTTATTTTATCTCAGCAATTTCAACCTTATACCAGAAATCCCTTCTGGCAGCATAGCAAGTTAACTTGTGGCTTGTACCCCACAACGTTCCCAAGATTCCCCCCCACCCCCTTTAAATAGAACTTACAAGTTAGAAAATATTTTTGTTTTGACTTTTTGTCTTTAAATTTTAATATAATCTGTTTTTTTTAACCAGCCCATAGACTTAATATATAAGCATATACAAGAAAAAGTCTCTCCCCACTCTGTACAAAAGTTGCTGTCTTTGTGTGCATTCTATTGCATTTTATAAGTTTTTTGGGGGAGGGGAGTCATATTTGAGTTTCCTGTACCTTGTCCTTGGTATGGGTCTGAATTATATAAGGTTCAGAGATAGTGGTGACTGTGGGGTGCAGAGAGTTCCCCAGGCTGTTTTCTGTCCAGTGGGCCCCATGTGCTGGTTTGTAGGTGTTGTAGTTAATATGGTCATGAATTGTGGGCAGCACTACTGCCCCCTCACCTGATACACCGGACGGAGCTGCTGTTGCTGCTGCGGATGTTGCTGCTGGGATGTCTTCGTCCACCTGGATTATCTCAACAGTCCGGGCGGCTGTGACTGTACTCCGCTGCTGGTGCCGCTTACGAAGTTTATAGAAGACAATCAACATGGCGGCAGCTAGCAGAGTCACTGCCACAAAGCAGCCAATGATGATCTTGGTGGTCTTCATGACTTCATCCAGGCTGGTCTGCATCTTGTCAGTGGTGTCTGTCGCGGGTACTGCCACCTGCTTGGGCACACGGGTAGTCTGAATGAGCACCGTGGTAGAGGTGGTATATGCCGGCTGGTAACCAGTGGACGTGGTAGGAACAGGCTTGTACTTTCGCGTTGTGTCCTCAGGCGAGATCTCCGTGGTCTCCACTGTTACTGTGGTGAAGAAGCTGTAGTTGGAGGTGTTAAGCTCAGCCGTGCTCACATTGAGGTAGGCCGAGGCGTTGGAGTTGCCTGCAACATTGGTCACCATGCATGTGTACACCCCAGTGTCTGAAAGCAGCACGTGGGAAAAGTTCAAGGTGCCGTCGTTGAGGACAGAGATCCTTGGGTGGCGGGAGGCGTGGCTGAGCACTGTCCCATTGGGCAGCAACCACTTCACGGAGGACATAGGGGGAGTCCGACACTTAAGTTCTGCCATCCGACCCTCAGAAATGTTGAGGTCTCGAGGTGCGTCCATGATGAAGGGGGCAGAGCACTGGAAGGAGGCCTGGTCCACCTCCACGAGGTAGCGGCCTCGCATGTGCATGGGAGCATGACAGCGGCCACAGCAGGTGGAATTGGTGGGTATATACTCTCGAAGCCACCAGGCTAGCCACAGAATGTCACAATCACAGTTCCAAGGGTTGTGGTGTAGATGCAACTCCACCAGGTACCTCAGCGGGGTAAAGAGGTCATGGGGCAAAGAAGAGAGGTTATTGTGGGCCAAGTTGAGTTCCACAAGTGAAGCCAGCCCGTCAAAAGCATTCCGCTCAATCAGGCTGACCTGTGAGTTCATGACCCAGAGCTTCTTGAGGGAGCTCAGGCCATGGAAGGAGCCAGGCCTGATCTCAGGGAAGTGGTTCCCTGACATCTCCAGCTCCTCCAGCCCCACCAGGGGGGTGAGATTGGGCATGTCTTTAATGTTGCACATGCCCAAGTTCAGATACTTGAGGTTGAACAGCCCCTCAAAAGCTCCCTCAGAGATATACTCCAGCTTCTTGAGCTCCCCCAAGTCCAGGCGCATGAGGGAGGGCACCCGGTTGAAGGCGTAAGAGGGGATGCTTTCGATGGGGTTGTTGCGAAGCCAGAGCTCCCGCAGCTTGGACAGGTATTCAAAGGCCCCGCTAGGGATGACTGTCAGCCAGTTGTCGAACAGCTCCAGGGTGTTGAGGCTGGCCAGGCCGTTGAAGGCCCCCACCTCAATCTGCCGGATGGAGTTCCTGCCCAACTGCAGGACCTCCAGGTGGTGGAGGTGGCGGAAGGTGTCGGCCTGGATCATCTGGATGTTGTTCTCCATGAGGTTGAGGTACCGGGTGTTCGAGGGAATACCCTGCGGGACCTCGGAGAGGCCCCGGCGCGTGCACACCACCTTGCTGAACTGGTTACTGCACGAGCAGACGGAGGGGCAGTTCTGGGGCCCGGCTGAGGCGGCAGCAGCGATGGCTGCACACAGAATCCACACTTGCGCCGTGAGGTAGACGAACGGGAGCAGGATGGCATTCCAGGTGTGGTGGTGCACAGTTACCTGCCACAAGAGCTTCATGGTGTGGCACGTTCATAATTCACCATCGCCTGGGATTTTGGCTCGGAAAGGAGAACCAGCCCTACCCCGGCTTAAGTGAGCTAGGAGCTCCTCTTTCCATCTGGAGAAGGAGGTGGGGAGGGGGCGATTAGAGAGACGGAGCGGATCGGCCGAAAAAAATCCTGCCAAACTCGAGCGGCCCCTGGTCTCCCAACCCACCCTCAAGGCAAGCCCTCCGAAAGCTACGACTCTCCCACACTGCAACCGTCCCCACCCAGTTCGCCGTCACCTACCTCGGAAGGAAGGCAGGAAAGCACTGGCGTGGTGTCCTTAAGCTTTCTCCACGGGAGCTGGGCACCTCGTTCCCATTCCGACTTCTTAGTTTTAATTAACAAAAGGGGGAAGTGGTGGGGGCGGGGAGGGCAGAGGGGAGGGGAGGGGAGGGGAGGGAAGGGGTGGGGGAGACAAAATGGCCTCTAGTAAATCCGGAGCCGGAGCCGGCGAAGCCGCGGAGTTGAGGCGCGCCTGGGAGAGCCAAGGCCCGGCGGGCTATGCAGGTGCATGCCCCCCCCTCCGCCCAAGGAGCGGCGCCACCAGCGCTTCCCGGCTTTGTCCTTGGACCCTGGCACCGGCTCGCTCCAGCCGCGGGGGAAGGCGCTTCATCGCCAAAGTGCGCTCCGGCGGCCCCGGCCCGCTCTGCGGGCCGCCGCCGGAGGGAGTGCGGGGGCGCCCCGAAGCCGCCCAGGCCGCACTCGCTGGATGCTGCGCTCCCTCTCCCGGCGTCGGCCGCTCCGGGCCGGCGGCAGCTGATTGCGGTCGTGAGCTCGCGGAGCGGCGAGAGTTAAGAGGAGGTGTTCGCGGCGCCTTCGCCCTCCCCAGACACACACCCCCTTTCTCCTCGCCTCTTCTCGGAGGGTGGAAGAGACAAAAACGGGGGGTCAGTTCTCCAGTCCGCCGGCTGCCGGCACGCGGGGCGGCGCTCCGTCCGGCCCCCGAGGACCAGCGGCGTGGCGGCTGCGCTCGGACCCGGTCCGCCGGCCGGAGGAGCGCGCGGCGCCCGCGGTCGCGCCCGCACCGCAGGCCCCTTCAGAGAGTCCGGGGGCGGGCGCGGGTCCGGCGGCGGCGGCGGCCGCAGCCCCCGGCGGCGCGCAACCGCCCGTCGCCGCCCGCCGCTGCCCGGCCCCCGGCGCGCCGCCGGCTCCGGCTTTGTGCGGAGGGAGCGAGTTCGCGGCTTCGGCTCCCGGCGCCCTCAGTGGCCGCGCCGCCAGCGGACTGCTGCAGCGGCGTGAGCAGCGGGGGTCGCGGCTGCGGGAAACGCTCCGGAGCCCAGGAACATAGTCCCCGCTGGCTAGCGGCGGCAGCAGCAGCAGCGGGGCCCCTGCGCGCGGCGCCCACCGTCTCCTCCTCGCGCCGGGCTCGCGGTGTTGCAGGCGGCAGCCACGCAGACTGCTCTCTCATCCTTTTGTCCTTCAGTCAGAACGTGAATGTACTGCTGACGCATACTGTTCTGGGAGAAGATTAGCGTGATGCAGTGCTCTTATGTATTAGCGCCGCTCCCCCTCCGTCGCCTGCCTCGCGGGGTTAACGCCGGCGCCTTCCAGCGCCGCGCCGGCCGGCGCCGCGCAGCCCCGCGCCTCCGGCCGCCCGTCTTCCTCTTTCCTCCTTCCTTCCTCCTCTCTTCCTCTCTCCCCCTCCCCCCTCCCCCCTCCCCGGGCCGCTTCCTCCCCGCCCCCTCTAGACGAGCGGAGCGGGGCCAGGGCGAGCGGGCGAGCGAGCCGGAGTGAGCGTCAAGTGAGGGGCCGCGCGCAAGTCGCAGGCGTTCGCAGCTATTTTGGGCCGGTCGGAGGGAGCAGTTGGGTGGCCGCTGATAGGCTGGAGCGGCGCGGGGCTGCGGCGGGAGAGCCCGCGCCGGCCCCCGCCCTCCGGCCCGCACCCGGGGCCCCCTGGCTCTGAAGAGCGGGGCTCAGGGGCCCGGCGGCCCGCGGCGGGGCTGCTGCATTTGGCCTGCCTCTCGCCCGGCCCGCGTCATCCTCACCCCCGCTGACTGCTGACGGGGCGCGGACTCGCGTTCGGAGTTCGGAACTGCGTGGTGGGGACTCGGGGGACGGCGGCCGGGGCCACGAGGCTCCCAGGACCGAGAGCCCGGGCTTCGCTGCTGCACTGCCGCCAGCCCCTCCTTCGCTTTGCCTCACCCCTCCTGTGCTCTCACTGGGGCTTTAAATGAGGGTTTCCTTAATGAGGGTTGCGGGGGCGGGAAACAGTGGCAGGAATGACCAAGTGTGATGAGCTGGGGAATGGCAACCTGGGACAGCACAGAGGCCGGCAGGAAGGATTGAGGTGAACTCCCGGAGCCCACGACACAGCCCGTTCATTCATGGAGCTGCAGCCGCGGCTTCTCAGTCTTCGCTGGCCGGAGTCGCCCCTTGCTCCCCGCTGCCCCCAGAGAACTGGGGGAAGGGAGGCGGGCGGCTGAGCCCCCTGCCCTGTGAGCTCGCCAGCCCTTCCTTGGCTAGGACTCTGAGAAGAACTGCGTAGCAGCCAGGGGTAGCGATTGGGAGTGGGGGTGGAATTCTTGCTCCTATTTCTGGTAGGAGACCCTAAGGCATTTGACAGACTAGTGTAGGAGAAGGGGACTAGGTCAGCTTTTTCCCACCCCCCTGAAAAAAGACTGCCCCTTTCTCTGCCGACTGTGGGTGAGGCAATCTAGCTGAGCCCTGGGAAGCCGGTCCAGTAGAATATAGCATGGTTTAATATCCCTTCCCTTCAAGAGCTGCCTCCAGACTCCTCAACCCACCCCTCTCCCCGTGTGATTTCTGGCAGGCTCGCTTGATAAACCCTCATCACCTGCGCGTGGGCTGTTGCTTAAGAACGAGGAGGTCCCAGATTTCTCAGCTCTCTGGTTTCTACCACACCTATTTCTGAGTATTGTCTTTTGCCCAGTAACCTGAACCTCTTTAAATACGCCATGGAATACTTGAAGTCCTGGAAACGGTTCCTTTGTAGGCAAGTTGGAGTCCCCATTCTTTGCCAAGACCTTTCTGTTATCATTTGCTGTCAAATAATAACCTTGTTAGTTTCTGTTTATTGAACCCTTACTCTGTATTCCACTGCAACCCTATTATTCATTTTATATGAGTCAAACGTTGCCTAGGGTCACTAGTAAGTGATAGTGGATTTGAGCCTCAGCACGTCTCAGATGTCAAGAAACTTGGGTGTGGAAGTGATTCCCCAAAGTATTCTCCTAGTGGGATGAGAACTCAGGTTTCATTCATCCACTTCAATAGTCATTTACTGGGATGCTTATCTACTATGTACTATCCACCATACCAAGAACTTATATCTGTTCTTGTTTAATCTTCATTTACCCAGTGAAAGTAATTGCCACACTTGTCTCCATTTCACAGATGAAGGCACTTAGCTTAGGCAGGCAAATAACTTGCCCAAGGTCACACACTAGAAAGTAACAGAGCCAGCCTTTCCATCCAGCCTTCAAACCCTGAGTCCGATGTTTTCATCACTAACAGGAATGCCCGCTGTGTCTACTCTTCATAGAGTAAATGGTGGAGGCAAGTGGAGGGGGGAGGAGAGAGAGACTGTAGGAAAGTTCAGTGAAGGATGTGTCAGAGAAGTAAGATGAAGGGTAGGAGACGGGCTGAGAAAATGAACTCTCATCAAGAAAAAGAATGAGGGAGACATGGAGGTAAGTCAAACCCTGATACTGGGGTTTAGTTCCATCTGGGCACTCAGACTTTCTGGTGAGAGGTTCTGCTCCTTTATAGCTGGCACCGACCTAGTAGAGTCATCTATTGCCTGAGGAGACCCCTGGCCAGGGTCTGGATGGCAGCGATTAAGTATGACTATCCTTCCCTCCTCAGGCAACAGGGTCTCTGCCTGGGCTGGTCCTCTGCTACTGTAGGCAAACTCAAACCCTGTCTGTTCAGCTCCAGGCTCCACAAATGAAAGCTGCTGCCCCGCACTATAAAGGTAGATGAAAGTGGGGGCCGAGTTGGGTCAGACCAGTACTTAGTAATGAGGTTGTCTCTCAGTAAGTATTTGTGACTGCCATCCATGAAGGTGACTATGCCCAAGCTCTGTCGAGCTCTACATCAGGCTGCTTTGCCCCCTGTAAGCCAGCTGGGCCAGGAAAGCACCACTGAACCTACTAACTGGACTACAGAGGAGGCTGTGGGGCCGTCGTTGCACACAGCCCTTCTGAGCTGAAAGTGGGATTGCAGCCTCTCATTTTGGTAACCCAAGTACCATCTAGCTATGGCATCTTGCTCCTCACAGCCCGTGGCTCTGACTGCTTCTTGGATTTGGAATGGTGCCACCAAAGAATAAGAAGGAAAGAAGGCTACTTACACCCTAAGAGGAAGAGACAGTGGATTCAGATTGTTTTCACTTGCAGTTTCACACAGGGAGACTGCTGTGATAACGCCAGAGAGAGCTAAAAAAGCCAGCAGTGATTGGGGAAGGCCTGTGTCAGCAGCCTGGTATTATAGAATGAGCCCTGTGCTAAGATTGGGATACCTGAGTTCTAGTCCCCTTTAGACATGTGACAAATCTTAAAATAGCTCTAAACATCAGTTTTTCCATTTATAAAATCAAGGAAATGGATTAGAAAGTTTCTTACCGCTCTCTTAGTCCATGATTCCTGTCCCATCTCAGATATGTAGCTCTGTGAAGGTTGATCCTTTGGAATTGTAGCCAAGTCTTGGAAATGGGCCACAAAGTTAAGTGAGAATGCTTTCTTCATTTAATCTAGAGATCCACAGTGCTGGAGCAGAGCAAATCGGACTGTGTTTTCCCAGCTACTAAAAAGACACATAGATCACAGAATGTTAAACTAAAGTGGACCTTGGAGATTATCTGGATTTAACCTCTCACTTTACAGATGTCACTGATGAAGCTCAGAGAGGCACAGTGACTTACCTAAAGCTACATGACTGATTAGTATCAGAGTCTGTCCTTTTTGACCTCAGTTCCTCTAAGTAACAATGTATGGCTAATTGGCATTTAAACCTGGGCCTTGAAGATATTTCCAAATGCCTGTCTAATGTGGGCTTGTATGCCAGTGCAACTATACTTTGCTGGATTGGGATAAAGAAGAGTCTTCAATAGCACCAGTCTGCACTTCCTAGTGACTTTGGGTCGCCAATAGAAAATGACAGAAATGGTCATCTAGAGGACCCAGGACTCTCCCACCCAGCCAGGATAATTGGGTTCCTTAGTAAAGCCCAAGGCTAGACCACTCCCTAACCTGATATGCATCCCTGAGGCATTATCCTGAGCAGCCACTAGATGTCCATAATGCCTCATAGGGTGTTCCAGGAGTGAGCTGGGTATCGTTTTGCCACCAAATAGGCTTTGCGGACTCTTTTAAGGGTAGGTCCATCAGTGGCAGGAACAGAACAGGAGCAAAGACATAAAAGGAATTTGGGAAACTAGAAAGAAAAAAGTAGTATGGAAATTGCCCTCCACAAAGGGAAGGAAAGATATCAATTGGTGAATCAGTAATAATAAAAAGTAGGAATGGTCTACATGGAAATAGTCACTGCCTTCTTTCCAAGGTAATGAACACATTTGTGTGTGTGTGTGTGTGTCTTAGTTCCACCCACGTGTGCAAACACCTATCAGGGACAACTAGCCATGAATTTTCTGTTTAATAAGTAAAATCAGAATTGCAAAGGGAAGGTTATTTTTCTTGCCTGTGATCCCATAGTGAGGCTGGCTGTGCCATTACTACCCACAGTCATAAAGGGAATGGATTTTATTCCTGGAGCCTGATGATTCAAGGCAAGACAGCTGTTTTAGAGTTACCCACTCTTCTGAGTGTGCTTTGAATCCACTGTTCTTTTCCCCCAAGGACTCAGCTCTTTAAGGAAGTCAGAAGGGAGTGGACAATAAAGGATAAAAAAGCATTCTCCCTCCAGGTCCCATCAAGAGCAATTTTTAAAAACCTTGGCTAAGAAAAGACACAGTGCTTAGTACAAACGGTAAAGAGATAGAATGGAGAGGCCTTTCCCTCTCCTCTAAGACTAAGTTTCTAGGGCTTACAGTTTCTTTGTGGGCTGTCAGGCTCGAGTGATGGGGAAAACCTCCCAGCTAGCACTCTGCCTCCTCTTTTGGAATAGTTTGCATGTGGTCTAGCCACAGTCACTTACATGTTCAAATTGAAAAGAGAGGTTCAGCCAGGAGCCCTGAAAATGCACTTCTGCATGAAAATACACTGGCCCATTCCAGGCCCTTGTGGCTTTTCCTCTTTAATTGCCTGTGTATAGCAGTAATAATGGTTTTAATAGCAACATTTACTGCAGCGTTGATAGGTACTTGGTACTGTGTTAAGTTACACATATTTACTCCTCACAACAGCTCTGTGAGATGGGTACCATCAGATTTCCCCATTTTGCAGATGAATTTAAGAAGTGTTCTCAGGATCACAGAACTGACTACTAATGAGTGACTAAATTTGTTTCTTGAGGCTGCCATAACAAATCACCACATAGTTGGTGATTTAAAGCAGAAATATATTCTCTCACAGTTCTGGAGGCTAAAAGTTCAAAATCTGGCAGGGCTGCACTCCCTCCAGAGGCCGTAGGGGAGAATCATTCCTTGCCTCTTGCCCCTGCCAGCTTCTGGTGGCTGTCAGCCTTCCTTGACTTACAGCTGTATCACTTCAGTCTCTGCCTCCATGGCCACATTGCCTTCTCCTTTTCTGTCTGCCTCTCTCCTCTTTGTGACTTATAAGGACACCTGTCATTGGATTTAGGGCCTACCTGGATAATCCAGGATGATCTCCTTATCTCAAGATCCTTAATTTAAATGGGTCTTTGCAGACATCATTTCAAATTCCCGTCACAGGGTTCTGGGAATGAGGATGTACCCCTATTTTTCTAGGGGCTCATTCAGCCCATTACAGTGATAGAGCCAGGTTTCAGTCTCAGTACAGAGCCCAAACTCAACCACTGTGATGCTGTGATGTGCCATTTAACATGAAGGGGAAAGGGACAATGCATCTGACAACCAGCAGGTGACTCTTCCCTATACCTGTGCCTGTGAAGGGTAGGGGAGCCAAGCAGGAGCTGTGTGGCTGTTGGGTCTTCCCACTGGGAAGGGAGAGAGTCTCTCAATCAGGAAGCATCACATGAGCCAAGAGAAGGGGGCAGGCTGACAAGACACACTCAGGAAAAATCTGTCTCTTATTTTCTGTTTCTGATTCCATTCTTAATGATTTTCTCACTTTCTCTTTACATTGTCTCTAGATTTTATCCCAAAGATATTGGAACACTTAAGCGTTTACCAGTAGTAACACCAAAAGTACCTCCTGGCATTGCCACCAAATTTGGCTCCACTGTATCTAAGTCTTAGAGATTTTGAGCTTCATGTTCATTGGAGATTAAGGGATACCTCCAGATCAGGGCCAGCAGGTGCAGATGTGGAACTGAGAGCTATGAATAGAGTGGCTTTTCAGGTATCTGAAACATAAATGTGATCATTAATCCATGCCTATGCTTACAATTAGCCTCTTCACAGACACACAGTGTATGCTTAAAATTATTCAGATTTTGGTTGGAGAAAACCCAAAACAATATTTTTTCCCAAATGGACTAATACAAAATTTGCCACATAAGAGCACATGCGTGTCTGTGTATGTGGATGCTAGTGGGCATTATGGTGTACTGGTGGATGCAAAGCATCTCTGGAGTCAGACAGACCTGAGTTTAAACCCCAGTTCTGCCTCTTACATACCGCGTATATATAGGTTAGTTGTTTAAGCCCCAGATTCTTCACGTGTAAAGTGGGATTAATAACTTATTTCATGCTATTGTTGAACTAGAAGCAAGTAAAGGAAATCACAATCTCAGCAAATAGTAATGGTCGTAGCATCTATTATTTTCTAATACGGAAACCGGTATAGAAGAGGCTGTCTTGTTCAAAGTCAGTTACTGAGGGGATTCTTTTCTTCTGGATACCTGCTCTTGTTATTGCACCTAATTTATAACTTTCAATTCTTCATTTAAGGTATGAGATGTTTTTCATTATTTGTTTTTAACAGTTACTGGGTTGGGTTTTTTTTTTTGAGGTAATTTTAGACTTATAGACAGGTCAAAAATAGTACTGAGTTCCCATATGTGCTTCACCCAGCTTTCTCTTGTGTGAGTTAATATCTTACATAACCACAGAACATTTATTCAAAACTAAGAAATTAATCTATTCAAGACATAGATTTTTACACTTGCCCTCTACAGTCTCTTCTCCATAGCAACCAAAGTGATCTTTGTGACAGTAGATCAGATTATGTTATTGATTTGCTTAAAATGCCCCAGTGTCTTCCTCTCATAGTTTGAATAACAACCATACTGCTTCCCATGGCCCACAGGCCCTAAGTCTTCATCCCTGCCTGCACCTCTGCCCTCAGGTTTTATCGTCTTCCTCCTCATTCCCTGCCCTTCAGCTACACTGAATTTCTTTTCCTGGAATACTCTTACATGGTTCTCCCCATTAAGGCCTTTACTCTCCCCACAACCTAAAATGTTCCCCCATATCTTCAGGTGGTTGTCCTGTCCAGAGTAGCCCCACTCATCACAGTTATATCACTCAGCTTTATTTTTCTCATTTTATTTTCCATTATCTGAAATTGTCTTGTTTATGGGCTGTCTATTGTGCATCCCCACAAGAGCAGAGGCCCCTGCATCTTGTTTCCAATACTTAGACCTAGCAGTGAGTTTATTATTTCAGAGGGATGAGGACTGTTTTTGATATCCCACGTGGGTAAGAGCTCAGGCCTTCCTAATTTTATCGATAGCCCTAGCCCTACCCTGCTCTACTTACATTCTTTGAAGAAGCAGGTGAGAAATTACTAGCCTGATTTTTTTTTTTAATACTGGAAAAATGAAGGAGAATCCTAGTGACCTTAAGGTGTCTCCAGTTCTCAATTTTTAGAATTCCTAGCCCCTTGCTGACAGATTTATGAAGGAGAGTTTTATGGAGGTATCATAAAGGCTCACGGGTTCTTGGCAGTTGTGAATATGTGAGGAGTGAGCATAGGTGCACAAATACACATTATCTGTGCTCATGTACACATAAGCCTGTCATTTTCAAATTGGCTAAAGTGCATTTTCTCCAAAGGGAGTGGGGGCTGTTGAGCCTGAAATAGGGAACACCAGGACAGTAAGATCAAATGCTTTGAAAGTGGCTGTGCCAACGCTTTTTGCTAATTAAAGAATGTTAGGACAATCACCACTAGCAGCAGTAAAGGGCGCCCCATTACCTCGCTTTATGGAGAGCTGGGTAAATTTAAAGGCAGCTATAAATATCCCACTGAGTGCCAGAGCTATAGCACAGTCGGCGGGTACCTGCTGGGCAAGGAGAGGAGCCCAGAGCTTCTGGTCCCCTTTGTCTAGGGTTCTCATCTCTATTACCTGTCAGTCCCCAAATTTTGCTTGACCAAGGAAGAATTCCATCAACGAACCCTTAATTTAAAAACACTCAGGGAGACAGCAAACAGCTGTGTATTGAGTCTGCCTGGGAGCCCAGGCTACCTGGGTCCTTCTCCAGCTTTGTCAGTGACTTTCTTTTCCTTTTGCCTGGATGGAAGATATTTCTTCACGTTGTGATTTTGTTTCCTTGAAACACGGGGTGTGTCACAGAAATTTAAAAAAAAAAAATCCAGGTGCAGTGCTTATGCTTGTAATCCCAGCATTTTGGGAGGCCAAGGTGGGGGAATTGCTTGAGCCTGGGAGGAGGAGGTTGCAGTGACCTGAGATCGCACCACTCACTCCAACTCTGGTCATCAAACAGAGCAAGGTCCTATCTTTAAAAAAAAAAAAAAAAAAAAAAAAAAAAAGACATGGTTTGACACCTAAAAAAAAAAAAAGTGACATGGTAAGACCTTTCTCCTGGGAATATTCTAGAGCCCCTTAACTGAGCAACTCTGTGCTCCAGAGAAAATTTTAGCATCTGTAAAGTGGCAACAAAATGGGAACATACTTTTTATACTTATCCTACGGAATTTCTGACTAAATTAAAGATTTTTACTCAGTTTGGAACTTTCTCCATGTTTTTAATCTATTCAATTTGGCTTGAAACCTATTATGTCCTTTTCTGGGTTTCTTCTTGTATCTCTTCCATGGCCTCCAAGCCGTTCTAATCCCTTGGTTTGTAGAGTGGTGCCACATTGGCGCTGCCTCCTCTCTACCAGCTTTCTTGATCTGTTGTTCATTTTCTTTAAACATCAGCATCTGTGGCCATCAAGCTGCCTTGCACAGTTTGCTAATTGTTTTCAATTGTATGCCTCCAGCTTGAGCTATGGTTAGGATTTTCCTGTTCTAGTAGTCCACTCAGTACTGGCCTAGTAACGTGAGTTCCTTGGCAAGTTCATTTGTCTCATCTAAGGAGTTCCAGGGAGGGAATTAAGGGACCCATGATGGAAATGTGGGCTTGAACTTTGTCTCTCTGTAGCTGGTACTCTTCATCCCACCCCTTCCCATCTTTGAGCAAAAGGACAAGCACTTTACCTTAAGAGCGGAGGGGGCCCCGGTGCAGGGGCTCCTGTCTATAATCCTAGCACTACAGGAGGTCGAGGATGCAGGATCGCTTAAGCCCAGGAGTTTGAGATTAGCCTGGGCAATATAATGAGACCCCCCATCTCTAAAATAATAATAATAACAATTTAAAAAATAAGAGGTGGAGGGCAGCGCAGCATTGGGAACACCGGGAAACCAGCCCAGCGCCCACACCACTGGCTATCCCATGAGTCATCAAACAACCAATGGGTGAATTGGCTAACATCCAGGTTCCTGGATGCTGCGTTCCTTTTTTATTATGACTTGAGCTTCTTCAGGAGTTAGATCTATCAAGCCTCCAATCTGCTCTTGCTCCACGTTTTTAGAGGCAACTCTGTCTGCAAATGCTTCCAGTGGAAAATCACCTTTATATCTAGAGGAATTGGGGATAGGTGAACATGATCTAAACGTGCTAGAACTCTCAGCTCCTCTATCAGATTTAGAAAGGATGAGAATGTCCCCAGTTTGTTGGTTGGCTAGTTGGTCTATTCATGTACATACTCTCTCACATTTACATACTGAGTTTCTCTGATACAGCTCTGAATTTGGCTAGAACTCACAGGTAGATTTGTTTGCTTATTTCTTTTTAACCACAGGTAACATGACCACCTTGAAACTTGTTCTGCCTCATCCCAACACCACTCCAAGCCATGAATCCCCATCTTTCAATGTTTACCTCACTACCAGCCAAGAATGCTAAGCAGGGTGTTCTGGGGAACCTTTCATCTTGGTCTACTTTAAACTGTTTCTCTGATGAACACCAGACTGAAATGGCTCTGGTTCTGATGGGGGGTGCTAAATCCCCAGCCTTTGTGCAGCTACCAGCTGGGGATCTGAGGGGTCTCCTACCATGATGCCTAGACACTGGCAGCCTGGCTAGAAGAGCTCTCATTCTCTATCACTTTCTTGGTGACTAGGGCCAGTTTGTATGGCAGCCCAGTGAGGCTACTCGATTTGTATTCAGTGCACAAACCCTGAAAAAAAACCCTGCCAGCCAGCAACTCTGAAAGGATGCTTTGTGTGAGTGAGCAGTGTCTGAGATGGACAGGGACTCTCCTCCCTCCCCTGAAAACAGCCTCTCTGGCCCAGCAACTTATTGGTGCTTTGGATCTGGCACAGAGCTCCTGGGGATCCCTCCCCAAGAGGAGACCATCTTGGGATCCCAGATAACACTGAGCAACTTACGCCCTGTCCTTCCTGCCCTGGCTTCTGGCAGTCAGCCTCCATGAGCCAGTCAGCAGGATCCATTCAAGGTGGTGCCCGTGTATGCAAGAGAGACAGTAAGTGGAAAAGGGGGGAGATGAACATGAACAGACCAACCAGCCAACAAACTGGGGATGTCGTCATTCTTCTCAGATCCTGCGAAGGCTGTAGCCTCTGCTCAGCACTGCTGCCCGTCCTGCCGGACTGGTCCTTCACTCTCTCCCCAAGCAAGAGCTGTGGTACCCTGAACCTGTTTGATTTCCTAACCCATTAAAGCTTTCTTTTGCACCTATTATCTGAAAAGGGGCAGAAATAAGAATTCTGCTCCTGAACATCTGGTAGCTGCAAGGTAAAATTCTTTACCAAATTGAGACCAAGAGGTGTTCCTGCCTGATGGGAGACCAGGCCTGTCAGCACCACCACCAACCCTGTCTTGTTTTTAATGCCACTGGAGGAGTTGGCTCCTGCCAGCTGCTATCTGAATCTGTCTCTTTTAAGATGTTATTTGTTATTAATGAGTTTTCTAACCACATAACCTTGACTCACTTGCTTAGGTGAACAAGACCATTCTCATTAAGTACTCTTTTCTGTGAAGGAAAAGAATTAAGTGGGTAATGAAGAACTTTCTAAGGGCTCACGCATACATGAGAGCCTAGAAGACAGCATCACTGGCACGTGAATGGCAGGCTGGGCTTAGTCTTCTACCCCCTGAACAGCTCCATCTTAGGCCACATCTCTTTGTGAGAAAAGCCAAAGAGGGTGGCTGAAGTATGTTTAATCAGGTGCCCATCTCAGAGGTTACACCAGGTCTCTCTCCCCTCTCATATTTCAGTGATGCTGGGTTTTTTTAATACCAGCCTCATCTTTGCCAAATTAAAACCCTCCTTGTATCTTGTTTGCCCTAATTATTTTGAATTTAGTCCATCATAAATAATATACATGTAATAAGGCCAAGGCAGGCAGATCACTTGAGGTCAGGAGTTCGAGACCAGCTTGGCCAACATGGTAAAACCCCATTTCTACTAAAAATACAAAAATTAGCCAGGTGTAGTGGCATGCACCTGTAATCCCAGCTACTTGGGAGGCTGAGGTGGGAGAATCACTTGAACCCCAGAGGCAGAGGCTGCAGTGAGCCGAGATTGTGCCACTGCATCTAGCTGGGTGACAGAGGGAGACTCCATCTCAAAAAATAAATTTTTATATATATATATAAATTTATATATCTGAAATATATGAATGGTGGTGCTGACAGGCCTGGTCTCCTATCAGGCAGGAACACCTCTTGGTCTCAATTTGATAAAGAATGTTACCTTGCAGCTACCAGATGTTCAGGAGCAGGATTCTTATTTCTGCCCCTTTTCAGATAATATATCTTTATATATGTATTTATATATTGTGTATAAATACACAATATGTAAAGATACAATATTGTGTATCTTTATATATGTATATATGTGTGTATATATATACACATATACACACACACACACACACACACACACGTAATAAACGTTGCAACACTTAGAGTGTCTATTAAATAAGACAATGTAACCAAACAAATATTTTTCTTCCATTTTATTTTAGAAGCCTTTAGAAGAGGAATAGTGCGGAGAGAAGGGTTGTGGGCCTGAGAGAGGCTGTGTCTGGGGACAGAAGGTAGCAGAGTGGGAATAAAGATGTGGCCCCAGCCAAGGACTTTACCCAAGACTCATTGCTTTCACATCTGGGTATGTGGAGGAGAAGAAAACGCAACAAAATGTTTCCATTTGGCTGAACGAGAGTTTTCTCCAGACCCACCTCCTATCTAAAGTGTCCTGTCGCCACACTTGGGCCAATGGCACTTGTGGTTTGTGTGTTATCACTTCTCCACTCGGTGTGGTCAAGGAGCTTTGCAGCCCTGACTTGTAGCACAGAAAGATTTATTCAGGCCGCATCCACAAAGGGACAGGCAGACTCCTAAAGAATCAGGCTTTGTAGGCAAATGCAGCCCTGCCTGATTTCCAGAGACCTTTGTCCCATGGGATAGGTAAGATGAGCAGAAAATCTGAAACCAGTGGCTTGAAAACTGTTTACCACAGAATTTCCTGTATGGGTCCCATACGTGTACAACACACTTATTTTGAAAATTTTTTCTTCCTTGCTCTTACCTTGCTGAAATCATTGTTTTTACAATAAAGAAAAAAATCAAAAAGTGTTTAAAATAAAAAAGGAGCTCATCTTCTTCCCCCCTCCCATCTCCCCCCCCACCCCCGCCACACACACAGACACACACACACACCTTTTATCCGTCTTCTCATTCCTACTCCTAAACAATTTAAGAGAATCTTCAAGTTTAAGCCATTTTTGAAATGGTTTTGCTCTCATCCCTGGAGGTGTAACAGCCTTTTCCCATTCAGTACTTTATTTTTCCAGATAGTTCATATGGAGTAGAAGGAACATACTATATCTGTTTCTGTACTGATGGATCGTGTTCAGTTGTGTACATTTATCTCTGAGGCCTGCTAATGCCATCTGAGTTTCTAAAATCCTTATTTTTGCAAATCCATTTGTGTCCTGGGTTTAGCTCCTGATTTTAGGATTAGCACAGATTACAGGGTCTGTCTGATGCCTTCTCCAAGCTTTGTATCAGATTTATGGCTATGAATTGAGAAGCTTGCACATAGATAGCGTGGAAACTAGAGGCAGATACGAGCTGATGGGAGAAAAAAGCAAAAGGAGCTCTTGTAAAGAATTGGAGTAGTTATCAGGCCAGATATTTGGATCAGAACCAGTTAAGAACCTGAAAACGCCAACTTTCTGTTTCTTGACTTCACAACTGTGCTGGGCTGCCTGTTCCCTCTTTTCCAGAACAGTTTTCCATGGACCCTGGCTGTGCCTCCTCCCCACCCCACCCAGTGGCTGCCCCCAGAATAGAGTTCTAAGCCATGCTCCAGCCCTCTGGGTGGCATCCTTTGCTAAGAGGGCTCTCTCCTGTCATCAGCAGTCCCTATGGCCTCCATCCTGTCAGTTCTTATTAGACAGCTCTTCTGCTCTACATCAAGGAGCCTGAGAGACTGGAATAAAGGACAGAGATGGGTTTGGGGCACAGAGCAACCCATGCCACTCCTACCCTGTGATGCAGAAATATTAGGGGGATTCAGCCACCTAATATTTTCTGGAAGTGGAAAAAGACATATGTAACTGTGGTAAAGACTCATGGGTCACTTTAGGCTATATGTGTTTTATGCTGCAGCACTAGAACATAGGAGCAGCTTAAATAATCAGATTTATCATCTCACATAAAATGTCAGTCCCTAAGTAGGACAGCTCCAGGGGAGGGGTGGTTGGTTTAACTAAGATATGTCCCCAGGTCAGAATCAGGCACCTTGGTTTTTTCCCTCTTTCTATGCTGCCATTCTCTCCCCATGACCACAAGTACCTTTCTTGGCTGCAAGATGATTGCCATAGCTCTAGGCATTGCATGCTCATACACCAATCGACAAAGGCAGGAGAAGCATAGTTTCTTGTTTTGTGCCTTTTTAAAAGTTTAAAAAGAAAAAAATCCTTCCCCACAAGCATCTCAGCTGACTTCCTTTTACAACTGATTATCCAGATCTGGATGACACATCCACTCCTAAACCACTATGTGAAACCAGGAAAGGGAACTCTTTTCCTCCACCCCAATGATTGGCTGAGACTAGGGATTTGGAGGAGCCATGAATTTGGATACAGAAAATTTTTCTCCCTGAAGCCAGGGTCTTGCTCTATCAAACAGGCTGAAGTGCAGTGGCACAATCATGGCTCACTGGAGCCTCAAACTCCTGAGCTAAAGCAATCCTCCCAACCTCAGCCTCCTGCCTAGCTGGGACTATAGATGGGTGCCACTATGCCAGGCTAATTGTTTTTATTTTTTGTAGAGATGGGATCCTGCTATGTTGCCCATGCTGGGTTTTTTGGGGTTTTTTGTTTTTTTGGGTTTTTTTTTTGGTTGTTGTTGTGTTTTTTTTTTTTTTTTTTGAGACAGAGTCTCACTCCGTCACGCAGGCCAGAGTGCAGTGGCATGATCTCACCTCACTGCAACCTCCACCTCGGGTTCAAGTGATTCTCCTCCCTCAGCCTCCTAAGTAGCTGGGATTACAGGCATACACCACCAAGCCCAGCTCATTTTTATATTTTTAGTAGACATGGGGTGTCAGCATGTTGGCCAGGCTGGTCTCAAACTCCTAACCTCAAGTGATCTGCCCGCCTTGACCTCCCAAAGTGCTGGGATTACAGACGTGAGCCACTGTGCCCTGCCTCCCATGCTGGTTTAGAACTTCCATCCTCAAGCAGTCCTCCCACCTCAGCCTCCGTTAAGTGCTGGGATTATAGGCATGAGCCACAGCACCTAGCGTGTGTCTTTATTTGTATTAACTGCTAAGACTAACTATTTCCTTTGAATATGAATTAAGCAGCAAATCAAAGTAAAACTAATTTATCTATTCATCACCAATAGAAATAAAGAATATATTCATATCATATTACAGTAATTGTAGGAATTTCAGAATATTGTTTACTCTTACCACTTCTTTGAAAGTATAGTAGTTTTTAGAGCTGATGTTAGATCTCTTAGTGTGTTGATAAAGAAATACATGTACTTATATCCTGATTTTGATGGGTTTTTATAAATATTTTCATAATTTTCACTATAATTGGTTTCCTTTGCAATCCTATATATTTCATGCATGTAAAAAGATTATTATTTAAAGGGGTCCATAGGCTACCCTCAACTGCCAGAGGGGTCCATGGCACAAAAAATGACTTATACCAGTCAGCATTTTCCTGAGTCACATACGAGAAAAAAGGATGGGCACCTGCCAGCAGGGAGAAGGTGGAAATGGCTGTTGATCAGGCAACCCGTGGACCTTTCCACAGTGAGTGCCTGTGGACTCAGGCAGCCTAAGTGCCACTCAGTGGTCCCTTCCCTGCTATTGCCCAGCTCCATTTACAGCAGGATCTTCCAAACTTCAGATATTTTTATACCATGCCTGTGCTTTAGCCAAATCCAGGTACCACTGATTATTTCACTAATATTTTTCTTCAAATCACTCTGTTCTTTCTGAAATCTCTTTTTTAAAGGAAGCTTTATTAAATGGAAAAATACCACTTACCATAAATGAAAGGAAATCTTAAAAATAAACACATAGAATACAGAACAGTGTTGGTGAATTCTGGCTAAATCCTATTTGCCTGTAAGGCTCTGCTCCTCTTTTGTGAAAGAGATACTAAAGACAGATTAGCGGCAAACTAAGACATAATCAGAGTTGAGAGATCTTTGAAAAGGGTATAACTTAGTTTGTGGTTTCCATTTTGTGCCCCGTCATTGACCCAGCTAAAATAATTCAGTCCCTGGGCAGGTTTAAGATAGACTCCTTGTTTTACAGACTAGTGACCCACCTACAAAGGAAATGAGTTTTGTATGACTTATTGTTTATGAACCTGCATCTTTTTTTTTTTTTGAGACGAAATTTCGCTCTTATTGCCCAGGCTAGAGTGCAATGGTGTGATCTCGGCTCACTGCAACCTCGGCCTCCCGGGTTCAAACAATTCTCCTGCCTCAGCCTCCCGAGTAGCTGGGACTACAGGCGCCCACCATCATGCCCGGCTAATTTTTGTATTTTTGGTAGAGACAGGGTTTCACCATGTTGGCCAGGCTGGTCTCGATCTCCTGACCTCGTGATCCACCCGTCTTAGCCTCCCAAAGTGCTGGGATTACAGGCATGAGCCACCGCACCCGACTGTCTTCTTCCTTGTTCTTATCTGGACTTCAGAGAATGCAAGAGGCAGAAGCTCTGGGAGACCCTGAGACCACAGCCTCAATTTCCAGGCTCCGAATTGGAACTGGCAGTGATTTTTTTTCTTTTTTTTTTTTTTTTCCAATTCAGGAAAACTTGTTGAGAAAGACAGGCTGACATTTGCTGACTACGCTTTGCAGACTTTCTCCTTAAGCTCTGTTAGTTGTGCATGTTTACACATTGAGTGTGCCTTGTGGGCATTTGTGGGCATGTTTGCATGTGAGTGTGCTGTGATGCCAGAGCAGGCCTCATGTATGACGCCTCAATTTAGTCACTTTTCTTAATGGTTTGAAACGACAAATGTTACTGTCTTTGAGTTAAGTGGTTCAATTAGCACTGATTGGAAAGAGTGGGATGAACTGGGAAAAACACGCAGCCTGTTTGGTAACAGCCTTGGGACGGGAGAGAGGGAAGGTGTTACCCCTGAAAACAGCTTCTCAGTGGTGGCCTGTCCAGCTGCAGTGGCTGTGGAGAGTGCTGCTGGGACCAGTTTTTGTTTTGGAGGGCGAGACGGCAGAAAGCTATTAGAAAAGGGGCCACAGGGAGCTCTCAAGTGATGCAGGGTATATGTGTATCATCCCTGCTGCTGTAAGAGATCCTCAGTTCTCCAAATAAAATATTCATCACTCCCCCATGTGTCTTCTCTACCCCACTGGCTCTTCTGCAGTGCACTTTCAGTGAGTAGAGAGAGAATGGTCCCTCTGGTTTACAGCTCCTTCTTCCAGCTGTTCACACGGGTGTTTGTCTGATCTGTCTTCCTGTCTCCAAAAGAGCAGGACTGTTAGCAGCATTACAGAGCCTTTTGGAGCTCCTTCTAAGCAGCCTTGGCTATTTTGGCCCCACAGTCATCTCAAGGTAGAAATGGGGCCAGAACCTTTCCCCTTCAAGGTCTGCTCCTTTTGCAGTGTTCCCTCTAACCCCTCATGCTACCCTTACTGGAGCAAAACCAGCATGATTTCAACCTGCAGATTTTTTCACTCTTCTCTTCCCAACTCAGCCTGAATTTTATAACACCGTGGAAGGCTCCACAATTGATGAAGTCAAGTCTGGGGGACTTGATCCACTCTGTCAAGTGCCCCAGAAGATTTTCTGTCTTCTGGTTAAAAGAAACAAGTCCCTGCTCCACCATGTTGTTATCTCCCAGCCCCTCTCCTTCCTGTCCTCTCCTCTCTTAACTGCTCTTTCCCCGAAACTGCCCCCACTCCATCCCTCCAAGGCCTCCCGACAAGGACAGTTTCCTCTTCAGGTGCCATTCTGACATGAAGCCCACCAGTTCCCCCTCTTCCTTTCCTTTCCTCTCAAGTCCATCATAGTTCTAAGAGCACTCACCTCCCCAAGCACCACCTGTCATTGATAAGACCAGAAGGCTTGAGGAGCTTCAAGTCTAGTGAAGTGTCAGTGCAGCAGGATGGCATTATGGTCAGCAGCGTGGACCTTGGAATCAGAGACCTGTGTTTGAATTCTGGCCCTGTCACTTACCAGCTGCATGGCCTTAGACCTAAACCACTTAATCCTTTAACCTTCAGGGTCCTCATCCATAAAATGGGGATGATAATATTATGAAGAATTATGGGAAGAAATTGGCTAGAGTGTCCCAGCAACGTATGCAGGAGAGGATAGAATGATGAGGTCCAGGGTACAGTGGATCTCTGGGGCAGTGTGAAGGTAAAAGAGATTCTGAGCTAATGTCTTAGAATCATCAAGTGAAAGCTTGGCTGGAATTGGGGAGGCTGGGGTAAACGCCCACAAAGGAAAGGGTTCTCAGAGAGCACTGCATTCTGAATAAAAACAGAAGTGACCTCAGTGACATTCTCTGTCTAAGGCAGGTAGCCTCAGAGACTGCATGGTTGTTTCCACTGGGTTTTCGTAAGAAGACTGAACCAGACATGCAAGCACTCGCTTACATGTATGTGTGTGTAAAGGAGACGTTAACAGGACAAGATATGGAGCACTTAATTTACCCAGTTCTCCCTCTTCTTTCTCACCTCCCTCTTTTTAGCATGTGGATGGTTTTTCTGTTTGAACGCCTCTATGGAGGCATTTGCAAAAGTCACTGTTTTCTGGCCATCTTTAATGCATGTTTATGTCATTTGCAGACAAATTGAGGCAGAAGGATCCAGCAGGTCCTACAGAAAAAAGTACAGTAGAAATCCCATACCTCATTGTTCTTCTCCTTACCTCTTTTCCCCAGATAACTTATCCTCACAGCATTGAGTCTGATACTGAGAAAAGAAAGCCTCTGCAAGTTTAGCTTCACTGACGTGAGCAGTTCAGTTACTGCACTGTAGCAAGGACTTCATTAGTTATCGACCTTATTGCTGGTATAAAATCTGGGAGCTAGACCCCAAATGAGTTCCACATGTCCCTCAGATCCCCAGCAATTTTGCCATTGGAGCAATACTTGAGAAAAGCTCTCTTTAGCCTCAAGTTTCTGGCTGATTTTTTTGGTCTTCCATCTCTTCCCCCAGTCTTAGGGCCCAAATCTCTCTTCCATTTATCATGTCACCTGCAAATCAAATCTCTGTTCTCTGCATTCCCACAACCATCTACCTATGACCCAGCCAGCCTTTTCCAGAAACATTCCATACTTATTTGACAGAACCATTGTTAATCCAAGAAGATAGGCAGAGCTGCCGTGATGAAGGGCTCTGGGAGGCAGCAGGGCTAAGTCAGTCCTCCTGAGCTGAGAAAGAGCATCATTTCCTAGATGCCTCTGAGCTCTTTTCTGTGTCGTCTCCATTTTGACCGTAGACTCCACCAAATCCACCGCTGGGCCCATGCGAGTGGCAGTAGCTTCACTTGCTTGAGTGAAAGCCTCAGATCCAGTAACTGGGAAGGAGGGGGCTCAGGCTTTCCAGAGGGTGGAGTGCTGACTGCTCCTTCTCTGGTTCTGCCCTGTGTGCTTGCTTCCAGAGCTTCCCACAGCTTCCCAGTGCAGGAGTTTTCCTCCTGGACAGTGTCACCAAATCCTTCCCATGGGGTATCTTGGAGCCACTGTGCAAGTTCATGTTTCTGCCCCTGAGTCCACCCTCCCGAAGACAAAGGCAGAGGCCCAGGAAAGACATTTGAGATGAACAAGACTTTTTACTGTTAGAACAGAAAAATCAAAGTTCAATATCTCCTGTAAGTATGAGAGAGAGAGAGATGGGCTGCAGCTTCCAATGTGAGATGGCCACAAGTCCCATGTTTAAGTTCAAAAATCAGTTACACCATTACAAGATGAAGGTGACCTAGCTTGACAGCAATTTACATGAAAATTACCCCACAGGGTTTTATTTACCACCAACTGTAGCTAACAGTGTGAAGTGACTGATAAAAATTGCATTCATAGAGAAATCATATAGATCAAAGGAGGTAATTATTCTGCACTGCCTAAACAGCATCTGAGATACTGTGTTCAGTTCTAAGCAGTGTGTTTTTAGAGGGATCCTGATAAATGGAGGGGCATTCCTAGGAAGGGACCTGGGTGGTGTAGAATATGGGATCCAGGTCCAGGTAATGGAATTCACTCGGGATGGAAAGAAAGGACAAACACTGATAATACCAATGGTTGTCATGTGGAAGGAGGCAAGGAACGAACACTTGTGTACTTACTGTTGCTAAGTGCTGTGCCCATCCTTTGACGGAGCTTCTCTCGTTTAGTCCTCAAGGTAGCCAGTCCTCTGAGCTAAGTGATACTTGGGTTCAGAGAACTTTCTAAAAGTCATCCACTGGTAAATAAAAAAAATGGATCAGATGTGTTTCCAATTGCTCCAGAGTACAAAACTAAGACCAGTAGGAAGAAGTTCAAGTTAGAGGGCATTCACTTGAAAGAGGACTTTTCTAACAGTGAAATGGGCTTCTTTGAAGGAGATCGAAGTTGATAGACACCGATATCAGAGGTGTAAGGATGACATTTGCTTTGGGGAGGAAGCATTGGGACAGATGACCTTCAGTTCAGTTGGAGTGCTCTGGAACTCACTAGGGCTTTCTGAGGGCAACATCAGGCCCAGAGGAGCTGCCAGGCAGGACGGAAGGCTGGGGCTGCCAGTGGTCCATTTCTTCTGCCTGGACTTAGGGATTACAGGCCATTTATGTCCAGCTCTAGCTCAGTGCCCCAGCTTTAGCCTAATGCCCATCTCAGCTGTCTGGACAAGCTCCCATTCTGGCAGCTTGTCCATCAAGGTTGGATCTGTCTCTCCTCCCGTTTGTGACTCCACTTCATTGCCACAGCTTGTCTTCCCGCCCAGGAAAGGGTATTTGGAAGAAGCTCCATCCTGTCTCCTTTTCCCCATTGGTGCAATCTCCTCCTAGCAGCATCTGCTGAAAGGGGTGTAGTCATCCTGGCCCCAGACAGAGCTGTCTTCCAAGTCACGGATGTTGACGAGGCCTGTGTGTGTATCTGCATGCTCACACCGCAGCCTGATCGATGCCTGTCAGAGCTCAGCATCAGAGTGACAGCTGCATACCAGGCTGTTTGCTGAACACAACTCGTCCGTCAAGGGAAATCAGATGAAATCCATCTCCTTGTCCAAAGCCTGGCCCGATGGGCTGTGTCTGGAATGCCAGTCTTGTGTCCCACCCTACTTTTGTGCCCTGAAAATCATTCCCTCGGATTTCAGTGTTACTTCGATGGGTCCCTTGGGGCAGAAAAATTATAGTTAAGAAAATTATGTGAAAAGACCAATAGTCAGCCCTACCCTTCAGGGACTTCTAGTTTAGAGCTGGTACCTACTGTATGGATAGTGCAAGTCTAGAACACACAAGAATTGGCATATGATTATCTTAAACTGGTTGGTATAAAAATAGAGCATAAATCAAATGCATTGAATAAAAAAATTTGCTTACATATATTGAATAGGCATTAGCCAGATTAAATAGTGTGTTGCAGACAATTGGTGGGGAAGGGTCTCTTTAGAGAGTCTCATTAGAGACACAATTATGGGGTTTTAAGGCTTTCAGAATTGACAAGGACAAGTTTTGGCAGAGGTTCTATGTTTGTAAACCATTTAGGACTGCAGGAAGCTCTGTCACCCCATGTCTTGGCAGTAAGCCAAATAGCTGCTTCTGTTTCCTCTTCCTAAAGCCTCTTTTATCCCATACAAGCATGTACCTGAAACTTCAAGAAGCCCCTCTCTAGCCTCAGCCACTCCAGCACTTCCATTTCCCAAGGCTTTGGGCACTTAAGTGGAGAATTGCCCTGTTCCAGCTCTGTGAGATGCTGTGAGCTAATTCTCTCCCCTTAGCCTGCCCTGTCTTCAGGAGTCTGAGTGACTCTCAGGGTTCAAAAAAAATGGTGCAGGAGGCCAGAGATTTCGGAAGGTAATATTTTCCCCCCACTACCTGGAAAACTGTGGAACACAAAATTGTTCAAAAGACAGAAGTGAGATACCTGGGCAATGGGGGAAAGAAATCAGTCCAGGAGCAAGAGGATGGAACATAGCAGCTGAGAGAGAGTGTTTTCTGGGGTGGAAGGGGACTTACAAAACCCACAAGCAGAGGATGGGGATCCTGGATAAATGGGAGACCAGGGAAAAGCCCTAGTTTCAGAGCGGCACCTTTTTCCTGCTGGTCCTCAAAGGGCCTTTCAGACTAGGGAAGGATTCTCTGGTATTGCTTCCCTGGAGATACACTAGCCAGAATCAGCCTCCTGCTTGGGCCTCCACTCTCCACGCTGTCCTACTCCGGCAGGCTGAGCTTTTCCCCGACCCCAGGCCTGTGGAGTGCAGCAGTCAAAGCTTTATTGCCCACACACTGGAGCCGCTCTGCAATAAAAGAAAATAAAACAAGGTAATGGGAATGGCCGGTACAGGGGGCAGGCCCCTGGAGAAATGGGCCTGCTGCTGCCCATCTTCCCAGCACCACTGATCGCCGCTAAGGCCACTGTCAGTAAGTCATCGGCAGTACCCTGGGTCTCCTTTCTGGGGCTGAGTGAATGACCTGCATGGTGGTCAGATGGAGTGGCGGTGGCATGTACACAGGCTTACTTATGCAGACCTCTGTAGACCACAGGCCTCAGTGCCTTCTCCAGGAGACAGCCCTCCAGTGGCAGGAAGGCAGAGAACAGAGATCGGCATCTCACCTCCTAAGGCAAACCAGAGTGGGGAGGAAAAGAGTCCCACCCAGTGGTGCCCCAGAGGTGGCCAGGAACAGAGGTTGGTGTTCTTAAAGACAGCCTTGGCTGTACCATATCTATGGTAAGTGCTGGTAACACAGAACTATCTGGCAGAAGGGGAATCTGGAAATGCCCAAAGGGAAGTGGAGGGAGGCACGAGCACCTAGCTGCCTATCCTACCAAGGTCCCCACCTCACACATAGATTGTTCTGCATAGCAGATATGAATGCCTTGCACGGAGGTTGGCATTAGCAATGGTTCAAAGTCTCCAGTAATTTTCATTTTGTCATGTGGCATGTCTGGCCCTTTGACCAAAGAGCTTTTAAATTCCTCCTCCTCAGCCCCCTTTTTCTTCTTCCTCTCCCTGGCTCCTCTATCCCCAGGCTGGATCCAGACTTGTTAATGAGCCTCGGCTTTTCTCCCCACACATGAGGCACTAAATCTTCCCTGCCTGCCTCGTGACCTACAATCATTTCCCAAGCTCACCTATGCCCATGAATACTTAATTTAAAACTTCTGCTGCCTCTCAGTAGTTTGTAATTCTGAGGCCGAAGTCAACAGAGGAAACAAAATGGGCTGATGAATGTATTGAGGAAGGTGAGCAGAAAGCCATACACAGCATCTCTGTGATGTGGGGAAAGCCTTTCTTAACGATTTAGTTTAATAAGATGGATGTCTGCAGTGTAGAGTTATTCTAATAGGATGGATATCTGCCCGATCTATTGGCCTGCAGGATGGTTATGAGTTTTAAATTTCCACATCTCCAGGGCAATAAATTCTCTGGGCTTTTAAATTATAAACTTCGTGGTTTTGTTTTGTTTTGTTTCAGTTGGGAAAGCTGGAAGGATTTTGTTTTGGTCAGAGCATGAAAAAGGTAGATCCAGTCAGGGGGTTGGGAGGCAGGAAGGTGGGCCGGGTTCTGTTCTTTCAGCCTTACCTTCTCCACAGCCTGTGCTCCTCCCCCTGGCAGCTCTGTAGGACCATGGGTTCCCATGTTCTTGTCATCTCAGTGTGGCTGATGTTCCCACCACAGGGATCTAAAGGAGCCCCTGTAGCTTCAAAGTTAGAGCCCCTCTCTGGGTGTCTGCTGTAGCTTTCCTCTGCAGAGTAATGGCAGCAGGGGAGGAAGGAAATGGGAACCTATTGGCCTTACAGCAAGGGGATGCCCTAACCTGACCACCTCCCAGTGCAGGTCCAAGAAGAAGAGGTTGCAGCCAGTGGCTCCCAGGTAGTCAGAGAAGTAATGATGAGTTTTGGGGCTGGGCTCATGCTGAGCAACCAACAGAGAATAGATGCAACGAGCCCCAAAGGTAATGAGCCCAGAATGCTGCTAACTGGAGTGCTCCGCCTGGGATCACTGGAGAAAGGAGCTCCGGCAGTTCTGTGCTGAGGGAAACTGAAGCTTCCTTAATGACTTTTTTCCTTTATACTGACACATCACTCCTCGGCCCAAGAGCAGAGCAACCAGGGCTAGCAGGAAGACAGATGCCTCTCCCTGGGTCTGCTTCCTGGCCTTTCTCAGCATGCCTTCATCCCCCACTCGCTGGGCCAGAGCCTCTACCTCGGCTGTCTCAAAAACTTAGACATCTGGGAGTGTGCTGCTCCCAGATGTCAGCAGAATCATGCTGCCTGCTGACTAGTGACAAGAGCCAGGCTCTGGAATTAGGCAGGACTGAGTTCAAATTCTAGCCTCTCCATTGATCAAATGACCTTGGGCAAGTTCTTCTCTAAGCCTCCATTTTTTTATTAGTAAAATGGGACTTAAAACAACCACTTCACAAAATGGTTATAAGGATTAAGTAAAACAACATGCATGTCTTTGTGAACTTAATTCAGTGTGTAGCACACAGCAGATACTCAATAAGTGTTAATTCTCTTCCTCTTCCCTGTAACAAGGAGCTATTGGTCTTTCCTTCAGATGTGGAATTGGACAACTGCAGAGCCTCTTGCCTCGAGCATTTATGATCTATCCCCTGCCAAGCCTGGCTTTTGGACAGAACCTGTGTTCAGGGGCAGTAGCTGGAAGGGCGCAGCCATAATGAGCCAGCCTTTGCCCCAGATACTATATGCCATGGACTGCATTTGGATCAGTAACAAAAGAAAAAAGGGCCTTGTTTCTCTGAGATTATCCTCCCTTTATGTTCTTTGAATCAAACATTCTTAAAAGCAAAGACAAATCAATAGATAAGTACCAGTGATTGGCATCTGTATTTCCATTTCATTCGATTCATTTAGCAAACATGCACTGACCTTCTACTGTGTGTCAGGCGCCATGCTAGGAGTTGGGACCACAAAGTCAAATAGTTTTCTGCCACAAAATCAAGCTCTGTTTTCTGCCATCAAGGAGTTGGCAGACTCATGAGCTCATCAACAATGAGAATACAGGGTGGTACAGTAGTCCCCCCTTATCCACAGGGAATACATTCCAGGACCCTCAGTGGATGCCTCAAACCACAGACGGTGCCAAACTAGACATATACAGTGTTTTTTTCCTACATATGCATGCATATAATTTATACATAAGGTATAAGATTAATAACAATAATAATAAAACAGAACAATTATAACAATATGCCAGCATCACTACTCTTGTGCTTTGGGGTATTAAGTCAATAAGAGTTACTTGAACACAAGTACTGTAATTCCATGACAGTCGATTTGGTTACAGAGAGGGAGAGGGTTACTAAGTGAGTTACAGGCGGGTAGCATCTACAGCCTGGATATGCTGGACTGAGGGATGATTCATGTCCCAGGCAGGAGGGCAAGAGGTTTCATCACGCTACTCAGAACGGCACACAGTTTAAAACTTTGAATTATTTCTGGAATTTTCCATTTAATATTTTCAGACAGCGGTTGACCACGGGTAAATGAGACTGTGGAAAGGAAAACCGCAGATAAGGGGGACTCCTTTATATACTCTGTGGTGCACAACTGGGGCTTCAGAAAAGATTTCCTGGAGGAAGGACTGCCGAGGCTGAATCTATAAGAATTAGACATCTGCCCAGCCAAGGGGAGAGGAAGGACATGAATTCCAGTGAGAGATTCAAATGCAGCAGTTAGGAATAGCATTTCGTCGCTGGTAATATAGACCAAAAACAGCATTCGTTTAACAAGATTAAAGTTTGCTTCTTTCTCATAGGAAGCCCAGAGGTGGGCAGTTCAGAACCAATACAGTGGCACCTGGTATCAGCAGGGATCCAGGCCCCTTCATTCTCCTGCTCAGCATTTCTTAGCACATGGCTTACATTCTCAGGGTCCAAGGTGTCTACAGATCTCTAGCCATTTACCTCATCCTTCCAGTCAGGAAGCCAAAACACAGGAAGAAAGCACAAAGATAGCAAATGCTTTCCTAGAAGTCCCACCAAGAAATTTCTGCCGAATCTCGCTAGTGTGGCCAGTGAGAAACAAGACTTGGGGATTGTAGTCTTTCAGCTGACCATACTGATGCATGCAATAAAAGGAACAGAAAAAGGAGAGAATGGAGCCAGGGAGATAGATCTCTACCACACACAGTGTGTCCAAAGGCACAGAGATATGAAACTTCAGTGTGTGTTGAGGGAACACAGAGATCAGTCGACCCAGATCAAAGAGTCCCTGTAGTATAAGGCAAGTAGGAGGTGGTGGAAATGAGACTAGAGACACAAATCCACATTTCCCTGCAGGTACTAAAAGTGACCAGTGCTCAGGCTGGGGCTGGGCAGGCAGCATCTACCAAAGGACTAGTCCCTTAGCCTGGCTATCAGGCCAGGATTCACAACCTCTAGTTCACCACACCCTGCCCTCTCTCAGAGGAAAGCTCCCATGTAGTTCTAGAAATCACAGAGACCTGACCCCTTGCCAGTGCTAGGCAAACAAGCTGGGCTATGCATCAGCCAAAGGCCTGCAGTGTTCTCTTAGAGAACAACAGAGCTCAGTCACTCTGTGACCTAGGTACACTCAACATACGTTTCTATTCTCACTACATGTGCTTAGCACAATGAGATGAGCCAACAGTTATTGAGTTCTTATTGTTCTAAGAGCTTGATATATATTAACTCATTTAAACCTTGTGAGGGAGATGTTCAGCTTTATTACTCCCATGTTACAGCTTGAAGAAACTGAAGCACAAAGTCTTAAAATAACTCCCTCCAGGTCCCTGAATGGCAGAGGCTAAATTTGAACTCAGATAGTCTGGCTGCAGAGCTCTCACTGGGTACCTCTGTGCAGTTCTGCCAATTGATATCACCCTGAAATCAAGAGGAAAATGTTGGACTAGAGGCAGGTAGGTGAAGGCAGGACCAGGCACAAAGCATTTTGCTTCTCTTTTATGCAGAGAAGGATTGAAAATTCATGCATCTGACCACATCTGGTAAAGGCTGGGCCTTCAGCCTTTTTCTCCTCTTTCTGACTCCTTTGATCGCTCTTGTAAACATTCTGACTCTAGTTCAGCGTGGTCCATTCACAAGCTTCCACATGCATCATTTCTTCCCATGTCATTCTCCCAGCCATCACAGGATTTTTATACATGTTGTTCAGGTTCCTCTCGTTCCGTCCCTCCTTCCCTCCCCTCCTTCCTTAAAACCAGCCCCTGATTCCTCCATCCCCGATCTGTCTCAGCAGGTGGGTGGGCTCTGACTGTTCCCCTTGCCCATCCTTCAAGTCAGCTCTCTCCAGCTTTTCCTCTGAGCTGCTTGCACCTTCTCCTGGCTTCTGTTCTCCCCGTCATCCCGTGTTTCTCTAATGTCTACTTGCACCTCCACTGACCTCAGCATGGCTTTCTGTCCCAAAATTCTACCCTCGTTCCTTCTTCTACCCTGCCACTTATGCACTATTTCTAAAGTGTGACCCTAGACATTCCCTATGCTGGAACATGTCTGCCTTTCTCCCCACCTGTGAAGTCCCATCCTTTAAGGTCCGATCCTACCTGAAAGAGTTTCCCGACTCTTCAGTGCTCAGAGCTGGCTCTCTCCCTTGAACCCCCCTAGTACCTGCTGCCTGTACCACTCAGCAGTCATGTGTTTTACATGGCATTTTGTCATTGACTGACAGGATGTGGCTTTATCGTGTCTTCTCATCTAAATCATAGGCTCTTTGAAGACAGAAGTGAATTCTCTCTCCTTTTAGACCTACTGCAGTGCCTAATACAGTGCTTTTCTGCTTAGAAGATAACAAAAACCCATTTCTTGGTCAGTTGATTAAAGTGAATGTTAGGTCTCTTTACATACTTACTGATTTTTATACATGCACGTTCTCTCAACATGTGTCTTCTCACTTTGAGGAACCCTAATCATTTTTTGAATGTTGTCATATGTTTCATCAGCTCAACTAGGCATCCCAGTCCTTCTCTAGCCCTGCTGTCTTTCTGGAGATGCAGTGCTGAACCACAAGCATCCTTCCTTGCAGTGTACATTGTACTGTGGTACAGGTTTAACCTGCATTTTCTGCTGTTTGTCTGGCCTTGGAAGCTGTCTTTGTTAGGAAAGCTCTGGACAGCAACCAGGAATGTAGCCACACAGAAGGTGCTGCTCAGAAACAAAAGAGCCCTGCCAAGCACAGTCTTCCCCAGGAATCCAGCACGTTCTCTTTATGAAGCACTCTGTAGAATCGTGCTGCACATGCCCCAGCTGTGGGGACTGGGGCTGAATTTCAAACAAACAGGAAAATAGCCCGTTCAGAGGGCTTAACATGTAAGAGGTAATGGATTACCAAGAGCAAGTGGATATAGGACAAGATGAATGTTGAGATGGAGTTACTTGTTAGGAAGAGTGGATCAGGGAAGGCTTCCTGGAAGACAAAAATAGTGGGTGTGGGTTGCCCCTTGCAAGCAGTTGCAGCTATTTTCATTATGTACTCCTTGATAACACATTCCTGAAGGTGATGGCTTAGCACTCCTTTACTGGTTGATGAACAGATCTCCTTCTAAGTGGGCTCTGCCTCCCTCGTTCGCATGTGGGAACTGCAGCTTGTCTGGCCTTTGAGCCATGATGCAGGATCATGATATCAGGGACTGGCAGGGTTGTAGGGGATGGGTTGGGCAGCTCACACAACAAGCAGATCAAATGGGCCAGAGCAGAGGGTCCGTGAAGGAGAGTCAGAGGAAATGAGATTGGTGACATGGAAGCATGACACCATTGAATATGCTCTCTCTTTGAGAAGATACAAGATGCTGAGAATCTCCTCTGAGTCCTTTTTTATTTTTTCCTGTCTTCTCTGCAGTGTCTTCACAAGCACCTGCTTAAAATAAAGGATGGGGCTTGGCCTTTCCCTTCCTCCTCCCTGCTCCTTAACTTCCCACTCTGCATTTTCCTGCCTGCTGCCTCTAGGCAGCAGCTCAGGAGCAGTGGGCAATTGAGAGCAACTCCTGAGAGCACTAAAAGAAATCACATTGCTTAAATGGCATTTACACCGAGGGGTGGGGTGGTAGTGGCAGGAGTCTCAAAGCTTTTTCCGAGGGCACTGTGGCAAGAAGTCCATGGTGGGAAGAGTGGCATCCAGGTGTCCTCTATCCAAGGAGGCAGCTGTTCTTATTCAAGGGTGGGGTCCATTTTCTTCCTCCAAAGTCAAAGAGATTCTCTTTAAAAGCTCAATTGTGACTTCTGGGACATCTTAGCAAGAGACACTGAGCGTCTTCATTTCCTCTCTCCATTTCAGGACACACCTCCCTTGGAGGAGTGCTTTCTACCTGGAAAGCAGTGCATGTATCAGTGGAATTCTGCTTAGCACAACAGAATTGGGAGGTGGAGCAGGGAGAATGAGGCCACCCTGGCCCCACTGGGGGGTCACAAGACAGCTACTTCATGCCTGAGAACAGGGCAGAATCAGGCTGGGCAAATAGTAGGGCTGAGGGACTACCCGCTGCATCCTATGACCTTGTTAACGGAATTGTATTTGGGACATTGGTTTGAAGTGGAGAGAGAACAATAATTGAAATTAATGAAACCCTGGCTCCTGTCAAGCAGATGGGCAGAGAGTCACATCAACACCCATGCTGCTGACCCATCCTACAGATTGTTCTTTCCCATCACTAATATTTCTCCGTATCTCACCTCTGATCTCATTGCAGTGGCTTTGAGAACTTTTAGGAGCTGATCACAAGGCCCAAAAACCATCAAGAGCCCCTGTCCTGGGCAGTGGGTAAAGTGGAAGAAGGAGTGTGGTCCCTGTGTGGAGAAGCTGTGGGGTCAAGATGCCCGGGCTAGGCAAGGACCACTGGGTCCCACAGCAGAATGAGGAAGGCCAGAGGCAGCACTGCTCATTGTGACCTATACGTTTCTAGGTCACAAACTGCAGCCCTGCACTAGGAGTTTGAGAGGGCTGCGGCACATTAGAGCTCCACTCTGAGGGTGTAAGCCATGCCATATTTTAATTGTCATTAGCAATAAAAAACTAGCAGTGAGGAAACCCAACCTCCACACAGAAGAGGGCATGGGCCAGGGTCATTAACCAGGCTGATCCAGCCTCTGACATGCTGCATTTATCCTTATTTCACGTGTATGTGTTCAAACCTTATAATTGGTAGCTTTTACTCACAGGCTTTTCCTTGCATTCCTGAGAGGCCAGAGCAATCCTGGGCCCCCCAGGTCATACCGAGCAAGAATCCAGTTGTACTATGCATAGGAGGGTGAATGCAGAATAGCCTTCTAGCACTGGCGCTGCAGGAGCTCAGAGCCCAGGCTCAGGGGCTCAGCGTCATCTCAAAGGCCTCTTCACTTTCCTTGCTGGGTTATAATAGGTTTGAAACAGTTTGGGAACATGCACAGTCCCCCACAGTGTCCAGATCTTCTCTCTACTGTGCCTAAAGGCAGCTCCTTAGTCGGGTGAGAGGAGAAGCTTGGACTTTTTTATTCTGTGTCCGATCTGGAGTGTAGGTTAACGGGGCTGCTGCCTCCCTGCAATGGTGCTTTTGTGTGGATCAGAAAAAGTTGCCCTCTCTGGGCCATTGTACTCAGCATATGCTATGCATCGCTTGGTGAGGAAAGCAGGCTTCTGTCAGGCTTTCTGCTTGGCACATGGAGGCAGGGTAGATTTAAGGACAGGTAGGAGTGAGTTATGTACAGGGGCATAGGACTGCCTCAGAGGGGATGGTACCTTCAAGCCAGCCTAATGATAAAAGAGGCGTGAGGACAAAAGGAAAGAGAAGGGGCAAGGGAGTCCCTTCCTTTCACCCTCTGGTGCTTTCAGCTGTGCCTTTCATGCAGTTAATCAAACATTAGTCAGGGAGGGATGGGCATGTGTTTGGTTGAAATTGTTTGGCGTTTCTTATATTCAGTTTTATGAAGCAAGTAAATTGCCTGATCCCTAGCTGAGAGTATAGAATTATCTCTGTTCAGTTATCTGTTCAAACAGATTCTTCTCTCTGGTGCCTTCTTCTGGCCTGCAAGAGGGATTGGCGTCTGTGTCCCTTTTGCCAAGAAATCAGATGGTAAAAGAGAAGGTGCTCCACGTCCCCTTCCCACCCTGACATGGGACACTCCTGTCTTATCCTGGCAGCTTTTGGCCTCCACACCCACAGCCCAGTTTTGAGAACTCTGAAGGGATTGAGCTAGGGGTTGGCATCCCAATCTAAGCCCCGGATTCCTTCAAACCCAACAGCAACTGCCTTTCCTCAAAGGTTTCCTTGTTCCAGAGGGCTCGAGACCAGCACCTGGCGGGTGACTTGTAGCTTCCAGCCGTCTCAGCCCGTGTACTTAGATGCTTCCTGAGGTGACTGTGGCCTGACCAGCACCACCTAATCCCTTGCTTGGAGGGCTTCACGCTAGACAGTGGTCTGGGCTCCGGGGGTCCAGGCTTCATGGCATCTGTGGCCTCACCCCACCTCCCACCTCTGCTCAACGTCGTTAGCTCATGCCCTATCCTCACAGCTCTTCCTAGGCTCTCTCATGTCCACTTTTGCTCTTCACCCCTTCCTTGCTGAGGGATGGGTGGTGAGGAGGTGGTGGATGCGTGGGAGACCGGAGGGAGGCACACACGGCTGCTGCCTGCACTCCTGCCTGGATAAACAGAGGAGGCCATCCTCACTCCAGTTATAGTCAGTACAGGCAAAGCCAAGTGCAAAACAGCCCCTTCTGTTCATGGCGTCTGGGCTGTGCTGCCTCTGAGTCATCACTGCTGGCCTCACTGACTGAAGCCAGTTTCTGCCCCTCTGGGTCCCACAAGCATGCTTGTCGTGGCAGGGGCAGCTGAGGGATGGTCCTCTCACCTTCGAGGAGTTCTTGAAATAGGCCTTCTCCAGTCAGTTTGGTGCCATGCATGTACCCAAAGGTAGTATTCTGTCCAGGGACTTTCCTTCTCCCACGTCACTGCTGGCGATCTGGAGAAGCTAGAATATTTTGCCTTTCCTCATCTATTTATTGAATGCCTACCAGGTGCCATTAATAAATGCCCATTGTAATACTGTCATGGTGATATGAGTAAAGTGCTGTGAGAACAAGCCCTACCCAGATAAGTAATGGAGTGGTTCAAATAAAATCACATCTGTGCAGAATCCAAGGGGTAAGTTGGGTAGGAGTTTACAGGTGAAGTCATAGGACGGAACATTCCAGCCAAAATGAATAGCATGTGCCAAGGCCTGGAACCATGCAACTTGTCTGTGGAGCTGGGAGTTGTGTGGCCTGACTAAAGCAAAATAATGAAGGCCACAATGGCAGGACTTGAGAGCAGGAAGAGCCCAGCTCTGAGGCGCTTATTCTGTGCTGTACTGAGGAATTCCAACATTAGTGGAGAACAAGGAAAGGATTTCAGCAGAAGGGTGAAGTGATCAGATTGGGAAATTTTTTTTTTTAAGTAACAACATTTATTGAGCACTTACTATTCGCCAGACTCTCCTTAAGTGTTTAACTTGAATCAGTTCACTTCCTCTTCACTGAAGCCCTTTGAGGTAGGTAGCATTCATTATTATACCCATTTGACCACAAGGTAAACCTAGACCCAGAGAGGTTAAAAAAAAACCCACTCTAGATTAAGCCAGTAAGTAGTAGAGCAAGCGCAGAAGGAGGTGGTCTGGCCCTAGAGCCTGCATCTGACCATGGTGCTGCACTGCCTGTGATGAGCCACACCCTCCAGTATCATGGAGGGGTCCTTAGAGACAAGTCTGGTACAGAGACAGCAGTGGGGGACCTGTTACTCAAAGCTGGGCATGGCAATAAGGATAAAAAAGAGGGGAAGAATCCAAGAGCCATTTCTGAGGTAGAATCAGTGTGTATTGGTGCGGACCTACCTGTGGAGCCCAGGGGTGATTCCTGTGCTACTCATGCTGCGGCCTGGGATGAGAAATGGAGGTGGAAGAACAGGTTTCATAGTGAAGGTGAGAGATTCAGAATGGGACTCATTACATTGGAGATTCACCTGGTGGAGCTGAATTCTGAAGTGAGCGCTGCACTAGAGGCGAAAGTTGAGTTCTATAATTCAGAGAGCAGTGGGATGCAGGGACTGTCTACAGCTTAAAATAGCCCCTGGGGAACGTTCATATTCAAGGGCCATGTTGTTGGGGAAGAATTCACAATTGCTACTAAGAAAGCAGGGAGAAAAAGCCAAGATTGGGAAACACAGGCCTAAAAAAAGAAAGTTTCCAAAAGGAAAGGGGGTGCTTGACTTTTACAGATATTTAAAAGGTCAAAAATGATTAAATCTGAGAAGAAATTATTTAAATGGCAATTAACAGGTCTTTGAAGTAATAGTGACATTGGAGTACTGACTGGTAGCCAGCTGCATTGGCTACAGAAGTGAAAAGGGGCTGGCAATGTGCAGAGTACTCTCTGGGTAAAGAGAAAGAGGTAGACTTGATGGGATATGAGTCAAAGCAAGACTTGCTAAGATGGGCAAGATGTTTGCAGGTGAAGAGTTAGATGCCGGTGAAAAAGGAAATCGGGAAGGTGATGACAGAAAGAGGTAACTGATGGAAATGGGTACCTGAGGAAGCAGAAGAGGTTGTGATCTGGAGCCAAGTTCATTTCTTTTTCTGCAAGATGGATGGAAGGGAATGAAGTAATCATGGATGCTAAATGCTTCTTAACAGCAAAGTGTGGGTCTCCGTGGGAAACCCACTGTGGTTCAGGTATAGGAGCCTGAGAATCAAGGTCCACAAAGCAGAGCGGACTGGCCCCATTGGGGGGGTCACAGGTCAGCTACTTCCTGCCTGGGAACAGGGCAGGGGTCTGTACCATCCCACAGCAGGCCTTGAGGTCAGTTATATAGGTACAGGTACCTGCAGAGGGGAACTGACACGTGAACTTGACCTGATTGGACAACATTTGGTTACTTTCAGACCAAGTCAGAGATTTAATAACCTCATGCAGTTACTCCATAGATCATACACCGATTTTCCCCAAGAAAAGAGGCCAACTGTCTTCTCACACCCCTAGCTCCATCCCTTTAGGGCTTGGGTACAGCTCTAAAGCCATAGAGGTTCTTTGGCTGGGCCTGGGAGAACATGGGCCACTGCTGCTGACTCCATGGCCCAAACCAGTGTTCAAGATAAAGAACGGACGCACCGAATGGAAGGCAGCCTTCTCTCCTGGTTTTTTGCCTGGGACTGCCCTTCACGTCAACTGGGAACATGAGGAGGAGCTGTGCCATTCAGGCATGCCTGCTCTGGCTTGGGAGACCTTTGGGAAGATGGGTCCGGGACAGAATGAGGGCCCCCTGATTCTAGCCACATCCCTGGCACCAGCCTCAGGGAAGAGTGTTAAATCTCCCTCCAGCTTCCAGCACGGGTTTTTCCTGGGAAGATGAACAGTCTGCTTCCTTATTGCCTGCACCAAAGGAACAGATTGCGTCAGTTTGTAAACTGTGTTAGCGCTCGCAAAGGCCTGGAGTCAGCAGGTTTGCATTTCCCAGCAGACCCAGATGATGCTGATGGCAGTGGCTGCTGCCTCACTGCCTCAGGCAGGACCGAAGCTGCCCCCCTACCCCTACCATCCCACCCCTCATCCCTGAGGTAGGGAAAAGGCATTCCAGGCGGGAGAGAAAGCCACCCTGAGCTTCTAGAGCCAGCTCACCCACAGCACAGGCCTTTTCTTTTCAGGAGCCTCTTGGCCCCTCTTGCTGGTGTGCCAGCCCAGGCCTGATTTCCAGGCATTCCTAGCACTCCAATGCCAGAAAAGAGGTTTTCTAGAAAAGCAATCCACTCTGTGGGCTGCGCTTGAAAGAGTTACCTGGTCTGGAGGTGATGGGGGATTAGGAGCAGAGGCGTCAGTGGGGATCAGAACCACATTGCCACAGTAGCACATGGAAAATCCGTGCTGCTGCCTGCCTCTAGCCAGCCCACTCCCCACGGTTGCAGATGGTAACGAGACCCAGGAGGTATTGCATAGGCACAGCCTCTCGCCTTCCACAGCATCGCCTTATTAATTGCATTGTTAATGTTCATCATCTCTGAAAGAAGTCGGTGTGGCTGTGTGTGACCGGGAGTGGAGGGGATGAGCTGGCTGTGTTAAACTGTTACTGTGTTAAGGTGAGGTATCTCTTCAAGTTCACAGTTCTGGCTGTGGCAGCATGCTACAGCCTTCACGCAGCATCAGTGATGGTAGAAAACCCAGCCTTGGGCAAGGCTACCACTGCATGGCAGGAAAGGACCCAAGCTACATGCTGGTTACTCCAGAACACTACTCACATTCTTGAAAAAAGCTGCAGCCAGGATGAGTGGGTTGGGAAGAGGCAGGAGTACCTTGGGCTCCGAGTCATTATTCAGTTCCCGTCTCTCCATTTCCCGCGCCCCCCTGCAAGTTCTCCTACAGGACTTGATCGTTAGCAAATGGGGCTTCCCTGCTTGCCCTTCTCTCCTGTGGAACTGTTGCTTTTCATCTCTCCTGTTGGCTTGCAGGCACAGTCTGTCAGCTTTGCTGCCCCCATTCTCTGACCTCAGAGAATGCAGAGCAGAGAGAACCTTGGAAACTTTGTTCAACTCTCATTTCCCAGATGGAGAAACTAAGCCCAAAGAGAGGTGCAGTGTGCCCAGCCCATAAGAGGCAGGATTGGCACCTGGATCACAGTTCTAGCCCAGGGCCTTTCTCTGCTCCTCAGCTCCTTCTTCCCATCCAGGCCGCTTGCTGTGATTGTTGCTGGTTGCTTTAGGAATATTGAAAGCAGGAATATGGCCAGACAGCACATGGAAATGATGGAGAATTCTGCCTCTAAAGCCTGTCTGTGGGGACTCTGATGTCACCTTCCCACAGGTAGCCCTGAGCAGCCCCACCCTGCTACCTGGAAGAACTTACAGCCAGCACCCCACTTTGTGCAGTGACTTCCTTCCCAGATGCCTCAGGGCAGTGGCGCCCTGTGCTGGGCTCTTTTCTACTTGGGACCTGCCTGTCCTGCTTGAGGCAGCCCACCTTCCTTGGTACGGGAGCATCCTCCACAACTGTTTTCAGGCAACCTACAGCCTCGCAACCCAGGGCTCTGAGGTTGGCTGAGGCTCAGTAATTTTCTGTACTGCCTCAGGCATTGTGCACTGCAGTAACGCCTGTGCACTTGGGGAAGACAGTATCTCTTCTCCATCCTCCCAGAAAGTAAAAAGGGAAAGGCTTGTATGTGTGTGGGGTCTCCCTGTCCTCCCCCCATTGCTAGTAAATCCCCTGTGTGAACGCTCTCCTTTGGGTGCCCTGAGTCATCAAGGGGAATGTGCATCCCCCTGCTGTCTTTCTCTAGTCTCCATTTCTTAATTATTTTGCCCCCAGTGCCCTCGGCTCCCTTATTTAAGCCAGCCTTACCAGAAGCAGCCTCCAGTGCACCTTCTCCCGCCTCACCCTCCCCGCAACTTCACCATGACCTGGAGGAGGCTTTAGGAGAGGGACCTGGATCTTCAGCTTTGCGCCTACTTGGAAGCACTAGGCATCCAGCTTGGCTGCAGGCTCCAGGCGAGTTAAGGACAGACACAGCTAAATCAACCCCCAGGGCAGTCAGAATTTCCTCCGTGGTTTGAAAGCTGAGTTCTTAAATAATCTTCCCCACACTTACCACATGCATGCACATGCTCACTCTCTCCCTCCCCCCACCCCAAACCCTTCTTTCTTTAGGAAAGATTTCAGAATCTGAAGTCTAATTGCAGAGGGCTAGAAGAAGTTGAGAATGTTGACATTTCTAAAGCCATCATCCATTGCCTGGCTTTCACTTCTCTTCCTTTCTCCAGACCCCTCAGCCCTGCATTGTACCCCAGGCCAAGAATATGCCTCACTGCTTAGAGAAGGAGAAGGACTTGGTCCCCACTGCCTGTTTGACTGAAGTAGTTTCTGTTTTAAGGAGCTGACAGAATCCAGACAATGGGGAGAAGAGGAACAGTTTGGGGTGGGGACAGGGACCAAGTGTATATTTCTGGAGCCCAGGGCACTGAGACTGCTCAGAAAGGGGCCGCAGGAAATGAAACAAGTTCCTGGCCACCCCCTTCCTCCATGTTTGATTTCAGCCACGGAGCTGGGGGCTGCTCCATGCTCTTCTTTTCTCCTCCCCCTTCTCCCCTTCCTCATCCCTGGGAAGGGTGAGACCACAGCTCGGCTGGGTGATCACTGAGGTATGTGTGTTGCCTGGGCATGGGGAGCTCTTCCTCGGTAATTAGGAGACATGGAAATTAACAGCCTGTGCCGTTTGTATTAATTTGGTAAATAAGCCAGAACAATTTCATTAGTGGCATATTAATGTGCTTGGGAGCAGGAGGACACGTCCCACTGTGAGGCAGCAGGGCCCACTGGCTGCTCTAGCCCACAGTCAGGCCAGGTCCAGCGTCGAGCTGCTCTCCTGCAGGGCATGGCTGGCTGGCAGCACCCACCGCTTTGGCCCTGTGATGGGGAAAGACCTCCACTGAAGAGAAAGGGATCTGTGCAGGTGGTACAGGGACAGTCACACACTTGAGCTCATCCTATCAACCCCACTTGCCTTACCTTCACTCGGTATTTCATGGGAGGACTCCCCGGGTGTAAGAAACCCAAAGCTTTCAGAGTCAGGGAGAATAAAGGAGCTCATTAAGCAGGGATTGGCCATTTCTGATGAGAAGACCCTTCTCATCAGAGGTATACAGCTCAGCAAAGCAGGACAGCTGCTGAATGTAACCATCCCACCAGGGCATCACTGGCATTTGTTGAAGGGAAGAGGAAGCAGTTTTGTTACCTCATTCAGTGCACAGGACCCCTCCTCATTTTACCATTAAGGAAACAGTCTAAGAGAGGTCAAGTGAATTACCCAAAAATTCACAGCTAGGACTGGGAGTTGATATCTGACTCCAGAATCCATGCTCTTTCTGCCACCTCATGGGCCAGTCAGTGTGCTCAGCTCTGGAGAAATTTCACAGTCTGGAACAAGCTTCCTTCCCCATGGAGCTGACAGTCTACTTGGAGAATGAAGACATTTAGAAATGAAATAACTGCCCCTACCAGGAAGTAAATAATTTATGATGATCGTGTTGAAGCATTTATGTGCTAAGCACTTTTCTAAGTGCTTAACATATTTATATTAGTTCATTTAATCATAACATCCTTGAGGTAGATGATGTTGCAATCCCAGTTTTACAGTAAATAGAGGCACGGAGAACTTAAGTGGCACCCCAGAATTCATGCAGGTCTAGATAGTCTGGAGCCAGAGTCCACACTTATAACCTCCATGCTGTACACTGCCCCACAAGTGCCAAAGGGAGGGTGAACCCATAGGCATTCAGAGGGTGATTCATGGTAGGCCAGGGATCAGGGAAGCCTTCCCGGAGAAAGTGGCATTGAAGCGGGCAAAGGTGCAGTCCAGGTATTCAGCAACCTCAAAATCCCCACCCACTCTGCCAGCATCAAGAGCAGAGAGCAAGAGATGCTGGCAGACCAGCAGGGCTGCAAGTGAGGCAGACTGCAATGGCTGTCAACATCTGAAGGTCACATTGACCTTCAAGCCTCTAGGCTGTTCGCTTCTTAACCAGTTACCACCAAGCCCCTTCCTCAGTGTGGCACCACCTGCCCCTTCTTATAGTCTCTCGGGAGGTACCCCCCTCCCCCAGAACCATGTGTCTTCCTAGGTCTCAGCTTCAGCATGGGCACTAAGTAGAGGGGAATCGAGAGGAGAGCCCTCATCTGTCCCTCGCCCATGCTGCTTGTGTACATGCACACACATACTCTGGTGCCCTCAAGGCCATATCCACCCACATGTGCACGTCAGTGCATGCTCTCATACGAAGCCTGCTCCCAGCCTTCTAGCAGCCTGTGGTAGTCACCTAAGTCACCTAAGGCCTAAAGTCACCTGCCATTATAGGAGGCCTCCTGTGGAAGCTATTGAGTCCAGAGCTCTTCCTGAAACACTCCAAGATGCCCAAGAGATGAGTGGCTATGTTATAGCAGTTTGCAAATTACACAACACTCCACCAGTAGGATCTCATTTAATGCTTGCAGTAGCCAGTTGGACAAGAAGAAATTTCTTGTCTATTTACAGGAATGAGCCTCCCCTAACGTGTCTTCTGTTTGAGGCAACTTGTGAGACATGTCTCTTTATAGTCTCCAGTTTGAGGCAACTTGTGGGAATTAACTCTATGTGTCTATACAGTATACAGTCGATCTTCATTATTCACCGGTTACATATTTGCAAATTCACCAAAATCTATTTTTGTAACCCCAAAATCAATACTCATGGTACTTTTGCAGTCATTTGTGGACATGCACAGAGTGACAAAAAAAATTGAGTCATCTGGCGGGGCACATTTCCATTTTAGGTGGAACAGGGTAGAACAAGACAACACTCTGCCTTCTTGTTTCAGCTCTGATGATATAAACAAGTGTCCTTCTCACAATCTATTTAGCATCATGTTATTGCATTTTTCATGCTTTTTGTTGGTGGTTTCACAGTCTTAAATGGCCCCCAGCATAGAGCTGAAGTGCTGTCTAGTGTTCCTGAGTGCAGAAATACTAGGATGTGCCTTATGGAGAAGATACATGTGTTAGATAAGCTTCATTCAGGCATAAGTCATTGTGCTGTTGGCCATGAGTTCAGTGTTAATGAGCCAGCAACACATATTAGACAAGGTGTCTTTAAACAGAAACACAGAACAAGGTTATTTATTGATTTGATGAAAATATTGTGACCAGAGGCTCACAGGAACCCAAACCTGCATTTCCCCTAGGAGCAATGGTTCAATATTTGCAAATTCTCTCTATAGAACAAAATTACCATAAATAACAAAATTGAACTGTATGTATATATCTCTGTGTCTATCTTTTAATTAAGAGAAGATGTCAGAGAAATTTGAATCCTTGAGTTGAACAAAGAAATAATACTTGTACAAACATAGACCCACATAATGTTACAGTTAAGTCATAACTTCCTGGCAGTCAATGTAAAAGAGAAACATCAAAGGATGATCACACACATACAACCTGCTTAAACCTCTGCTTTCAATCTCCGTAATTCTCCCAGAGTTCAAGAAGCGTCACACCGAATTCCACAGCCTCGTCCAGGCTGAGGTTTGTGGAGAAGGAGAGACACCGCATGGGGTTTGGCTAGAGAGGAGCCAGCCCACCTTCCCCGAGTGCCTTTGTTTGATTGAGAAATTACTGTGGCTGTGGCAGCTGTAATAAAAGGGAACAGAGCCCCATGGGCGACAGCTTTATCGCCATCTACAACCCAGGATGGATTCGGTGGCAGCACTGTGCCCAAGGCCAGAGATTTCTTTCATCTGCGGCTGGCTGGGCCCAGGGACTTGTCAAGCCCAAGTTAGCATATCGATTGCAGGCGACAGGCTGGTTAAGTGTGAAGCTGGTGCTCACCTGCGCAGGAGAGCCCGGCTGCACCCTGCAGTGTTGGCCCCAGGTGTGGCTGCTCATTGCTGGGTTCCTTCTCATGTAAGCCCTGGAGAAAGGCGAGCATGTGGATTGCAGCCTCAGAGAGCGAGGTGTGAATGTGGGGTTTGCCATGTGGGTTGGGGTCTGAGCATTGGCACCTCACAGGATAGACAGCAACTGTGCGTGCCTGGTTGGTTGCCTCTGCAGCGTATCTCTGACATTCTTGCACCAACCCCAGCAACCCAGTGCTAAGAGCCACACTGGCCCACCACAAGCTGTCTAGTGGCCTGCCAGGCCTGGAGAGAGGCCTTGTGTCCAAGCAGGGCAGACATCCTTGGTTTTAGGGAAAGGACACTTGGCTACTAAAATTGTGGAAGACGAGAGGTCAGGGAATGCGGAAACTGATGTGGGCCTGGGCTCAGTGTTGGCTGGGAACTGTACCAGCCTCATTTGCTTTTGCCCAGACATGTGTCCAGGAACCCCTAAACACAAGGCAAGCAACCTCTCTGTTCTTCCTTCAGCTTCCCCAGAATTCCTCTAGGACCTGCTGCTTCTTGAGCTTAGCATGTTTGATAAAGCTTGGCAAGTTAAGATGAGCAAGAGACAGTCTTCTCATGTATCATTTTGCCCCTCACAGGTCTTGTCCACCCCTACCACACTACCCCCGCCACCTCCCCCAGCCCCTGCAGGCATGACAGTCTGTTCCCCATTCCTGGCCTCCCACTGGAGGAGGCGCTCAGTCTTCCAGTGGCCAAGCTTCTCCTTTGTTCCAGCGCCCTGGGCATTTGCAAGGTGGATCCAAGGTGTTGAAACCTGAGCAACCTCAGATTTTGCCCACCTGCCCTTCTCTCCTACAAGAGTAGGTCCTTCAGCAGGTTAGTTGCCAAAATTAGAGATAGGAGAAACTGGTTTTAACACCCACAGACACTGGACTCTGTCGTGAATTCAGGCACTGGGTCAGCCCAGCCCAGAATTGGGGCCAGCACTTACGCCCAGACTCTACTAGTGAGCTGCAGGGTCCCACGGTCCTGGATGGTGGAGGGGGCAGAGGTATGGCAGTGGAAGGAAGGGCTGCTCCTGAAACAGAAGGCTGTGGAAAGGGGGTATTAGGGAGGGGCAGGGTCTTTTCTGCCAGGAGGCAGTGTAGAGAAGGCATTGGGGAAACCTGGATTCTGCTCTCAGCTCTGTCCCTTAATAGCTACACTTCTCCAGTGCCACCTACAGAATCAACATGGACTGGACCTATATGTTCTCCATTATCTCTTTTTCGTTAATAACTCTAATAGACTCCACATATCCCCTTCTATACCACACTCCAACTTCAGTTGTCATTGAACCTGCATTTCCTCTTGAAGGATCAAATGTGGGCCTCAAGGACGCAGAGGGTATTCAAGGATGGGAGGAAGCGAGGGTCCTGCCTCTCGGGCCCTGCCTGTTTTCCTCCCCGCTACCTTCTCTCTGCACACCCAGACCACCTCCTTGTCCTTCTGGGGAGGCATGTCACCCAGTATCCCTCATCCCTTCTAACCTTCTGTCACTAGCTCCAGCTCCGACCTCGAGAATTCCCAGGTATTTAGACATTCATTTTATTGCTTAATCGAGCTTGAAGGCATTTAAATTAATACAAGTTTTTACATTTGGCAGCAAAGACATTTATAGGCCCCTTTAGCAGGGAAAGAAAGAGGTCAGGAGAAAATCAAAGAAGGAATTTATCCTGGGCAGTGGCCTTCACGATGTGGGAGCAGATCAGCTACCACGAGGGCCACGATCCTGAGGCTGCCCTTTTAGAAAAGCAGTCAGTGCTAGGTCTGTTATCCTGGGTCCTCGGGATGAGACAGTCAGTGGAGGAGGCCTTGAGGCCCGTGGAGATTCCTTGAGGGCTCTGGGGTTCAGCCACAGCCCACACCCTTCTGGCCACTCCTTCTGCGGGATTGTCACTCACTGCCCTTGCGCTGATGCATTTCCTGCCCGCGTCTTTCTGCCTCTCCTGTCCTCTCCCCCTCTCCTCTCCTGCTTTTCATGCAACCACTTTAATTACCTTCATTAGACACGAATTCATTCAGCTCTACCAGGAAAAGCAGCCTCCCTCTCCCCAGGGGTTGCCTCGCTCCCTAAGGACCTGCCTGTCTTCTAGCACAGAGCTGGGGAGGGTGCTGAAGAGTGGGAGGCACCAAGACCTCTGCCTGCTTCTTCACTTGCTCCTGACCTTCAGCTGCGCTCTCTCTCTCTCTCTCAGGTTAAGGAGAATCCCGTTTGCCCCGGTAGCTTTCTGCCGCAAGGAGGGGAAGGGGCTCTGAGAAGAGAGTCGAGTTTTGGGGTGTGTCTGTTCCCGTGAGAGGCTGAAATTGAAGGGTTCTGGGGGTTCCCAGAGGTTGGCAGCGGCTGCCAAGGCCTGTGAGCCCAAGGCTTCGGCGCTGCTGTCCTCCCCACGGGCACAGCCCCTGCACACTCAGGCCTGGCCCCCACAGGCTTACGCCTGTCTCTCTGTCCCAGGTGGAGGTGGAGGTGGAGAGCATGGACAAGGCCGGCAACTTTATCGGCTGGCTGCACATCGACGGTGCCAACCTGTCCGTCCTGCTGGTGGAGCACGCGCTCTCCAAGGTCCACTTCACCGCCGAACGCAGCTCCTACTACAAGTCCCTGCTGTCTGCCGAGGAGGCCGCAAAGCAGAAGAAAGAGAAGGTACATGTGGCAGCCCAGCTGTGCTCTCCCTGCCCTCCCGTCCTCCTCACACACTAATGCTGCTGCCTCCAGAGAACAGGAGGAAGTTCTCTCATCCCCACAGAGTAGCCCAGGAAGGTGTTGGTCTCAGACCCCACACCAAGGCCACACACAGGCGAGGAGAGGCTGCCAGCTGAGGTGTCCTCGGCCACAGCCTGTTGCAGACCTGAGGTGGGCCTGGGCTGCCAGCCCAGAATGTCATCAGTGATCCCAGGCCTGCTCAGGTGGTCCTGAAGCAGAAATCTGTCTAGGTGACTGTGGAGCCATGGGACAAAATGCCCGGGGCGCCCCTCCCTCCCCAGCCCTGACCCTTCTCTGTCAGTGCCCTCAGGACTGGGCGGCCCAAGCCCACATCTGAATTTCCTTCACATTGCCCCGTGGGGAAACAACCCTAGGAGAGGCCTCTAGCTGTTAGGACAAGAGATTTATAGCCCATCAGTCTCTGTGGGCACCGCATTGAAGAGACAAGGGGGATGGGGTGGAAAGTGGCTTTTGGAAACCAATTGACAATTGAGGAATGCAGTGATTTGGAGGTGGGAGCCGGGCTCACCCAGCCTGTTGCTTTTGACTTATAGCCCGGCCCTGATAATGGGGATAAATCAGCTGGCCACCAATTTGTCAGGGCTTCTCTGAGCTTGAGGAGGATTCGTGGGACAGCCGTGCTGAGCTATAAATTTGTTCCAGGAATAAATGCTTCCTTCCCCATGGGGCAGCCATCTGGCTCAAAACTCACTTCCCAGAGCTAAGGCCCGGACACCTGCCAAAAAGAGTCGGGGGCTTTGAGGCCCCAGAAGCACCAGATTCTTCACCAGCCCCAAGCAGCTGCCTCCTCATTCAGGGCATCTCTTGTCCCCTTGGGACTGTCCTCCTGGGTCTCTCTCTATCTATTCTTCCCTTCCCCTGGGGATTGGGGCAGGCAACCAGCCCCTTGGTGGTAGAGGAGAGTGGAGGTGGAAAGACTCCAGGGAAAGGTGGACCACAAAGCTAGCACAGATGAAAGGGACGGTCAGTGCCCTGCAGGAGGCAGCCACCATCAGACCTCAGAGGAGATTCCCACCTCCTGCTCACATCAAGCCTCCTCCTCCCAGAATGAGGGGGAAGCAGGCAGCCTCAGCTCCTATAGGAAAGGAGTCACACGGCTTCTTCCTGGATTTCCTGCTTGTGACAGCTGAACTTAAGACTGCCACCCCCATGTCCTCTGCCTGCTGCAGGGAGAGGGGGGGAGGGGCAGCGCTGGGGCCTCCTGTTTAAAGGTTGGCACTTTCACAGAAGAGTTAGCAGCTGGGGGTAGAGCGGCAAGCCCCAGAGTCTAACGCCCAGAGGCCAAAAGCATCTTCGTCCTTGCCCTGCTTCCTGGCTTTTCAGCAGTGAACCTGGAAGCCACCTTTTCAGAGCTGGGCGATCCTCTACCCTCTAAGAGTAGAGACTCTAGAGGAACCCAGGGGAGCACAGGGAGGGGACTCTGGCCTGAGATGGAAGGGTGGGTTCCCTGCCAGGGGCTGTGCTGAACTCAGCATCGTTATTTACTGCACAGTGGGTTTGTCTGAAAGAGCCCAAGTCACCATTTTGCTGGTGCCACTTGATGACGCTGAGGAGTAATTACCAGTGATTAATTACTTACACGGCCTGCGTGTTTTTATTCCAGTCCAATTAAAATGCAGTGCACAACTCTCAGTGCTAGGGCCTGCCGCCTCCTGGGTCCCTCTCCTGCAAATCCCAGTCTGCTCGTCAAGGATCCTGAGGAACCGAGGCTGGCTTTCTTCCTCCTGGAGGGGCTGTTTCCCAGGAGCAGCACTAGCAGAGCTTTGTAGCAGCTCTAAGAGTTGGCTGAACCCTGATAAGAGCATCTGGTGGCCGGCTGGGGGACAGTAACCTGAGTATCTGGGGTGTACCCAGCCTTGTCCCACTTGATCCCACAAGGGCTGCCTTACCTGTCAAGAGACAGTGGTTACAAGATCCTGTTAGCATCAGGATGCAGGAATGTTTGTGCCTGTAGCTAACCAAGGAAAGGTAATGCTGAGGGATTCTGTGAGACCAGGAAGTGCAGAAGGCTTTAGGGAGTGTGATTGTGTGTGCATGCATTCGTGAGTGTGTCTGTCTGGGGGAATCTGAGAATGCTGGTTTCCCAGCTACGAAGGCTTAACTACCTCCCTGCTGAGTGTAATTCCTCCCTGTGCCCTGTGGATGCCTCCTCAGTGAAGAGGCCGATAGGGCTCTCCACTTCCTTGGCAGGAGGTAACCCCCACTTCCTCCTCAGCAGCCCTGGGCAGACCTGAGGACCAAGGAGGGAACCACAGATGGCAGATGCCTGTCCCCCCTCCTTAACCCCATCTCACACACGTGCTCAGCAGGGCCCTGCACAGGGCTGGATTGGCCATCGATTGGCTTTTATTGAGCTTGGCTTCCCTGCTGCAGGCCTAAAGGCCTCCGCCACCTTGGCCCCTCGCCAGCCCCACCCCTGGAGCCTTGCAAGCAGCAATGTTAAACAGGATTTAGAAAGGAAAGACTCCAGCCAGTGGATTCTCTGTCCACAGTCCTCATCACCTGCCAAGAGAAGGACCTGGGACTCCCTGAGGAGGAAATGCAGGGAAGAGAGAGAGCCAGGGCAGGGAGAGGAGAGGAGAGACAGCCTCCATTCCTGACCTGCCTGGTCTGTGCCTGGCTTGATGGGCTCTTTCCCTCAGGGTGGCCGCAGCAACAGAACACAAGGAGCCCCAAAGTGTAGAGGGGACCCGAGCAAGACAGGAACTTGCATGGCAGAGCAGCCTGGAGCAGATGAACAGGCAGGAGGGGCCTCCATCCACCCTTCCCAGTCTTGCTCTGTAGCTGGGGCCACCGGGGGTACCAGCAGTGCCCCACCAGGGGCAGAGCTCCACCCTGGCCTTGGCCTGGAGAGACACTTCCCCCACCTGACCGCAAACCCTGGCATCAGTCAGCTGGGACAGCCTCTCCACAATAGCAGGCTTAGTAACAGCCTCTCCACATGCTTAGAGGTGGTCCATGAGAAGGGCAGACTGTCCTGTGGTTGGCTCTCCCAGCATTCCTGGGCCCTGCTGCTTAGGTCAAGCTCAGGACCCCTGTTCTCTGCCCAGCTCTTTGGCCATAGAGGCTCTTCCCCAGCTCCTCCATCTTTCAAGAGGCTGGGGTAGAGCCATACAGCAATAATTTTCTGTGTCTGGGTGTACAACTACTGTTTCTTCTGGAGTTTTCCTTGTCATCTCCCCAGAGGTCCAGGAAGAGGAGCATCTACAATGGGGATTCCCAGAAACCAGCTTCTTATGGGAAATCTGAGCTGTGAGGGGCTGAGGATGGCTGTGGAAAGTGGCTGGGTCTGGCAGGTGTCTTGCCAGTGAGTGTGTCTCCTCCATGCACCCCAGCTCTGCAGAAGGGCAGCCTGAGCCAAATGCACCCTTGTTCTAAGGATGGGGACAAGGGCAACCACGCCTGTCCCAGCTGACTGACTCCTTCCCACCAAGGTGCCACCTGGCCAGCCTGCATGGACCAGCTTGCCCATGTGGCTGCAAGTCCCAAGGAACAGCTGGTCACCTCCATCCCCACAGGGAAAGAGGGAACCGTCATGGCTGCACTGCCTGAAGGGCCAAAGGTCAGCCTCTCCTAGAAACACAGTTCCTTTATCTGAGGAGACAGCTGTCTCTCTCCTACCCTCTGTATGCTTCTTGGCAACCTCAAGTGCCAGCCACTTTGTGTATGGAGACACCTTGCTTCTGCTGTCTTCTCAATTCAGGTGGCAGTGTGCACCACCCCACCCACCACGAAGTGAGCTGTGGCACCTTGTTACAGGACTGGCCCTAGTGCTGGGGGCTGAGGGCCATCCCCAAGGCTTTGGTTTGCATCTTCCGTGACCTCACGCCTGCTGCCCACCTGAGCCTGCTGGGAAAGAAGCTCCACCCCACTCTCCCCAAGGAGGACACCTGATGCTGTCACCCAAGGCACTTTTACTTGAGGAGTCTTTAGCAGTTTCTGCTTTCATCCTGTGTGTTCCGAATTCATCAACACTGCTGAGGGGCCGCCTTCCCCCAAGCCAAAGGAGCAGGGTGGGGCTAGGATGGGAGCCCTCAACAGCTTGCAGGCTCAGGGGCCATGGCCCACTCAGGAACCAGCACAGAATGCCGGTCTCTGTTAACAAGCTCAGTGCCGGGAAAGGAGGGAGCTGGCAGGAAGAGGGAAGAGCACCTGCATGGGATGCAGAGCAGAGGACGTGCTGAGGGATTCAGGACTGCAGGGGTGCCTGCTGGTAGGAATGAGGGAGCAGACTCCTGGGTCAGGAGGGCTCCATCCCAGTTCACTTAAGGTAGTGCTGACAGTCTCGTCTCTGAGGCCGAGTGAGTCCCACTGATCCTCAGAGCTGCAAGCGTCCCAGAAGGGCTGGGAGCCCAGGTGTCAATAGGAGTGACTGGCTAAGTAGATACCAGGGAACTTCCAGCTCTGGAGGCCCAGGGCAAAAGCCTCAGGCCCATCAGGACATAGGCTTGGCATCAGAAGCATTTATGGCTCTCTCCTGGCCCTTTCACAGGGAAGCCCACAAGCTAGAGACCCACTTCCCCACATGGGCAGGAAGGCCCTTGAGGGATTAGGGCCTCTGTCCTGACTAGAGGCAAAGCTGTGGGTTAAAGTCCTGCTGCCTGCCTCCTCCCCTCTGGCCAGCCAGGGCTTAGGGGACTAGAAGCAGCAGTGTGTACAGAGGTCTCTGGTGATGGGGACAGGTGTTAGGGTATCAGGAGCCTGGAAGGTGAGAAGGGGTCAGGAACTATTTGGGTAGGAGGCCAGACCCCATACCAGGGGCCCACAAGCCCAGCCATAGAAGGCACTGCTTGATGTAGGATGGTGGAAAGCTTGGGCCTGGGAGATGTCTCAGTCATTCCCCCATAGCCGCTCCTTCTAGTGGAAGAACACACGCTCAGGCCGCGTTAAAGGCAGAAGTGTGGGGTCTGGGTTGACCCAAGGTGGTTCCAGAATTCCAGCATTCCTGCCTTTCTGCTGTGTCCTGAAGCTCCTGAGGAATCTGCATTTCAGCTGAGAGAGAAGAAAGGGGACCCAGAAAAGTTTGACCAATGTCAAATGGCAAGTTCAAAAACAACAGGGACATAAGTCCTCATCTCCCTCCCCACCCCCCACCAACAAACAGCTTTTTCCTCCTGGTTGGTGGTGTTTTCTCAGGGATACCTAGTCAATGCCAAAGTGCCCCTGGAAGAGCTGTAGTGCCAGGCTGCCTATGTTTGAATTCTGATTTCACTACTTCTAGCTGCAAGCCTGTGTACCTCAGTTTTCCCATTTGTAAAACAGGGATAATACCAAGACCTACTCAAAGGGTTGTTGTAAGGACTAAATGAATTAATATTTGGAGAATGTTTAGAATGGTACCTGGCACCTAATAAGCACAGAAGTTTTGGGCAAATACTTTTAATCATCCTTATTCCTGTGTGCGTCTGTGGGACCCCACGCGTGATCCATTCTCTGCACTCTCCCACCCACCCTTCCTGCTGCTCAGCTGGAAAGCCACCTCCCTCCCCTGCTCTGACAGACCTCACCATTTGGATAATCTCCTGGCTGCAGGATTGGACTTGACACGCTGTCGCGTCAAATCAGCTTCTGAGCCACTGCAGCCCTGACAGCACAGGGCTTTGGGGAAGGAAGGGAGAGAGGGAAGGGTGGAGAGCGCATGGCCCAGCTTCTGGGCTGAGGTCAGAGCAACCTGCTGGAGGTGAGGAGGATGGAGAAAGGGAAAGTTGCTGAGCAGAAGCATTCTTGGTGAGCTCTTCCCCAGCCTAGGGCTGTGGCTTGGACTGCTTCAGGAGCACCAGGAGCCCTGTGACAGCAGGAGGTCCTGCAGAATTCAGAGTGCCCTGCAGAGTGCCACGGGGAAGGGAGATGGGGAGCTGGAGCAAGAGAGGTGCGGGTGTGAGGAGCCCAGAGCCAAAGAGTTCATGAAAGCAGGGCTCTCACACTCGGACGTGCATGAGATAGCCTGGGATCTGGTTTTGCTCTTTTTTACTCTCTGGGATGCTCAGAACAGATTGTAATTTGGTAGGCCTGGGGTAGGATCTGGGGCCTGCATTTTTAATAAATTCCCTTGTTGGTTCTGATGCCTGCCAGAATTTGAGAACTGCTAGATCAGGACTTTAGAGAACTCACCTTTCCCCTCCGAGATAGAGGGCTTCAGGGGCTCAGCCTGGTGTGAATCGAGTGCCCCACAGTCACTCGCCCAGGGCCGATCCCATTTGCCCAAAACCCCTTTCCCAGTGTCTTTTTTTTTTCTTCTTTTTTGAGACGGAGTCTTGCACTGTCGCCCAGGCTGGAGTGCAGTGGCATGATCTTGGCTCACCGCAACCCGTGCCTCCCAGGTTCAAGCGATTCTCCTGCCTCAGCCTCCCAAGTAGCTGGGATTACAGGCGCCCACCACCGCACCCAGCTAATTTTTTGTATTTTTAGTAGAGATAGAGTTTCACCATATTGGCCAGTCTGGTCTTGAACTCCTAACCTCGTGATCCACCCGCCTCGGCCTCCCAAAGTGCTGGGATTACAGGCATGAGCCACCACGCCTGGCCTCCCAGTGTCTTTTATGACTTCACTTCCTCGCCCTCTTCTCACCTCTGCCGACTGAACATGCAGGTCTGGGCCCACTATGAGGAGCAGCCCGTGGAGGAGGTGATGCCAGTGCTGGAGGAGAAGGAGCGATCTGCTAGCTACAAGCCCGTGTTTGTGACTGAGATCACTGATGACCTGCACTTCTACGTGCAGGATGTGGAGACCGGTGAGTGCTCAGGCCGCTGGCTCGTGGTTCCTGGCTTGGTCCAGCTGGCGCTGCCTGGGGGTAGGGGGCCTCTGCCCAGTGGGTGGGAGGAACAATGCCTAGGCAGTCCAGGAGCCTCCCCTGAAGAGCTCACGTTGCCGCCCCTGTCTCCCTGCCTTGTCCCACTGCTCCTCTGGGCTTGGAGTTACTTCAGGAGCCTTCACATGAGCCCTGGCTTGGGCTCAGGCATGGAGGTGCTGCCGGACAGGTCCTCTGGACGCAGGTGAGATAACCAGGTTTATCTGGGTGGAGCTCTGAGTCTCTTAGGTGATTGTTTGTTCCTACATACCCCTGGCTATGCTGGGCAGGATGATTTGTAGCCCCCAGAATCTGTCAGGCACCAGCCAGGCATTGCTCAGCCCGTTTCCCTCTGGGGGAGCAAGGAGTGGTGCTGGGTTTGTCTCTGCTGGGGTTTCTCCTTCTCTAGAGGTTAACATAGCCCTGAGTGATAGCCAGTTTCCATGGAAACAGGCAGCGCTCTAGGGGAAGACATCCCCGGGCAGTCTCTGAAGGACCTTCTCCTCCTTCCGTCCTGAGTGGTGTGCACTGTGGCCAGGGTCCCCTGGGCAGAGACCTGGGGTTTCTGGAGGCCAAAGGGCAGGAGAGAGCTCTGGCAGCCGCTAGCCCGACTACACCTCCAACCGCTTACGCTTTCCACCCTGACCTCCCTTTTCTCATGGCCACCCTGTGCAGGGAAACAGTTGAGTTTGGAGCGGAAGGAAAAGCTCTTAGAGCTGCTTCTGGATCCCAGGAAACAAATCATGGTAGGCACAGGTGGACAGAGGGGGCTAGAAGTGTCAGCAGCACTTGGGCAGTCCCCCAGATGGCAGGACACAGCTCTGCCCAGCCTCCTCAGCCCACCCCAGGTCCGCTCCAGCCCCGTCTCAGCCACTTCCCTCTAATGCTGTTTCCCAGGCAGCTGCCTTTGTGGCAGTGTCATTTCACCAGGAAAAACTTGACCATTCCTGGCCCTGGGCTGGCTGTGCTTGAAAAAGGAAAAACGCAAGGGGGAGGGGTAGAGATGGAGCCCACGAGCCTGCGGGATTAGGTTCTCTTGAGGTCAGCCACAGTCCTGCTGAAAGCTGCTCCAGCAGTTGCCTGAATGAACCGGGGCGGTGGCCAGCCTTTAGGGCTGGGTCATGTGACAGGGAAGGAGTCTTGTAGTGGTGGTCTCAGTGGGAACAAGAGCCGTTCCTGGGCAGAGGAACCAGCTGGAATCCACCACCCCAAAATCCCCGCCAGCCCACCAGAGAACTTGAGCAAAAGGATGCGATCACTCCCAGGCAGGCTCTACTCAGCCTCTGGGTCCTGCTGGGGAGGACCCGCCTTGACTCAGAACAAGCCCCTGAAGTCTTAGAGAGCAGAAATCTGAGGCAGAAAACAAGAGAAAAGAGAAAACCATGTGTCCTTAGAATGCTGGAAGAGAAGGGAGTGAGGCCCTTCCTGGCAGGCCACCTGGGGATTTGTGGTGGGCTCCAGAGAGGAAGGCCCCTGCCCTCTGGTGGCTCCATGGTATCCATGGAGATGAACCTCAGGATCCACAGCCCCCTCTCTGCTGAAACCTTTCATCCCCTCTTGGGTGGCATCCTCTCACCCTGTCTCCCTTCTTTCAATTAGAGTCTGTCTTCAAGAGGGATCTGACGAAAACATTGCCATTAGCTGCAAATGACCAGTGAGGCTCTGTAAGGACCTCCCAGAGGGCTTTGCCTGTTGGCAGGAGACAAAGTCCTGCTTCTGTTGCCTTGGAGCAAAAAAAATGAAAGTAGACCAAGTTAGGGAGGAAGCTGTCTGTCAAGGCTTCTTAATCCCTGGAATTTCACTGTCTATGGCAAGGAGCACTGTCTAAAGAGAATTATAGAGGGCTGACCACTGGGTAGGGAGAGGGGCGGCTGCTACCTTCAGGCCTCTGTCGTGTGGATGCAGGACCAGTGGCCTCTGCAGCAGCTTAAGAGTGGACATACATCCCTGCATGCTTATGCAGTTTATTTTCAATGCAGCTGAATTATTAAGCACCCTGCATGCATTGGGGATTCTACCAGGCTTTGTGCAAGTAAACAGAAAGAAGTGAGCTATGCTCTATGCCCTGAAGGAGCTCACAGTATAGTAGCAGGGAACTTATAAGGCTGACTGTGGCAAGTGTAACAACAGACATATGTTGCGCCCTCCTTACAGCACTGCCTTGGGCCTGAAGATAAAGAGAGGAGCCCCACACTTAGACCACAGATCCACAGTCACCCTCCTTGCTTCTGAGACGCAAGGGGCAAAAAAGGTCTGAGACTGAGCTAGAATCAGGGCCAGAAGGGACTGATGCCTCCCAGAGTCAGGGTGGGAGAATTCTACAAGGAGCCAGGGAGAGAAACTGAGTAGGCCCTGGGTGTTGCTAAAACAGGCAAAAGCAGCAAATAAGCAGCAGGACCACTGACCCAAGGTCAGAGTGCTTAGGGAAAGACAAGGCAGGGAATCCCTCCTCCTGTGGCGCAGGGGCCCTGAGTAGCAGGGTGGGACAGTACAGCCCCAGCCCAGCAGCACTGGAAGTCCTGTTCAGCATGTATCTTGCAGGGTGACAAGGGTCAGAGGGGCCAAGTTTGAATAATACTGAGGCTCTAGGCCCTGATCCAAGAATTCCTCCCCCACCTTCCATGGCTTCAATTCTGGGGCCTTTTCCACGGTGGTGTGGGGCCCATCCTTCATCCCTACTTTTGCCCCCTGAAAGACAGTAGACAGTGGCTTCTGTCAGTTACCACCTCTGTGGCCCAGGCCAGGAGCTGGCCTTGCAGGAATGGGGTACGGGCTGGCCAGCTCTCACCCTGGAGGAGGCTGTTTGGATTGTCCTTGCTCCCTGTCTACTTTCTTTCTCCACCTCCTTAATCAAAGCTCAGGCACATCCCAAGGGCTCCCACACCCTGGGCCAGCAGACTGGAGAGCTGAGATGGCAAGGCTGTGTGTGCCTTTAAGGCCCAACATGTCAGCAAGTCACCAGTCCCACTTCTGAAGGCAGATGGCATGAAACCTCTGGAGTGGAGACCAAGAGGGCTTCCCCGCATGGGTTGGGGACAGAGCCAGTGCTGCAGTGCCCCCCAGAATTTTACATTGAGCTCCCTCCCCAACCACTCCCAGAAAAACCCTGCTGAGCCGTCGAGGAACCCAGCACCCAGGTCTCACTGTGCTCTTCCTCCCTGGCAGGCACCCAGTTGGAGAAGCTGATGGAGAACATGCGCAATGACATTGCCAGTCACCCCCCTGTAGAGGGCTCCTATGCCCCCCGCAGGGGAGAGTTCTGCATTGCCAAATTTGTAGATGGAGAATGGTAAGCCACTTGGAAAAGCAAGGCAGAGTCTTGAGCAGGAACGATAGCAGGGCTGTCCTCAGGCCTCAGGTGTTGCCTTAGCAGTCTGGTTTCCCCAGCTGGTTAATGATGGCCCCTAGCAGCTCTCCTGGGTGTCCCTCTTCATTGCCCACAGCCCATCTGGGGCCTTGCTCTGGCCTGTGCACCCCTGCAGTCCAGCCAGACAGAAGTGGCTCCTTCCTTGTCTCCTGGGGGATTCCAGGGTGGGAGCCCTTGCTGGCTGGCTGGCTGGCCGGCCGGCCAGGCTGTCCAGCACACCCCTCACCCCACCCAGGAAGAATGATGTTACAGGGGGCTGAGGTAGAGGCTGGGCTACAGTAAGCCTAAACCAGCTGCCCGACCCTCTTCCCCGGCTGTCTAGGACATGAGCAGCAGTGCTCACAGGCCGGAAGAAGGTCGCTGATGTGTAATCTACCAAGGGAGGGCCCATGGCCTTCCCAGGGTGACGAAGTGACTTGGATATGTTCCCTGCTGCGGCCTCCCAGGCAGATCTGCTGGCTAATTACAGCTGCTGTTTAGTGCACTGGGTTTAAACAGCAGACATCAATCTAGTCATTAGTCTTGTTGCTTTATGCCCCAAGGACACATTAATCTGCTCCACATGCTCCTTTCTCCCTCTTCTGCTCCCAGCTATGCTCTGATTCCATTAGGTGGTGACCACAGTGGCCGAGGCTGGGCCTAGATGGAGTGCAGTTACTGTCCCCTGTGACACCCGTTGAACCCAGGCAGGGAAATGCTGTGCCCCTGCCCCGCCATTGCTGAGGCTCTGGGAGCCCAGAGTCCTCAGGGCTGTCTCTTGAGCTCTGCCCATGATGCCATTGCAGGTACCGTGCCCGAGTAGAGAAAGTCGAGTCTCCTGCCAAAATACATGTCTTCTACATTGACTACGGCAACGTGAGTGTTGGGGACCAGAGTGTTGGAGGGGCTATCAAACACAGCAGCCCCCGAGTCAAATCCATCTGATCTCTCCAAGGTCCCTCTGAGCTTACCAATAGAACAATGAGCATTGGGGCATCTCTGCTGTGCGTGTAACAGGCCAGGCCCCCTCAGTGACCTGGCAAAACTGGGGTCTATGACCAGTGGCTGCAAGCACTGATAGGTCCCGCATCCAGACCCCACGGATGAGTGTCCAGCCACACCCACAGTTCCTCTTCTGCCTGAGGTCTCTGCAGAATGGGGGCAGGGCCTCTGTAGCACATGGAGGGCCTTTACACCCACAGTTCCTGGTGTTCAAGCCAAACTGGGTGTTTGTTCCATGCGCTAATCCCCGGCACATCCCCAAACTCAGGTTTGCTGGGAAGGGACAGTCACAAGGTGACAGTGACTGACTGGCACCCTTGGGAGAAAAATTTCTCCGGCTGGGCCTGGGAGTCTGTTGACAACTCCTGGGAGATTCTCTTGAGGAACAGCAGCCAGCTGGTGAGAAAACTGTCATTCAGGAGGGTGACGCTCCTGAGTCATGGCACTGCTTGTCTGCGTACCTCCCATGCCTTCCTCAAGTACTAGGACTGAGGATCTGTTAGTAGAGAGCCCAGAGTTGGGCCATGCTCCCAACCCATCTCCTGGGAATACACAAAGGAAGAGGTCCTGCCAGACAAGGGTGAACCCAGATGCCTGGGCCAGAACCACAGGCAGGCCCGGTGACCACAGGGATACTTGTCTTGGTGTGCTCCCCTAGCCAGCAGCTGGAGAACCCCCTGGCCTGTGGGAACGTAGTCAGGGAACCCATGTCACAGACAGAAGGGCATTGGGAGGAAATGGAAAAGCGATTAGAGTCCAGTTATACTGCGATTGTTTTCATGGGAACCACTAGGTGTGCCAGCACCAGGCCCAGAGTGAGCTCCCCATCTACTGCTGGACCAGCAGGGCACGTTCTCTCCAGGCTTCACCCACTGGGGAGCCTTTGTACATTGCAAAGTGGAACCAAGTCATGGGATGAACAGGGTGGCCCAGAGTTAGCATTCCCAGAGGCCTGGCCACAGAGAGCTGTCCTGTGAGAGAGCAAGGGGGCAGCGAGTATGTGACATGTTGGCCTGCTGCTTCCTCTGCAGAGAGAGGTCCTGCCATCCACCCGCCTGGGTACCCTATCACCTGCCTTCAGCACTCGGGTGCTGCCAGCTCAAGCCACGGAGTATGCCTTCGCCTTCATCCAGGTGCCCCAAGATGTGAGTCTGGAGTCTTCCTCCTTCCAAAGGGGACTATCCACTGACACTTAGCCGCTGCAGCAGCCCTCATGGGCTGACAGGAGAAGATGGAAACTATGATGGTCTCTTAGTAATAGTACTCAAGAGATGGGAAGTTGAGGAAGATGCCACCGAGGAGGTAGTATTAGAGCATTCCAGCTAGTTCATAGAAGCAGGTAGGCCAGGGTGCATTTGGACAAAGACTAGACCACCACAGCTGGATCCCAGGGGGCTTTTGGGCAGTGGCAGGAGGTGATCAGGCAGTGGCAGGAGGTGAGGTGGGAAAGGGCTTGGTGTCGTGGGGTTGTCTACCCTGGCAAGGAGTTTATTCTTTGTGCTGTATAGGCAGGAGGAATGTGGCACCATTTCTAGGAGAAGTGTGACATGGTCCAGTGTGTTTCTGAAAGTTAGTTCTGATGGCACAGTGAACAGAGGGACTAGAATGAATGGGTGGGAGACAATTGTAACAGTCCAGGCTAGAGACAAAGGTGGTGCTGGGTTTCTTATGTGTGGATGTGTTGCTGTTGGCCAAGAAGAATGAGAAGGAGCGAATTTGGGCAGTGGGACCTCCAGGCAGCCTTACAGTTTTCAGTTGGGGAGTGAGATGAGACCTGGAATTTATGGGTCTGTGTAGTTAAAACCATGCGGTGTACAAGATTGCCCAGATTGAGTATGTGGAAGGTGTGATGGGGAGGAGAGAGAGTGTTAGGAAGTGCTGGGGTCCTGCCATCTGAGAACAGGAGCCCAGAGGCAGCATATGCAGCCAGAAAGGAGAGAACCCATGCTGAGGGTCGTGGATACCCTCTATCCCCAGAAACAGAAAGCCAGTCTACAATGTCCAGATCCCCCGGGAGCTCAGGCAGGTTGAGGCTTCCCAGGGGCTGCCCTTGGCTTTAGCTTTGAGAAGGTGCCTGGTACCTGGAGTGAGAGCTGCGTGATCACCATGGTTGGCACTGTCACCAGATAAAGGGTGCAAATGAAGAATAAGCAAATTTACTCTTTACCTTTTCACAAAGTTGCTGAAGGTCAGGAGAGATGCAACAGAAAATGCTGAAGGCAAGTATCACAAAACACGTCGGTGAAGACAGACATGTGGAGTCAGGTGCAGTGGCTCACGCCTGTAATCCCAGCATAGGAGGCCAAGCAGGGAGGACTGCTTGAGCCCAGGTGTTCAAAACCACCCTGGGCAACATAGCAAGACCCTGTCTCTAAAAAAAAAAAAAAAAAAAAAAATAGCTGGGTGTGGTGGCACACGCCTGTACTCCCAGCTAGTCCCAGCTATTCAGGAGACTGCGGTGAGAGGATCGCTCGAGCCCACAAGTTCAAGGTTGCAGTGAGATGATGACACCACTGCACTCTGGCCAGTCCCTATCTCTCTTTTTTTTTTTTTTTTTTTTTTTTGAGATGAATTCTTGCTTTGTCACCCAGGCTAGAGTGCAGTGGCACAATCTCGGCTCACTGCAACCTCTCCCTCCCAGGTTGAAGTGATTCTCCCACCTCAGCCTTCCGAGTAGCTGGGATTATAAGTGCCCGCCACCACGCCCAGCTAATTTTTGTATTTTCAGTAGAGACAGGGTTTCACCATGTTGGCCAGGCTGGTCTTGAACTCCTGACCTCAGGTCACCCACCCACCTCGGCCTCCCAAAGTGCTGGGATTACAGGCATGAGCCACCACACCTGGCCTAGTCCCTGTCTCTTTAAAAAAAAAAAAGACAGAGACACAGGATGTCATGGACATAGTGCACTGGAGCAAGGTCCTGCTGGAGGAAGGAAGTGAAAGGGCACCAAGTGTAGGTGAGCTTTGAGTGGGAAGAAGTCACTTTTTCTCGGAGACACAGGGCAGGTGGGTGGGAGCACAGGGTAGGAAAGAAAGGGGTCACTTGCAAATAGTCTCTGGCTGAGGGCAAGGAAAAGAAAAGGGGAAGGCTTCCTATCCAGAGCCTGTTTCTGCCTCACTAGGGTTCTTTCTGGTTTGTGTTTTTTTGTTTTTTTGGTATTTTTTTGAGGCCAAGTCTCACTCTGTCACCCAGGCAGGAGTGCAGTGGCGCAATATTGGCTCACTGCAGCCTCCGCCTCCTAGCTTCAAGCGATTCTCGTGCCGCAGTTTCCCAAGTAGCTGGGATTACAGGCATGCACCCCATGCCCAGCTAATTTTTGTGTTTTTGGTAGAGATGGGGTTTCACTGTGTTGGCCAGGCTGGTCGCCAACTCCTGGCCTCAAGGGGTCCACCCACCTCAGCCTCCCAAAGTGCTGGGATTACAGGCATGAGCCACCGTGCCTGGCCAACCTCACTAGGGTTCTCTGGGGAGAAAATTACAGGCCCCTGCTGGCCAGACTTTCTTGGGAGTCTATGGACAGGAGCTGGGGCCCAAGTGGTTGTTCTCTGGCTTGCTCTGACCTGAGTGTGTCTCTGCTCCAGGATGATGCCCGCACGGACGCCGTGGACAGCGTAGTTCGGGATATCCAGAACACTCAGTGCCTGCTCAACGTGGAACACCTGAGTGCCGGCTGCCCCCATGTCACCCTGCAGTTTGCAGATTCCAAGGGCGATGTGGGGCTGGGCTTGGTGAAGGAAGGGCTGGTCATGGTGGAGGTGCGCAAGGAGAAACAGTTCCAGAAAGTGGTATGTGATGTGGAGAGGCGGCCCCAGCATTGCGCCACCACCCTCACAGAGAAAGGGACTGTTCCACAAGCCAGGAAGGGAGCAGGGAATCCACCATCCTGCTGTTCCTGCTGAGGAAAGATAATGGATTTGGGTTTGTTGGTGTTTTTTTGTTTTTGTTTTAAAGCTAATTACATCCCAAATTAATTGGCTGCGGGTTTGGCTGAGAATGCAGCTGCAAACTAGAGCGGAAAGCTTCCCTCCCCATGTACCCCCAGGTGACAGGCGAGAAAGCTTTGCCAGGGGCTATGTGGAGAGGGTCAAGGCCTGTCCCTCCCGCTCTCCCAGTCTCACTGTCCAACAGACAGCTTCCAAGTCAATAACCAACTCCTAACACCCAGTGCCACCCCGAGCCAGAGCTGTCGAGGAGGCAGCACCAAAGGGCCCAGAAAGACTGCCACACAACCCTCTGGCTATTTGGAAAGCCCCTTGGACTTGGAGTCCTGCCTCCACTGTTCTGAGAGGAGAAGCCAGCCTCCTGAGCCCCATCTCCCTGCTTATGAAGTGAGGGGAGGACTAGCTGCCTTGCCACTTCTCAGGGCTGATCGTGACAATCAGTGCGCTCGTACCTGAGAAACAGCTTGCACTGAGCAGCCTTTGGTGATTAGCTTTGGGCTCTGGATACAAGGCAGCCCCTTCCACCCAACACTATACATTTCTGAGTCCCTCTCTACCCTTTCACCAAGCAGCCACTGAGGCCCTATTGCAGACCAGCCCTGCGTCCCAGCTGGGCTGAATCAGCGAACCATCCAAGAGGGCCAGACTTGGGGAAGCTCGGGCCCCCGACAGAGCTGCCGTCTCCTGGCAGAAAGTGATGAGAGGGCAGCAGGATGTGGCCAGCTTCTCCCTATGTTCCTTCAGAGACAGGGGCAAGAAAGGCGGGGCATGAAAACCAAACACTTTCCTCCTCTTCATCTCTCTTCCATTCGCCCACTGCTCTCCCTTCTCCCAGCCCTCCTGGCCTTTCCTCTCTCCCCACCACACCGCAAGCCCACATAATGTGTCGGTGGCTGTGCAGGCTGACGACTCACTGGAACAAGACACCCCTGTGGACTGCCGCTGTGTCTCAAGAGAAGCCCGACCCCTAAGCCCCTCTGGATAGACCCCCACTTTCCTTAGGAGATGGCTCCTAGGAGGTCAGCTTCAGCCTCCCTATAGAATTGGAGATCTTATTGTACCCCATATGAAACTGCCCATAATGCCCCTGCTATCTAGAAAATTCCTTCTGCCGCAGTCCCTGAGATAAACACCTAACATGCTCATTTATTTATTCATTCTATCAGCAGACATTTATTGAGGGCCTACAGTATATCAGTGAGCAAGAAACAGCACCCCTGCCCTGAGAAGCTTACATTCAAGCATGAGGAGACAACAATTACAATGAACATAATAAGTAAATTAAATAGGATATTAGAAGATGATAACTGCAGTGAAAAATAGAAGTGGAATCCAGGGAGTCAGGAATGGGAGGGGAAGGTTGTATTTGTATTGCTCTTGTTTGGTTTGGTTTCTTTTGAGACCGGGTCTGGAGTACAATGGCACAGTGCCGGAATCACGACTCACTGCAGCCTTCAACTCCCTGGCCCAAGTGATCCTCCCACCTCAGCCTGCCAAGTACTGAGACTACAGACATTCATGGGCCACCATGCCTGGCTAATTTTTTTTTTTTTTTAATAGAGATGGGGTCAGCCTGGTCTTGAACTCCTGGGCTCAAGTGATCCTCCTGCCTTGGCCTCCCAAAGTGCAGCAATTATAGGCATGAGCCACCACACCTGGCCTAGGTTGTAATTTTAAATGGGGTTGCCCGAGACCTCATTAAGAGGGAGATACTTTATCACAGACTGAAGCAGGTGGGAGAGGTAGCCAGGAGGACGTGACCAGAGGAGCGTTCCAGGCAGACAGAAGAGCTAGTGCGAAGAGTTAAGGGAAAAGCCAGGAGACTAATGTGATTGTGTTTTCCGTTTTACTCTGAGGGAACTAAGGCTCCATTGGACAGGCTTGAGCAAGGGAGAGCTCTGGCGCTTACCTAAGCATTCTGCAGGGTCCTGCTGGCTGATCATTTGAGGGCAACTCTGACCACTCCCTTTCTTCTCTCGTCCCTCCAGATCACAGAATACCTGAATGCCCAAGAGTCAGCCAAGAGCGCCAGGGTGAGTTCTTACCTTGGGAGCCCCCAGAGGGTACCGAGTTGAGGGGTTTGGCCCTCTGAGTTCCGGTGGGTCCCGTATCCCTGAAGAGCTATTGTCTGTTTTTTCTTACAGCTGAACCTGTGGCGCTATGGAGACTTTCGAGCTGATGATGCAGACGAATTTGGCTACAGCCGCTAAGGAGGGGATCGGGTTTGGCCCCCAGCCCCGCTCACGCCAGTCCCTCTTCCTCTGCCGGGAGGGTGTTTTCAACTCCAAACCCCAGAGAGGGGTTGTAGATTGGGTCCAGCTTTGCTTCAGTGTGTGGAAATGTCTCGTGGGGTGGCATCGGGGCTGCGGGGTGGGGACCCCAAGGCTTTCTGGGGCAGACCCTTGTCCTCTGGGATGATGGGCACTGCTATCCACAGTCTCTGCCAGTTGGTTTTATTTGGAGGTTTGTGGGCTTTTTTTAAAAAAAAAAAGTCCTCAAATCAGGAAGAAACATCAAAGACTATGTCCTAGTGGAGGGAGTAATCCTAACACCCAGGCTGGCCGCCAGCTGGCACCTGCCTCTATCCCAGACTGCCCTCGTCCCAGCTCTCTGTCCAACTGTTGATTATGTGATTTTTCTGATACGTCCATTCTCAAATGCCAGTGTGTTCACATCTTCGCTCTGGCCAGCCCATTCTGTATTTAAAGCTTTTGAGGCCCAATAAAATAGTACGTGCTGTCTGCAGCCCTTATTGATCACAGTGTGGTCCAGAGCATGGAGTCTTGGCAGCTTCACCCAGGAGGAGACCTGGACACTTGAATGACCCCCAAGATAGTCATCCAAATGCCTGGACATTCTCCCTAGAAATAGAGCCAGCTGGGGAAAGCAAGGCAGATCTTCAGAGTCTGAGCAAGCAACTCCTGGACCCAGTGGGCACCACTTGGCACCATGGCCATCATGCAGGAGGCTACAGGTCTTTTTTGACTTCTTGCACATGGCTGTTTTCAAGGACCTTAGAGAGTTACAGCAGCTTGGCCAGCAGCACCCAGGACAATTTACCCACTGTGAATTGCTGGGTCTGGCCTTAGGCAGACCCTGCCAGATCCCCAAGAAAGGATTCAAAAGGAATCAGCTGAGAGCAATGAGGTGATTTCCCTAATTCCTGCTGTGTCTGGGATAGAGTGGGTTAGAACGCAGGCCCCCTGGTTCCTCTCCGGAGAACAGAGCTAGGAGGGCCGGCTTCTCCAAGAGGGACCCAGGTCCCAGGTGAGAGGCCTGTCTGCTCCAGGTTAGCCATTGCTCATGTCTGACTTGATAAGCTCTCCCCAAAAGTCCTCAGGTAGAACTGGCCCTGGAGCTCAGAATCCTCAGGCTGCGTGTAGCCCATGAGGGAGGAGCCATGGTGGTGTGAGGCCAGGAGTCCCGGGGAGAGAAAGTCAAGTGTGAGAGTCACCACTCCCCACACCCATGGTGTCCAGCGCCTCATTATTCCTCCACTGACGGCATTACCTGTGTGCCCCCGCCCCTCCCTGGCACATACTTTGGTGAAACTTGGTGGCACGTCTTTCTGACAGCCCCACATCCCACCAACATTCTGATCTGGGGTGATGCTCCAAGCTGCCATATAAAATTGACCCTTTGATCTTGGGGGCTACAGGGACAGTCAGTGGAGGTGGTAGGGCCTGGCTGGCTGGATCTCATTCCTCAGCTGGAGGTCCTGCCGTAACACACACTTGTTCTGGCCAGGGCTCTTACGGGGTTCTCATGTGTGCTGCTTATACTCAAGGTGCGCTATAGTTAGGTGAGGGTAGGAAGAGCCAGGGAGGGGCCATGGGGAGAAATGTTGAGTCAGTTCAACTCCAGAAACACTAGTTTCCCTTGGTCCTCGTGGGGACTCACAGTTTCTACTTGCAGCGCCTCCGGCTTAGCCAGAACAAGCGCTTACACTGTCTGAATCAGACCCTTTATGGTCCAGTAAACTGTGCTTCCCTTGACTACATGCAGCCCCTTAGGGGGCCCAGGAAGTCAGGAGGGGTGTGGATGATGACTTGGTGTGAATCTCTTCATCATCCCCACTCCTGGAGAAGCTGTCCTGCCCCCAGCAGAGAAGCACACTCTCACCATGGTCTCTGATTTTATTTTTATCCATCAAGAAGAGAATGCCCATCTCACTTATTTCTTGACCTCCAAGGTGCTTCTGGTAGGGTGCGATGTGTATTCACAGTGAACACAATCGGCAGAGGGCAAGATGCCAGCCCACTCTTTTGTGAAAGGGTCTGAAATCATCTCACGGTCTTCACAGTTGCCTTGGTTACATCTGCACCCAAGGATAAACCCTCCTTAGTTTTCCAATTGAAATTATGCCTGAGCCTTCCCACTTCTGAGTTTTTTCTCTGCCAAGGCTGGTTGAGACAAAGGTCAGATCAGTCACCAGGCAGGAAGGCGCTACCGCAGCTTGTCTGGTTTTGACCCCAACTTGGTGTTTCTCTCGGTATCACATCTGCCAAGTTCCTGAGGTGTGACCTGGATAGGGCTGGGACCAGGGTGAGGCAAGCCACGCGCCAAGGGTGCAGATTTGAAGGAGGCACTCACAGAGTGCGCACACATTGGCATGTTCTATTTTCATCTGTAGCTGTCCACTCAGCACCAGCCCTTGCACCAGTAGCCAGAAAAAGCTCTCCACAGGTTCCTCCCACTCCCCCTGAGTTATAAAAATTGCACCTTGGCCTCAGGATTGTGGGTTCTGCTTCTCCATCCACCTTTCCTGTTGAATAGTGAAGTCTCTTGAGCACCTGTTATCCATCCATTTAGGCTTCCTCCAAGCAGGGATTAAGACCCAGATAGTGCCAAGCACAGTGTTGGGTCCAGTGAGTGCCAAGGTCATCTCTCTGGGCTCTCGAGGAGGCAGCAGATGCATGCTATCTATAACAAGCCACAGCAGTGGGTGGTGCCCTGGGACTTTAAGGGACAGAGGCCCTGGCCCAGGTGGCTGGGAAGTTTCCCAGAGGAAAGGAGAAGAGCTGGGGCTAGCAGATGGTGGGAAGGCATCGCTTATCTCTGGGCAGCTTGAGGAGTCTCCTGGTCTCCGAGGGTGGATGCAGCAGAGCCCAGGGCTTGGGAAAGCCACCAGGGAAGTATTGGTGGCTGAGACTCCTCCGCAGCGACCTCATCTCCCTCCTCTTGCTGGTGGACAGGATTAGTAGCGAAGGCGGGCAGTGGAGAGAAGGGCTCCCGTGACTGCCTCCATTTTATTTATTGGTTTGATTATTTTTGCGTCCTGGGGAGAGAGTGGACCCCGTTTTTTGCATTAGCCCATATTGGGAAGCAATGGGGATGGGCTAGAAAGCTGGTGCCTCAAGAGTGGTTATTGATGTCCTAATTACAAGAGGATGCTAATTTAATTTGAACCTAATTACAGTGCACTACCCTGGGTGGCATGTGTTTTAATAATTAACGTCCTTCAGATGCGTAGGAGTGTAATAATATTTACACTAGGTTGGCCAGCAGCCTGTGGAGGCGGACTGGGGGCCCATACACCACCTTCTCCCTGGACAGCTTGGCTGTGAGCAGGTGGGGAAGAAGGCACATGGGTCCTGGCTGGCGAGTATCTTGTCATCCTTCCCATGTAACATGCTTGGGCCTCATTTCCAGCCACTTCCTTGACCCAGCAGGCAGCTTTGCTCTGTGGGGCACCAGGCTGGAACTCTGGAATACATCAAGACTGGCAGGATCAGGTCTCTGGGCTCCAGCCCCAAACCCACCTCCCCAACCCCAGTCTACCACACAGGGATGTTTCTGGCCTCCTCAGCCTGCCTGGTCCTATTCCGGGAAGGGCTTGTTTAAGGGGGAGTTTAGGAGGGAGGAAGGAGAGCTGCTTGGTTTGTCTTCATTCCTGTAAGGGAGGTAACATTTATAAGGAAATAGACACATTCGAAAAGGTGCACAAATGAAAAGGGTACCGCTCAAATACAAAGTGAACATTACCCACATAAACAGCACACACACCAAAAAGCATCAGCAGCCCCTCATGCACCCCTCCATAGCCGCTCTCACCCCCAAAAGTAACCCCTCTTGACTTCTATCCCAGTAGATGATTTTGGCCTATTTTGTTTGTTATGTTTTTATGTTGATTTGTTTTTCTTGGTTTGCGTGGCTTTACATTTTACATAAGGGGACTCAAACCATATGTATTCTTATGTGCCTGATGTCTTCCACCCAGCACACCTGTGAGATTCATCTGCGTGGTTAGGTTCATTTTAGCTTGTGCATTTTGTGTGGTCCATTGTATGAATACACCACTCCTTGATTATTAGAAGTCAGACATTGAGCTGTCTGCTAGGGCTGTGTCAGGCCCTAAAGGAGAAATCTGCTCATCCTAATGATGCAACTGGGGGCAGAAGGTGACATGAGATGAGAAGGGGAAGCAAGATGACGGGGCAAGGCAGTTCCGTCCCCAACAATCCCAGAACAGTGTGCTTGTCTGTGTGACCCCTGTGCCCAGCCTTTCTGAGCCTCCACAGGTAGGGACAGGGCCTACCAGCAAGTCCAGAAGCCAAGCAGAACCAGGGGCTTCAGAAATGGGCCATGGGCACTTTGGTGTCGCCACCAGCTCTCACTAGGCACTAAGTGTGGCTGGCAGGCCAACTACATCAGAATCACCTGGGGTGCTCGTTAAAATACAGCTTCCAAAAATAGTGCCAGAACTATATTAGGAGTGGTGGGGGGGTAAGTGAGCTGAGTCCTCCTCATCTGTCATAGCAGGAAGACAATGGGTAATGTCTGAAGTTGATAAAACAAGAACTAGCTTATTATTTAGCAATAAGATAGTAACCATCAGATCAAAAACATGATTAAAAGTGGTTGCCTGTAGGTAGCACACTAGGGATGGGAAGCGCTGCTTTTTATTATAATCTCTACTATTGAATTTTCTAACCATTTGTGAGTGTTTTCAGTGGTCTTTTTAAATTCATTGTCATGTAAATATACATGTATCTAAGTGCCACTCCAGACCTACTACCCCAATCCCCGTGGGGTGGGGCCTGGGGATCCACTTTAACAAGTTTCCTAGGCGATTCTGATGAGTTCTCAAGTTCAAGAATTGGCTATCACTGTCCAAACTCATTTTATAGGATGAGAAGGGAGACAAAGTGACTTGCCCAAGGTCACCCAGTTTATTAATGGCAGGGCCAGGAATAGAAAACAGATCTCCCGGCCCCAGGCCTATGATTTTTCTCTCCGTCATGGCTTTCGCCTTGGAGGGTATCCATCCCAGCAGGCCTGGCCCTCGGGGGCCTGCAGGGTGAGCTGGGGTCCCAGTTCAGACAAAGGAGGCTAGGGTGTCGTTGCACAGGGCGGAGGAGTGACTCCTGTCACGGGCCCAGAGCCCTCAAGCAGGCAGATATTTCTAACCACTGCATGTTGACAGTGCCCTGGATTTCTGCAGATCCATTGCAGGAACCAGCACATGCAAAAATGGGGCTGCTCCTGTGGCTCTGCCAGCAGCAACATCTTTGAGGTTTCTTTCCCCAGGATGGGAATGAGTCTGCCCTGAGCCATCCATAGCCCCTGAACATTCAGGCATTTAGCATTTCCTGAGCTGCTCCAGGCACTGTTCTAAGGGCTGGGAGAAAAAGGGAGAGTTATCTTTGGCCTCGTGGGGCTCACAGTATACTGAGAACAGATGTTGGTGATAGAAAGACCTAATTGATGTAATTGATGTATGTACAAATGCTGTGGCCTTAGCTTGTGGAGTTGACAGTGGCCATGCCCCATCACCCAGCAATTTCCTCCTGGTTCTGTGGCCAGGGGCTATTTGCATGTGTTAAGAACAACCCACCGGCTGGCGCGGTGGCTCGCGCCTGTAATCCCAGCACTTTGGGAGGCCGAGGCGGGCGGATCATGAGGTCAGGAGATCAAGATCTTCCTGGCTAACACGGTGAAACCCCGTCTCTACTAAAAATACAAAAAAACTAGCCAGGCCTGGTGGCGGGCACCTGTAGTCCCAGCTACTCGGGAGGCTGAGGCAGGAGAATGGCGTGAACCCGGGAGGCGGAGCTTGCAGTGAGCCTAGATCGCGCCACTGCACTCCAGCCTGGGCAACAGAGTGAGACTCCGTCTCAAAAAAAAAGCAAAAAAACCACCAGGACCCATATGCAAGAATGGGCACTGCAGCTTTGTTCCTACAAACAGAAATGAGACACTACAGGCATGGCAAGGTATTCACACAATGGAATATTACTCAGCAATGAAAATGAACTGTAGCCACACAAAGCAAGGATAAATCTCAGAAATAATGTTGAATGAATAAAGCACATCTCAGAGAACTTCATATCATATAATACCATTATTCTAAAGCTCAAAACCAAAAATACGTTGCTTAGATATACATGTATCTAGGTGATCATTTAATTTATTGTCCAAATAGGGATGTTTTTGCGAGCAAAAAGGAACACAAATTCTGACATTTGGACTGCAAGTGTAAGTTGACACTATCTCCAGTAAACTGGGACATGTGGACACCCCACATATATGTATATAAAACATAAAAGCAAAGGGATGATAAACACAGAAATCTGGATGGTGGTCACCTCCAGGTGGGGCAGCGGACCCCAGGGGTGAGATAAGGAAGGATGCTGGGGAGACATAAGTGACTGGGAATGTTCTGTGTGTTGGTCTGGGAGGTGGGTCTATAGATGGCTATTACATTATTAAATTAATAAAGTGTAGGAACTCAAAGGAGAAAGCTCTTCCAGGGAGGTGAGGAAGGTTTTGAGGACAGGGTGACAACTTCAACAGTTTACCTGATAAACAATGGGTCTGGTTGAGGGAACTCACTGAGCAAAGCCCTCTCATGGCTGGTGGGGCTCTTCTCAGAAGGCTCTCTGCATTCCAAGTCTAGCGTGTGGCCACAAAACTAGGGACTTTGTTCTCACCAGCCCTGGGCACTGACCAGCTGAAGCCCCACCCTTTTGGGAAAAAGCAGCCATCCAGGACAGGGAGAGCTGACCAGGCCTGCACGAGACACTGACTTCAAGGTACCCTGCTCACTTCAGATTAAAGTGTAAGTTACGGGAAGTGCACAGATCTTAAGCATATGTGGATTTTTGCGAATATATATAGTGAAGCTACCATTTGGATCGACTGTAGAACATCAGCATCCCTGAAAGCAACAACTTTTACCCCTATCACCATAGTTTGGGCTGTTCTTGGTGCCAGGGTCTTTTAAAGGACATTTTTTCCCTGAAATAGTCCTGACGACATGATGGGACCTTACAATCTCTAGGTATCTTTGCCAGAGTGCCTGTGCCTGGGGCTTGAATTGACACAAGGTAGGATAGGGGCTTCAGAGCCCCTACCCCCCCAACCTCTTCACAGCTGCCTCAGAACCTTAGGCAAGGCCAGCAGGAGACAAGGGTCCCTCACCCTGCTGCTTGAGGGCCTTGGCTGTGTCTAGCCAGGCAATACAGACCTATTATCCCAGCTCAATCGAGTCATTCTAGGCCCTGGGCCCAGTCACTGCTATGGATCAGGTGATACTGATGCAATTCAGTGAGCAGGCAGCTTCAATCTATAGGAGTCATCTGGGCCTGGGAGATAGGCCAGCTCCCCCTCCACTTGGGCAGATCTCACTCTCCTGCAGCCACGTGAATGCCACAGGTCTAAGACAGATCCTGTGGTGTTAACATTTTGTGTTCTCAATTACGTAGAACAAAATGAGGCCAAAGCTACTTACGGTTATTCTAAATGATACTTCTGTTTGGCTTCACAATGCGTTTACATGCTTGACTCACCTGTGGTCAGCAGTCTCAGCCTCAGAGATGTCACAGTAGAGGAAATGGTATTGATGGAGCCAAGTCCGCCCTCCAGCCCACTGCAGAAACAACCAAGCCTGAGTTGGCCACCTCCCTCCAGCCTGTCCTAACACATGCTCAGGACAGGACCTGACCAGTGGGTAAGGAGTTTGGGTTTCAAAGAAGCAGAACCATAGGCTGAGTTCAGAGACTGAATCAATAGATAGATAGATGTCAGACAGACTAATAATTATCAGGCCAAGTTGGTGCTGGTCAAGAACTTGGCCATGAGATTGATCTCAAGGAGTCAGTGGTGGAGGATATGGTTGGTTCTGAAGGCAGACGGGCTGAGCTTGAGTCCTAGCGTGCCGCACGCTAGCCGAGTGCCCCAAGTGGGCTAATTAACCTTTCTGAGGCGGTTCCCTCATCTGTAGACTGAAGAATAAAAGATAAAAATTCCTACATCGTAAGGTTAATAAAAGAATTCAGAGGCCAGGCGCGGTGGCTCAAGCCTGTAGTCCCAGCACTGGGAGACCAAGGCGGGAGGATCGCTTGAGCCTAGGCATTTAAGACCAGCCTGGGTAACATAGTGAGACCCCAGCTCTACTTTTTTTTTAATTAAAAAAATAAAAAAGGAATTCAGTGAGATTTGTAAAGCACTTTACACAGGGCCCAGCACAGATTCTGTGTTCAGTGTTTGCTGTTATCACCCAGGGAGGAGGGTGCAGGCATGGAATAACCTCTCTGCTCTTGAGAGCATTGTGGGGTTGAGGCCAGAAGGGAGTCAAGGTGTCAGGAGGTGGGGGGTGGGGAGGCTGAGATGACTGGGCTGAGTCTCTGGCTGTCCAGTTGTGGAGTGATGGGAAGCAGGAGTCATGCACACCCAGGGCAGGGGGTTCCATCCCTTCACCTTGCTGGCGTGGAACTAGTCCTGTAGCTAAGGTGTTCAGCGCATGTGCACTGAGTACCTGTCGTGCCAGGCACCATTTGGGTGCTGAAGTTACAGAAGCAAACAGCACAGAGCTCCTGGCTGCATGGACTAGGGAGAGGACATATGCCCATACTCACCTGGCATGGAGGACACCATGCCTAGCCAAAACTTACACATAGACACTTTGCCTCAGACCTGAAATCTGGATTTAGACAGCAGAAGGAAGTTAGTGGTAGGGGTTGGGGTGTGTGTGTGTGTTTGTGTGTGTGTGTGTGTGTGTGTGTGTGTGTAGATGCCTCTTGGAGGAGCCAGTTCTGATTCACAGACCTGAAAACCAGCAGCAGAAAATGACTCCTCCCTGCTGATGTGGGTGTAGTTCTGGAGAAAGTCCTGTGCTGGGGCTGAGTGGACCATGGGCAGGGAGTGGGGTGGAGCAGGGGCAGTGCTAGGGGGCAGGATGCTGCAGTGCACCCCACCCACCATGGGAAGCCCCGAGATGGAGTTTACTGGGGCCTGGATGCAGGGGGAGCAGCCAGTATCACAGCTGCACTCCTGCCTCGACTCCAGCACATAGGCCTCACTGGCTGTGAACAGGGAAACACTAGTCTCAGGTTCCCAGGGAGCAGAGCTATGCAGAGGGAGCCCTCCAGAGTCAGGCGAAGGGCATCATGCCAGGCAGGAAGTATTAGCACTGATGTGGGGGCACCTCCTAGGCCGTCCTCATGTCCACTGTGTGAGTGGCACACAGTGCATGACAGTTGGGGACATTCCCATTTGACAGGGTGACAAACCAGAAGAGGTGGGTGCCTGATTCCAAGTTACACAGGGTGTGAGGAGCTGCACAGAGGCCACCATGATGAGCCACTTACATGACCTTGACCCCTAGTGAGAAGGACCCGTGTGGGCAAAGACAGATCTGAAGCTGCACTTTACTCAACAGCTGGGGAGGGCCGTTTCCAGAGGGGGCTTCACAAGGTGCAGTCGCACAGGCACTCGGGTTTGCAGGGAGGAGGATGTCCTTGGGAACTAGCCTGGCGGCCTTGTCTCATCTGGCCTGATCTGTAGAGGGCAGCTCCCAGGGGGGAGACCCGAGGCAGAGATCACAAATAGTGCCATGTCTGATCAATTGATAGTGGCTCCCTGGGGTGCCCTGTAGTCAAGGATTCTAAGGTCATGCCAGAAAGTCAGCTGTAATCAATTATTAATGTCTACCAAGGGTGTGGGAAAGGGGGATGGTCATGTGTGTCCCATATATTTGCCATCCTGTGTCAGTGCTTTCATGGGAAGAGGGTTCAGGAATCTTACTACATCAAAGTAGGGGGCACTTCCACAGCATCCTTGACGCAAGTATCCACTTCTGCTTGCAGAGAGGGCTGGAAACTCCCTCTCAAGGAAGTGGCGCCCAAATCAGTTCTTACCTCGTTACTGCTATCGTGTTCCAATTGCAAATACTGTTTTGCAGTTCATAAGCAGAGTTAAACACCTACTCTCTGCTGGGCACAAGGGACCCACAGCTGAGCCAGTCAAGTCCCCTGATACTATCTGCAGATACTTGAACCTGGTAAACTTCAGTGAGACCACTTTTCTTGGGGAGAGGGAGAGGCCCCTAAAGGCAGGGACAAGAGAGTTCTCCAGAAGCAGGAAGAGTTAAGGCCCTGAACCTGGAGGTGGCTCCTTGGGCATTTCCTGAAGACCAAGCTTCCATTTTCCTCTGGTGCCTTCCAGGCCAGCAGGCCCTGGAGCAGCGCTTCTCAAACTTTAACTTGCTTGTGAATCATCTGGGGATCTTGTTAGAATGCACATTCTCCTTCAGTAAGTATGGGGCAGGGCCAAGAATCTGCATTTCTAACCGGCTCCCAGGAGGTGCTTTGGGCCAAAGGACCACCCTGAGGAGCTATCCCCTCCCCAGCCCTTTCAGGCCAGAGGCTACCAGCAGGAGGTAGTAGGTAGAGAAGCCCACCTGGTTCCCACAGAGGGCTCCTGGGAGGTCTGACCAAGGCCTGAGTTTGGAGGCAGGGAGCAAACAAGACTCATGCTACCTAAAGCCAGAAATATAAGGGAAAGAGCCAGACCCTGGCACAGCTCTGCAGGAGAAGCTGCCTGAGGAGAGGGGCTGGGGCTGAGGCTGGTGAAGAATCTCTGCTCTAGGAGCTCCAGGGCCAACATAGAGTGCAGGCAGAGCTAAGCTCTGGAGTGTAGGCTCTCTAGACTGTACACCTCCAAAATGATCATGATGTCAGCAGCAGCTCAAGATCTGTGTGCTCCCACAAGGGCTAAGCACTTTATGGGTAGTCTTATCAGGGAAGGACCCTTCCCCCGGTTTTACAGATATCCTCTGGAAGACAGGCCTAGAGTCCATGACTTGCAAGTATTCAATAAATGATTTATGAGTGAATGACTAAAAGTGCAGCTGAGTCCTGGCAGAGGGCATGGGGTCCCACCCAGAGACAGGCAGAGAAAGTTGAAGTCCCAGGATTGGAGGCCGTTCTTCCTCACCTCCCCACCAGGCCCAGGCAGGGCTTGATCTGAACGGAGGCCTGGGAACCTGTGGCCAGCCTTTACTTGTTGGAAAAGAGCAGTCCTTAAGCTCAATTGCTCCAGGTTGATGCTTCCCTACTTTTTTTTATTTATTTATTTTTATTATTATTTTTTTTTTATTGAGACGGAGTCTTACTCTGTTGCCAGGTTGGAGTGCAGTGGCGCGATCTCGGCTCACTGCCACCTCCGCCTGCTGAGTTCAAGCCTCAGCCTCCTGAGTAGCCTCCTGGGTAGCTGGGACTACAGGCGTGCGCCACCACGCCAGGCTAATTTTTTGTATTTTAGTATAGACGGAGTTTCACCACTTTGGCCAGGATGGTCTCGATCTCCTGACCTCGTGATACTCCCGCCTCGGTATCCCAAAGTGCCGGGATTACAGGCATGAGCCACAGCGCCCGGCCCCTAGTTCTTTTTAAAAAACGCTAGATCCGTCCGCTGCGCTGAGTGGAGGCGGGGCAGGCCTCCGTTCTCCAATTGGCCTTATCCACCGAGCTCTCCCCTTGTGCCGGGCTCTGTGCCAAGCACATCACACGCTGTATCCTGCGGCCAGGTTGCTGTGGTCCAGGGTCGTACCCTGGTCCAAGGTCGCAAACCGAGGTGGGACTCCGATCCGGCAACCACGCCCGTGGCCCGGAAACGGCGTCCCCTGAGGCCCAGGAGAGGCCGGGCGGTGAGCGGCTGTGGAGCCGAGCGCGGGCAGTGCGGATGCTGCCTATGGGGGAGGCAGCCAAGGACGGAGGGCGAGAGGCGGTTCTTCCAAGGTCACCCTCTTCCGGGTTGCAAGCAAAGGTCAGGGGATCCCGGAATGGTTAGTGCAGGAGCTTCTCTGTGCCTTCCACGTCCTAGATCCTCAGAGCCTCAGAAACGGAGATCATCGTCCCCACCCCCATTTTACAGATGAAGAAACTGAGCCGAGGAAAGGAAGCGACTTGGCCAAGGTCGGAGAGCTCATTCTTTGCAGGGCGGGGTTTGGAACCCGGGGTCTGGCTCTCGGCAACGCGCCCTCGGCCCGCAGCCTCCTGCCCCCTGTGCCCCGCTTCGGCCCCCAGCGCAGCTGCAGAGGGGCCCCCCTCGACGCATACACTCAAGAGCCCGACCGCGCGGCTGAAATCGCGGAGCTCGGAGCCGCGGCTGGCTGAGCGATCGCGGTTCCTGGGCTGCGTGCGCGCCCCTTGGAGCTGAAAGGAGCGCCAGGATCGGGGGCGCTGCACCGGGCTGGGCCCCTCAACGCTCGCAGACCGGGCCGGGCTGCAGCTGGAGATGGCAGCAATCCCGGGAGGTCTCCGGGCCTCTTCAGGGTGCGTCCAGGAGGCGGGTTCCGTGCGACGCGGCGCAGCCCACCCCCACGAGACCGCTTAACTTCGCGGGGGCAGCCTCGGGCGCTCGGAGACGCGGAGGCCCAGACTGCAGCCTCCGGATGCTGGAAGCCCAGACTCCCTGGGGTCACCGGCTCTCCCGCCACCCCAGCTGCAAAGAGTCCCATTGCTTCACCGTCCGGAGCTTAGTCTCCTTGTTCCTCTACCAGTCCCTCCCTCCGCAGGTCTCTGGGGACTTCTGACCGCCTGTTCTTACTCTCCCCCTGCCCCCATACTTCCCGCCCTTGTCTCAGGAACGGTGATACAGTCATCGGATTGCTCTCCATCTCCTGTTAGTCTACACTGCACACAACTCAATAATCCGCTCCCTTCATCCGGGTGACAGAGACACAGATAATCTGAGCTAGTGGTGCTCAAAGTACCGGTCCCAGAACAGCAGCATCAGCATCTCTTGGGAACTTGTTAAAAATGAGAATTTGGGCCGGGCGCGGTGGCTCACGCCTGTAATCCCAGCACTTTGGGAGGCCGAGGCGGGCGGATCACGAGGTCAGGAGATCGAGACCATCCCGGCTAAAACGGTGAAACCCCGTCTCTACTAAAAATACAAAAAATTAGCCGGGCGTAGTGGCGGGCGCCTGTAGTCCCAGCTACTTGGGAGGCTGAGGCAGGAGAATGGCGTGAACCCGGGAGGCGGAGCTTGCAGTGAGCCGAGATCCCGCCACTGCACTCCAGCCTGGGCGACAGAGCGAGACTCCGTCTCAAAAAAAAAAATGCGAATTTGGGGGCCCCACCCCAGATCTACTGAACAGAAACTCTGTGGAGCCCAGCAGATGATTCCCATGCACACTAAAGTTTGCGAGCCACTGATCTAAACATTCTTTCATCCATTCATTCTTCACCTGGCCCACCCAGCATTGCCAGTGGGAGAGACACCCGCAAAGCACCAGGCTGTGAGCCCCACCGCCGTGCACTCTGAGACACTGTCCACTAGCTTTGGGATGGCAGGCAGAGGTACTCCAGCTTGGTCTAGTGCAGACCTGGGAATCAGGACCTGGAAAGGAGGCCCCAGGTGCCAGCCGGCAGGTTAGCTAATGGCGGCCAAGGGTTACCCCGGAGTGGGGAGTGGGGAGAAGCTGCCTGGTTTGGCCCGTGCTGCTGCACTCAAAGCACCTACCTTTCAAAGTGCAAGAACAGGAAAGTGACCCTCCTCTGCCCCCAGTAAGTGATGACGGAGTCTCTGGAAGGCCAGACAGATGGGATCTTGCTCTTTGCAGCAGTGAGCTATCCTGACTGGGTGGGTAACCAAGGAGAAGGGCTTTCTGCAGGAGAGGAAATTCATTCCTCTCTTCCAAAGTAAGGGCTTCTATGGCTGTCTGCCTGGAAGGAAACCAAGGCAAAGAGATTAAATGTGGAAAAGGTCAACGTTCTGAAAGGGAAGCTTTATGGGGTCCTTCCCATACAACGAAGGAACTAGGGGCAGCCACATAAGCCAGATGGATCAGGCCAGTGGGGCTTAAGTAGAGCCCAGAGCCCAGCTTTCCTTGGCTGCATTCCTACAGGCAGGGGCCAGACACTTAGAGATACACTGCACCTTCCCTCAGGTCGGAAGGGAGGGGACGGAGCCCCTCCTGGAAGGCTTCAGGTGAATATAAAACTAGAGCCCTCACCACCCCAATCTGTGACATCACATGGAATCTGATGTTGTTTGATGGCATTTCGGGTGTCCCACAACCATGCCTGCCATGAAGTCATGGCTGATATTTATGCCCTGGCCCCACTCTGATCTCAGGGAGAATATCTTACCATAAATTGGCATGCCATGGCAAACAATTAAAAGAGAAAAACCTCAGTGCAATCTCAGGGTGCTCGGAAATGAGGAATTACAAGGTGGTGGCATGAAAAAATTATATAAAAATCTATTTTTACATCACAATAATGTGCTTTTATACGGGTTGTAATTTCTGGATGTGCAATAAAGTGGCTTTTACATCAGGCAGAATCAGAGTTTATAGGCAATCGGTGCTTTTATCTGGGAAAATATAGCTCACCCATCTTCACACCATCCATCCTGCAGGCAGCAGGCCTTATCTTCCCCAGCACCAGTGTCTTTGGGGAAATAATTATGCAATTAAAGTGTCAGCCCACCAACCACCCACCAACCACGCCCCCACCCCCACCCTGGGATCTTCCAACCACATCTTCCAGCTTCTGTCATTGGCTTCTTCCCCAAGGTAGAACAAGCCATGGGTCCAGGACAGGGTGGCTGAGGTACCAGACAGATGCTGGTCACTGTCTCCATTGGGCCAGGGAAGATCCTGGTGGGCTCAGAGAAAATATCTTAGGGCCAGCAAGCACTCCATAAACACCAAGGATCTGCTATGGGCCAGGCACTGTGCTGGGAGCCTGGGACCCTGTCACAATTTTGTAACAGTCATGATGCAGGCAGGGAAGGGAAAAGCTCTGGCAAAGGTCAATCCAGGGAGCTGAAGGGCCACAGAGGAGGAGTTTGGGGTGGGGGGGAGTGTGGCACTGTACTCTGGAGGCAGGCAGGTGACACAGGGGAAGGTTTGAAGACAAGTGTGTCCTAGAGGGGAGGTGCCAGCCCAGGTCATGTTTCTGATTGGAGCACTGAGACAGGCATATTACAGGACGTGGTAGCTGTCCTCAGACACTGAATGTTAGTGCCAAAACTGTCCTTAAATATTATGTAGTCTGGCCCATCATTTTATGTATTCCTTTAACATATCAGATACTATATCATCAGTCAGGGGTCCAGCAGGAAACACAACACATTCCATTCAATAAAGGAATATGCACAAAAGCATATGGGCAGAGTTTAGGGAAATCAACAAGAGATGGTACAGTACCCGGGGCCAGCAAGAGAGAGCAGTGGTTACCACCCAGAGGCCTGAAGTAGCAGAGACTGGACACAGTTAATGGCACCCTTTGAGAGGAGCTGCATGAGGGCCATCAGGCAGCTGACCTGGCTTGCTGTCACCTGAAAAGTTGAGCAAAGAAGGCCTAAGTGAATGAGACACGTTTTGAGGGGAGAAAGGAGCCAGGGGAGTAAAGCCCTGCTCTCCTCTCCTGCTCCCTTACCCCTGCCAGCGCCTCTCCATACTGCTCCCTCGCCCCTGCCAGCGCCTCTCCATACTGCTCCCTCGTCCCCTGCCAGCGCCTCTCCATACTGCTCCCTCGTCCCCTGCCAGCGCCTCTCCATACTGCTCCCTCGTCCCCTGCCAGCGCCTCTCCATACTGCTCCCTCACCCCTGCCAGTGCCTCTCCATACTGCTCCCTCACCCCTGCCAGTGCCTCTCCATACTGCTCCCTCATCCCCTGCCAGCGCTCCCTCATCCCCTGCCAGCGCCTCTCCATAATGCTCCCTCACCCCTGCCAATGCCTCTCCATACTGCTCCCTCACCCCTGCCAGCACCTCTCCATACTGCTCCCTCACCCCTGCCAGCACCTCTCCATACTGCTCCCTCGTCCCCTGCCAGCGCCTCTCCATACTGCTCCCTCGTCCCCTGCCAGCGCCTCTCCATACTGCTCCCTCGTCCCCTGCCAGCGCCTCTCCATACTGCTCCCTCGTCCCCTGCCAGCGCCTCTCCATACTGCTCCCTCGTCCCCTGCCAGCGCCTCTCCATACTGCTCCCTCGTCCCCTGCCAGCGCCTCTCCATACTGCTCCCTCGTCCCCTGCCAGCGCCTCTCCATACTGCTCCCTCGTCCCCTGCCAGCGCCTCTCCATACTGCTCCCTCGTCCCCTGCCAGCGCCTCTCCATACTGCTCCCTCGTCCCCTGCCAGTGCCTCTCCATAGCCATCACCAACCAGAAGCCAGAGATGGAGGGAGTCTGCTGGTGCCACCCAGTCAGATCTGCCTGCAGGGCAGAGAGCAGGGTGGAGGGCCAATCTGGATGTGCAAACGGGAGCCTGCCAGCATAGGCACAGATTGGGAATGATCAAACAATCTGGTCATTTGGCAAAAATAGAACAGTACACCAATGGCTGTAATTTTTATGTCTCTATAGTGCAACTTTGTAGGTTTTCTCATCGCACATTTTTGGCTCACCACAACCTATACTCAGTGTCAGCTTTGACAATCTTACATGACACTGTGCTCTGTTTCACAGCTAGGGAGCCTGCATGATACAGTGGAAAAGAATTCCATGAGGCCATGTAGATGGGTTGGAGGCAGGTGAGATGGCAGTCCTGACGCAAGTGCGGAACATGCCCACCCTGAGGTTCTGCATGTCTCTTTTTGACATGTACCCCCCGCAAATTCCTCACATGCTCTCATAAAAGGACGGGGTAGGACATCTATAGCAATATTCCTTGAGGTGGTGGGAGATGGAGGGCCCACTCCAGGGAGACTGGTTGGGTAAGATGCAACAGAAGCAAACCATGGGACTCAGTAGCAGGAAGGAAACTGTGGTTCACATAGAGCATGCAAGAGTTCAAAGCAGAGCTGAGTAGAAAGAGGAAGACAGAAGTGAGATTTGTAATTCTGAACCACTCAAATAGGTTAAAAATAGCACTCACAGGCAACAAACGCATACGCATGCACACACACACACACCATTTTGCACTCTTACAAACCAAAACACTTTAGAATGGTTGGCTTTTGAAAGGAGAGGGAGAGGAGAGGAATGGCATTGAAAAAGGATAAACAGCCCCCTAAATAAAAAGAAGAGAGCCTAGACTCAAGAGACAGAACACACCTGGGCTTCCATCAAAGAAGCTGTACTGTGTGTGACCTTGGGTAGGCGTGTTACTGAGTTGTTTCATCTTGCAAACAGGAGGAAACGGTAATAAATAGATCCCGAGGCATGTCAATGTGACCTAGCTAGACCTGTCTGAGACGCTGATCCACCAAGACCTGTTCCCAGGTGGGTTGACAAAGGCCTGTGTCCCAACAAGTGTAGGGCAAAGGGCAGCCTGGGCCACTTGGAGGTGACCCAGCAGCAGCTGTGTATATGTGGTCAACATACGCGACACATCCAGAGCTCTGACAAAGCCCCTCAATCCAAAAATATGTCTCGCTGCCAGCATCAGGGGTTCCTTTCTTTGAGCTAAAGCCTCTTCTGTATCGGGGGAACCCGCCCCCAGTATTTCAACGTAGGCTCTTTCTATTTTCCATAAGTGTCAGCCAGCTGAGAAATAAGGAGAGAGTACAAAGAGAGGAATTTTGCAGCTGGGCCGCCGGGGGCGACATCACATATCGGTAGGACCGTGATGCCCACCTGAACCTCAAACCAGCAAGTTTTTTATTAAGGGTTTCAAAAGGGGAGGGTGTCTAAGAACAGGGAGTAGATCACATGCTTCAAAGGGCAAAAAGGAGAACCACTGATAAGGGTCTGTCTTCAGCAGTGCACATATTGTCTTGATAAACATCTTAAACAACAGAAAACAGGGTTCGAGAGCAGAGAGCTGGTCTGACCACAGATTTACCAGGGCCCGGTTTTTCCCCACCCTAGTAAGCCTGAGGGTACTGCAGGAGACCAGGGCATATCTCAGTCCTTATCTCAACCACATAGGATAGACGTCCCCAGAGCGGCTGTTTATAGACTCCCCCCAGGAATGCATTCCTTCCCCAGGGTATTAATATTAATATTCCTTGCTAGGAAAAGAATTTAGTGATATCTTCCCTACTTGCATGTCCATTTATAGGCTCTCTGCAAGAAGAAAAATATGGCTCTTTTTGCCCTACCCCTCAGGCAGTCAGACCTTATGGATGTCTTCCCTTGTTCCCTAAAATCGCTGTTATTCTGTTCATTTTCAAGGTGCACTGATTTCATATTGTTCAAACACACATGTTTTACAATCAATTTGTACAATTAACACAATTATCACAGTGGTCCTGAGGTGACGTACATACTCAGCCTATGAAAGTAACAGGATTAAGAGATTAAAGTAAAGACAGGCATAAGAAATTATAAAAGCATTATTTGGGAACTGATAAATGTCCATGAAATCTTCACAATTTATGTTCCTCTGCCACGGCTCCAGCCAGTCATTCCATTCGGGGTCCCTGAGTTCCTGCAACACTTCTGCACAGAAATGCAAAATACACACACACACACCCCACCCCGCCCCTAGGACTCATTTTGTTAGCGATCATTAACAGTTTCAGCCATTAGCTCTCAAGTTGGTTTGAATTTGTTGGTAGGATTAGCTCCCTATCACCTGAAAAGCTGAGAAAAGAAGGCCTAAGGGAATGAGACACATGTCTGAGAAGAGACAGAAAGAGAGAATGTGTGTGTGTGTGTGTGTGTGTGTGTGTGGCAACTACTGAAGGTGGGTAGGATGCTAGGGGCCTGGGTTCCCCAGGGAAGGCCCTGGGTTTGAAAAGAGCCCCAAATGAAGCCAGGATTGCTGAAGACAAGCATGTGAGTTTGCCAAGAGCTGCCCAGGGGTCTGAGGTGTCAGTCCACCCCTCTGCTCCCCACTCAGGTAGGGGCAGGTCCGGAGCTGCAGCATGACAGGGAATTTCAGGCCCGGAGGTCTTCCCACTTGTCACCTCTGTTTCTTCTTCTCTGCCCAGGTGGTGCACATTCTGAAAGGCTCAGATTTCTTTCATTCAACCTCCTTTCTTCCTATTTTTTCTTATTGTCTGGCTCTTTCCTGCAGAAGGAAGGAGAAGAACTGGGTGTAAACCTTGACTCTGAGCTGAGGGCTCAGATGCTGGCTGAACTTCTCATTTGCACCAGGTGTAGGAGGGAAGTGGGCAGCCCAGCACAGAAGCAGCTCTCTGGCAAACAGCTTCCTCTGTAGGCCTCATGCCCTCCAACTGCAGTGCCCTCTGACCTTGTCACACTGCAGGTAGGGGACAGAACTAAGGAGCATCTGCACAAGCACCTGGCTGTAGTGAACTGAATAGTGTTCCCCCAAAAGATATGTCCAAGTCCAGACCCCTAGTACCTGTGCATGTGACCTTACTTGGAAATAGGGTCTTTGCAAATATAATTAAGATAGTACTTGTCTTAGTCCATTCAAGCTGCTAAAAGAAAAAAATATCACAAACTGGGTGGCTTATAAACAACAGAATGTATTGCTCATAGTTCTGGAGGCTGGGAAGTCCAAGATCAAGGTGCTGGCAGGTTCAGTGTCTGGTGTGGATTTGGATTTGCTCTCTACTTCACAGATGGCACTGTTGTGCTGTGTCTTTACATGGTAGAATGGGATAGTTAGCTCCCTGGGGGTTCCTTTTTTTTTTTCTGAGTCAGTGTCTCATTGTGTTGCCCAGGCTGGAGTGGCCCAGTCTTGGCTCACTGCAACCTCTGCCTCCCAGGTTCAAGCAATTCTGCCTCCGAAGTCTCCCAAGTAGCTGCCTCTAGTCTCCCGAGTAGCTGAGGCTACAGGCATGCACCACCATGCCTGGATAATTTTTGTATTTTTTTAGTGAAGACAGAGTTTTGCCATGTTGGCCAGGCTGGTCTTGAACTCTTGACCTCAGGTGATCTGCCTGCCTTGGCCTCCCAAAGTGCTGGAATTACAGGCATAAGTCTATGCACCTGGCGTCTGGGGTCCCTTTTATAAGAGCATTAATGCCATGAGGACAGAGCCCTCACGAACTCATCATCTCCCAAAGGCCCCACCTTCTAACACTGTCACACGAAGGATCCAGTTTCAATGTATGAATTGTATAGAAAACATTCAGACCACAGTCATAAGAATTTCAAGATGAGATCCAGGGTGGGCCCTAAATTCAGCGACTGCTGTCCTTACAGGGGAAAGGAAAGGGCGACGTGAGACACAGGGGAGAAGACTGTCTGAGGAAGGCAGGCAGAGCCGCAGAGATTTAGAGTTATGCAACCCCAGCCAAGAAACACCACAAGCCACCAAAAATTAGAAGAGGTAAGCAATTCTTCCCTAGAGCTTTCCCATAAAGAGAACATGGCCCTGCTGATTTTGCAGAAAAGAGAAACTGAGGCACCAAACTACATCAGCACTCCCTGGGCATGGAAGGCTGGGCGCACAGCAGCACCAGCCAGGGCAGAGACGGTGCTGGAAGTCGATGCCCTGCCTCCCAGCTGAAGCCTTCCTACCGCCTCCCTCGGGTGCTTCCTTTCACTCAGCCCCTTCAGAGCCAGAAGGCGTGGCCCACAGCAGTGTAGGAGTGCCCACGGCCCCGGGACCCCTGGCTGTAACCACACCCTCAGCTGCACCCTCAGGAGACCTTGCCTCCTGCTCCCTCTCCAGCGGCAGCGAGGGCAGTGCCAAGCTCACACCCTCCCAGAAGTGATTTCATGCCCCATAAGACGGGCAATCAAAAATAATAGACACACAGCAACCTGCCTGGGGCCTGCTGCTGCGGCGGGCGGCTGCTGAGGTGGCTACCTGGAAGATAAACCAATTCCCAGCCCCGGTGGGGAGAAATAACAGCATCAGTGAGGAGCAGGAGCTTCATCTTAGTCTGCAAAGCCCCAGCCAATAAGCAGGCTAAAAATAAGCACCTCTCCCAGCTGCAGCAGCACCCTCCCTTTCCTGACATGAGCTGGTCACGTGAGTTTCTCAGACTCTGGTGGGTTTCTCATGTCTAGGCAGGTGTCTGTCTGCTCAGTGGCCTTGCCTCAGATCTGGCTGGGGTGGCCTCAATGTGGGGAGCACAGGCTGCGGAGTGAGCCTAGGGAAAGGGTATGAGGACCTTCTGACTCCTCTGGGCTCCCTGTGGGTCCTTGGCTCGGTCATGCAGCCCCAGACTGCTTCCTGTCTGTGCTGAGCATCTGACTGTCACTGCTGAAGGACATTCTGAGTGCCATGCCAGAGCTGGGCACCCAGGGCCATCTGTCTGCACTTGGCGGGGAGGCACGTGCAGACCCCTCGCTGTGGCTGGTTCTCTGCGGGCACAGTCTGTGATCCACAGAGAGTAGACCCTGGGTGGGCCTGTGTGTCCAGCATGTATTATGTGTGCCTCCAAAAAAATGAGTTGGGAGAGGTGGGGATGGTTAATGGGTACAAAAGAAAATAGAAAGAATGAATAAGACCTACTGTTTGATAGCACAATAAGGTGATTATAGTCAGTAATAACTGAATTGCACATTTTAAAATAAAGAGTGTCATTGGATTGTTTGTAACTCAAAGGATAAATACTTGAGGAGACGGATACCCCATTCTCCATGATGTGCTTACTTCACATTGCATGTCTGTATCAAAACGTCCCATTTACCTCATAAATATATACACCTACTACGTACCCACAAAAATTTAAATTTTTTTTTAAAAGAATGAATCTGGTTTAAAGCAAAACAAAACAAAGAACCAACATTTTAGTAAGGAATTGGGTAAGTGAGGATTCTGCAGAACACCCACCTGGGGTAGGGGTTAGGATGTGGATTTATCTCAATTCTGCTGCCCTTGATGAGAAAACATTTTAATAATGCCTCTTTCGAAAGATAGTCAAAATATGAGCCTCACAGAAATATTCCTTAATTGCTTCTTGTCACACACTGCATGAACTCTCAGGGGGACCTTTTGGCCCCCTCACCTTGGGATCATGCACACCCAGGCTCCCACTTGAGCCATGTCCTTGGTCCAGCTGGCTTCAGGTTTGCAACGTCTCTTACCTGGAGAACCGCCAAAGTCTCCTCACCATCTTCCTGCCTTCAGTCGCTGTCTTCCTCCCCTTTGGGAGTTAGTCAGTCCACTCTCCAGCTTAAAAAAGTTCAAAGACTTCTCCCACTGCTGGGCCTGACCCTTTCTAATCTGTGGCCAACCTCCTGCTTCACCCATGCCTGCTCACGCACCTTGTTCTTCAGCAAAGGAGACTGCATGGAGCCCACTCAATGCTCCTCATTTCTTCTTGCACCCTATGCCTTTGCTAAACATGGTCCCCACTTTCTAGAACACCCTGTCCACCTTCGTTGTCTCTTGAAATTCTACTGTATTTTCAAAGCCCAGCCTGTGTGTTACTCTCTATCCCCAATTCTTCTCAGAGAAGAATTGGCCACTCCCTCTCCTTGGGTCTCCCTAGCACTTTCCACGGTTTTGTCACAGTGCCTGCATTTCTCGTTATTGTTAGTTTCATGTATATCTCCATGGCTGGATGGCTCAATCCTGAAGGTCCGACAGAAAACAGTGCCTGGCACATAATAGGTGGCTAATAAATGAAGCCAAACTGCAGTTGACCTGCAGACCCGTGATACAAATGCTTTTTATTGCAAGCCACTGAGATTTTTGAGAGTGCTTTATTACACAGCCTTATCAAGCCAAGAGCTGACTGAGACAAATTGCCCAGGGAGCCTGGGGCAATATGGGACTGCACACTTAGCACTGGCAGAACGCTATTCCAAAGGCATGGTGGGGCTGAGTGCCGGTGTTAGGTGTGAGGTAAGGTTGCTCTTGACATGGTGGTAGAGGGCTGATGTCATGTCAGACCACCCAGGTTCAAGTCCTGGTGCTGCCACTTGCTGCTGTGTGTGTGTCTCTGATAGAGTTACCCTCTCAGCAACTCATTTTTCCTTGTCTATAAAATATGAATCATAATACAAGGATCTGTCTCACGGGGTTGTCGTGAAAAACAGGGGAAACCATGCCGAGCCCAGTGCCTGGCACACAGTGGGGGCTCCATGAGTGTCTGCTCTCAGTGGTCATGCATCGTTAGGAGTGACTGTCATTGGCTCCTCCCTCCCTGTGTCCAGCCTGCCTGCTCCCTGCCCAGTTCTGTGCAGGGTGTGCGTGTCTGTCGAGAGAAGCTCAAAGTGGGGGATGATGTTTCTCTGTTCATTTTCCATGTTTCCTCCTGAACTCCAGTGTTTCACAAGGGGCTGGTAGCGGCCTGTCCTGTCTTCCCCTAGAACTGCTCAGCATGGCTCCAGCTGTTCTCCGTAGAGCGAGGATAGGAAGTCACATCTCAGAAAGCAAGGGATGGGGACAGCAGTGACAGTGGTGACTTCATTCTCCCGGCTCTTACGGGTCTTGTGGACCCACTTCCAGGACCACCAGTTTCTAGAGATGGACAAGAGTCTTGAAGTGTCCACAGTCACCTCCGTGTCGGTGACATCGGCAGATAGTCATTCTAACCACATTCCCAGGAAACGGGGACTGTGGGGATTCAGGGATGGGGTGGCATAGACTCCGCCTTCTGGAAGCTTCTGGTCTGGCTAGGGTAGCCCGAGGGACATAGGAAATAGCTGAGTGAGTCATAGCATCGTGTACTGACAGGACTCTTGAAACTTCCCAGCCAAATGTCCCTTGAAAAAGGGACACCAGAATCTCCCAGGAAACACCTGCGAGGCCTGGCACGATGGCAAGGGCTTGAATAAATGAAAAGGGTGGCTGAGCTGCCTGGGCTTTCCTGGGCTTGCTGCTGTCCTTCTCCTGATGATCCACCCTGTGGAAAGCTGCAACTGTCCCATTGCCACCAAGGGACCACAGCGGCTGTTCTTTCACTGGCTCTTCCTGGGAGGGAGCAGCCCTCCCCAGCAGCCTCCTTCCAGGCTGGGTGGCAAATGGCTCCCAAACAGAAAGACCCCTCCTGAGCTGCCATTTCCCAGGGATCTCAGCGCCCCAAAGCCAGACATGGGGAGGAGGGAGGAATCAGCTCCTGTAGATCTCTGATGCTGGCATGAGTGGGCAAGCCCCCAGCTCCCTGGACTCCTGCCCCTCTCTGCAAATGCAGGAGGAGATAGGATGATGGCAGAACATCTGGGCTGGAAGACTGTCAGGCGAGGAGAGTGGGGCATCTGAACAGACAGGTTGAGTAGCTTGCCCAAGGCCACACAGCTGGTGAGTGTTGAGGCCTGTTGCTAGGTGCTCAGTAGATTCCCCCGGAGTGACTGGAGGTGGGAGCATTAGAGGCAAGACTAAGAGAGCCTTGGGAAGGAGACAAAGAGAGACACCTCCAGGCAATCTAAATGGACTAACACCAACAGAGGCACCTGGAGCTGAGAGCAGATGCCAGGCCAGGGGAGATGGGCTAGACACGGAGGCGGAGGAAATGCTCTTCTGAAAATGATGTTGAAGGGCAGAGAAGAGAAGGACCCTAGAGAGACAGATGGAGAGGAATCAACAGATGGGCCCGCTGTCCCGCAGGGCGACGGCCCTCTCGCCACGCGGCCCCTAAGCTTGAAGGGAAGCATGTGGGGAATTCGCAGTGTGGGGGATGGGGCAGTGAGGGCCGCATCCTGACCAGAATTGCCCAGGCTTCTGGTGAGAGGAACCAAGTGCAGCAGGGGCTGCTGGCCAGGCCTGGGAGCCGAGGTTTTGGCTGCCACTTGCCTACCACGGACACCCCCCACCAAAATGCCTCTCTTTGTCAGGACCAATAGACACAACCTCAGGGGCCATTTTTGAAGGGTTTCAAACCACCTGGGCAAGTTCCTTCTGTGGGTGGGCAGCCCAGACAGCAAGGCTGGGCACAGCTGTCCCACCCAGCATGGCCATGCAGCCTTGCGAAGGCAAGGGCACAGGCTCCTGTCACGCCTGACAGCTGTGGCTGGTGTGGGGTGGGGAAGGCCAGGCAGGACAGGAGGGCAGCAGCAGGCCAAGCCAGACCCCTGAGGCCTGTGCTTGCAGCCTGTGTCCCGACCTCACAGTGTCCTGGGACCATCCAAGCCCACTCACTCCTGTCTGGCAGCCAGCCTTGGATGTCACAGAGCACCACGCCCCATGTCCTCGGCCAGCACCACCGTCCGGCCTCGCCAGCCACAAAGGGCCGCCCAGGTTTGATGGGAGGGGACATTGACTCAAGGTCACACTGTAAAAAGAGCAGATGAAATGGGAGATAGCATTGTAGCCATCCCCAGAGTGTGTAATCTGCCACACCAGGCTATGCCCACAAGACAGGCAGCCCTTCCTTCCATGTTCCAATTATCATGAGTCCCCACAATGCCTTCCTCCAGTGTCTTAGTCTATTTCCCGCTACTACAACAGAATACCACAGACGCAGTAACATACAGTGAAAAGAAATTTATTTGGCTCACTCATCTGGAGACTTCCACCACATCCAAGACCAAGGGGCCACATCTGGTGAGAGCCTTCTTGCTTCATGATAACATGGCAGAAGGCATCACATGGGGGAGAGAGTTGGGGAGAAAGAGAGAGGCAATCAGGCTAAACTTGTCCTCTCATCAGAAGCCTACTCCTGAGATATGGCATTAATCTATTCACGAGAGTGAGCCCTCATGACCTCTTAAAGGCCCCAGCTCCCAATACATCACAATGGCAATGAAATTTCAACATGAGTTTTGGAGGGGGACATTCAAATTGTAGCACCCAGGTATATCCGTGAGTGTCCCAAAGATACTCCATGTCTCATTGTCCTGTGGGAAATGACCTCGATGCCATGGTGGCCTCTGTATGCCAGCCATCCCAGAGATCACAAGACAGGGAAGCTCATAGATGAAGTGATGATTCTCAAATGACACGGCTTATTAAACCAATTAAAAACACAGAGCAGGAAACAAGGGTGAGTGAGCACACAGGCTAGGGTGCCCCTGGGGTGGATGGAGCACACACACCCCTGACTCCTGGGTGCACGACGTTCCCATGACCTGTTCCTCTCTGCTGCATCAGCTTTGTCACTGGTGCTGGGGCTGTGAGGACCAGAGCCAGGCAGGCAAAGGGGTTCAGCAGACGAAAATGCCCAGAGCATGCACGCACTTGCTGCAGCAGAGGGGTGCAGGGGCAGCTCTGGCTTGCCAATTAGCCTGATGAACAGCTATTAGCTTTTTTAAAGATTTAAATCCATTTGGTGCTCTATTTAGATTAAAGAAAGCATTTTCCACAGTAAGAGTTAATAGAAGTTAGCATCTGGGATGTTTAAGTAATGAATTTACTAATTTTCTTGGGCATAGGACACGTGAAGCCAGAATGTGTCACCCGTGGGTGGCCAATTTAAGATCTCATGAATATTGAGTGTGTTGAGTGCCCTGTGGGTGTTGAGTGCATCATGGATATTTGATGCCTTATCGTTTCTTCCCCCCTTCCTACCTGCCGGTGATACTCTTGTTTCATTCTTTTTAAATCTCTGTTCAACGTACGTATATTCTGTATACTCTGTGTTTACTATGCATGTTTCACCAGCTATTTGCTTCTGTAAGTAGCTTCTGTCATGTTTTACATCAGAACCGAATATTCTTAAACCATCTGGCCAGCACACAGTACATGGAGACACTGGGAAAGGCTGCTGCAGGTGTTTGACCCAGACTTCATCTTCTGACATATTCTTGCCTCTCCTTCCAGTCACCACTCTTCTGGATTTCCTGCTACAACAACAGAATACCACAGACGCGGTAATTTACAATGAAAAGAAGTTTACTTGGCTCACTCATCTGGAGGCTTCCATCACATCCAAGACCAAGGGGCACATCTGGTGAGGGCCTTCTTGCTTTGTTGTAACATGGCAGAAGGCATCACATGGGGGAGAGAGATGTGGGGGGAGAGAGATGGGGAGAAAGAGAGAGGAAATCAGGCCAAACTTGCCCTTTTATCAGGAGCCTCTTGATACCTTCCTTCTGGATACCCAGGCCTCTGCTGGTGGCCATGACCGAGGACCTCACTCCAGCATCAGGCAGGGACTACTCCTTTCCCCTTTAGCCCTGCCTCTGAAACCCAGGACAGGCCTCCCAGCTGCCATTGGAAGTGGCTACCCTTGTAGCCCACACACCCCAACCTGCTTGGTAGGGCCAGCTCCCTTACTAGCACAGCTTGCGGCACAGGCCAGAGACCAGCTCGCCAACCTGAAAGTGTTCCCAGCAGAGCCAAGCCAGGCTCAACAAAGACCTCCCCATTCTCAGCTCTGGGCCTGCCTCGTTTCCTGTGGGGCTAGCCATAGCCATGCCTTTTAAAGGGAACTCCAGTAGGGTGTGGTTGGCCCCTGTCCTACAAAAGAGTCCCCACAGCCCAGCAATGTCCTTCCAGGCCCTGGTTTATGCAGTCACGTTCCTGCATGGTGTCACTAACCACCCTTCCCACGCTGTGCTGTGCAAAGGCCATCCCAGTTCTTACCTAGGTCTTTTCTTGAGTGCAAGGTAAAGAGGGCCTGCCTCACCCCTTCCTCAACCATATTGCCTCCTATGAGCAAAGGCTTCTGTTTAATTCAGTCACCTGACATTTACTGAGCATCCACTATGTGCCAGACACCATTCTAGCATCTGGTGATTCAGCAGTAAACAAAACAGACAAAATCCCTGCCCTCATGGCCTTTACATTCTAGTGGGGGAGTGTTATGAACTGAATGTTTGTGTCCCCTCCTAATTCATATGTTGAAATAAAATCCCCAAGGTGATGGTATTTGGAGGATGCCTTTGGGAGGTGATTAGGTCATGAGGGGAGAGCCCTAATGCATGGGATTAGTGCCCTTTTAAGAAGAGGCCAGGCTGGTGTGGTGGCTCATGCCTGTAATCTCAGTACCTTGGGAGGCCTAGTGGGGTGGATCACCTGAGGTCAGGAGGTGGAGACCAGCCTGGCCAACATGGCGAAACCCCGTCTCTACTAAAAATACAAAAATTAGCTGGGCATGGTGGCAGGCGCCTGTAATCCCAGCTACTTGGGAGGCTGAGGCAGGAGAATTGCTTGAACCCGGGAGGCAGAGGTTACAGTGAACCAAGATCACACCACTGCACTCCACCCTGGGCGACAGAATGAGATTCTGTCTCCAAAAAAAAAAAAAAAAGAGGCCAGAGGGCTAGCTCGCTCTCTTTCCACCATACGAGGGCCCACAAAGTCAGCAGTCTGCCACCCACATACCTGAAGGTGCTGGGAACCTGATCTCAGACTTCCAGCTTCCAGAACTGTGATAAATACATTTCTGTGGGTTACAAGCCACCCAGTGTATGGTATTTTGTTAATAGCAGCCTGCACCAAGTCAGGGAGACCGACAAGACGCCACATAAATACATGCCATAGCATTGGAAGGTGCCGAGTACCATGGGTGGGCCGGGGAGGACTATACCAGGGAAAGGGGTGGAGATTGTGGGGCCCAGAGTTGAGCTGCAATTTGAAACAGGGTGGTCAGGGAAGGCTTTAGTGAAAAGGCGATGTTAAGCGAAGTCTTGCGGTGCAGGAGAGCACCTGCATGGGAATATGTGGGAAGGGTGCTCTGGGCAGGGAAGCAGCCAGTGCAAATAGCATGAGGTTTTGTGCAAAAACAAACATATCTTCTGGGTTTTAGATTTTTTTAAAAAATAATCTCTGCCTCTGCAAGGGAAAGTTTTTCCCAAAATGAGTAAAGGGAGGATCAGTCAGCAGAGGCCAAGCTTCCACCTTTGGGTTAGGCTCTTGGGTGGGTAGGCGTCCACCTACCCAGACTCCAGCAAGGTCCTTCTCTCACACCAAACAACGAAATGGCTTCCCAGGGGGCTCCATCTCAGAACAAAGGGAAAGTTGGTCCCAGAGACAAATCCAGATTTCTGCCCTTCAAGGAAGGAGTTGCTTTTAATCCAGAAAGAACAATCTTTCCAATATTCCCACATTTTAAGTCCAGTCTTTCTTGGACAGCCTCTTGGCATTTATTTAATATTGAGGGGCCAGTTCACCTGTGAAACCCTTTGAAGTATGATGATTATTATTCCATTTTGCAATTTGAGAACCAAGGTTCAGAGACAGTAATTCCTATGCCCAAGGACACACAGCCAGCTGGTAATAGAGCTGATGTGCAAATCCAGGGTGCTCCCTCTGTGGTCCTTTCTGATGCGGGTCCCTTTCCAGAACTGTTGTTTGGGATTCAGGCAGAGGCTCTGGAGGGCCCTAGCCCTGACTGCCCCTCTGGCTGGGAGAGGGTTCTGGGACACAAGTGCCATGGCCCTTCGGATTCCTTGCTGAGCCCAGCCCCAGCTGCACCCTCCTTACTGCAGCCAGATGGGGTTTTTCACACCCGCTTCCATTAGAGGCTGTGTATCCTTGGCCTCAGAGCCTCAGGTGGCTCTTCTGAGAGATAGGAATAACGCCTGCTACCAAGGTAAGGCATCTTGGCACATAGCAGATGCTAGGTTAATTGTTAATATTATACCCTTTTCACTCTGGGGTGGGTGATGAGGGCTCTGGGTGCATCAGAGGTGGCCGTGCCCAGCCCCCCTCCCCCAGTAAATCTGGCCTTGAGAGTCCCCGAGGGAACATACAGGACACACGGGGGCCTCAGGGCTGGGCTGGCTCCTTGAGGCTCTTACCATTTTCCATCTTCCCTTTCTTCACGAGCTACAATAATTTAACAACCTCGGGAGCGAAAAGATAGCTTGGGGAGCAAATGTGGACTCACTGAAATTAAAGTTAAATTGGAATAAATTAAATTAAATGGCAACTTTCCGGTGCTCATCTCTCAGGCCAAATTATTGTGCAGCGTTTCTGGCTGCAGAGGAGAGGGCTTTGGCGGTGGATTCTGGCACTTCCTGGCGGCTCCCCCAGACGCCAGAGTGTGGGGTGGCCCTGGGGAGGCAACTGCCTTTGGCAACTTCTCCTAGCTCAGGGAGGAAATAGTGGAGAGCACAGGCAGCCGGAGGCTTAAGCTGGCTGCTCCCACCTCCGCCTCTCCACGCTTCCTGCTTCCACCATGAAGCCGCTGGTACGGTGAGGCATGACCGCGCTACTGGCAATCCCCAGCCCTGGGCCCTTTGGCTTAAGGAGGTGCAACCCTGATTGGCAGCCATGGGGCTTAGAGCACCCACTAGGTTCACAATGATCGTGACCCCTTAGGCTTCTAAGGCATAAATTATAGTTGGGGGAGGTGGGAGTCCCAGCCGCCCTGGCTGCCCCGTCTCTCCTAACCTGCCCTGCCCTGCACACTTCAGGCCAAAACAAACCAGATTCCAGGGCAGGCTGGGGCTCATGGGCTGTACTTCCTTCAGCTTCCCATCCAATTCCCCCAGGGTTCAAAGAAGAAAATTCGCCACAAGCACAGAATTCTTTCAAGTCCCAGTTTTTAAATTCATGTGCACGCTGCCTTCTGCTCGGTAATGTATTCATGTTGATTTTAATGTGTAATGTTTGACACTATTTACCAGTGAGTAAAACCGACATGCCTGGAGGCTGTGCCCCTTTATCCTGGATCTTCCGGGAGGCCCTGGCATGAGGCCTGACAGCCCCTGGGTAAGAATGAACCACAGGGTCTGTCTGCCCTTCTCCCCCACACCCCGTCCCCCCCAATGCCCCCCCCACCCCCCGGCCGGCTCCCAGGCTGGACTCCCTAGAAGGTAGGAAAATCCCAAATTTACAACAACGTGTGTGAACCTTGAGGACAGTGTGCTAAGTGAAATAAGCTGGTCACAAAAGAACAAACACTGTGGGATTCCACTCAGATGAGGTGCTTAGATTAGTGAAATTCACAGACAAGGAAAGTAGAATTGTGCTTGCCAGGGGCCGGGGTCTGGAGAGGAACGGGGACGTAGTGTTTAACAGGTGTAGAGTTTCAGTTTTGCAAGATGAAAAACAGTTGTGGAGGTGGAGGGTGGTGATGGTTGCACAACATGAATTACTTAATGCCACGGGAACTGCACGCTTGGAAGTGGTTGAGATGGCACATTTTACATTACATATCTTGTACCACAATTTAAGAAACAAACAAACAAGGCCATCAAGGGGCAGAGGTGGCCTGGCGTGTTTACCCACCCAGGGTCTCACTGCGGGGCAGGGCCAAGGTCAGGGTCAGGGGCTGACCCTCCTATTCTTGAAGAAGATCCCGGACCTGCCCTGCTTTCTAAGGAGGTGGCGGCAGATGCAGTAGATGTGGCTCTCTAGCCACCTGGGTTGTCCCCAACATCGGGGCTGGAAGAAGCCCTGGAGAACAGTCATTCCAATCTCTGCATTTTACTGATGAGGAAACTGAGGCCAGGAAGGGGGAGCTACCTCTCGAAGTCACACAGACAGCGATGGCCAGCTTAGAGGGCTTATTTCTCTCTTCTGGTGACCCAGCAGCTATGAAAGGCCAGAGTAGGTCACGGAAAGCCCTTCCTCGCAGCACCAGCCCCTTGTCACTGACCTCTGGCCCCTCTTCTAAAAGAGCACCAGTAACCTTTGCCGCTCCTCAGGCTGCAAGCCGGCTGATTAATTAACTAACCCTTGTTAAGGGCTCAGGCACAGGCTAATGGGCAGTAGGTATTCTCATTATTATTTTTAATCAGACTATGCAATTTTATAGCTCCCGTCACCCAAGGCTATTGCGTGTCTCTGTGTCTCTGGAAGTTAATTAAGACTGCCAGGGATGGGCTCACAGAGGGATAGGAGGCCCAGGGCTGGGCTGCGGGAGAGCGCAGAGATACTGATTCCCTCAGGGCCCCACTTAAGGGGGAGATGTGAGAGGGTTGGCAGAGGGCAGGTCAACCTGTGCTGAGCCCCAGGGTCACCTGACGGAGCCCACCCCAGGGAGGCAGGAAATGAGCTGCAGCACTCATAGCGGCCCCAGGTTCCAGTCTCTGGCTCTCTTTCACAGAGAGCATCTGGGCTACATGAGCTTAGGAAACTGCGCTCCTGCAGGGCACCCCAGTGGCTGGGTAGCCTTGCTCTGGCTCTGTCATCCAGGCTGGAGTGCAGTGGCCCCATCAGGGTTCACTGCAGCCTCCGCCTCCTGGGCTCAGCTTTCCAAATAGCTAGGATTACAGGAAAGCACCACCATGCCCAGCTAATACTGATTGATTGATTGATTGAGACAAGGTCTTGCTCTATCACCCAGGCTAAAGTGCACTGGTGCAATTATAGCACGCTGCCACCTCAAACTCCTGGGCTCAAGAGGTCCTCCCACCTCAGCCTCCCAAAGAGCTGGGAATACAAGCATGAGCCACCGTGCCCAGTCTGTGGAGCCTCTTAGAACATGCCTTATCACATCACACTTCTCTAAAGATCACGCTTCATAGCTCTTCCTACTCTGGGATCAGAAAGATCCAGACTTTCCATGAAGGGAGAGCTGGAAGGAGCCTTTTATGAAGACAGCAAAAGGATTCACTGAAAACTACAGGAATGAGACCGCTATATGGTTTGCTATTAACCAAACACAATTATTCACAACAAACTATGGACAATATATAAATTAGCCTGATATAAATTTATGTTTTTTATGATTTGAAGTTTGAATTCATTTCAATTACAAGTTAATATATCAATACTTGAATCTATTCACCTTTAAAATTATCAAAAATAAATCTAAAGTCTCCATTAACCCAACAGTTTTGCCCCTCTCCTATCTCCAGAGGTAGACCACTATTATGATTTTGGTGTGGATCCAAGAGATTAAAAAATTTTTTGAAATTCATTAGATATACCCACAGAAAATAGATAGTATTGTTTGGGGTATGTGTTTTTTAAATAATATAAATGGTATGCATATTCTGCAACTGTTTTTTTTTTACTTAACGATTTTTTTTTTTTTTTTTTTTTTTTTTTTTTTACATCTTAGATTTGAAGATTTTAGATAGATTTAAACCAGGTCCATTCCTTTTGGAATGAGGTGCAGCAGAGTCTTCTGTCCTAAAAATATATCACATTTTGCTTATCCATTCCACAACTTTGCTATTTCAAAAATACTTCAATGATCATTCCTGGGCATGGTTCCCCATACACGTGTGAGTATTTATTTAGTGCTGACACACAGAAGCATAATCACTAGGTTATAGGAAATGCACATTTTCTGCTTTGAGTAGATACGATCAAATCACTCTCAAGAGTGGCTAAGATTCACACCCTTCCCCCAGCGGTTATATGAGCATGCTCATTTCCACACGCCTCAGTAGCACTTGATGTTAATAAAGTATTTTTTGTCAAGCTGATGATTAAAAATAGTATCTCCTAGGAGTTTTGATTTGCATTTTCTTCATCACTCTTGGGGTTGAGCATCTTTTCATGTGTTTATTGGCCATTTATATTTTCTCTTTTGTGAATTACACATTAATATCCTGCTCATTTCTTTTCTCTTGGGTCATTTTTCTTTTTCCTATTGATTTGTAAATGCTCTACAAATGATGAATTTCAATTCCTTTTCTGTACACTTAAAATGTTTGTCACCAGTCACCAGTTAAAAGGCAATGTTGATTGCCTTTTAAATGTGTTTATAGTATTTTGTACCTTGTACAAATTTTTAATTTTGATTTGTAAAATTTTCTTTATGATTTTTAGACTTTGTGTCTTGTTTAAATACGCCCTCTTGGCTGGGCACAGTGGCTTACTCCTGTAATCCCAGCACTTTGGGAGAACCAGGCAGGCGGATCACCTTAGGTCAGGAGTTCAAGACCAGCCTGACCAACGTGGTGAAAGCTACTAAAAATGCAAAAATTAGCTTGGTGTGGAACATTTCTGTAATCCTAGCTACTCAGGAGGCTGAGGCAGGAGAATTGCTTGAACCTGGGAGGCAGAGGTTGCAGTGAGCCAAGATCACACCACTGCACTCCAGCCTGGGTGACAAAGTGAGACTCCATCTCAAAAATAAATAAATAAATAAATAAATAAGCCCTCTCTACCCCAAAGTGAAAAAAGATGGTCTTCTTAATTTATTCTAATAATTTTAAAGTGCTTCTTTTTTACATTTAGATCTTTAATTCATCTGGAGTATACTTTTGTGGCAATAATGTCTCAGAAATAACTACATTTCCTAGTCTCCTTTGAAGCTAGGGACTCCCATGTGACCTAGCTCTGGCCTAGAAAAAGCAAGAAGTCTATGGGGGAATTTCTGGGAAAGTTTTTCTGCTATAGGCACTGCCCCTTCCTTTTCCCAATTTCCCTCTTTCACTTCCTGGAATGTCGGTGTGTTATTCTTCAGTAAGAATTTCAGAATTTGTGTGTCAAGTGTCATGAAAAATCTTATTGAAAGTTTTATTGGGCTTTGTATCAGCTTTTAGTAACAGAGGCAAACAGATACTTAATATAATAGGATTTTAAATTTTGCATAACAGGTAAATCCAAAGGGATGCAGACCAGAGCTAATGCAGAGACCCCATGGTGTCCACAAGAAACTGAGCTTCTTTCTTTTTTCTCTACTTTTGTCAGTATTTGGCTTTTATCTTCTTGGACCCAATATATACTGGGCACAGCATCTTTTTTTTTTTTTTTTTTTGAGACGGAGTCTCGCTCTGTCGCCCAGGCTGGAGTGCAGTGGCGCGATCTCGGCTCACTGCAAGCTCCGCCTCCCGGGTTCACGCCATTCTCCTGCCTCAGCCTCCCGAGTAGCTGGGACTACAGGCGCCCGCTACCACGCCCGGCTAATTTTTTTTGTATTTTTAGTAGAGACGGGGTTTCACCTTGTTAGCCAGGATGGTCTCGATCTCCTGACCTCGTGATCCGCCCGCCTCGGCCTCCCAAAGTGCTGGGACTACAGGCGTGAGCCACCGCGCCCGGCCGGGCACAGCATCTTAACAGCAATATAAACTCGAAAAAGAACCTAATAAAAAATGTACAAGACCTATAATGGAGCCTTCCCATCCATGAACATGGTATCGTTTCTATTTATTCAACTCTTTTCTTGCATATTCTTCTGGAACAACCCTACTTGGTCATTGATTGATTAGTAATTCTGTATTTGTGTGTATAAGTGGAAGTGGCTGTAGTTTTCCCTCTTGTGCTGTCCATGTCGACTTTCAGGATCACAGTGATCCTATTATCAGAAAATTAGATTAAGACTTTCCCATCTCTTTTCTGTATAAACTGGAAGTTTATCCAAAATGAGTATTATGTAATAATTTAAAAGTTGGGGCCAGGCATAGTGGCTCACAACTATGATTGCAACACTTTGAGAGACCAAGGCAGGAGGATTGCTTGAGGGGCCGGGAGTTCAAGACCAGCCTGGGCAACAGAGCAAGACCCTGCCTCTAAAATAAATAAATAGGCCAGGTGTGGTGGCTCACACCTGTAATCCCAGCACTTTGGGAGGCTGAGGCAGGAGAATCATTGGAGCCTAGGAGTTCAATCCCACTCTGGGCAACAAAGCAAGAACCCATCTCTAAAAATATTTTTTTAATCTAAAATAAATCAATAGATAAATAAATAAATAAAAAAGCTTCATAGAACTCACCTTAATATACCCTCTGGGTCTGGTACTGTCTTAGTTGGGCAGCTATTATAAAATACCATAAACTGGGTAGCTTATAAACAACAGAAATTTATTTCTCATCATTCTAGAGGCTGGGAAGTCCAAGATCGAGGCACCAGTAGATGAAGGGTCTGCTTCCTCATAAATAGCACCTTCTATGAGGTGGAATAGAAGCAAACTAGCTTCTCACATGGTGGACGGAAGAAGCTAGTTCTCTGGGATATCTAATGCCATTCATGAGAGCTCCACTCCTGTGACTTAATTACTTCCCAAAGGCCCCCTTCTTTTTTTTTTTTTTTTTTTTTTTCTTTTTTGAGACGGAGTTTTGCTCTTGTTGCCAGGCTGGAGTGCAATGGTGTGATCTGGCTCACTGCAACCTCCGCCCCCCAGGTTCAAGTGATTCTCCTGCCTCAGCCTCCTGAGTAGCTAGGATTACAGGCATGTGCCACCATGCCCAGCTAATTTTGTATTTTTAGTAGAGACGGGGTTTATCCATGTTGATCAGGCTAGTCTTGAACTCCTGACCTCAGGTGATCCACCTGAGTCAGCCTCCCAAAGTGCTGGGATTACAGGTGTGAGCCACTGCACCTGGCCCAGGTCCCCCTCTTAATACCATCATGTTGGGGGTTCAGATTTCAACATACGAATTTTCGGAGAGACAAAAGCAGTCTGTCTATTGCAGGTACTTTTCGAATTTGGTCACTGACCACAATTTCGGATTTTTCCATGTTTCTTAGCTTATTCAGGTATTTTACTTCTTCTTGAGTCTATTTTTAAATTTATTTTTGTGTAGGTTTTCACATTTATTAGTAGAAAATTATAGATTCTTTATATTTTACTAGTCACTTTTGTCTGTGGATATAATCATTTTTGATTCCCGATGCTGTTTGTTCAGCCTTCTCATTTTTCTCTTTATTTTACTTATCCAAGGTTTGTCTGCATTGATAATGTTTTAAAGAACCATGTTTTATTTTTGTTCAGCAACTCTTCTACTGTTTTTCTTTCCTTAAATCTTGCTTTTATCATTATTCTTTCTACTTTTTTCATTACGTTGTTCTTTTTCTAGCTTCTTAATTTAAAAGCACAGCTTATTTCTTTTCAGTCTTTCTGATTTTCTCATAAATGTATTAAGACTAACTTTCTCTCTGAGTACAATTTTGGCTACCTCCTGCAAGTTATGTAGTGCTCTCATTTTTATTCAGTTATAAATCATTTACAATTTTCATTTTTGCCTTTTTCTTAACAAAAGTTATTTAGAGATTGTAATTCTTGCCATCTTAAAATCCATTTTGGTTGATATTAACATTGCTAATTCTGGCTTTCTTTTGAATAGATCTAATTGTATCAATCTCACTTAAGATTTTGTAGGTACAGGTTGAATATCATTTATCCAAAATGCTTGGGACCCGAAGTGTTTCTGATTTCAGACGTTTTTGGATTTTGGAATATCTGCATACACAAAAGGAGCTATCTTGGGGATGGGACCCAAGTCTAAATATGAAATTCATTTTTTTTCATATACACCTTATGCACATAGCCTGAAGGTAATAACTTTTTCTCTGAGTACAACTTTGGCTACCTCCTATAAGTTATGTAGTGCTCTCATTTTTATTCAGTTATAAATCATTTATAATTTTCATTTTTACCTTTTTCTTAACAAAAGTTATTTAGAGGTTGTAATTCTTGCCATCTTGAAATCCATTTTTGTTGATATTAACATTGCTAATTCCGGCTTTCTTTTGAATAGACCTAATTGCATCAATCTCACTTATGTTTTTGTAGGTCCCCTGTTCCTCTCAACTTGTAGGGCTGTGGAATGGACCTATTTTCTACCTAAGCTCTCATATGCATTGTCTCCTGATATGGTTTGGCTTTGTGTCCCCACCCAAACCTCATCTCGAATTGTAATCCCCAGGTGTTGAGGAAGGGTCCTAGTGGGAGGATCTGATGATTGGATCATGGGGGCAGTTTCTTCCGTGCTGTTCTCATAAGAGCGAGTGAGTTCCCACGAGATCTGGTGGTTTTATAAGAGGCTCTTCCTCCTTTGCTGTGTCTCCTGCCACCTTGTGAAAAAGCTGCTTGCTTCCCCTTTGCCTTCCGCCATGATTGTAAGTTTCCTGAGGCCTCCCGAGCCATATGGAACTGTGAGTCAATTAAACCTCTTTCCTTTATGAATTACGTAGTCTCAGGGAAGTTCTTTATACCAGTGTGAAAATGGACTAATACATCTCCCCTGAGACAAATACCCAAATTCTTGCTGCCTGACCCAAAGTGCTGTGTGTGTGTGTGTGTGTGCATGTGTGTGTGCGCATGTGTGTGCGCGCATGTGTGCACTCGCATTCTGGCAGCTTCAACCAATCTCCGGTCAGGGGTTCCTGGGTCTTTCCCTCCCAGAATCCACCTCTGGTCCTGAAGCTCCTTCTGGTACTGGGAGACATCCCAGGATATGTTTCTAACTGTGTTGACTCAACTTGTCTTTTCAATATCTAGATTCAAGTCTTCTCTTATTTCAGGAAGTTTTTTTTCAATTATATTTTAAATATCTTTTTCAGTCTCATTGTTTCGGTTTTCTCCTCTGGGGATTATAATTATGCAATGTTTGCCTATCTTATACATCTGTCATTTTCTCTCTAGTTTAAAAAACCACTTTATTTGTTTTATTTTCTCATTTAAGGGTGTCTGTTCTCCTTTGTATTCTTTGTCCTTGAGTCTTAAGTTCTGAAATGATTTTTGTCATTTCTATTATGGGAACTGGAAGTGGGATTTACATTTTAACAGGATCATTCTGGCTGCTATGTGGTGAATGGAGCATTTGGGAGCAAGAGAGAAACCAGGGAGGCCGGGTAGGAGACTCTCACAGATGCCCTAGGAAAATGTGGTTGCTTGGACTGGAGGGTAATGATGAATATTGTGAGAAGTAGTGATTTGGGGATGTGTTTTGAAGGTATGACTGCAAGAATATGCCATTGAATTAGATATAAGATTTAGAGAGAGAAATCAAGCAATTGGGACACTAGATGGAAGAAGCTGTCATTTTCTTTAATGGGAAACACTGGGGAAGGAGCAGCTTTGAGAGAAAAAGTGGAGTTTGGTTTTGGATATGTTAACTTTGGGTTACCTATTAGACATGCAATTAGAGAAGGCAATTGGATGTTTGAGTCTGGAGTCAGGGTGGAGGTTAGGGCTGGAGATAATTCAGAAGTCCTCAGCATATGATATTTAAATCCCTGGACTGGAAGAGGTCACTTCGAAAGTGAGGTAGGAGAGAGAGGAGAAGAGGTCTGAGCATGAGTCCTGGAGCTTTTCAGTACCTCAAGGTTATGAAGATGAGGAGGATCCAGCACAGAAGACTTAGAAGGAACAGCCAGCAGAGTAGACACAGCAGGGGAGGGTAGACAGCTGCACCCAGGGCTGCTGCAGGACAAGGAGGCAGGACTGGGAGAATGGGCCGTGGGAAAGTGGTTGGTGAACTTGTATTGTTTCCTGATTTGAGGGGATTCAAGAAAAAAATGAATCTTCCCCTTCTGCCTCCCCTCCTCTTCCCTTCCCTCCTTCCTCCTTTTCTCCCTGAATTATTCAGTCCAAAAGCCACTGGGTAGGGCTGGTTCAGGCAGGTACCTATGGCTAGGAGTTGGGTGGGGCAGCCTGGTACTGGGTGTTGGAGCATGAGTGGGTAAAGAGGGCATCTGTGTTTGTGTGCGATGGCAGCATCAGTAGATTGGTCACAGACGGAGATTGGTCAAAAAGCTAGTATAGTGAGGAGAGTAGGGGTTGTGCTTCTCACTGGTGGGAAAAAAAGAGTTATAAATACCAACAGTGGAAAATTAGAGAGAATTCTACAATGTTAAACTGGAATTGGACGCAGCAGTATAAACTAATGGCTACACACACACACACAGACACACACACACACACACACACACACACACACAGAGAAGATAGATAGATAGATAGATAGATAGATAGATAGATAGATAGATAGATAGATAGAGAAATCGAGATGAAAATCTGTGGAGAGAGAGAAATGTTCTCACTCTCCACTGAGAGGGCCTGGGAGCAGCACCATCCAATGCAAGGAGCATGCTGAGCACTCAGGTCTTGGCCCCTAAACACCACTGCCCCCTAAAAGGAACCAGGTTCCTAGAGAAATGGCTGATTCTGAGGCTAAACCAGAAACAGTACAGGGTAAGTCTGGAATATCTTGTACCAGAAAGTAGGGAAGGGCTCAGGGACATAGAGAGCCAGAGCGCCTGAATGGGCTCTCATAGGGCTCTCACATGCCAAATGTGGGAATATTTGAGCATCAAATTAAATAACAATAACAGATTATAACCCAGTAAATAAAGTGGAATCCATGAGCCTATACTGAGAGAAGCAGGGGCAGGGAGAAAGAGAGAGAGAGAGAGACGATGAC